>NC_000017.11:43810980-44435980 GCF_000001405.40 Homo sapiens | reverse complement strand
CTCGGCTCACTGCAACCTCCGTCTCCCGGGTTCAAGGGATTCTCCTGTCTCCTGTCTCAGCCTTCTAAGTAGCTGGGATTACAGGCGCATGACACCATGCCCGGGTAATTTTTGTGTTTTTAGTAGAAACAGGGTTTCATCATATTGGTCAGGCTGGTCTTGAACTCTTGACCTCAGGTGACCCGCCCGCCTCGGCCTCCCACAGTGCTGGGATTACAGGTGTGAGCCACTGTGCCCAGCCTCAATTTTCAAAGAATTAGGAGTCGCTGGGCGCAGTGGCTCACGCCTGTAATCCCAGCACTGTGGGAGGCCGAGACAAGCAGATCACCTGAGGTGAGGAGTTCAAGATCAGCCTGGCCAACATGATGAAACTCCATCTCTACTGAAAATACAAAAAAAATTAGCAGGGCATTGTGGCGGGCACCTGTAATCCCAGCTACTCAGGAGGCTGAGGCAGGAGAATCACTTGAACTCGGGAGGCAGAGGTTGCAGTGAGCGGAGATCATGCCATTAAACCCCAGCCTGAGCAACAAGAGTGAAACTCCATCTCAAAAAAAAAAAAAAAAAAAGGAAAGAAAGAAAAGAAAATTAACATTGAAGTGAAGTCTACTTTCAACAAATGTGCCTTTTGGAAACTACCAGCCTGAAAGTAACAAACTATTTTGCATGTGATTTTCTCTGTGAGGTGACAATAAAGCAAGCAGTAGCTAAGCAAAATTACAATTTTTTTTTGTTTTCAGATAATACTGTAGTTGTGCAAATAACTTTTTCATAGCTAATCTTGGGGGTACTTTAGGAATTAAATCTAATCATATCTATTTTTGTCAAGCTTGATTATGCTGAAGATGCTACCGAACGGCGCCGTGTCCTAGAAGTAGAAAAAGAAGACACAGAAGAGCTGAGACAAAAGTACAAGGTATTTAAACAAAGCTATTCATTGGGAGATGGGGAGGTGCTCACTGAATAAGAAAGAACTCAAATTTTGTTGAAAATCATCACTGTTGCTAACAGCATTTGTTTGACATTTGGTGGTAATTAGTAGTAGATCTCAGATTTCTATTACATTCCTATTTATTGGCTCTGTATAAACTATAGAGATAATAATACCTACTTCTAAAGTGTGTTAGAAAGATTACATGAATTAGTGTTTGAAAACACAATGCCTGTTACATAGTAGGTATTCAAGTAGTGGTAGCAGTAAAAATTGTTAAAAGTCCTTTGAGGCCAGACACAATGGCTCACACTTGTAACCCCAACACTTGCAGAGGCCAGACACAGTGGCTCACACTTGTAACCCCAACACTCAGTAGAGACGGGGTTTCACCATGTTGGTCAGGCTGGTCTCGAACTCCTGACCTTGTGATCCACCCGCCTCGGCCTCCCAAAGTGCTGGGATTACAGGCGTGAGCCACCACGCCAAGCCTAATTTTTGTGTTTTTAGTAGAGATGGGGTTTCACCATGTTGGCCAGGCTGGTCTTGAACTCCTTGCCTCAGGTGATCTGCCTGCCACGGCTTCCCAGTTTGCTGGGATTTCAGGCGTAAGTCACCGCGCTTGACCCCCTTTCTTGTTTTTGAACTTAGCTTAGCTATATATTAAATTTTTGTGTGTTTTATTTTATCCAGAACTATAATATAACCAACTCATCTTCTTTTCCTGCCCCTTTTTCTTTCCCCTTTTTCTTCTCCTTTCCTCTCTCTTTATTCACTCTTCAGCCTATTTATACTGACTTTAGCAGTTTTCACCAAACCACTTTATTCAAGGCCACCAAACACTTCTATTTGCTAAATCCAATAAATCATTTATTTATTTATTTATTTTATTATTATTATTAATATTATTATTTTTTTTAAAGACTGAGTCTCACTCTGTTGCCCAGGCTGGAGTACAGTGGTGTGATCTAAGCTCACTGCTCCCGGGTTCAAGTGATTCTCGTGCCTTAGCCTCCGAGTAGCTGGGACTACAGGTATGAGCCACCACGGCCAGCTAATTTTTTTGAATTTTTGGTAGAGATGGGGTTTCACCATGTTGGCCAGGCTGGTCTCGAACTCCTTACCTCACGTGATCTGCCCACCTCGGCCTCCCAAAGTGTGGGGATTACAGGCGTGAGCCACTGCGCCTGGCATACTCTTTCTTCTTTAAAACATTTTCATTACTCTTGGTTTTGAAGAATTTATACTTTCCTAGATTAGTTGCTTCTTATCTGTCTTGCTGCTTCTATGTAGATTCCTTTGTTGGCTGCTGTTTATTCTGCCTGAACTTCAGATATTGGAGTTCCTCAGCTTCAGACCTGGGCCCTCTTTTTCTGGCTACATTCTTTCTCTAGGCACAAGAGTGGTCATGACACCATGTTTCATCATCTTTCACTTGGTTAAATTTTCTCCTTTGGGTTTTAGCTTAAATATTACCTCATTATAGATCTTCCCTAATCAACTCATTTAAATAATTAACCACTCTGCCTTATTCTCTTGCAACAACCTCTCTTACAATTTGTAATTATAAATTTTTATTCACTAATTTATATTCTGCTTTCTGTACTAGTCAGAAAGGGCATTGAGGAGAGAGAGTATGTCTATTTGTCTGCCAGTATATATCCTGCATCCAGCACAGTGTGTGGTGCATAAGTACTCAATAAATATTAGTTGAATGAATAAATATTTTGAAATAGTGAGAAAAGCCAGATTCATTTTATGTACTGTCTGAAATATAAACATTATAAAGAATACATTTTTATTTTTCAAGTAAAAGTTACACTGTCGAGTGAAAAATAAATGAAATACCTCAGTAATTCACAGCCTCATAAGATTATACATAGTATCTTGAGATGCTCTCTCCCTGGTAATAGAATTATTTCTCGGCTGGGTGCGGTGGATCACGGCTGTGCTTTGGGAGGATTGCTTGAGCCCAGGAGTTTGAGAGCAGTCTGGGCAATGTAGCAAGAATCTGTCTCTACAAAAAGAAAAAAGAAAAAAAATAGCTAGGTGTTGGTGGTGCATGCCTATAAATCCCAGCTACTTAGAGAAGCTGAATTGGGAGGATCACTTGGGCCCAGGAGTTGAAGACAGCAGTGACCTATGATCACACCACTGCACTCCAGCCTGGGCAAGAGCAAGAATTACTTTCCCCATCTTATTGATCAAAATATTTACTCCGAAACCCTGTCAACTCTGAACTACACTGTTTCTAAAATCTTAAATGTCCTATTATCTGACCATGGTCTTTTTTCCTTCCTGCTGTCACTCCTTTATTCTCCTATATTTTTTCTTCAACTTCACATGACTTTGGAAGCTTTAGTAACTTAGCTCCTCCTTAATTTGTACTTTTCCCCTCTAGCACCACACACTCATGTTTACCTCTCACAGCACTTTGATTCCAACTCCCTTTCCTCCTAGTCCTTTTGTCATACATACTCACCAAAAGCCTGTCCCGTTAGTACAAAATGCATTACTTGCATTCTTTATTTCTATACCCTTTCTGCCAACCTCACTGGGCCCTCAGAGCTGCCAATTAATCCTCTCATGTGTCATGTCCCTCTTAGTCCTCTCAGCTGTCATTCTCAAACATTGGTACTCAGCCTTCATCTTTCCTTAACTACCCTTGTCGTATCTCTGCCTTCCCGTATGTTTTTAGTTAAGAAAGAGAATTTGGACCATCAGGTAGTAATGCCTTCATCTACGTATACTATCCTACATCAAACGAGGGTTCACCTGCTCTCATACTTCAATATTTCTCTTTTGTTTCACCATCTGTTAAATGATAATTTGTACATACATCTGAATTCTGGATCCTAACTCTCCCTGTCTTATCAAAGACCTTCCACTTCTTTCCTGTATTGGCAACCTTTCTCTTTATTTGTTCTTTTCCTATCAACAGTAAACATACTTGAAGATTTGTTGGGAGAGGGAATCCTAAAATTAAAAAAAAAAAAAAAAAACCCACTCTGATTTACTCTCCATATAGCTACCACCTTCTCTTTTCACTTGTCTTTAGAACCAGAATTCTTAGTCACTACTCTGACTGCTTCCTTTTCATCACTCTCTCATCTCTAATTTTATAGAGATGGGATCTCACTCTGTCGTCCATGCTGGAGTTCTGTGGTGCTATCGTAGCTCACTACAGCCTTAAACTCCTGGGCTCATACAATCCTCCCACCTCAGCCTCCCAAGTAACCAAGACTATAGGCGTGCACCACCATGCCTGGCTAATTTTTTTTTTAAGAGATAGGGTCTCACTATGTTGCCCAGGCTGGTCTCAAACTCCTGACTTCAAATGATCCCCCTACCTCAGCCTCCCATTTTTATTTTTTAATTTTCATTTTTATCAAAGTTTTACTTGTATATAGTCTTAGAGCCAAATAGCTCTACCAGACTTTTAAAAGAAAAAACAAAAACTGCAGTCTCATTTGACATTCTTGTTATTTTATTAAATATTTTTAATATGTGAGATATAAAGAAAAACTATAAACACTTAGGTATTTTCTACTCAATTTAAGAAAAAGAGCACTATCAGTAACTTCATGATCCCATCACATTTCTGTCTCCTTTAGAGATAAACACTATGCTGATTTTTGTGTTTTTCGCCTTTTTTTTTTTTTTTTTTTTTTCCTTTTTGAGACAGTCTTGTTCTGTCACCCAGGCTGGAGTGCAATGGCAGAATCTCAGCTCACTGCAACCTTTGCCTCCTGGTTTCAAGCAATTCTCCTGCCCCAGCCTCCTGAGTAGCTGGGATTACAGGTGTGCACCATCACACCCAGCGAATTATTTTGGTATTTTTAGTGGAGACAGGGTTCTGTCATGTTGGCCAGGCTGGTCTAGAACTCCTGACCTCAAGTGATCCGCCTGCCTCAGCCTCCCAAAATGCTGGGATTACAGGCGTGAGCCACTGTGCCTGGCCCCCTCACAATTTTGTAGGTAAAATTGTTGTTGAGATAAAATTCACATAACATAAATTTACCATTTTAGTCATTTTATAGCAATACTACAATTTAATGATTTTTAGCTTATTTACAGTGTTGTAAAATTATCACCACTGTGGCCAGTGCGGTGGCTCACACCTGTAATCCCAGCACTTTGGGAGGCCAAGGTGGGCGGGTCACTTGAGGTCAGGAGTTCCAGACCAGCCTGGCCAAAATGGTGAAACCCCTTCCCTACTAAAAATACAAAAAAAAAAAAAAAAGCTGGGCGTGGTGTTGTGTGCCTGTAATCCGAGCTACTCAGGAGGCTGAGGCAGGAGAATCGCTTGAACCCAGGAGGCGGAGGTTGCAGTGAGCCAAGATCGCACCACTGCACTCCAGCCTGGGCGACAGACAGAGTGAGACTCTATCTCAAAAAAAAAAATGCAACAGTGAACATTCCTGTCGTCTTTCTGATCTTTATAGAGAAGCTTTCAGTCTTTCACCATTATGATGTTAGCTGGGGGTTTTTTGTTCTCATCAGGTTGAGGAAGTGCCTAATTTCTAGAAATTCCTGCTTTGTTTAGTGTTTTTACCATGAAAGAGAGTATTGGGTTTTGTCAAATGCTTATTTTGCATCTACTGAGATAACCTTGTGGGTTTTTTCCTTTTATATTCTGTTAATAATGGTGTATTACATTGTAGTGGTGTATTACATTGATTGATTTTTGTATGTTGAACCAACATTGAGTTCCTGGGATAAATCCCACTTCGCCTTTTAATATGCTGTTGAATTTGGTTTGATAGCATTTTGTTGAGCATTTTTGCATCTGTACACAGAAAAGATATTAGTCTGTAGTTTTCTTGTAATGTCTTTGTATCAGGGTAATACTCAGAATAAATTAGGAAGTGTTCCTTCCTCTTCTATTTTCCCTTGCATTTTAAAATGGTTTTTTAATGTGTTTTGTATCCTAAATATGTATTGCTTAGTTTTATGTAGTGGGTGGGTGGGTGGGTCGGTGAGTTGGTTGGTTGGTTGGTTGGTTTTGAGACAGTCTTGCTTTGTTGAGACAGTCTTGCTCTGTCGCCCAGGCTGGAGTGCAGTGGCACGATGGCTCACAGCAACCTGTGCCTCCCGGGTTCAAGCAATTCTCATGCCTTAGCCACCCAAGTAGCTGGGATTACAGGCGTGCGCCACCACGTCCAGCTAATTTTGTTTTTTTTTTTTAGACGGAGTCTTACTCTGTCACTCAAGTTGGGGTGCAGTGGCACGATCTCAGCTCACTGCAGCCTTCACCTCCTGAGTTCAAGCAATTCTTGTGCCTCAGCCTCCCGAGCAACTGGGATTACAGACACGTGCCACCATGCTCAGCTGGTTTTTGTTTGTTTGTTTGTTTGTTGTTTTGTGTGTGTGTGTGTGTGTGTGTGTGTGTGTGTGTGTTTAGTAGAGACGGGGTTTCACCATGTTGGCCAGGCTGGTCTCGAACTCCTGACCTCAGGTGATCCACCTGCCTTGGCCTCCCAAAGTGCTGGGATTACAGGCGTGAGCCACCACGTGGCCTAGTTTTACATGTTTTTTAACTTTATATAAGTGGAATCAGTTTTCTTGTATATATATATACACACAAGATTTTCTCCAGAGTGTGACATTTATTTATTTTCTTGTTTCCATTGCTGTAAGGGGTTAAACCTGTGTTCAAGGAATACACATAGGCTTAACTTCTTAAAGCAATATACTTTAGCCTCTGTATAATGTTGTCATTATCCTTTTTTACCTTAAAATTCTGCAGCTTCAGATTCATGGAAGGGTCTTTTAAACATTTTTGTTAATTCTTAGCTGTATTATACTGTGTTGATATATGTTGTGCATATTACTTCTTCATTTCTGACTTTATTACAGTTTCTTCTATAGCCTATAATGGGCTTTTTGTCTGTGTAAATATTCTTTTTTTTTGAGATGGAGTCTCTGTCGCCCAGGCTGGAGTGCAGTGGCGCCATCTCGGCTCACTGCAAGCTCCGCCTCCCGGGTTCATGCCATTCTCCTGCCTCAGCCTCCCGAGTAGCTGGGACTACAGGTGCCTGCCACCACGCCCGGCTAATTTTTTGTATTTTTAGTAGAGACAGGGTTTCACCATGTTAGCCAGGATGGTCTCGATCTCCTGACCTCGTGAACCGCCCACCTCGGCCTCCCACAGTGCTGGGATTACAGGCATGAGCCAGCGTGCCTGGCCTTGTCTGTGTAAATATTCTATGAGTACTGTTTATTTGAGATAGGGTCTCACTCTGTCACCCAGACAGGATCTCACTCTGTCACCTAGAAGTGCGGTGGCAGTGATCACAGCTTACTGCAGCCTCGACCTCCTGGACTCAAGCGATCCTCCCACCTCAGCTTCCCGAGCATCTGGGGCTACAGGTGCATGCCACCACACCCAGCTAATTTTTATATTTTTTGTAAAGACAGGGTTTCACCATGTTGCCCAGGCTGGTTTTGAACTCCTAGGCTCAAGCTGTCCACCCACCTCAACCTCCCAAAGTGCTGGGATTACAGGTGTGAGCCACTATGCCTGGCCTCTACAAGTACTTTTTTTTTTTTTAATTGAGATGGAGTCTCACTCTGTTGCCCAGGCCAGAGTGCAATGGTGCGATCTCAGCTTATTGCAACCTCCACCACCCAGATTCAAGTGATTCTCGTGCCTCAGCCTCCCAAGTAGCTGGGATTACAGGCGCCCACCACCACACCTGGCTGATTTTTGTATTTTTAGTAGAGACAGGGTTTCATCACGTTGGTCAGGCTGGTCTCAAACTCCTGACCTCAGGTGATCCACCCACCTCGGCCTCCCAAAGTGCTGGGATTACAGGAATGAGCCACCGCACCCAGCCTACGAGTACTTTTTGAAGGACTTCCCCAGCCTTCCAAGTAACTGGGACTACAGGTGCACACCACCACGCCTAGCTAATTTTTTGTATTTTTGGTAAAGATGGGGTTTTGCTATGTTGCCCAGGCTGGTTTCAAACTCTTGAGCTCAGGTAATCCGCCTGCCTCGGCCTCCCAAAGTGCTGGAATTACAGACATGGGCTACCACGCCTGGCCTATTTTATTTTTTAAGTTATTATGTGGTCTCAAAGTGGGAAATAAATGGATGGATGGATGGATACATGGATGGATGGATGGATATAGGATGGATTATATTTGTGTTGTTCTAGTTACCTTTATAACTTAATGAAATTACCCATGTTTGAGTGTCCATTATTTTCGTACTATAAGCAATAAAAAGCTAGCTTGTTTTCTCTTCTTTCCTCTTCCATTTTAAAAACTCTATCATATAATGTTAATAAGTAAAATGGCCATTCTTAGTATGTGGCTTCATACCATTTAATTATTATATTATGTACACTACTTCTATTACTTAATAATTTTCATGTTTTGTAAAGTTCTTTTTACTTCTATTGAGTTTGCAGAAGTAAGCAAACTCAAATTCATATCTGCTTCTGCCTGCCCACCCAGTTTTTTATTATTTGTATCATTTCTATTTTCTGACAGCATATAACATACATAGTTATATGTATATGTTACAGTTATATGTATATACTTTAATAGCCCTATTTCTTTTAACCTTAGTTATAGGAGTAAATGGTTTTAAAGCAGTCTGCCAGTTCTTTTGCTGAGTTTTCTTCTATTATTTCTGAATTTTGTACCCTATTAACTTACTTAAAAGTGGTTGTGCAAACAGTGTTTCTTGAATTATTTATATATATATGTATTTTATATAAACATAAGCCTATAAAAATAATTCACATCCAGCCTTGGGCACCATGATGAAACCCTGTCTCTACGAAAAATACAAAAATTAGCCAGGCATAGTGGCATGCCCCTGTGGTCCTAGCAACTCAGAAGGCCGAGGTGGGAGGATTAATTGAGCCCAGGAGGTCGATGCTACAGTGAACTGTAATTGCACTACTGCACTCCAGTCTGGCCAATAGAGCAAGACGCTGTCTCAAAAAAAAAAAATAGTAATATTAATTTAGGCAATTACATATATATCAACTTATGTATATGTGTGTATATATGTACACATACATATAACTCCATATATACGTGTATGTATTCCCTATATTTGAAAGATACATATAAAATCCTAAGTTAATTCTTTCCTTAGATATCTTATAGTATTTATTGTACCACTGTCTTCTGGAGTTGAGAGAGAGTGTGAGAGAGAGAGAGAGAGAGAGAGAGAGAGAGAGTGTGTGTGTGTGTTGTTGAAGAGATCAAAGGCTGGCCTGATCTTCCCCTTCTTGATTGTTTTTGCCTAGCTGCTGAAAGGAGTCTGTCTTTAAGATTCAATAACTTTACTACACTATTGATTGTCACTGATTGTTCTGGGACCATTTTCATTGTCACACTATGTGCCCTTTCTTGTCCTGTGTAGTTGAGTGGATCTTCCTTTAGTGAGCATGTGCTGATAGCCTTTTTTTTTTTTTTTTTTTTTGAGACAAGGTCTCACTCTGTCACCCAGGCTGGAGTGCAGTGGCGCAATCTTGGCTTACTGCAGCCTCTGCGTCCCAGGCTCAAGTGGTCCTCCCACCTCAGCCTTTCAAGTAGCTGGGACCAAAGGCAAGTGACACCATGCTCAGCTAATGTTTTGTATTTTTGGTAGAGCCGGAGTTTCACTGTGTTACCCAGGCTGGTCTTGAACTCCTGAGCTCAAGCCATCTGCCTGCCTCGGCCTCCCAAAGTGCTGGGATTACAGGCGTGAGCCACCGCACCTGGCCTCAGCCTTTTCTTAGATCTGCCGCAATTGGGCAGAACTTTTTGCTTTTCTCTATGTGCATTCTTTGTACTGCAAATGTTTCCTCATCCACCCTAACCCAAGTTCATCCCTTTGTTCTTCCCAGATCTCAGAAATTCTTGATGAGTGCAAGAGATGTAGGTATATTCATTTCAGAGGATCCTTTTATGTACAGGATATATGTTTTGCCATTTTCTGAAATTGCCACCTTTGGCTTTTTTGATATTGCTTAGCTTTGCCTTGTCTGGCTTCTACTACATTTCCCTCATTCAGGTTCTATAAAGAGCTTAACTTTCCTTCTGTGTGTTTTTCATACTCCAGATCATATCTGTTGCCCAGTTCTTCTGAAAATGCAGTTGGTGGGGTTTTTTTAATTCATAATTTTGTTTTTATGATACCCAAGAAGAAAATCAAAGCTGTTTTCCTATACTGCTGTATTCATACCAGGAACTCTAGTTTTGTTGCTTAAATTTGCAGCCAGGTGTGGGGGCTGACACCTGCAATGTCATCACTTTGGGAGTCCAAGGTGGGAGGATCACTTGAGCCCAGGAGTTCATGACCAGCTTTGGCAGCATAGTGAGACCTCATCTCTACAAAAAATACAAAAGTTAGCTAGGTTTGCTGGTACACGCCTATAGTCCAAGATACTTGGGAGGCCGAGGTGGGAAGATTGCTTGAGCCCAGGAGGTGAAGACTGCAGTGAGCCATGAACTGCACTGTACTCCAGCCTGGGCAAAAAAGCCACAAGTCGTTTAATAGCCAAACAACATGAAACTGTCCGGGACTGTCAAAGAAAATTATTGTGAAGGATTAGATAGGGCAAAAATAACAATGTGCTACACATACTCACTTTTCAGTTTTAATAAGTCTGTCCAAATTAGTTCAGTACTGCCACTCCAGAAAATAATAACCTTTTCTTGTTTACTGATTAAGTAGCTCTTATGGGAGATGATAGAGCTGCTTTGAAACTGTAGATATAGTCTTTGAGATAAGACTTATCTTTTTTAGGTCAGTCTGCTAGAAGGAGTTGCTCATTATGAAAGTAATGCATCTACCCTGCTCTAAAAGTCAAGCAAGTAGTCACTTAGCATTCCTGTCCCTTTCTCATCCTTCTGTGCGACATTAGCAAATGAATATACTCAACTTGCTTTGAGGTATCTTTTAATTGTTTTCTCTTTTTTCCTTTTTGAGATGTCTTTTGATGTCTAGTTTTTAAGTGAAACTGCTGAGGCAAATTGGACTGCCTTTGAGTCAGTCCCACAGTTTTTTGTTGTTGTTGTTTTTCTCCAACCTCCTCTCACATGTAAGAGTCCCACAGTTTTCAATCTCGCTGAGACCAGCAGATAACACATATCTGTGGGTTGGCTTTCCAAGCAGTGCAGCTTATATGTAGAATGACCATAGAATATTTAACTCCATCATTGGCTACAGACTCAGGTAATGCTTTTTTCCTTCGTGTCTGAAAACTAGACTATTAATACAGGTTGTATATCCCTTATCCAAAATGCTTGAGACCAAAGGTGTTTCAGATTTCAGATTTTTTGGGGGTTTTGGAATATTTGCATTATACTTATCAGTTGAGCATCCTTAGTCCTTTTAAACATTTGTTTATTTGAAGACAATTGTTAGTATGACGACACACAGATTACCCACCAAAGTACCACTTGTGTTTCATCCAGCTTTTACTGGTACCACTAAATATTATGAAAAGCCCTTTTTTGTCTTCTCAGATAGACTGTTTTCTCTATAACATTCACTTAAAGTTTTACCAAGTTCATTTTTTGTTTCTTTGTATTTCATGGGTCTTGAAGGATTATGTTGACAAAGAGAAGGCAATTGCCAAAGCCTTGGAAGACCTCAGAGCCAACTTTTATTGTGAACTGTGTGATAAGCAATATCAGAAACATCAGGAATTTGATAACCATATCAACTCCTATGATCATGCACACAAGCAGGTGAGTTGTAGTTACTTGCTAACAGAAGAAGGTACCTATCTATTGTTACAACAATTGGATTTTATGAGTATACCCCCCAAAACTTGGTGTCTATGATTTCTTGTGTCTGCCAATCTTTATCTGCAGTCATCCAACACACTTTGTTTTTTCAGTGGCAGAAATCCTGACATAGACACCACCTCCAGCCCACACTCCCACATATACACTATTTGACAAATTGTGTTTTGTAAATCTTATATAATGTTTTTGCCTTTTATTGATTTCTAAGTTTTTATTTAATTTTGTAATTCAGCTGAGGGTCACTGGGAGCTTTGTTTCCATTTCTGCTCTTAACGCGTTAAACTTTGAAGAGTTATTCAGCAGACTGTTATTTTCAAGTTCCCTACATAAGATTTCATGCTTTATTGGCTACCATTTTCTATTATTAAGTCATTTTGCTATTCAATATACCTTGGAAGTTAGATAAATTTTGAGAAGGAAAATAAAATTAGATGCTATCTTAACTTTAACAAAAAACTCTGTTGCTGCATGTTGAAGAGCTGATAAATGAATTACACTTTGCAGTCTTTGCCCCCTCCCCCGCCGCCACCCCATCATTTTAGAGGAGAAAATTGTACCTAACTAGTTACTGATATACAGAAGATGGCAATAATCCCCCTGGGAGAGTTTAGAAGGGAAAAATAAATTGTTACACCTATAGGACAGTTCTGGCTTGTTAAAGAATTTCAAGCCATTTGATCTTGGGTGACTTTAACATAACTTACTAGGTTTTTGGGGGGTACAATAGTTGTATTTGTTAAACTTGTAAATTTATGAGCATTGGAATGATGTCTCCTAAGCTGGACTTGTTGAACTAAGATTTTTTTTTAGCCTTCATCTTCCACCAACCATAAGATTTCAGTGCACAGGTAAAAGGCAATCTTTGACCAAGTTTTATTCTTACTAGAACTGGAAGAATTTGTAAGCTGGTTGTGGTATTACACTTTTTTGGAACAGTCTCCCCCATTTAAATATACCTAACCAATTTAAGATTCTTCCACTAATGGACTTGTATTCAAGACAGCTTTTCAACTTACTACATACCTTTGGACATTCTTTTCTGTTTTTTTGAGACGGAGTTTTGCTCTTTCGCCCAAGCTGGAGTGCAGTGGTGGATCTCAGCTCACTGCAACCTCCACCTTCTGGTTTCAAGTGATTCTCCTGCCTCAGCCTCCTGAGTAGCTGGGATTACAGGTGCCTGCCACCATGCCCAGCTAATTTTTGTATTTTTAGTAGAGATGGGGCGAACTCCTGACCTCGTGATCCGCCCACCTCGGCCTCCCAAAGTGCTGGGATTACAGGTGTGAGCCACTGCGCCCGGCCGTGGACATTCTTTTAATACATTGTCAGCTTTGCTTGATTCGAAGAAGAGAAATTTATAGAGCATATATATATAGACAAGCTGTATTGGCAGTTACTTTTTTACTCTTTCAAAGACTGGTTTTTCAGGAAAGAAAAATTCAACAGTGAATACTTCTATCCAGGACCTTTTCCAGTTTTTCAAAGTATTTATAATTTAAAAATGTTAGGCCGGCCGGGTGCGGTGGCTCACGCTTGTAATCCCAGCACTTTGGGAGGCCGAGGCGGGCGGATCACGAGGTCAGGAGATCAAGACCACGGTGAAACCCTGTCTCTACTAAAAATACAAAAAATTAGCCGGGCCTGGTAGCGAGCGCCTGTAGTCCCAGCTACTCGGAGAGGCTGAGGCAGGAGAATGGCGTGAACCCGGGAGGCGGAGCTTGCAGTGAGCCGAGATCGCACCACTGCACTCCAGCCTGGGTGACAGAGCAAGACTCCGTCTCAAAAAAAAAAAAATTTTAGGCTAGGCACGGTGGCTCGCACCTGTAATCGCAGCACTTTGCAAAGCCAGGGCAGGAGGATCACTTGAGCCCAGGAGTTCGAGACCACCCTGAGCAATGTACAAGACCTGCCCCCCAATCTAAGCTAATTACAAAAAATGTAATTAGCTGGGTGTGGTGGCACATGTGTAATCGCAGCTACTCCAGAAGCCGAGGTGTTAGAATCGCTTGAGCCCAGGAGTTTGAGGTTGCAGTGAGCCATGATCATGCCACTGCACTTCACACTGGGCAACAGAGCAAGACCTTGTCTCAAAAAAACAAAACAAATAAAAAACTCTTTCAGATTATCTTTATTTAATTAAGACATTTAGTATCTAAGTATATACTCAAGTTTTGGGGTTCTTGAGAATTTTTTCAATTAAGAAATATCTGTGATATATTAACAGAAAAGATATTTTAGGTGGAAAAATGGCATTAGAAAGGTTAGGCCAGGTGCAGTGGCTCATGCCTATAATCCCAGCACTTTGGGAGGCTGAGATGGACAGAGTCACATGAAGCCAATTCGAGACCAGCCTGGCCAACATAGCAAAACCCTGTCTCTACTAAAACTACAAAAATTAGCCAGGCATGGTGGTGCACGCCTGTAATCCCAGCTGCTTGGGGGTTCGAGGCACGAGAATTGCCTGAACCTGGGAGGCGGATTTTGTGGTGAGGCAAGATCATGTCGCTGTACTTCAGCCTGGGTGACAGAGCAAGACCCTGTCTCAAAAAAAAAAAGAAAAAAGAAAAAGAAAGAAAGGTTACACACTAGTCGATGACTTCAGAGTCAAGTTTTAACTAGAAAAGAGGCCAGGTGCGGTGGCTCGTGCCTGTAATCCCAGCACTTTGGGAAGCTGAGGGGGAGTTCACCTGAGGTCAGGAGTTCCAGACCAGCCTGGCCAACATGGCGAAACCCCATCTCCATTGAAAATACAAAAATTAGCTGGGCATGGTAGTGTGCACCTGTAGTCCCAGCTTCTCAGGAGGCTGAGGCAAGAGAATCACTTGAATCCGGGAGGCAGAGGTTATAGTGAGCCGAGATCGTGCCACTGCACTCCAGCCTGGGTGACAGAGCGAGACTCCATCTCAAGAAAAGAAAAAAAAGGTTTTTTTGTTTGTTTGTTTTTCTTGAGATGGAGTTTCACTCTTGTTGCCCAGGCTGAAGTGCAATGGCGCGATCTCGGCTCACTGCAACCTCCGCCTCCTGGGTTCAAGCGATTCTCCTGCCTCAGCCCCCAGAGTAGCTGGAATTACAGGCATGCGCCACCACGCCCGGCTAATTTTTGTAAAGAAAAAAAAGTTTTAACTAGAAAACAATAGGCTGGGTGTGGTGGCTCACACAGTATAATCCCAGCACTTTGGAAGGCCAAGGCGGGCAGATCAGTTGAGGTCAGGAGTTCAAGACCAGCCTGTCCAACTTGGTGAAACCCCGTCTCTACTAAAAATAAAAAAAATTAGCCAGGCGTGGTGGCCTGGCTAGTAGTCCCAGCTGCTCGAGGCAGGAGAATTGCTTGAGTCTGGGAGGTGGAGGTTGCAGTGAGCCAAGATGGCACCACTGCACTCCAGCCTAAGTGACAGAGCAAGACTCCATCTCAAAAATAAAGAAAAAAGTAAACCAGGAAAAAGTATAATTCAAACTTCAATAATGTATAGACTTGCCTTTTAAGGGAAAAAAAGCAAAACAGATTTACAATGTAATAAAATTCACATTGACAGCATTAATGTGTTGTATGATAATGTTTTAGTGACACTGTCCTCAACCTGAATGTAGTAGAAATTGTTACATCTTTGGTTCATTTGAATTTGACATGTTTATTCTCCTGCACACCTTGTGTTACCTCAGCTCTCCCACCACTTTTCTCTATTGCATTTGCTCTCAAACTAGGGAGATTTTGTCACTCTGGAGGCACTTGGCAATGCCTCTGTACATTTTTGGTTGTCCCAACTAAGGGTGTGATACTACTGGCATCTAGTAGGTTGAGGCCAGCAATGCTGGTAACATCTACAATGCACAGAAAAGCTCCTTGAAACAAAGAGGCAAAATGGCAGTTAATAGTGCTGCAGTTGAAAACCCTATTCTATCAGAATTAATTAAAAACTTTCGTATATATATGATATTGTGGTGTCATTTGACCTTAGTACAAACAAATTATTGTCATTTTAAGTCCCAAGTTATGTTGTAAACATTTATAAAGTGCTCATCTAGGTGATCCAGAATATTCACTTATTACTCTTCTTTAGAGTACCATCAAAATAAAAATACAAAATTAAGGGTTACCCATGGAGAACTCATGGACTGCCTGTTCACTAATACAGAATATATATCTGTGATCCCTGGTCTAGGAAAAATCTTTAGCTGGTATGATGAATGAATGCATGTGAGTTTATTTCTTCATCTTAAAAGCTCATCTTACGCATTAAAAAAAAAAAAAACCATGTAGTACAAGTTTGGTTTTGGTTTTGGTTTTTGGTGAAATGTTCTTCATTTGCTTGAAAGGTAGGCTTTTTCACCTTTCTTCATACTGCTGTTCTAATGCAAACAGTAGGATCTCAAAACAGAATGTTATAAATATATAAACAAAAGAAGCACAGCACTAAATTTTTCATAGTTCGTCTCTTCCCTGAACTTGGAATGTCTGAGGAACCCACTGGGTGCAGTGGCTCATGCCTATAATCCCAGCTACTGAGGAGGCTGAGGCAGGAAGATCTGTTGAGGCCAGGAGTTCAAGGCTGCAGTGAGCTATGCTCGTGCCACTGCACCTCAGCCTGGGTGACAGAGCAAGACTCTGTCTCTCTAAAAAAAAAAAAAAAATTACCCTGATGTGGTGACACGCACATGTAGTGTAAGTCCGAGCTACTTGTGAGGCTAAGCCAGGAGGATCGCTTGAGCCCAGGAGTTTGAGGTTGCAATAAGCTGTGATCATGCCACTATACCCTAGCCTGGGTGACAGAGCAAGACCCTGTCTCGGACAACAAAAAAAAATAATTTCTAAGGAATCTTTAATTGACCTTGGTACAACACAGCCACATAACCCCTAACAGGAGGAAGGACATATTTTTCATTCCTCTTTGATGGACATGAACTTAACATACAAATGGACCTACCATTTTTCCAAATTCATGCTCTAAAATCATAAAGACACCCTGTCTTGTCTTCCAGGAAGGCACACAGGATTATTATGAATCTGAGATAATAGGTAAGTACTTTCAACCCTGTATTAGCAATCCCTAGTTTGCATCTTCTATCAGATTTTCACCATTAATATTTTTCAGAGAAATAATGTATTACGTTAGTAGTAAACTATAGTAGAGGCAGGATCCTAAACATACCCTTCTCTTTAATAAGCACAAATAATCTCTCCAAAAGGAGCTATATGGTCACCCTCATTCAAGGTTTGAGTTGTTTTTTTCCTGACAGGATGCGGGGGTGTTATGTGCCTCTTTATATTCACTAGTTTTTCTCAGGTTTTCCAAGATTTTACGAAGAGTTGTTAACACAAAAATATTAAGACCCAGCTTGATCTTCAGAGATACAGAAGCTGATTAAGTATTTTGGCTCTTTTCAGTAGTTTAACCCTAGTTTTCAAGTGATCGATGTTAATACATTTTGAAATCTCTAAGAGTAGGCCTTTCCATTTCTGAAGAAATCCAATATATGATTCCTTTTTACATGAGTTAATTCTGATAACACCTGAATGCTCAATAGACATTAGCACTGACTAGCCGGGCGCGGTGGCTCACGCCTGTAATCCCAGCACTTTGGGAGGCCGAGGCTGGCGGATCACAAGGTCAGGAGATCGAGACCATCCTGGCTAACATGGTGAAAACCCCTCTCTACTAAAAATACAAAAAAGCCGGGCGTGGCAGCACGTGCCTGTAGTCCCAGCTACTGGGGAGGCTGAGGCAGGAGAATTGCCTGAATCCGGGAGGTGGAAGTTGCAGTGAGCCAAGATCATGCCACTGCACTCCAGCCTGGGCGACAGAGCAAGACTCCATCTCAAAAAAAAAAAAAAAAGACATTAGCACTGATCATCTCCTACCTTTGTTGGCTTAGTGTAAGTTACAGACAAATTTGATACTACAGATTTTTCTATCCCTACGTCCTTGCCTCCTTAATTATTTTGCATATCTTTAAAAAATTTGTCTGCTGATGGATATGACAGTAGAATCATTTTCTTTAGCATTTCAAGAGGCCTAAAATTCAAACTCCAAAGAATATTGTTTCCCAAAAGTAAATTAATTAATAGCAGCACCACCTTTATAGTCAATCCTCCTTCCCTCCCTCCCTTCCTCCCTTCCTTTCTTCCTCTTTTTCTTTTCTTCTCTCTCTCTCTTTCTCTCTTTTTGGCTGCTTCCTTTGTACCTTGTTACCTACTCAGGATTTTTCTTCCAATCTTAGCCTCTTGTTTGTGCCACTAAAGGTCCTCCTAGTACATAAACTAGAGAGGTCACAAATTATCTCATAGATATATTTTATCTGGCCTTCACATTATTAGTTTTTCCCTTTTTAATTTCAGTTGATTCCCAAATTTTAAAAATTCAATTTTACATAATTTAGGCTTTGGCTTATCTTGAAAAATTAAAATTATCAGACAACATTGGGCCTACATTTCAACATAACAGTTGACTAAAGCTGAACAGTTGCCATCTCTTTGCTCATTCTGCAACTAGCTGTGATCTCCACTTCATCTTTTCTCTTACACCAATCTGTGTGACTCATTATGTTACCTGCCAAACTCCTGTAAACATTTGAATTTGTGACTCAGGCCTATGCTTTTCCTTCCTTCCCACACAGGTTCCCGTGGCTTCTGACTGATACTGGGGAACTGGCACATTGAAAAGCTGCCTCCTTGCTAATAGTGTTGGGACCAACTTCCTTGCGATTTCAGTCTCTGGTAGTCTGATCCAGATTATCAAAATCTGGTACTGTAAAGCATCTTCAGAAATTCTTTAGGCCAAGCGTGGTGGCTCATACCTGTAATCCCAGCACTTTAGGAGACTCAGGCGGGCAGATCACTTGAGCCCAAAAGTTCGAGACCAGTCTGGGCAACATGGCAAAACCCGGTCTCTACAAAAAATGCCCCCAAAAATTAGCTGGATGTGATGGCAGTTGCCTGTGGTCCCAGCTGCTAGAGGGGCTGAGTCTATTAATACATGATTTAGTTAACTTTGTCTAAACTGTTTGCAACTGCTTTTTGACAGGATTGACCTTGTCTAAACTGTTTGCATCTGCTTTTTGACAAGATTACTTACTCTTACTTGACACTTGACGGTTTCATTACGCAGTAACATAACATTACCAAGGAACAGAAATTTAGAGTTTTCCTCAGGAGAATCATTTGAGCCCAGGAGGTGGACATTGCAGTGAGCCAAGATTGTGCCACTGCACTCAAGCCTGGGTAATATATTGAGCAAGGCCCTGTCTCAAAAAAAAAAAAATTCCTTTAACTGTAGGATTCAGTATCTCAGTCAGAGGAATATGCTTTTAGCCTCCCTCTTCTTTCTGCTAAAATACCTGTAGTATGAAAACTCCTATACTTTTTACATTTTCTAAAAGGACTAAAGTCTTATTTAATTCCAAGGTCTGTTTCAGTTGTGAACAAAAACAGTAGTTCCCTGAGCTTTAAATAGCAGAACTAAAACAGATGAAGCCTCTAGCAGCCACCAGTGACTGTATTCTGATTTGTACAGGATATAATCTGTTAATACATGATTTAATTAACTTTGTCTAAATTGTTTGCAACTGCTTTTTGACAGGATTACTTATTCTTAGTTGACTGTTTCATTACCCAATAACATGTATTACTTAAACAGCACAGTTCTCTTCAGGGATTATGCTTTAAGAAACAACACAGGTTTGAAGAAAGGAGTGCATCTCAGCACTTGAACATGTTGTAGTTTTATTTTAATAACCTATAGCAGAGAGGTGAAAATGTTGGGTTCAGTGGTATTCTATACCACTGTTCATACCATTTTCTTGGGGTCTGTTTTGCTTAATAAGAAAATTGACATCATTTGGCCAGTCTTCCAAAAATTTAGCATGTTTCATGCCTTTTCACCTGTTAAGTCTTATGTATTCATTCCCCTCTGCTTATGTTGGGAGTAAACTTATTATACCCAGCAATCACGACATAGCTAACCTTAAAAAAAAATCTGCTGAAGGCCAGGCATGGTGGCTCACGCCTGTATTCCCGGCATTTTGGGAGGCCGAGGTGGATGGATCACGTGAGGTGAGAAGTTCGAGACCAGCCTGGCCAACATGGTGAAATGAAACCCCATCTGTACTAAAAATACAAAAAAAAATTAGCTGGGCGTGGTGGCACACGCCTGTAATCCTAGCTGCTCGGAGGCTGAGGCAGGAGGATCGCTTGAACCCAGAAGACAGAGGTTGCAGTGAGCCAATATAGTACCGCTACACTCCAGCCTGGGCAACAGAGTGAGACTCCGTCTCAAAAACAACAAAACTGTTGAAAAAATCCCCTTCTGCTTAGGGGAGCTGTCTGCTTTTGTGATTAGGGGTAACCCTCAAAACAGACACTTCAGGACCTAATGTTGCCAGGGTAAACCAGGCATTCTCTTGTTATGTATTTCTAACTGTTCTTCATTTTGGCACTCAATCCCAGTTGACTAAAAATGATTCTGCCTTACTTTTGTTCTACAGTTTCAACCTTTCTGCCCCTTACACTTAATTTATCACAGTGATGCACTGTGGTAGAGATGCTGGGATTAGACTCTTTGTTCTATTGTAGTCAGAAAAGTTAAAGCAACCTAAGTAATAAGTTCTTTAGTGACAGTACTGTAAAGAGCTCTGAACTGGGTTGTTGTTGTGCCATTTGCTTTGGACCCAGGCAGCTCTTATGACTTATCCGCCTTCAGATTTTACCTATGGGGCAAATCTTTGTCCCCAGATATCTTCTTGGAGTGCTATGTAAATACAGATTGAGCATCCCAAATTCAAAAAATTAAAATCCAAAATGTTTCAAAATCTGAAAGTTTTTGAATGCCAACATGACTCTCAAAGGAAGTGTTTATTGGAGCATTTTGGGTTTTCAGATTTGGGATGCTCAAGCAGTAAATATACAATGCAAATATTCTAAAATGTAAAAAAGCCCAATATCTAAAACACTTCCAGTTCTAAGTATTTCAGATACGGGATACTCAACCTGTATACTTAAAGCTCATTATCTACAAAACCACAAAATTTATGTATACCATTTCATACCCACTGGGATGGCTAAAATAAAAATGGTACTCTAACAAAGTGTTGGAGAAGATATCAAGAAGTTAGAGCCCTCCTGCATTGCTGATGAGATAGTGAAAAGATAGTGGAAAAGTTTTTGACACTTCCTCAAAACATTAAATACAAAGTTACCATATTACTAGTATATACCCAAGGGAAGTGTAAACATATGTCCACACAAGAACTTGCCTAAAAATGTTTATAGCAGCATTCTTCATAATAGCCAAAAAGGGAAATAACCCACATGTCCATCAACTGGTAAATGGATAAAATGTGGTACATCTGTACAATGGAATATTATTCAGCAATAAAAAGGAAGGACTTACTGGTATATACAACATGCATGAATCTTGAAAATAGTATGCTAAGTGAAAGAAGCTGATCACAAAAGACCCCATATTGTATTATTTATATAAAAAGTCTAGAATAAACAAATGTATAGAGACAGAAAGCTGATTAGTAGATTCCTGGGGCTAGGCAAAGGGGAGATGGTGAGTAACTGCTTATGGGTATGAGGTTTCTTTTGGGAGTAATGAAAATGTTCTAAAATTAGATAGTGGTGATAGTTGCACAATTCTAAGAATGTACTAAAACCCACTAAATTTGACACTTTAGATGTGTGAATTTGGGCCAGGAGCAATGGCTCACGCCTGTAAACACTTTGGGAGGCCAAGGCAGGAGGATCCCTTGATCCCAGGAGTTTGAGACTATCCTGGGCAACATATGGAGATCCTGTCTCTACAAACATAAAAATAAATTAGCAGGGCATGATGGAGTGCATCTGTAGTCCCTGCTGTTTGAGAGGCTGAGGTGGGAAGGATCACTTGAGCCTGGGAGGTCGAGGCTGCAGTGAGCTCTGATTGTGCCACTGCTCTCCAGTGCAGTGACAAAGCAAAACCCTGTCTCCAAAAAAGGGGGGTGGGGTAAATTTTAGGGTATATGAAGTCTATCTCTAAGTCATTTTTAAAACCTCATTAACCAGCTTAAGTTTTCATGGTGGTAGTGGTGGTGAAAATATGTACTACATATACATATGTACATGTGTGTATGTATATGTTCATATATATATATACACATATATATATACACATATATATATATACACATATATATACATATATATATACACACATATATATATATACACACACATATATATATATATATATATATGCCTTAAAGCAGGCATACTTGGTGCTGTTAAAGAATATACCATACTTTTAAGGAGTTTTGCTGAATTCCTGAAAATAGCAAAACAAGCATTACATGGTAATTTTATGACAAATTAATTTGATATTGGACTATTCGGCCTGGCCGGGCACAGTGGCTCACACCTATAATCCCAGCATTTTGGGAATCCAAGGCGGGCAGATCACTTGAAGTCAGGAATTTGAGACCAGCCTGGCCAGCGTGGCAAAACCCCATCTCTACTAAAAATACAAAAATTAGCCAGGTATGGTGGCACGTGCCTGTAATTCCAGCTACCTGGGAGGCTGAGGCAGGAGAATTGCTGGAACCCAGGAGGTGGAGGCTACAGAGATCATGCCACTGCATTCCGGGCAAAAGAGCAAAACTCCATCTCAAAAAAATTAGCCCGGTGTGGTGGCACGCATCTATGGTCCCAGCTTCTCAGGAGGCTGAGGCAGGAGAATCGCTTGAACTCGGGAGGTTGCAGTGAGCCAAGATCGCGCCACTGCACTCCAGCCTGGGCTACAGAGTGAGACTCTGTCTCAAGGAAAAAAAAGAATTTGGGTTGGGCACAGTGGCTCATGCCTGTAATCCCAACACAAAAAATTAGCCGGGCATGGTGGTGGGAGCCTATAATCCCAGCTACGTGGGAGGCTGAAGCACAAGAATCGCTTGAATGTGGGAGGCGGAGGTTGCAGTGAGCTGAGATCATGCCACTGTACTCCATCCTGGGTGATAGAGGGAGACTCTGTCTCAAAAATAAGAAGAAAAAGAATTTGTATTTTTTTCTTTTTCTCTCAGTTTTTCACTATCTGTAATTGGCATTAGTATCTAATTTTCTCTCTTACCAAATACTTGGTTTTTTCTTACTGAATAAAATTAATTTTCATCACTTACTAATAGGCATATGGTAAAAGAAAGAATTTACATCTAATGTTCAGTAACGTGGCTTTCCCTAACCATTCATCTATAATCTTCCTTCACTGGGTAGTTTAATACTGAAACATTCTATATTCTCTCCTGGTCTTTTCTCTCACCCACCACCTGGTGATATCTTCTTGGGTGATCTCATCCATGAACATCAAACACTGAGACATGAATTAGGGTGACCCGGGCAAGCAACAACTACAGCATGATTACTTCAGTTAGGAAGGGGAGAGGAGACAGACATTAATGTTTTGTTGTAGAGGGAGGGGGAAAAAAAACAGTGGAGAGAAGAGGCTGTGATTTTGGTATGCAGGATCATTGACATAAGAGGAAAAGGAGTGGTTGAGATTTGAAGAAGGCCAGATTATGCTTAGCCAGAAATAGTGGTCGAGATACAACACATCTTTTTTTATTTTGTTTTAAAGACAGGTTCAGCTGGGTGTGGTGGCTCACACCTGTAATCCCAGCACTTTGGGAGGCAGAGGCAGGTGGATCACCTGAGGTCAGGAGTTCAAGACCAGCCTGGCCAACATGGTGAAACCCTGTCTCTACTAAAAATATAAATAGCCGGGTGTGGTGGCATGCGTCTGTAGTCCCAGCTACTCGGGAGGTTGAGGCCCGAGAATCACTTGAACTCAGGAGGTGGAGGTTGTGGTGAGCCAAAATTCTGCCACTGCACTCCAGCCTGGGTGACAGAGGGAGACTCTGTCTCAAAAAAATGAAATAAAAAATAAAATGAAAGGTTCTTGCTCTGTTTCCCAGGCTGGAGTGCAGTGGCACAATCATAGCTCACTGTGACCTTGAACTCAAGCAATCCTCCTGCCTCAGCCTCCCATATAGCTGGGATTACAAGCACATAACCACTGCGCCCAACTAATTTAAAAAAATTTTTTTGGCCGTGCGTGGTGGTTCATGCCTGTAATCCCGGCATTTTGGGAGGCCAAGGTGGGCAGATCACCTGAGGTCAGGAGTTTGAGACCATCCCGACCAACATGGAGAAACCCTGTCTCTACTAAAAATACAAAAATTAGCCAGGCGTGGTGGCGCATGCTTGTAATCCCAGCTACTCGGGAGGCTGAAGCAGGAGAATCCCTTGAACCTGGGAGGCAGAGGTTGCGGTGAGCTGAGATTGCGCCATTGTACTCCAGCCTGGGCAACAAGAGTGAAACTCCATCTCAATTTTTTTTTTATAGACACAGTCTTGCTGTGTTGCCCAGACTGGTCTTGGACTCCTGTCCTCAAGCGATCCTTTTACCTCAGCCTCCCAAAGTGTTGAGAGTACAGGTGTGAGCCACAACCCAGTTTGATAAATATTTACTGCGCATCTCTTTTGTGTCATAGACAACTATGTGTACATTGCATAGTTAGTTACAAAGAAAGACTAAGCCTCAGTCCCTGTTGGGAGAGCAGAGTTGCTATCTGGTGAGGGAAAGACGCCATGGATAATCTTTAGACCCTAAAGGGACAAAATCAAGTTTTCTCTTCAGAGCTGAGTAAATGTAGAACATGGGATTTTAGTGGCAGTAGGAAATATTCTGCCCTAAATTCTGCCTGTTTTCTGATACTTGAAATCCCCTTTACATGAGAAAAATGGGTTTTATTTAAATGTAGATAATCAATTTTAAATACTCGAGAAAGTAATCAGAATTATTCTTAGTATACTCCATCAAATATAAACTCCTAGTGTCAAATTTTATTTTGATGGTAGAGAGAAGCATAGCACTAAAAGATACAAAAAGATTTTGTTAAACCCTTGTATTATCTTTTGTTGTTAGAGAACACTGTGCAGAAATGTGTGTCTTACTCAACTCAATCACAGTTGAGCAGGAACACTGTTGCTCTTGACTATTGACAGAATGATGACTATCTTAAAAGTTCTAACCACTATAGAAAGAGGCCGTATTTCTTGGGAGCCATTTTACAGATGATCTGCAAAGCCCAATTGTCATAGTTGCCTTATTTTAATAGACACTGAGCAGAATGTTTCTGCTCTTGAAGTCTACACTTAAAGAGAAGTGGGTGGCTGTTGGGGTGTACCTTTTCTGCACATTTATAATCCACATTCAGATTTACCTGATTCTCATTTCTTTGGCTTAATCTTTTCAGTGATAGTAGAGCAATACTTTGTGTCCACAGTAAAACGTTTTTCTGCCAATATAATGCTGTTTAAGTTATGTTTTAAGAACTGGAATATCATTTCCATTTAGAGTGGTCTTTAACCCAAAGAGCCACAGTTAATGTGGATGGGTACTTCAAGTACTGGATCATTTGTTAGGGTCTTGCCTTTCTACTGGTCTTCTGGAAGGTGTAATGGAAATCCCAGCCACCATGTGATTAAGGATCTGTGGGAAATGTTCCTTCCATTCTGTACTGTGCCACAAATGTATACTGTTTTGGAAAAATGCTGTTGATTTTTCAGGAAAACAGAATCTTCATATCTTTTCATTTCCAGTGGGGTTCAGTCTCCTTTTCTTGAATTAAGGTATTTCCCAACTAAAAATGTGCTATGTGGCTTAAATTTTTGTTAATACCATTAGTGGTTCAATAACATAATCTAATTTATTAGCAGCTCTTCAGAAAGCATATCGTATAATTTTCAGAGATAAGGACATCTCATAGCTTTTGAGTCAGCTTAAATGGATAATTAAATCCATTCAAATTAGAATGTCCCATTTTGGAGTTTAACTTGAATTTTTGTGTATGGTATGGAATTTGCTCAGACTTTGACAAGAGATTGATGACATATCTGCAGTGTTTGGTCTTGTGAGCGCTGTCTCTTCTCTCATAGGCAGGCATGTTTCTCTATTCTCACCTGAAGAAATTATCTATAGTTGTGTTCCTCTTTAGAATTTAAGAGAAAAGTGCAGGTACAATTCACAGAATTTCACGTGGGTATTCCGTGACAAATGAGCCAGACGTTGGTAGCCTTTTGGAATAAAATAGGCAATTTTGGAAAACCTGACTCTGATTAGGTCCTTGTGCCTTTATAAAAATTACTTTTTAGGTAGGAAGCTGAGAAGTTTCTGGCCAGTATCTTTTGCCATTTGGCCCAATTCTGTCTAGAAATAAGAGGTATCTGGAGTGGTAACTAGGAGGACCATACTATATAACTTTAATATGTCCCTAATAAAGATACGAGAATACTTTATATCAACCTTTCCTACAAATAGTAGAAAAAATTATTTGAGGAAAAATGAAGGATCTGATGTTTGAACTGAATTATTCACTGGACATTTACCAGATGCCCTCCGTAGACTTAGTAGTGTTTTGTGCACTGCGGGGTTGATTATAAAGATAAGCTGTAGTCCCTGCCCCACACGGAGGGAAGGGAGTATTGAACAGTTGTGACTTATTAAATGCTTTACATTTATTTTGACATTTAATCTTGTTAATCTGTAGATAGATAGCCCTGTTTTTTAATGAGGGAGCTGGAACTCAGAGAGGTGAAATCACCTAGTAATAAGTGGATTGGCTAGTAATTAATGGATTTGAACCCAAGCTTTCTGACTCCGATGCTTTACACATACTGCCTTTTTAAAAGACAGGAATAACTGGTCAGAGAACAAAGTACGATAGCTGCTAGGTGAGCAGTATGACAAAGCACCACTAGGGACAGTTCAGAAAGAACAGTCACCTCTTTTGAAGGATCAGTGGAGACTTTGTAAGAATTTAGTCTGACCTTGAGTAGGCAGGAGACACTTGGAGTTAGGCATTCATTCTAGGTAAAGGAAAATATGAACCTTATAACCCATGTCTTGGCTGGGCGTAGTGGTGCATGCCTGTAGTCCTGGCTTCTTGGGAGGCTGAGGCTGGGGGTATCACTTGAGCCCAGGAGTTCTGAACTATAGTGCGCTATGCTGATTGGGTGTCTGCACTAAGTTAGGCATCATGTGATGAACTCCCAGGAGCTGGGGGCCAACCAAGTTTCCTAAGGAGAAGTGAACTGGTTCAGGTCGGAAACAGAGCAGGTCAGAACTCCCATGCTGATCAGTAGTGGAATCACACATGTGAATAGCCCCAGCACTCCCACCTGGGCAACAAAGTGAGACCTTGTCTCTTAAAAAAAAGTCGCCAGAATGTCCTCATCTGAGAGAAACCACAAGTATACATACTCAGTTTGAGATGGTTTGCTGAGTCCTGTCTCAAGGTTGGGGTGAGAATTCTGGGGTTCTCAATTCTGCTTTTGAGATTGCAGACTTGACTGTAAAGTTTGTAAATGTGATACTGGGAGCCTTCCTAAGCCTTATAGGGTATTCTTAGGATAGGTTTGCCCAGAGGGAGCCTGCAATTTAGATTCGTTTTATTGCTTCATCCCATCTTCTTCCGTATCTACCTCCAACCATATTCCTGTGGTAGGAACTTGAGATAGGATGTCTTCAGCATGATGTGGGCATGGTCCTGTTCCTTCATCTTCAAGGTTGTACAGAGTGGCTGCTGAATGGAAAGCCTAATCTTGACTCACCCTGGGGACTCCATACTTTGATAAAATGATTGTTCTTTTGGACAATGTCATGTAGTTTGAAAAATGCTTCCTAAAAGTAGTGAAATATTTGTAAGAGGGGAGGAAATGGCATGGGGAAATTTTCCAGTCTTAGCAGGTGGCTAGAGAGAAGATGGCAGGCCATAATGTATATGGACACAGTGGCTTATGCCTGTAATCCCATCACTTTGGGAAGCCGAGGCGGGCGGATCACCTGAGGTCAGGAATTGAAGACTAGCCTGGCCAAGAAAATGAAACTTCATCTCTACTAAAAATATAAAAAATCAGCCGGGTGTGGTGACAGGCACCTGTAGTCCCAGCTACTCGGGAGGCTAAGGCAGGAGAATTGCTTGGACCCGGGAGGCAGAGGTTGCAGTGAGCCAAGATCACACACCACTGCACTCCAGCCTGGGCGACAGAATAAAACTCCATCTCAAAAAAAAAAGAGAAAATGGCAGATGTGAGAAGAACATTATATTCTATCTAAATCTTGGTTAGAGAGCCTGTTACGTGTTTGGGGAAGAAAAAACTAGGTTTGTGGCCAAAAGTAATCATATAATAGGCCTGATAAGCCTTTTCTTTCTGCCCCATTCCCCTCAGGAGGAAGAAATTAGAATTCGTATTTATTTAAAATAGTTGATCCTTCATCTTGAAGTGGTTTTATAAAAATCTTAATTGTGGGCTGGGTGTGGTATCTCATGCCTTTAATCCCAGCACTTTGGGAGGCCGAGGCAGGTAGATCACTTGAGACCAGGAGTTTGAGACCACCCTGGCCAACATGGTGAAACCTCGTCTCTACTAAAAATATAAAAATTAGCCAAGCATAGGGGTTCACGCCTGTAATCCCAGCTACTTGGGAGGCTAACGCATGAGAATCTCTTAAACCTGGGAGGCGGAGGCTGCAGTGAGCCAAGATTGTGCCACTGCACTCCAGCCTGGGCAACAGAGTGAGACTCCATCTCAAAAAAAAAAAAAAAAATCTTAATTATGGGCACTAACAGTTTTGCCAGCTGTTCATTACTTGAACTTCCCCCATAATAAGGGCTAATGGAAACAGGACTGCTTTTTAATACCATAATGGTCTTTTCCAAAGTTCTGGAACCATTTTTCTGGAAGAAATACAGGTAGTTCCATTTTTCTAGGTGGGATTACTGTGTCAGTCTGTGTGTATGTACACATATATATGTTGTACAGGTGCTTCCCTTCTCCCTAGCCCTTTTAGAGTTGATGGCTTTGTCCCTGATTGTTCAGTATAATAGTTTACAGATTCACTAAGAGAGCTCGTGTAGTAATGCTTGCTTTATTTTTTTTTTCTCTTCCACTCTTGTTTTATTTTTTACTTTTTTTTCTTTGTGATGTGACATTTTCAGCTGATGTATTGAAAGCAAATCCTTCTAATTTGGGAGCCCAGATCACAAGAGTGAGTTTTTCTACTAGTGTCTTTAGCTGTATATCTTTTTTTGTGTGTGTCTTTTTACCCTTCCCCCCTCCCAATTTAAAAAGATTCAAAACACATTTCATAAATATTAGGTAAGAAAATTCCTCTGTCTGTTGAACATCATGCCTTTCTACAAAGCAATGTCCACTTTATACTGGGTCAAATTCCTTTTCCCAATGCTGTTGTAAAAGCATAGGTTAATGTATATGTTTCGTTTTGTTTGTTTCTTGTTATTATCTAATGTCTTGAAAATAATTTTAGTTCTGTCTTCATTGCAGATAGATATGTCTGGGTTCTGTCACCAGTGTGTCATAACACTGTTCTTTTTTGGTTGTAGTTTGTTTTGTTTTATTTTAAGGAAAATTATACAGTAGCTTCTGAAAATAAAAGACCCATTCTGTTACCTGGATTTTAAGTAATAAAATCTTTGACTTATCTCTGCTCTCCCTCCTCATCCCCTGGATATTCCTCTCAGGGCCATGAAGGAATGCAAAGCCTCACATACTACTTTCAGCAGGCTGACCAGATAAAAGTGGTCAGACTGGTGAGCTCTAAACATGCTAGCGCTGGAAGACCTGTCTTGGGTTTATTTAATAGTTATAGGAAACCTCTACTCATGCTGAAAGAAAAAAAAACCACCTTTTTATGGTGAAATAAAAGTATGCTTTCTATTTGTTCTAATTTAAATAACCCCCCCCCCCCATGTAAGCTGTACATTGCTTTTCAAGATCTTACACCTGGGTAATTTTCTGTACTAGCCTAACCCCTTTCTGTTCTCTTTGGCTTGTGTTATTACAATTTATCTCATGTTATGTTTGTCTAGTTTTGCATCCTGGAGGAGCAGGTGATTAAATAGTCCCTTTCTTTCCTCCCAGTGTTCTAAAATTTGCTTGTTGCATTTGAGATCATTTTATTTTGCCTAATAAAGCAAATGATATGCTGTCCTAATTAGAAATGCAGATACTGCAAGTGCTATACCCAAAGTAATCAGCCATTGTGTTTTCAATTGCCATAAGAGAATATGATAATGTGTTCAACACTAATACCATGACTGTTGGTTGAGGGTCATGTCCTAAAGGCTTTGCTTTCTGATTCCCAAGTTACTGTAAATCATCCACCCTCTGTATCTTTCTTTCTTTTAACCCAGAGATTAAAAGATCTGAAGCAGAGAGAGTTTGCTCGAAATGTCTCTTCAAGATCCCGCAAGGATGAGAAAAAACAGGAAAAAGCCCTTCGGCGGCTCCATGAGTTGGCAGAGCAAAGAAAACAAGCTGAATGGTGAGGATATTTTTTATCAGAGGGTTGTACAGATAATTATAATCCTTAAAATTTTAAATTATAGATTTCAGATTATAATTTAAGATTTAAATTAAGATTTAAGAATTAAAAACCTTGTGCCAGGCGCAGTGGCTCACCCCTATAATCCCAGCACTTTGAGAGACCGAGGCGGGCGGATCACGAGGTCAGGAGATTGAGACCATCCTGGCTAATACGGTGAAACCCCATCTCTACTAAAAATACAAAAAATTAGCCGGGCATGGTGGCGAGCGCCTGTAGTCCCAGCTACTCTGGAGGCTGAGGCAGGAGAATGGCGTGAACCTGAGAGGCAGAGCTTGCAGTGAGCCAAGATCGCACCACTGTACTCCAGCCTGGGCGACAGAGCAAGACTCTGTCTCAAAAAAAACAAAAGTGGCCGGGCATGGTGGTTCACGCCTATAATCCCAGCACTTTGGGAGGCCGAGGCGGGCAGATCACCTGAGGTTGGGAGTTCGAGACCAGCCTGACCAACATGGAGAAACCCCGTCTATACTAAAAATACAAAATTAGCCGGGCGTGGTGGCACATGCCTATAATCCCAGCTACTAGGGAGGCTGAGGCAGGAGAATCGCTTGAACCTGGGAGGCGGAGGTTGTGGTGAGCCAAGATTGCGCCATTACACTCCATCCTGGGCAACAAGAGTGAAACTCCGTCTCAAAAAAAAAAAAAAAAGAATTATAAACCTTCAGTTTTTATTAATTGACAGATAACAACTGTACATATTCATAGGTTACCTAGTAATGTTTCAATACATATAATATATAGCGATCAGATCAGGGTAATTACCATATCCATCATCTCAAACATTTATTATTTCTTTGTGCAGGAACATTCGGTATCCTCTTTCTAACTATTTGAAACTATATAGTATTGTTAACTCTAGTTATCCTACAGTGGTACAGAACACTGGAACTTACTCTTCCTAGTTAGCTGTAATTTTGTAACAAATCTCTCCTTCCGCCCTTCCCAGCTTCTAGTATCCTCTGTTCTACTTTTTACTTCTATGAGATCAACTTTTTTTTTTAAGCTTCCACATATGAGTGGCAACCTGCAGTGTTTGATTTTCTGTTCCTGGGTTACTTTACTTAACATAATAATTAGTCCTCCAGTTCCTTAAAATGTTTAATAGATCCTTCTTTCAAACTAAAAGCATATCTATATAATTATAGTATAATATACTGATTAAGTTTGTGTATTTTTGAGGCCATATTTTTCTTACTATTTATGTGACTTAATGAAATTATATCTAAACTCTCTATGCCTCAGTTTCCTTATCTGTAAGATAGAGATAAGAACAACTTACAGTTGTTGTGAGGAGTGATTATTACCTCAGAAATGCTTGAAGGGATGCCTAGCACATCAAAGATTCTCAATAAATCAATAAATTATGACACTATTACAATGATTCCCATTTTCTAACATTTATATTAAAAAGCATATGCTGGGCATAGTGACTCGCACCTGTAATCCCAGCACCTTGGGAGGCCAAAGTAAGAGGATCACTTGAACCCAGGAGCTCAAGACCAGCCAGGGCAACATAGGAAGACCCTGTCTCTAAAAAAAAAAAATCTTAAAAATTAGCCGGGCATGGTGGCACATGCCTGTAGTCCCAGCTACTCAGGAGCCTGAGGTAGAAGAATCACTTGAGCCTGGGAGATCAAGGCTGCAGTGAGCTGTGATCACAGCACTGCACTCCAGCCTGGGTGATAGAGCAAGACCCTGTCTCAAAAAAAAGAATCCCCTTTTTATTCAGTTTGCGGGGCGTTGTTTTTTATTTGTTTGCTGTGGAGTAGGTTTCATAACACAGTGTAAGTATTTCTTGCTCTCCAAATCTGTTGAGTTCTCATTTTCCAGTAGCAATAGTTTAGATAGCAAGAGATTACACATTGGCCGGGCACGGTGGCTCACGCCTGTAATCCCAGCACTTTGGGAGGCCGGGGTAGGTGGATCACCTTAGGTCAGGAGCTTGAGACCAGCCTGACCAACATGGTGAAACTCTGTCTCTACTAAAAATACAAAAATTAGCCGGGCATGGTGGCGTACGCCTGTAATCCCAGCTACTAAGGAGGCTGAGGCAGGAGAATTGCCTGAACCCAGGAGGCAGAGGTTGCAGTGAGCCAAGATTGTACCATTGCACTCCAGCCGGGGCAACAAGAGCAAAACTCCAGCTTGGGAGAAAAAAAAAAAAAAGAGAGATTACATATTGTCTGAATATACTTATCCCTGAGTTGAGGAAAGCTGTTAGCTAGGGTTTGGATAACAAGGACATCATATAAATAGGTCTCTGATTCTGTTTAGTTCTTGATTTGGAATTTAAGGGTATAGTGTACGCTGTATAGTGTACAAACTATAAAAATTGCAAGCCAGATGCGCAGTGGCTCACATCTGTAATCCCAGCACTTTGTGACACAGAGGCAGGAGGATCACTTGAGGCCAGGTGTTCAAGACCAAACTGGTCAACATAGCAAGACTCTGTCTCTGCAAAATTTTTTTTTAATTAGCCAGCATGGGCCGAGCATGGTGGCTCAAGCCTGTAATCCCAGCACTTTGGGAGGCCGAGGCAGGTGGATCACGAGGCCAAGAGATCAAGACCATCCTGGCCAACATGGTGAAGCCCATCTCTACTAAAAATACAAAAATTAGCTGGGCATGGTGGTACATGCCTGTAGTCCCAGCTACTTGGGAGGCTGAGGGAGGAGAATCACTTGAACCCGGGAGGTAGAGGTTGCAGTGAGCCGAGATCGCACCACTGTACTCCAGCCTGGGCAATAGGGTGACACTGTCTCAAATAAATAAATAAAATTAGCCAGCATGGTGAGGTGCACCTGTAGTCATAGCTACTTAGGAGGCTGAGGTGGGAGGATTGAGCCAGGAGTTTGAGACTGCAATGAGCTATGATCATGCCACTTCACTCCAGCCTGGGCAATGCAGTTAGACCCCACCTCAGAAAAATAAAACTTTCAGGCAAGATCATCAGTTTAAAACTATTGAGGCTCCTTGATGTTCCTTTTGTCAAAGATGAAAGTGCTCAGGTAACATTATGACTGTAGTACTGAATGCCCAGAAACTGCCACAAAACCAAAGCAAATGCTTGTTACGGTACCCAGGAGATAGGCATGGACTTTTTAGTTTCTGTGGCAGACATGCTGACCACAGACTGCCATAAGTAGCACAGTGGAAGTTTCTATGTTTAACTCAGAATATGCAAATTTTTAAAAAATGAAATTTGAAAGCATGGGGAAATTTTTATTTTTATTTTTTTTAGAGGTGGGGTCTCACTATGTTGCCCAGACTGGTCTTGATCTCCTGGCCTCGAGCAATCCTCCCTCCTCAGCCTTCTGAATCACTGAGATTACACATGTGAGCCACCCTGACCCAGCAAGAGTTTTTCTTTAATTGAATGAAATAAAACCTATGTGAATACATGTACAGCCATACATTAGATAACATACTGATGGACAAAATTATAAAATAAGAAATGAGATCAGAAACATAGTAATGATGGGCTATTTCAGTCGTGACATAAGTCTTACTTTTTTTTTTTTTTTTTTTTTTTTGAGACAGAGTCTTGCTCTGTCACCCAGGCTGGAGTGCAGTGGTGCTGCGATCTCAGCTCACTGCAACCTCTGCCTCTCCCAGGTTCAAGTTATTCTTCTGCCTCAGCCTCCTGAGTAGCTGGGATTACAGACGCCCGCCACCACAGCCAGCTAATTTTTGTATTTTTAGCAGAGGCGGGGTTTCACCATGTTGGTCAGGCTGGTCTTGAACTCCTGATCTCATGATCTGCTCGCCTCCACCTCCCAAAGTGCTGGGATTACAGGCGTGAGCCACTGCGCCCGGCCTGTACTTTATTTTTTATTTTTTTTTTTAATTTTTTTGAGAGGGAGTCTCGCTCTGTCACCCAGACTGGAGTGCAGTGGCGTGATCTTGGCTCACTGCAACCTCCATCTCCCAGGTTAGAGCGATTCTTCTGCCTCAGCCTCCCAAGTAGCTGGGATTACAGGTGTGTGCCACCATGCCTGGCTAATTTTTGTATTTTTAGTAGAGACAGGGTTTCACCGTGTTGGCCAGGCTGTTTACGAACTTCTGACCTCAAGCAGTCTGTCCACCTTGGCCTCTCAAAGTGCTGGGATTACAGGCATGAGCCACCACACCCAGCTTTTTGTACTTTAGACAGCTTAAGGAAAAGCTATGTAATAACTGGCTGGCCCTGGGAATTTGGTAGGTTAACAGAATGAGTCTTTGCCTAACCTCCTCTTAGAAAGTCGCATTTGTTAGTATAGGGCTAGGGAATATGACCACCACTCACTGTCTTTGAGACCTACCTATAATGAATGATAGGATATAAGAGATTAGTATTTTATAAGGTTTATGAAATGTACTCCTAAACCTGCTTTTTGTTTTTTATTTTTCTAAATCATCATGTAGTGCACCTGGAAGTGGTCCCATGTTCAAACCAACCACAGTGGCTGTAGATGAAGAAGGTGGAGAAGATGATAAAGATGAATCAGCTACAAATAGTGGCACAGGTGCCACTGCTTCTTGTGGCCTGGGATCTGAATTCTCCACAGATAAAGGAGGCCCTTTCACTGCAGTACAAATCACTAATACCACTGGACTGGCCCAGGCTCCTGGGTTAGCCTCCCAAGGCATCAGCTTTGGCATTAAGAATAATCTGGGGACCCCATTGCAAAAATTGGGAGTGTCATTTTCTTTTGCCAAAAAGGCTCCTGTCAAACTCGAATCAATAGCATCAGTTTTCAAGGACCATGCGGAGGAAGGGACCTCTGAAGATGGAACAAAACCCGATGAGAAGAGTTCTGACCAAGGACTGCAGAAGGTAGGAGACTCTGATGGGAGCAGTAATCTTGATGGTAAAAAAGAGGATGAAGACCCTCAGGATGGAGGGTCCCTTGCCTCAACATTATCCAAATTAAAAAGGATGAAACGAGAAGAAGGAGCTGGGGCTACAGAGCCTGAGTATTACCACTACATCCCCCCAGCACACTGCAAAGTAAAACCTAATTTTCCCTTTCTACTTTTTATGAGAGCCAGTGAACAAATGGATGGTGATAATACTACACACCCAAAGAATGCCCCAGAGAGTAAAAAAGGCAGTTCTCCCAAGCCTAAAAGCTGCATCAAGGCGGCAGCAAGCCAAGGAGCAGAAAAGACAGTTAGTGAAGTCTCTGAGCAGCCGAAGGAAACCAGCATGACCGAGCCCTCAGAACCAGGAAGCAAAGCTGAGGCAAAGAAGGCCTTAGGAGGGGATGTAAGTGATCAGAGTTTAGAAAGTCATAGTCAGAAGGTTTCAGAGACCCAAATGTGTGAGTCCAACTCTTCTAAAGAAACCTCTCTGGCCACCCCAGCAGGGAAAGAAAGCCAAGAAGGACCCAAACATCCTACTGGTCCCTTCTTCCCAGTTTTGAGCAAAGATGAAAGCACTGCCCTCCAGTGGCCATCAGAACTATTAATTTTCACCAAGGCAGAACCCTCCATTTCATACAGTTGTAACCCTTTATATTTTGACTTTAAACTTTCAAGGAACAAAGATGCCAGAACTAAAGGAACAGAAAAACCAAAGGATATAGGAAGCTCCTCAAAGGACCATCTCCAAGGCCTAGATCCTGGTGAGCCAAATAAAAGCAAGGAAGTGGGCGGAGAGAAAATAGTACGTTCCTCAGGAGGCAGAATGGACGCACCTGCTTCAGGGTCTGCCTGTAGCGGCCTGAACAAGCAGGAGCCTGGGGGTAGCCATGGGTCTGAGACAGAAGACACAGGGAGAAGCCTTCCCAGCAAGAAAGAACGATCTGGGAAGTCCCACCGGCACAAAAAGAAAAAGAAGCACAAAAAATCCAGCAAACACAAACGTAAACACAAGGCTGACACAGAAGAGAAAAGCTCTAAGGCAGAGTCAGGGGAGAAATCTAAGAAGCGCAAGAAACGAAAACGAAAGAAGAATAAGTCATCAGCCCCAGCAGATTCTGAACGAGGACCCAAACCAGAACCCCCTGGGAGTGGCAGTCCCGCACCACCAAGAAGAAGGCGGAGAGCTCAAGATGACTCCCAGCGGAGATCCCTCCCAGCTGAAGAGGGGAGCAGTGGCAAAAAGGATGAAGGTGGGGGTGGTAGCAGCTCCCAAGACCATGGTGGGAGGAAACACAAAGGTGAACTTCCACCTTCATCCTGCCAGCGAAGAGCAGGCACCAAACGGAGCAGCCGGTCTAGCCATCGGAGCCAACCCAGTAGTGGAGATGAGGATAGTGATGATGCTTCCTCACACCGGCTGCACCAGAAGTCTCCATCCCAGTACAGTGAGGAAGAAGAAGAGGAAGATTCAGGCAGTGAGCATTCCCGCAGCCGCTCAAGGTCTGGCCGGCGCCATTCCTCGCATCGTTCCTCCCGGCGTTCTTACTCAAGTAGCTCAGATGCCTCTTCAGACCAGAGCTGCTATAGTAGACAGCGCAGTTACTCTGATGACAGCTACAGTGACTACAGTGACAGATCACGAAGGCACTCCAAGCGCTCCCATGACTCAGATGACTCAGACTATGCCAGCTCCAAACACCGATCAAAACGGCACAAATATTCATCTTCTGATGATGACTATAGCCTCAGTTGCAGCCAGTCCCGAAGCCGATCTCGGAGTCATACCAGAGAGCGCTCAAGATCCCGGGGCCGCAGCCGCAGCAGCAGTTGTAGTCGTAGTCGAAGCAAGCGGAGAAGCCGTAGCACCACAGCCCACAGCTGGCAACGGAGCCGGAGCTATAGCCGGGACCGCAGCCGCAGCACCAGGAGCCCTTCCCAGAGATCAGGCTCCAGGAAGAGATCATGGGGTCACGAGAGCCCTGAGGAGAGGCATTCTGGGCGTCGGGACTTCATTCGTTCTAAGATCTACCGCTCCCAGTCCCCCCACTATTTCCGATCAGGCCGGGGAGAAGGTCCTGGGAAGAAAGATGATGGCAGAGGAGATGACAGTAAAGCAACAGGTCCACCTTCCCAGAACAGCAACATTGGCACAGGAAGAGGGTCAGAAGGTGACTGCAGTCCTGAAGACAAGAACTCTGTCACTGCCAAACTGCTACTGGAGAAGATCCAGTCAAGGAAAGTGGAGAGGAAACCTAGTGTGAGTGAGGAGGTGCAGGCCACCCCTAATAAAGCTGGGCCCAAGCTCAAGGACCCCCCACAAGGTTACTTTGGGCCCAAGCTCCCCCCATCTCTTGGCAATAAGCCTGTCCTTCCACTGATAGGGAAGCTCCCAGCTACCCGAAAGCCCAATAAGAAGTGTGAAGAGTCTGGCTTGGAAAGGGGGGAAGAGCAAGAACAGTCAGAGACAGAAGAGGGGCCCCCAGGGAGTAGTGATGCCCTATTTGGGCATCAGTTCCCTTCAGAGGAAACAACTGGCCCCTTATTAGACCCACCCCCAGAAGAGTCAAAGTCTGGAGAAGCTACTGCTGATCACCCTGTGGCTCCACTAGGCACCCCAGCACATTCTGACTGCTACCCTGGGGACCCAACCATCTCCCATAACTACCTCCCCGACCCCAGTGATGGGGACACCCTGGAGTCCCTGGATAGCAGCAGTCAGCCAGGCCCTGTGGAGTCCAGCTTGCTGCCTATAGCACCAGACCTTGAGCATTTCCCCAGTTATGCACCTCCCAGTGGGGATCCTAGTATTGAGTCAACAGATGGGGCTGAGGATGCTTCACTGGCCCCCCTGGAAAGCCAGCCCATCACCTTCACCCCTGAGGAGATGGAGAAGTACAGCAAGCTCCAGCAGGCTGCTCAGCAACACATCCAGCAGCAGCTTCTGGCCAAGCAAGTAAAGGCCTTTCCAGCCTCAGCTGCCCTGGCCCCAGCCACACCAGCCCTGCAACCCATCCACATTCAGCAGCCAGCTACAGCCTCTGCCACCTCCATCACAACTGTTCAGCATGCCATCCTACAACATCATGCTGCCGCAGCTGCTGCCGCCATCGGCATTCACCCTCACCCCCATCCCCAACCACTTGCCCAGGTGCATCATATTCCCCAGCCCCATCTGACCCCCATTTCTTTGTCCCACCTCACTCACTCAATCATCCCTGGCCACCCTGCCACCTTTCTCGCTAGCCATCCCATCCACATCATTCCCGCCTCAGCCATCCATCCTGGGCCCTTCACCTTTCACCCTGTCCCACATGCTGCCCTCTACCCCACCCTACTTGCTCCACGGCCTGCTGCAGCAGCTGCCACTGCACTTCACCTTCACCCACTACTTCACCCCATCTTCTCAGGTCAGGACCTGCAACATCCCCCCAGCCATGGCACGTGAGTTGGGGGATGGGATCCTAGGTAGGGCCAGGGGAGGAGACCCATAAATGTTCCCTTGGGGGTGTTGAGCCATTAATACCAGCAAGTAGAAGCTGGGATGGGCAGTGTCTGACAGCCAAAGAATTGAGTTTTGGCTTGCAGGGGTGGGTTTAGATTTGAAGTTTGCTTTCAGTTTACTATCAGGGATTTCTTTTTCCTGTCCTCCTCTCAATTTGTCCCTCCCTCTTCTGTGTTTCTAAGCTAGGGAACACCAGTAAGTGCTACCCACCCCTCTGCAGCAACATCTCCAAACTGTCAAGTTTAGATAATCCCCTCCTCCCTCTGCTTTTTTCCTCTGCTCTTCCCTTCTGTAAATTTTAAAACATTTTCCTCCCCTCTGGCCAGTGGGTTGTCACCAGAGCACTTGCTGTGGGCCCATCTGGTCTTGCCTTCTCAGCGCCACAGGGAAGGCCAAGCTGTTCTAGTGGTGGAAGTGCCACCATTTTGGGGTAGTATCTTTGACCATCTTTGGTGACGTTACGTTATCCCAGGTGAGGTGGAAAGCGTCTCACCTGGAACCTGATATAACTCAGGCTGCAATTCCATCCAGTTCCCACATCAACGGAGCCACACATTTGGCACTGTTATCTTGGTATCCCTCATCCCAGAAGAGGCATCTCCATATCCCAGAAAAGAAGATCCTATCATGAATAAAAGCTGTATGGCCCAGAGAGGAGCTCATGTGTCTAAAGTGAAGGGTATATTTTCTTCTGTTGTGTTGATGTTTCCTTCTTAATTTATAGGATTTTTTTAATGTAAAAAATTGCACTGAACTCTATAAACGTAAATGCTGCTTTTTGTAGCTCATATAAAAAAGGTTCCATATTTGTAGTATACTGCAATAATATTTTTTACATCCAGCTCTTTAAGTGATCCTCGTTCTGGTGGCTTTGTGTAAATATGTTTGCCCTAGTTGAATTAAGAAACTCTAAAGGTTATAAAATGAAAACAAAAAATAAAATATTTGTTTTCTGCTAGATGCAAAACTGACTAAGCATGTATATTTTACCAAACTTATGTATTTTTTGAAGTTATGAACTATAAAATGTTAAAACATTTTTTGCTGGGACAAAATGTTAAGTAATTTGCAGTATGTAGTGCCCCCAGTATTGGGATTTTTGAGCTAATGGGCAGCAGTCAGCTGGGGGCTTCTGAGGGATGCTCATCTTTAACAGTCTCCCTCATGTACTTTTGCTGTTTTACACAGAGAAACAGGTAGACCCCACAGAGGAGAAGGAGGGGATTCAACAGCTTTATTGTCTGGAAGCAGTGAGATTTGGTGATTGTCTGGGGGGATTCCTGGGTTTCCCTGGGTACCTTGTTCCAGGCAGTCAGTCCATTTGCCTTCCTAGTACTTAGCCCCCTCTGACAATTTTTTTTTTAATGTGCCTTTTGGGTTGGTAGAAACGGAAGTAGAAGTAGGCTGGAGGATGAGTTGGGACAGTCTTCCTTTTGTTGGGAGGTGAGCACATTTACAGATATTTTGCTTCATAGTTTCCATGCCCTCTGCCCAGCTCAGTTTAGACAGTAAACGTTCCTTGTTTCTTTTCTCCCATGACACTGACAAGAGGAATTACCACCTCAGCCTCTTTTGCCCCTCTTCTTGCCTTTCACCCAGGCTCTCAGCCCTAATTAACACACTGACCCAAAGGTGCTTGTGTTGCAGGTCCCATCTCCTTTGATGAGGTTAACAATTCCCACTTTGGCATTTTCCTAACTATTCGTGTGGCTAGAATTGGTTGGTTGGTCACTTGACAAGAAAAACCATACTTACCTGGGCCAAGGCTCTGTTCCTGCCTTCGCAAATTCTCAAAAGAGTAAAGTTTATGAAAAGAAAGTGGCAGGCAAACACAACTCTTGACTGCCCTCCCACCCTCCTACCTGTTCAGTACTCATCTGATTCAGAAGCATCACTTCTTGGATAACTAGCACTGGAAAAATGAAATCATCTGTGTAAGTGAAGGGACTCATTTTTCTTTGCTTTCAGCCCATGTAAATAAATAATACAGTATTAACATTTTCGTGCTGCTTCCCATTAGCTTGTAGATTGAGCCATACTCTGGCTGCCTCTTTGCCTTCCTAGGGGCATTTTCTTTAACTTCCAGAATAGTGATTTTAAAAGTAAAAATAAAAATAAACCTTACTTACAAGCATAACAGATTGTATTTAACTTTATCACATATGATAGAGATATATATGCTGTAAAATGAGGGAAAGGAACTTTCTAATAAACCAATGATTTGTGGAAACTTAGCAGAGTCTGTCGTAATTGTTGCCCCATCCACTCAAAGTTAGGTAGGGTTGGAGGTGTGGGTTATAAATAACATCTTGTTTGACATGACCAAGGAATAGATTCCTGTGAACCAGTTAGAGATGTTTGCAGTTGTGCTTCTGAAAGCTCAGGCTACGCAAAGAGAGAGGAAAGATGATGGTGTGGGAGGTGGTAATAGTAGTTAATTTCTCTCAGTTGTAGGTAGATGTATTGGGATGTACACCTCCTTTCCACTTCCTCTTTCCCACAAGAGGAAAGATTTCCTTCCATTTTAGATATATAATCTGTGTGTAGTAGAATATATGGTGTATATATAGGTGCTTACTAAATGGGTGTGGAATTTCTGGCTTTGAATTTTAGGATTTTGGACTACTTTAAGGGCACTGAGATGACAAGAATCATCTGCCGGACTTTTGTCCTCCAGGTGGAGTTCTGTATGCCAGTCTTCAGTTACTCTCCTCAGCCCTTTAATACCACTACAGTGTTTGAGCACCTCTACTTGGTATAAGGAAATATGGCCTAATTGTTACAGAGAAGATATAACCCCTACTCTTCCATATCAAAAAATCACAAAAGAGGCAGGGAAAATTTAGCATGGAAAGCTACCATAGAGTTGTAGTGATAAATTAGCTTTCCCTCTCAACCTCAGCCTTTCAAGAAGGAAAGGCTTTCTTTCCTACTGTCTTTTGATACATTTCTTTCCTACTCTGTTTGATACATCTGTGTTCTCCCTTTGATTAAAGAGGAGCTGTTCAACTTGAACCTGGGGTTGAGTACTCAGATCTGCCTATATTCCTAAAATAGCAAAGATCCTTACCCAGAAAGAAATGACATTAGACCTACAAAAATTAGCCGGGCGTAGTGGCACACGCCTGTAATCCCAGTTACTCGAGAGGCTGAGGCAGGAGAATCGCTTGAACCGGGAGGTTGCCGTGAGCCAAGATCACACCACTGCACTCTAGCCTGGGCAACAGCGTGAGACCCTGTCTGTCTCACACACACACACACACACACACGTTAGAAAATGAAAAGTGAGGCCAGGTGTGGTGGCTCATGTCTAATCCCAGCACTTTGGAAGGCCAAGGCAGGTGGATCACTTGAGGTCAGGAGTTTGAGATCAGCCTGGCCAACATGGTGAAACCCCATCTCTACTAAAAATTTAAAAAAAAAAAAAAAATTGGCCAGGCATGGTGGTGCATGCCTGTAATTGCAGCTACTCAAGAGGCTGAGGTAGGAGAATCGCTTGAACGTGGGAAGTGGAGGTTGCAGTGAGCCAAGATCATGCCACTGCACTCCAGCCTGAGTGATAGAGTGAGACTCCGTCTCAAAAAAAAAAAAAAAAAAAAAAAAATGGGCGGGGCACGGTGGCTCAAGCCTGTAATCCCAGCACTGAGGCCGAGGTAGGCGAATCACGAGGTCAGGAGAGATCGAGACCAGCCTGACTAACATGGTGAAGCCCCGTCTTTACTAAAAATACAAAAATTAGCCAGGCATGATGGCGTGCGCCTATAATCCCAGCTATTCAAGAGGCTGAGACAGGAGAATCACTTGAACCCGGGAGGCAGAGGTTCCAGTGAGCCAAGATCATGCCACTGCATTCCAGCCTGGGTGACAGAGTGAGACGCCATCTCAAAAACAAAAAAAAAGTGATTTTCTGAGAGCAGGGGAGGTGACAAGTCAAAGAGGCAGACTGGACTGTATAGAGTGTTATGTGAAGATACGTGCAGTTAATTGCCTTGTTCTGATAAGGCCTCAGCCACCTTGGCCTGAAACATGAAAGTACTCCCTCTTCAAACCCTTGATGACTAATTCAGGCCTCGTCAGCCATTTCCATTCTTATTTGCCAAAGACAGCTTCACTCACTTCTACCAACTCATATCTCAATTTTTGCAGCATTTTCCTGGGTGGCCTTCCTGACTAGAACCTAATTTCCTGTTCTGTGTAAGCTTACTGGCTTTTCAGAATCTGAATGCAGCTCATTTTGTATTCATTGCTTCCCAGTAAAATTGTAATCTCTGAGAGAACAGGGAGTGATTCTTATATCCCCCCACCGCAGCCCCCAACGTATCTCACACTGAATACATAGTAAACATTTTGATTATATGTTCAAGAATATGAGCAAAGTGGCCAGGCACAGTGTCTCATGCCTATAATCCCAGTACTTTGGGAGGCCAAGGCAGGAGGATCTCTTGAGCTCAGAAATTCGAGGCCAACCTGGGTAACATAGCAAGACCCCATCTCTACAAAACAATTTAAAAATTAGCTGGGCATGGTGGCACAAGCCTGTGGTCCCAGCTATTCATGAAGCTGATGTGGGAGGACTGCTTGAGCCCAGGGGTCAAGTCTGTAGTGAGCCATGTTCAGGTCACTGTACTACAGCCTGGGTGACAGAGCAAGATCCTGTCTCAAAAATAAAAAGAATATGAGCCAAGTAAAATATCATTAACTGAGGATTGTGCATCAGAATTGAGCCAAAAAAAATTCAAAAATGTGTTTTTTGGTTTTTGGTTTTTTGGGTTTTTTGAGATGGAATTTTGCTCTTGTTGCCCAGGCTGGAGTGTGATGGCACGATCTCGGCTGACCGCAACCTCCGTCTCCCAGGTTCAAGCAATTCTTCCTCAGCCTCCCAAGCAGCTGAGATTATAGGTGTGCACCACCACACCCGGCTAATTTTTGTATTTTTAGTAGAGACAGGGTTTTGCCATGTTGGCCAGGCTGATCTCAAACTCCTGGCCTCAAGCGATCCGCCCACCTTGGCCTCCCAAAGTGTTGGGAGATTACAGGTGTGAGCCACCATGCCCAGCAAAAAAAAAAAAAAAAAAAAAAAAAATTGTTTTTTAGGCATAGTCTTACTCTTGCCCAGGCTGGAGTGGAGTGGCAAAATCGTAGTGCACTGTAACCTAAAACTCGTGGGCTCAAGTGATTCTCCTGCCTCGGCCTCCTCAGTAGCTGGAACTACAGGTGTGCACTACCGTGCCTGGCTAATTTTAATTTTTTTGTAGAGACAGGGTCTCACTATGTTGCCCAGGCTGGTCCCAAACACCTGGCTTCAAGCAATCCTCATCTTGGCCTCCCAAAGTGCTAGGGTTACAGGCATGAGCCACCAAACCTGGTGTAAAAAATCTTTATAATTTTATTTTTCTTTTCTTTCTTTCTTTTTTTCTTTTTTGATGGAGTCTCACTCTGTCGCCCAGGCTGGAGTGCAGTGGCATGATCTTAGCTCACTGCCACCTCCGCCTCACAGGTTCAAGCAATTCTTTTGCCTCAGCCTCCCAAGTAGCTGGGATTACAGACACACACCACCACGCCCAGCTAATTTTTGTATTTTTAGTAGAGACGGGGTTTCACTAGGTTGGCCAGGCTGGTCTCAAACTCCTGACCTTGTGGTCCACTCGCCTGGGCCTCCCAAAGTGCTGGGATTACAGGCATGAGCCACCATGCCCGGCTAAAATCTTTATGATTTTCCATCCCCCATGGATTAAAGTTCAGATTCCTTAATATGGCATTCAAGGACCTCCAGTAATTTGAATCCCCAAGCTTTACCCCCTTGCGCCTCAGTCCAACCCTTTAAGCATTCTGCTATGCTGAGTCAACTACTTGTCCTTCCCTACCTCTGTGTTCCTTTGCTGCTCTCATGTATTCTCTATGCCTAAAAACCCTTTCATTCTCTGACAAAAGGCAACTTGAACATGAGTTCAAGTGCAACCCATGTTTGAATCTTAGTTTTGCCATCTGTTGGCTGCGTAAACATGGGCAATTTACCTAAAACTCTTGTGCCACAGTTTTGTGTTTATAAAATGGGCATAATAGTACTTATTTCCTAGGGTTGTTATGAGTAACAATGATATACGACTTTGATAATCTGTGTATTTTTCAAGGCATGCTTGACTGTCTCTCTGCTGCAGTTATGTGTGTTCATGTCTTAACTCTTTCTGGGCTGTTTGTTAAGTCTCCTTGATGGCTATCTTTGGAGTTTTTAAAATATTTTATTTTTTATAATTTTAAAATAGAGACGAGGTCTCACTGTATTGCCTAGGCTGGTCTTAAATGCCTGAGCTCAAGCCATCCTCCTGCCTCAGCCTCCCAAAGTGCTGGGATTACAGGCATGAGCCACTATACCTGGCCTAATGGTTATCTTTGTATCCTTTATCAACACAGTGCCTTGAACAGAGTAAATACTTATTGAAAACTTGAGTGAAATGTAAGTTCATATTTGGCCTCACAGAATACACCAGTAATACAGCAATCACTCACCTGAGGACAGTGGGAGGATAGAAGGTAAGTAGAGGACTGGGTTAAGTATTCGTTCAAGCAAATACATTAATTACACGCCTCCCATGTACTTGACACTGGGAACTCAGCAATGAAGAAGGCCCAGACCAAAGTTCAGGCTTTTAGCTTCCTGTCCTATAAAGGATAAGATTCTTAACTCTAGGCTGAGGTAGTAAATTACGAGGGGACTTCAAAATGGTACAGGGTGGTTGAGCAGGATACGGCAATGGTTAAGTTTGATCAGAAAATAGAAATCAAAAGGAAAATGTGGCTATGGTTACCCCTAGCGGACCTCTTAAATCTTCCTGAGAACCTGCTTTTTTGGGAAGGCATGAGTGCCAGTAAGACTTGGCACTCCTCCTCTTCCGCTTACCGAGAGAAAATGACTTTGCCTTTCTGCTCAAAACTCATCCCTTCACTTTGTCACCCTATGTTTGCATCTTCCATCCTTAGTGTGTGTTTCCATCCAGTCTTTCAGCAATACACGTACTACACATTGGACTCTTGGGTAGTCTCTAGGGCTGTAGCAAGGAGCCTTGCTCCCAAGGGACTCATTTACACAATCCTGTGAACGGACCAAGAGTAAACAGTGTGCTCAATGCTGTGCCTACGTGTGTTAGCCCACGCGGCCAGCCTGAGGAGTCAGGGAAGGCTCCCCTAGGCAAAGCCCCCAACCAGAATCAAGTCTTAATGGTTAAAGAGCTCCATCACCCAAAAAGGATTGAGGGCCTACCTTCAACTGAACAGCTAATGCATAATCTCAGAAACTGTGAGTCAAAATTCCCTGGAATAACTCCACTTTATCCCCAATCTCCTTGCCACCTAGACCAAGGTCCATTCACCACCCTGTCCCCAGCACTGACTGCACTGCTGTGGCCACACTAAAGCTTGGCTCAAGACGGAGGAGGAGTGAGGAAGCTGCTGCACCAATATGGCTGGTTGAGGCCGCCCAAGGTCCTAGAAGGAGGAAGTGGGTAAATGCCATATCCAAAAAGATACAGAAGCCTCAGGTTTTATCGGGGGCAGCAGCTTCCTTCTCCTTCCCCGACCTGTGGCCAAGTCACAAAGCACCACAGCTGTACAGCCAGATGGGGGAAGGGAGGAGATTAGAACTGTAGGCTAGAGTAGACAAGTATGGACCAGTTCACAATCACGCTATCCCAAGCAGAAAGTGATGGTGGCTTGGACTAGCACGGTGGTAGTAGAGATGGGGTAAAGATTCAAGAGACATCATTGATAGGCAGAACCAATAGGACATGGTAATAAACTATTCTCAGGAAAGGGGAGGAGTCATGGCTTTCAGCCATGAGCATCCACCCTCTGGGTGGCCTCACCCACTTCCTGGCAATTCTAGCCACCATGAGTCCAGGGGCTATAGCCCTTTGCTCTGCCCGTTGCTCAGCAAGTTACTTGGGGTTCCAGTTTGATAAGAAAAGACTTCCTGTGGAGGAATCTGAAGGGAAGGAGGAGGAGCTGGCCCATTCCTGCCTGGGAGGTTGTGGAAGAAGGAAGATGGCCAGAGCTTTGTGTCCACTGCAAGCCCTCTGGCTTCTGGAGTGGGTGCTGCTGCTCTTGGGACCTTGTGCTGCCCCTCCAGCCTGGGCCTTGAACCTGGACCCAGTGCAGCTCACCTTCTATGCAGGCCCCAATGGCAGCCAGTTTGGATTTTCACTGGACTTCCACAAGGACAGCCATGGGAGGTGAGCCGTAAGGGAAGTTGGGGTATTGGGAGAGAGCAGGACCCCTCCCCATCACTGCTTCTGGGGGCTTCGAGTTTCCCATTTGCGATAGCAGTTGAGCAAGGTGACTTGTGGGGCCTATTCAGGTTGATTTCTTGTCAAGAATGTTGGGGTCCAGGGGACTGGCTCAGGTGAAGGTATAAGGGCAGGGCACATGTGGGCTGATGGGCACTGAAAACTACAGCAAGAACAAAGGGAAGACAAGAGTTGATGCTTTATTTTTTCCCCAAGGGTCAGTTGTATGAACCACTCCACCCTCAACACCTTGAAATGCAGAGAGGAGGCCGGGCGCGGTGGCTCATGCCTGTAATCCCAGCACTTTGGGAGGCCGAGGCGGGCAGATCACCTGAGGTCGAGAATTCGAGACCAGCCTGACCAACATGGAGAAACCCCGTCTCTACTAAAAATACAAAAAAAAAAAAAAAAAAGAGACCAGGCACAGTGGCTCACACCTGCAATCCCAGCACTTTGGGAGGCAGAGGTGGGCAGATCATGAGGTCAGGAGTTCAAGACCAGCCTGGCCAATATGGTGAAACCCTGTCTCTATTAAAAATACAAAAATTAGCTGAGCGTGGTGGCACACTCCTGTAGTCCCAGCTACTCGGGAGGCTGAGGTAGGAGAATCACTTGAACCCGGGAGGTGGAGGTTGCAGTGAGCTGAGATCATGCCACTGCACTCCAGCCTGGGTGACAGAGTGACACTCCGTCTCAAAAAAAAAAAAATTAGCCGGGCGTGGTGCCGCATGCTTGTAATCCCAGCTACTCGGGAGGCTGAGGCAGGAGAATCGTTTGAACCTGAGAGGCAGAGGTTGTGGTGAGCCGAGATCATGCCATTGCACTCCAGCCTGGGCAACGAGAGCGAAACTCTGTCTCAAAAAAAAAAAAAAAAAAAAAAGAAAGGAAATGTGGAGAGGAGCACATGTCCTAAATTGATTTGCAGAACTAAAGTTGTCTACCCTCCCGCACCTTGCATTTCTGTTCCATTTCCCTCATCTCCATCAACATTATAAATATTTGAAAAGAAGCAATAGGTCATTAATGATTAGTATTGATCAGGCTTCAGAATCAAGAGTGCCAAGATTAGAGTCTTGGCTCCTCCTCTTCATAGCGTGTACCCTGAGCTACTATTGTGAGAGACACTGTGCCCACCAGCTTCAGGGAGTGGCAATGGGTGGCAATGGCAGATAGCCTTCAAGTGTCAGCCACTTAGGGGATTTCCTCTGCTGAAGAGAGCCAGTTCACTCCAAGTCCCCTCCCAAGATGGCCCACATCCAGTGTCTGATCAATGAGAAGTGGGTGAGTGGGGAGAGTGGAGGCAGGTGTGGGGGAGGCATTTGATAAGGGTCCAGCCCTCTTTCATCAACTCTGACAATTCTTTTTTTCTTCTTCTTCTTTTTTTTTTTTTTTTTTTTTTTTTTTTGAGATGGGGTTTCGCTCTTGTTGCCCAGGCTGGAGTGCAATGGCACAATCACTGGCTCACCGCAACTTCTGCCTCCCGGGTTCAAGCGATTCTCCTGCCACAGCCTCCCGCGTAGCTGGGATTACAGGCATGTGCCACCACACCCGGCTAATTTTGTATTTTTAGTAGAGACGAGGTTTCTCCATGTTGGTCAGGGTGGTCTCGAACTCCCAACTTCAGGTGATCCACCCGCCTTGGCCTCCCAAAGTGCTGGGATTACAGGCTTCAGCCACCATGCCCAGACTTTTTTTCTTCTTTTTTTTTGAGATGGAGTTTCGCTCTCGTTGCCCAGGCTGGAGTGCAATGGGGTGATCTCGGCTCACTGCAACCTCTGCCTCCTGGGTTCAAACGATTCTCCTGTCTCAGCCTCCCGAGTAGCTGGGATTACAGGTGCATGCCACCATGCCCGGCTAATTTTTGTATTTTTAGTAGAGACAGGGTTTCACTATGTTGGCCAGGCTGGTCTCAAACTCCTGACCTCAGGTGATCAGCCTGCCTCGGCCTCCCAAAGTACTGGGATTACAGGCGTGAGCCACCACACCCGGCCAACTCTGACAATTTTGAAGGGTCATTCTAGTTCCAAAGCTCGTGGGGTGTTGGCGAATGCTGTCATTGGGCCTGAATCAGCTCAACTCCTTCCTGTGCCCACTCCTGCTGATTTCCCCTCCTATAAGTAGTGATCCCATTGGCACTACTTAAACATCCTGCAGGCTAAAAAAATATTATGGGCCAGACACAGAGGCTCACGCCTGTAATCCCTTGGCCTCCCAAAGTGCTGGGATTACAGGTGTGAGCCACCATGCCCAGCCTATAAAAAAATTTTTTTTAATTAGCCAGGCATGGTGTTGCACACCCGCAGTCCCAGCTACTAGGGTGGCTGAGGGGAGAGGATTGCTTGAGCCCTGGAGATCAAGGCTACAGTGAGCTGTGATCATGCTGCTGCACTCCAGCTGGGCAACAGAATGAGACCCTGTCTCAAAACAACAAAATTATTTTTTAAAATTATAGCATTGTTTCAAGAGCGTTTGTTATGTATTTGGCTGGGACCATGCTAACCGTTACTCGTATTTATTACATTTACTCCTGACAGCATTGACTGGTTGTGAAAACCAGTCATTGGTTATGAAATTGGTATTCCTATTTCACATATGGCAGAATTGTGATTTAAACCTAGATCTGCTAGGGTCCTCCTATCAGCACACACACTCCAGCCCCACTTTAGAGGTACCCGCTACCTTCCCTCATTAAAACCAGCTCTCAAGAGGGGATCTGGTAACAGTCTAGGCAGGCATTCCAGGGAGCATGTGAACCGCTGGTTCTTGTTGCGGGTGGAAGGATGGAGGTGTTGTACAGAGTTTAGGTCTTTTTCAGCAAAGATCTCAAACCCCTGGTGTTCAAATCAAACCAAATGGTTATAGTCCCAGCTCTACTCTCAACTCACTGGGTTACTTTAGCCACGTGATTGCCCTCGCTGAGAGTCGGTTTCACTGTCCATAAGATGAAGAAGTACATCACGGTGGTCTGTGAGGTGTCATTGAGGAAAGATGGTCCAGTGCCCCCATGCCACATGGCCTTCCGGGCAGTGCTCCCAGCGCCGGCGCCAGGGCCTGGGATACGCTGGAATCTGCGCGGCGCTCACCCAGCTTTCCTATGCAGAGTGGCCATCGTGGTGGGCGCCCCGCGGACCCTGGGCCCCAGCCAGGAGGAGACGGGCGGCGTGTTCCTGTGCCCCTGGAGGGCCGAGGGCGGCCAGTGCCCCTCGCTGCTCTTTGACCTCCGTGAGTCCCAGGCAAGGAGAGCAAGGTTGGGGTCAGAGGGACGTGGACTGCCGGGCTTCAGCGCCCCACCCCTTCTTGTGCCTTCCAGGTGATGAGACCCGAAATGTAGGCTCCCAAACTTTACAAACCTTCAAGGCCCGCCAAGGACTGGGGGCGTCGGTCGTCAGCTGGAGCGACGTCATTGTGGTGGGCCCCGCGGTACAGGGCACAGGGAACAATCGGGGGCAGGGACACCTGGGGCCAGGAGGAGCCCAAGTCTCGCGCCCGTCCCCACTCCTGTGGCCTTTCTCCAGGCCTGCGCCCCCTGGCAGCACTGGAACGTCCTAGAAAAGACTGAGGAGGCTGAGAAGACGCCCGTAGGTAGCTGCTTTTTGGCTCAGCCAGAGAGCGGCCGCCGCGCCGAGTACTCCCCCTGTCGCGGGAACACCCTGAGCCGCATTTACGTGGAAAATGATTTTAGTAAGCGCCAGCTACGACCTGGCCCCGCCCACTCGCGACGGCTTGGCCCCGCCCCCATCGGATCCCGCCCCCAGCGCCGCAGCCCTTGCTTTGGATCTGGCCTCGCCCCAGGGCCCCGCCGACTCAAGGCCCCGCCCCTGTCCCCCAGCCCTCCTCCGGGCTCGCGCGCGCCTCCCTTCACCCCTGCGCTGACCCCTCCTCCTTGTCTCCTGCAGGCTGGGACAAGCGTTACTGTGAAGCGGGCTTCAGCTCCGTGGTCACTCAGGCGAGTAGGGAGCAAAAGCGCAGTGGGGGCGGCTCCCAAACAGGGCCCCCTCTCACCCTCAGGACTTCCCTTCCAGGCCGGAGAGCTGGTGCTTGGGGCTCCTGGCGGCTATTATTTCTTAGGTACGTGCCCATCCGTACACCTCCCTCCCTTCTCGCGGCCCAAGGAGACCGCTTTGGGCTTCACACCCGCTGTCCCTCCCGCCCTAGGTCTCCTGGCCCAGGCTCCAGTTGCGGATATTTTCTCGAGTTACCGCCCAGGCATCCTTTTGTGGCACGTGTCCTCCCAGAGCCTCTCCTTTGACTCCAGCAACCCAGAGTACTTCGACGGCTACTGGGGTAACACCGCCATTCCAGACTTCCAGCACCCCGAGGGTCACCGCCCACCGCAGACGGTCAGGTCCTGCCCCTGTGGGAGCCTCCATGGCCACCCCTGCCGGCCAACCCACCGCCTAAGCCGCTCCCGCCCTCCGCTCCTGCGGCTTCCCCGCAGACCGCCCACCTCCCATGCGCCCACCGCTCCCTTCCACTGCGGACTCGTAGCGCAGCCTGGGGCAGGGCTTGGCCCCTCGAAGGCCTCCGTTTTTCCATCTGCACAATGCAGGGCTGGGGCTGAGTGGCCTTAATCTCCTCCTTCTTTGCCCTCCGTCCCCTCTGTGCTTCCTCCCCTGGAAAAGACTAATTTGCGCCCTTGTCCTCAGGGTACTCGGTGGCCGTGGGCGAGTTCGACGGGGATCTCAACACTACAGGCAAGAAATCCACTTAGGGCGGGAGTTGGGTAGCCCAGCCCGGGGAGGAGCGCCTTCCTGAAATCTCCCCTATGTAGGGAAATCTTCCTGCACACACATTTTTCCCTGGGTGCAGAACGGGGAGCGGGAAGTGGGTAGGTTCTAAGGCTCTCATTCCCTGAGCCTGGCTCTCCCTATCGCCAGAATATGTCGTCGGTGCCCCCACTTGGAGCTGGACCCTGGGAGCGGTAAGTGCCCCCACCACTGGGCCTCCCGAAGCCCCTTATCCCAGTTCTCAGGCTGACAACTCCTGAGCGCCCCCCACCCCCGCCCCGCCTCCACCAAACCACCCTTTCTCACCTGGAGTGGGAGGTTGCTTTGGGTACAAGAATGATGCTCTCGCCTGCGCTGTCCGTGCAGGTGGAAATTTTGGATTCCTACTACCAGAGGCTGCATCGGCTGCGCGGAGAGCAGGTGGGGGCCAGGTCCCAGTGGGCGTGGCTGGGTGGAGGGGGAACTGAGACTTCAGAATATTTCATGGGAGGTGAGGGCCCATTTCTTAAAGAGGATGCTTGTCCAGCGGCGTGAATGATGGTGCTCCTCATCTTGCAGATGGCGTCGTATTTTGGGCATTCAGTGGCTGTCACTGACGTCAACGGGGATGGGTGAGGAGGGACATGCCCCACCCCTACCCAGTTGGGTCCCAAATTACCAGAGCTGCCCTCTGTCTCCCTTTCCTAGCCCTAGTCTCACGTATCCACTGGAGGAACAGGAGAGCAAGGGTCGAGGAGATTTGGCCCTAGCCCCAATATACCCCTGGTCCAGTCCCATGTAACCACTCATCTGGCCCACAGGAGGCATGATCTGCTGGTGGGCGCTCCACTGTATATGGAGAGCCGGGCAGACCGAAAACTGGCCGAAGTGGGGCGTGTGTATTTGTTCCTGCAGCCGCGAGGCCCCCACGCGCTGGGTGCCCCCAGCCTCCTGCTGACTGGCACACAGCTCTATGGGCGATTCGGCTCTGCCATCGCACCCCTGGGCGACCTCGACCGGGATGGCTACAATGGTGAGGGAAGAGAGGAGCCCTACTTGCTGCAGAGGGGTTAACAGCCACTCAAAAAGCATGGAGTTGGCCTGAGGGCAGCCAGAACCAGGATGGGTTTTAAGCATATAAGTATGTGGCTTAGACACATGGGGTGCTGAGTGGAGAGCAGATGGGAGAGTTGAAGACTAATTAGGAAGTGTTTGCCTTAATCCAAGCAAGAGACAATGACCACCTGGATGTGGATTTTGGCAGTGGAGTTAGAGATGGGAGTGACTTCACAGATATTTAGGACTCGGATTATTAGGACTTGGTGGGAGACTGGATGTGGGGCCAGGGGAGAGGTTGGAGTTGGGTGCCTGTGATGGCCTCCACTGCCTGGAACTCAGGCCGTGCAGCAGGTGCTGGGGAGAGGCGGGAGATCAGCAGTTCAGCTCTGGACCTGTTGAGCTTGAAGGGCTTGGGTGCTTTAGGCGGAAATATCCAAAGAACAGTTGGGAGTGGCTCTCCCCGCTTCCACAAGAGAGATCTGAATGGGAGACAGGGGTTTGGGGAAAGTGGATGAGGTCCCGGGACCTGTGAAATAAGAGGCCCAGGATAGAGCCCTAGGGAGCAAAAGCATTTAGGTGACTCCTACAGGAGGTAAGTCTGAGAAGGAGACAGAGGAGTGTCCAGAGAGGGAGGAGGGAACCCAGGGGGTCTGATGGCCCGGGACTCAAGGAAGAGCATGCGTTAAAGAGCATGCACAGGAGGAAGTGGGCGCTGCAGCTCCTGCTGCTGCTGCAAGATACAATTAGGTGGGGCTGGAGAAATATTCATGGGCTTTAGCAAGAAGAGGGTGCCAGGCATGGTGGCTCATACCTGTAATCCCAGCTACTTGGGAAATTGAAGCAGGAGAATCTCTTGAACCCGGGAAGTGGAGGTTGCACTGAGCTGAGCTTGCGCCACTACTGCACTCCAGCCTGGGTGACAGAGCAAGACTCCATCTCAACAAAATAAAAAAAAAAATAGAGAAAGAAAGGAAGAAAGAAAAAAGAAGGGGAGGTTATTGGTGACAGTGACATAAATTGATTCAGGCCAAGATAGGGTCAGAAGCCAGAATGCAATGGGGTAAGGTATGAATGGAGATGAAAAATTGGATGCAGCTAATGTAGACAGCTCTTTCAACAGGTTTGTGGTAAAAAGGAATTTGAGGAATAGAAAGGAAAAAAAAAAACATGTTTGACTATAAGAGGAAAAAGAGAAAAGGTGATCACAGAAAAGAGATGAGGGTCAAGGGAAGATTATTTCAATGTGGAAGAACATGTAGTAGGTTGAAAATGATGTTGTGGGGAAATGGGGGGATGAGCCAGCAGAGAGTCCCTGTGATGCCTCAGGGGGTGGGAGGGTGACTGGCCCAGTGTCAGGGTGAAGGAAGGAAACCTCTTCCAGGGTCAAATGGGGAAAGGGAAAAGAAAGTTGGTGTGGGATTATAGCATAACAGTGGGCTGCCTCTCTTCCTGAAGTAAGAGATTACGTCACCTGCTGAAGGAAGTGTGGGGGGTCTGGGAGTTTGATGGAATGGAGAAGGCTAGAAATAGATGCTAGATGGCCAGGCACGGTGGCTCACACCTGGAATCCCAGCACTTTGGGAGGCCGAGGCAGGAGGATCACTGGAGCCTAGGAGTTTGACACCAGCCTGGCCAACATAGGGAGATCTCGTCTCCATAAAAATTTTTAAAAATTAGCTGGGCATGGTGGCTATAGTCTCAACTGCTTGGGAAGCTGAGGTGGGAGGATTGCTTTAGTCCAGAAGGTTGAGGCTGCAGTAAGCCATGGTTGCACCACTGCACTTCAGCCTGAATGACAGTGCAAGACTGTCTTAAAAATAAAAAAATTTTAAAAGGGGCTTGGGCACGGTGGCTCACACCTGTAATCCCAGCACTTTGGGAGCCCAAGGTGGGCAGATCACTTGAGGTCAGGAGTTCGAGATCAGCCTGGCCAATGTGGTGAAACCCCGTCTCTACTGAAAATACAAAAATTAGCCGGGCATGGTGGTAGGCGCCTGTAATCCCAGCTACTGAAGAGGCTGAGGCACAAGAATCACTTTAACGGGGGAGGCAGAGGTTGCAGTGAGCCGAGATCGCACCACTGCACTCCAGCCAGGACAACAGAGCGAGACTCCATCTCAAAAAAAAAAAAATTTAGAAAAGGGAATAATGATGCTTAATTTTCAGGATATATTTTCCTCAATAGACAGTGAGAGTTGTCACTGTTTTTATAACAATCCTACTTGGCAGGTCCCTCTCCCACCTGATTGTTAACTCCTGGAGGGTAGGGCAGTGCCTCCTTCACCCACACTTTGCACCCCTTTCCTAGTCTCCTGGGATGTTCCCAGAGAAGCTCAGGAAAGTTTTACAGTCATCTAGGGAGGCTGAATAACAATCAGCCACTTCCTTTCTGTTACTCCTTCCAGACATTGCAGTGGCTGCCCCCTACGGGGGTCCCAGTGGCCGGGGCCAAGTGCTGGTGTTCCTGGGTCAGAGTGAGGGGCTGAGGTCACGTCCCTCCCAGGTCCTGGACAGCCCCTTCCCCACAGGCTCTGCCTTTGGCTTCTCCCTTCGAGGTGCCGTAGACATCGATGACAACGGATACCCAGGTGCCCTGGACTGCCTCCAGCTAGAAATGCCCAAGAAAGGCCCTTGGACATTCGCTGGAAGTGCCAAGAGACACGGCCAGGGGCTCATGCCTGGCCTGGTGTCCCACTATGGACTGCCAGAGGGGCTGGGTGAAACCTCCAGTGGGGGAGGTGGTGTGGGGAACCCCTGGGAAGATGAGATGAGGATCCCATGCCCTAATCGCCAATTCTGACCCATTCCTCGATGTCTATAGACCTGATCGTGGGAGCTTACGGGGCCAACCAGGTGGCTGTGTACAGGTGAGCACTGGCTCCAGGGGCGGGATGGGGAAGGTCCTGTGCCATCAAGAGGAGGCCAGGCCAGGAGGAGCCACAATGGCAAGCCTACCCCATCACCCTATCCCATCAGAGCTCAGCCAGTGGTGAAGGCCTCTGTCCAGCTACTGGTGCAAGATTCACTGAATCCTGCTGTGAAGAGCTGTGTCCTACCTCAGACCAAGACACCCGTGAGCTGGTGAGGAGGCAGAGGGCATGGGCCTTAAAGGATCTGGGACCTCAGAAAGGCTCCAACCCCTGAGCCCCACTTACGTCTTTGCAGCTTCAACATCCAGATGTGTGTTGGAGCCACTGGGCACAACATTCCTCAGAAGCTATGTGAGTGGCATGAAGGGGGCAGGAGGGAGGTGGGCTTGGACTCCCCCGGAGGCTGGCCAGGGAGGTCCTGACTCTTCTGCTTGCCCTGCCAGCCCTAAATGCCGAGCTGCAGCTGGACCGGCAGAAGCCCCGCCAGGGCCGGCGGGTGCTGCTGCTGGGCTCTCAACAGGCAGGCACCACCCTGAACCTGGATCTGGGCGGAAAGCACAGCCCCATCTGCCACACCACCATGGCCTTCCTTCGAGTACGCCCAGGCAGGGGATTGGCAGGGCTGGGAGAGTAGAACTTACCCACTGGACTTGTTCATCTAGCCCTGGGGCACTGAGCTGGGTGCTGTGAGTCCGGGGGTGGTCAGGACACGGTGCCTACTGGCCAGGAGAAGGTGGGATGTGTATGGTAGCAAGATGGCCTGACTCTTGCCCCTGTCCTAGGATGAGGCAGACTTCCGGGACAAGCTGAGCCCCATTGTGCTCAGCCTCAATGTGTCCCTACCGCCCACGGAGGCTGGAATGGCCCCTGCTGTCGTGCTGCATGGAGACACCCATGTGCAGGAGCAGGTAGGGACAGGCAGGGACAGGCCAGGGAGGTGCAGGACCCCTGATAGCAAATCAGGATTAGGGTTAGTGCCAAGTCACAATGTGAACCCCAAAACCTTGATGTCATTCCAAACCCTAATGAAAACCTCAAAATCCAGCCAGTCATGGTGGCTCACACCTGTAATCCCAGCACTTTGGGAGACCGAGGCAGGCAGATTGCCTGAGGTCAGGAGTTAGAGACCAACCTGGCCAACATGGTGAAAACCCATCTCTACTAAAAATACAAAAAAAATTAGCCGGGTGTGGTGACGCATGCCTGTAATTCCAGCTACTCGGGAGGCTGAAGCAGGAGAATCACTTGAACCCAGGAGGCAGAGGTTGCAGTGAGCCAAGAGTGTGCCACAGCACTCCAGCCTGGGTGACAGAGCAAGACTCTGTCTCAAAAAAAAAAAAAAAAGCCAGGCGCAGTGGCTCACGCCTGTAATCCCAGCACTTTGGGAGGCCAAGGCGGGTGGATCACGAGGTCAGGAGATCAAGACCATCCTGGCTAACACAGTGAAACCCCGTCTACTAAAAATACAAAAAAAAAAAAAAAATTAGCTGGGCGTGGTGGCGGGTACCTGTAGTCCCAGCTACTTGGGAGGCTGAGGCAGGAGAATGGCGTGAACCCCGGGGGGCGGAGCTTGCAGTGAGCCGAGATAGTGCCACTGCACTCCAGCCTGGACGACAGAGCGAGACTCCGTCTCCAAAAATAAAATAAACACCTGAAAATCCCAGTATCCCCTAAGCTCTGATGTAAATTGACAAACCCTGACATTGTCCCAAACCTCCAAATAAACCCGAGCCCCGATACCATCTACAAACTCCTTTTCGTCCTCAGATCTTCTTACTCCCTAAGCCCCTATGTGAACCCCAAGCCCACTGTTTTCCTAACCCTGATGTAATCCCTAAACCTCACACATCCCCAACTTACCCGCACACCCCAATGTGCCCCTCTAGACACGAATCGTCCTGGACTGTGGGGAAGATGACGTATGTGTGCCCCAGCTTCAGCTCACTGCCAGCGTGTGAGGAGGCCTCCCATTCTGCCCGACCCTGGCCCTTTCTGCCTATCATACCTGCTCCACACCTTAGTCCCCTCTTTTCCCACATCCTGGGCCCAGACCCAGGCTCCCTGGCTTCACTCCTCTTTCCCCACAGGACGGGCTCCCCGCTCCTAGTTGGGGCAGATAATGTCCTGGAGCTGCAGATGGACGCAGCCAACGAGGGCGAGGGGGCCTATGAAGCAGAGCTGGCCGTGCACCTGCCCCAGGGCGCCCACTACATGCGGGCCCTAAGCAATGTCGAGGTATGGCCCCCACCCTGGGAACAGTACCCGGGACCTGGGAGGCACTGGAGCCTTGGCTCTCTCATCTCCCTCCCTGAGAGTCCCTCTTCTCTTCTGCTTTGCTGTCAAAGATGTAATTTTTTATTTTTTTTTTAATTTGGAGGAGGAATACTTGCTAATGGCACAGAATTCCAAAACTCTATTACAAAAACCAGAAAAACAAAAAAGGTTTAGGAACCAAATGTTAACAGGAACCTCTGTTAACATTTGGTGGATTTCCTTCCAGTCTTTTTTTCAATATTGACTCACACTCACATAAGTATATATTTATTTTTTATGTTGTTAATATAGTTTATAATAATGGGGGTCATACTCTAATGTTTTGTGTTTTTTATTTCCAAAATGAAAATGCCTAAAAAGTAGTAGTGCTACAGCAATACACACACTAGCATGTGACAGTCCCTTGAGACCCCACCCCAAGAAACCCCCCCCTCCCTACCTTGGCACACAAATCTTTCCAGACCTTCCAAGGGAGCTTAAATATATATATATGATGCTCTGTAATTTCTTTCTTGGAACTGCCTTCCTGAAGGGCTTTGAGAGACTCATCTGTAATCAGAAGAAGGAGAATGAGACCAGGGTGGTGCTGTGTGAGCTGGGCAACCCCATGAAGAAGAACGCCCAGGTGAGGCTGCTGGGTCGTGGTACCGGGTCTCCACCAGGGGCTCATGAATAACCAGATTTTAGGGGTGAGGTTTTAGAGCCACATAGTTCTGGGCCAGAATCTTGGTCCTCACACTCCCTTGCCACATGTCCTTGGGTGAGTGACTTTCCCTCTCTGAGCCCCTTTACCCAGTGGGCTTCCAGGTAAAATAGAAATAATAATGGTGGCCTGGTGCGGTGGCTCACGCCTGTAATCCCAGCACTCTGGGAGGCCGAGACGGGTGGATCACGAGGTCAGGAGTTCAAGACCAGCCTGGCCAACATAGCAAAACCCCGTCTCTACTAAAAATACAAAAATTACCCGGGCATGGTGGCGCACGCCTATAGTCAGAGCTACTCGGGAGGTTGAGGCAGAAAAATCACTTGAACCTGGGAGGTGGAGGTTGCAGTGAGCCGAGATCATGCCACTGCACTCCAGCCTGGGTGACAGAGTGAGACTCCGTCTCGGAAAAAAAAAAAAAGAAAAAGAATAGTGGTGATCTTGGAGGGTGAAGACTGGAGGCCACATTCAGGGCAGGGCTGTCCTAAGTGGGGCACTTGGGCAGTGACCTTGGCCCTCCTCATCTCCCAGATAGGAATCGCGATGTTGGTGAGCGTGGGGAATCTGGAAGAGGCTGGGGAGTCTGTGTCCTTCCAGCTGCAGATACGGAGGTACTGACCTGGCGAGCGTGCCTACCCACCACCCTTCCCCCGTCTGACCCCCGTGCAGAGCCCCTCAGGTCCCTTCCATACAGAAGGGTCTTTCGAGGCCAGGCGCAGTGGCTCACACCTGTAATCCCAGCACGTTGCGAGGCCAAGGCAGAAGGATCACTGGAGGTCAGGAGTTGGAGACCAGCCTGGCCAACATGGTGAAACCCCATCTCTACTAAAAATATAAAAATTAGCTGGGCATGGTGGTGCGCACCTACAATCCCAGCTACTCGGGAGGCTGAGGCAGGAGAATAGCTTGAACCGAACCTGGGAGGTGGAGGTTGCAGTGAGCTGAGATTGGGCCACTGCACTCCAGCCTTCCAGCCTGGGCGACAGTGCGAGATTCTATCTCAAAAGAAAAAAAAAAAGGTCTTTGAAGAAGCCTGGTTCCCTTTCTTCCTCAGAGATTTATGTCTGAGTCTTGGAGCCCTAGAGGAAGTTCTTTCCCAGGTCTAACTTCAGTGTGGCATGCTCTTTGTATAATTAGCTCTCTCTGAACTCTCTAAAATTCTGGCCTCACCCCCAGAAAGTCACTGGGCTGGTGTCCCTGGCCCTGTTTCTCCTCATCCCCTCCCCTCTAGCAAGAACAGCCAGAATCCAAACAGCAAGATTGTGCTGCTGGACGTGCCGGTCCGGGCAGAGGCCCAAGTGGAGCTGCGAGGGTGAGAGGCCAGGGGTGGAGAAGGGAGATGGCATTCAGGGCTCTAAACTCCAGGGGGCGCTGGGGAAACCTCACAGGCCAATCAGGGCATCACACTCTCTCTGGGGGTCTTGGGCACCTGCAGGAACTCCTTTCCAGCCTCCCTGGTGGTGGCAGCAGAAGAAGGTGAGAGGGAGCAGAACAGCTTGGACAGCTGGGGACCCAAAGTGGAGCACACCTATGAGGTATTGGGGAGCCTCGCGTCCCTGGCTGGGGTGAGCGGGTCCTCAGAACTCCGGGTGAGGCGCTAAGCTCCCCACACCCTGCCACCACCACCCCTTCAGCTCCACAACAATGGCCCTGGGACTGTGAATGGTCTTCACCTCAGCATCCACCTTCCGGGACAGTCCCAGCCCTCCGACCTGCTCTACATCCTGGATATACAGCCCCAGGGGGGCCTTCAGTGCTTCCCACAGCCTCCTGTCAACCCTCTCAAGGTAAGAGCTGGGTGGAAGAAAGACCTGGGAAGGCGGCCCCAGACCAACCACCGGGGCACCTCTGTGGGCTGGGGTTCGGGGGAGACCTGGGCCTGACCACTCCTTTGCCCCCCCAGGTGGACTGGGGGCTGCCCATCCCCAGCCCCTCCCCCATTCACCCGGCCCATCACAAGCGGGATCGCAGACAGATCTTCCTGCCAGAGCCCGAGCAGCCCTCGAGGCTTCAGGATCCAGTTCTCGTAGTGAGCAGGCTCTCTGGTCTCTGGCCCGGCCTCCCCGGGACCCACGGGGCAGAGGGGATGGGAGGAGGGAGAGGGGTCCGGGTGTGCTGTGGGCCTCTGTGGGCCACGCTTGGTCCCTGGGAGCACTTCAAGTGAACATGGAGGAGCATGCTGGCTTGTGTCTGGGGTGAGCTGAAAGACACTTGCACTTTTTAAAAGCTTCCCAGTACGTTAAGGAGCATAAAACAATGCCAAAGCAAGGTTATCATAGATCTGAGCATTGTGCGCTGGGGGATGACCCTCCCTGCATCTCTGGGACTATGTGAGCAAGCCCGTGGAAAGACAGCATCCGAAGCTTGGATCCAAGGCCCTTCCTGATGGGAAGGCCACCGCTTCCTGAACCCCCGGCCCCTTCTGCGTTGGGTCCTGGGGGTAAGGGGGTGGGGGATGATGGGGTGATGGGCCGGGACGGGCTGGGGACTGACGATGCTTCCCCTCAGAGCTGCGACTCGGCGCCCTGTACTGTGGTGCAGTGTGACCTGCAGGAGATGGCGCGCGGGCAGCGGGCCATGGTCACGGTGCTGGCCTTCCTGTGGCTGCCCAGCCTCTACCAGGTGGGGTGGGCCGTGGTGGGGCGGGGCCGGGCCTTCTGGGCGGGGACCACTTTGCTCTGGGAGGGGCGGGGTTTGGTGTGGGAGGGCAGGAAGAGAGGGAAGGCAAGGTTTACTTTGGGGGATTGCAGTGGGATTAGGTCAGAGGCAGGGCTTCCCCGCCGGGGGTGTGGGACCTGGACTCCTGCAACCAATAGGCCTCTTGTGGGTGTAAACGGCTTTCAACCCCAACCTGTCCAGAGGCCTCTGGATCAGTTTGTGCTGCAGTCGCACGCATGGTTCAACGTGTCCTCCCTCCCCTATGCGGTGCCCCCGCTCAGCCTGCCCCGAGGGGAAGCTCAGGTGAGTGTGGGGGGATGGAGCAGAGACCAGTCCTGCAGGACCCATTGTCCCCCAGTCAGTGCCCAGCCAGAAAAGTCTGAGGGGTGGTACGGGTGGGTGGCATGGCTGGAGGTCACCAGCCTGAGGTTTGAGTCTTTGTGAAAGGCAGGTGTCAAGGTGACTGAGGAGACACGTGGGTTTGCCCCCAGGTGTGGACACAGCTGCTCCGGGCCTTGGAGGAGAGGGCCATTCCAATCTGGTGGGTGCTGGTGGGTGTGCTGGGTGGCCTGCTGCTGCTCACCATCCTGGTCCTGGCCATGTGGAAGGTGAGGTGTGAAGGACGGTGGAGTCCCCAGCGGGGCACAGGCTTGGCTCTGCCCTGCCTCACAGGGAGTCAAGGAGAGATGGTGGCCCACCCAAGTGGGTAATCCAGGGACCAGGGGTCTATGTCTCCACTATTAGAATGTCATTCTCGGTCCAGTGGGGTGGCTCACACCTGTAATCCCAGCACTTTGGGAGGCCAAAGCGTTTAGATCACCTGAGGTCAAGAGTTCGAGACCAGCCTGGCCAACATGGTGAAACCCCATCTCTACTAAAAATACCAAAATTAGCCGGGCGTGTTGACACATGCCTGTAATCTCAGCTACTCGGGAGGCTGAGGCAGTAGAATTGCATGAACCCAGGAGGCGGAGGTTGCAGTGAGCCGAGATCACACCACTGCACTCCAGCTTGGGCAACAGAGCGAGCCTCCATCTCAAAAAAAAAAGAAAAAAATAGAATGTCTTTCTCTAGTAGAGCAAAAAAGGCAAAACAAACACAAAAATGTCATTCTCCTGGGAACCCTTCCAGACACATACCACTGGAAAGGATAGCACCTGAAATTCTGAGGCCTTTAGACACCCCTGCCACCAAAAAGATTCAGAGGATATAGAGGGTATAGAGGGTGTAAGTCCTGCCTTCAGGAATTCCTGGCTGGTCTCAAGGACAAGATGCACTTCTTCCTAGCCCTGCCCTTCCCCTTGAGTGAGGCAAGAGGCCCAAGGATTGGTCTAGACCCTATTCCTCCCTTCCTATGTGGCCCTGGAGGGTCACTCGCTCCTCTGCACCTGGAGGAGTCTCAAGCACACTGAAGGGAAGACATGGTGCTTTTAGGGAAAACCACGCACTAGACCCACAATAATCAAATACATATCATCATATGCTCGAGTCATGCAGACACAAACTTCAGTATAAGAAAAATTCCAGGCTGGGCGTGGTGGCTCACACCGGTAATCCCAGCACTTTGGGAGGCCGAGGTGGGCGGTTCATGAGGTCAGGAGTTCGAGACCAGCCTGACAAACATGGTGAAACCCCATCTCTACTAAAAATACAAAAATTAGCCAGGCGTGGTGGCAGGCACCTGTACTTCCAGCTACTCGGGAGGCTGAGGCAGGAGAATCACTTGAACCCGGGAGGTGAAGGTTGCAGTGAGCCAAGATTGTGCCACTGCACTCCAGCCTGGGTGAGATTTCATCTCAAAAGAAAAGAAAAGAAAAATTCCAGGTGGGGACCAGGCGCGGTGGATCACTTGAGGCCAGGAGTTTGGGACAGCATAGTGAGACTCCATCTCTACAAAAAAGTTTTTTAAAAAAAATTAGTCAGGTGTGGTAGTCCACACCTGTAGTCCCAGCTACTTGGGAGGCTAAGAGGTGAGAGGATTGCCTGGGTGACAACAGAAAGACCCTGTCTCTAAAAATAAAATAAAAAAGAAAAATTCAGAGGCCGGGCACAGTGGCTTATGCCTGTAATCCCAACACAATGGGAGGCTGAGGCAGGCAGATCACCTGAGGTCAGGAGTTTGAGACCAGCCCGGCCAACAGGGTGAAACCCTGTCTCTACTAAAAATTAGCTGGGCGTGGTGGCACACACCTGTAAACCCAGCTACTCGGGAGGCTGAGGCATGAGAATTGTTTGAACCCGGGAGGTGGAGGCTGCACTGAGCCGAGATCGAGCCACTACACTACAGCCTGGGTGACAGAGTGAGACTCCCTCTAAAAAAAAGAAAAAAATAAAAACTCAGGGGAGAAAAAACAAAAACCCAACAATTCGTTCCATGCATTATCTCTAAATGTCAAAAGGCATCCATTTGTGAGTACAGTGGGCTTCATGTTCTGCGCTGGTCCAGGGAGGTGCTCATAGCTAGCATACTTCCTCACATGTGCTCTGGGGCCAGCAAATCATCTGTATACCCTGACCTTGGCCCCCGTGTACCCCCAGGTCGGCTTCTTCAAGCGGAACCGGCCACCCCTGGAAGAAGATGATGAAGAGGGGGAGTGATGGTGCAGCCTACACTATTCTAGCAGGAGGGTTGGGCGTGCTACCTGCACCGCCCCTTCTCCAACAAGTTGCCTCCAAGCTTTGGGTTGGAGCTGTTCCATTGGGTCCTCTTGGTGTCGTTTCCCTCCCAACAGAGCTGGGCTACCCCCCCTCCTGCTGCCTAATAAAGAGACTGAGCCCTGATGCTGAGCATGCTGCCTCCTTTTGGGGCCAGAGAAGAGATGACCGAAGGAATGTTTTGGACGGGGACCTAGGGCTGGTGGAAGTATGAACGAGAGAGTCACTGCCAGGGCGAAGTTTGCAAATCACTGTCTTTGGGGAGTGTCAGGGAGTACAGAGTTGGGGTGGTAGGTGTAACAGAAGACGGAGAGCCCGGCGCAGTGGTTCACGCCTATAATCCCAGCACTTTGGGAGGCCGAGGTGAGCAGATCACCTGAGGTTGGGAGTTTGAGACCAGCCTTACCAACATGGAGAAACCCTGTCTCTACTAAAAATACGAAATTAGCTGGGCCTGGTGGCGCATGCTTCTAATCCCAGCTACTCGGGAGGCTGAGGCAGGAGAATCGCTTGAACCCGGGAGGCAGAGTTTGCAGTGAGCTGAGATTGCATCATTGCACTCCAGCCTGGGCAACAAGAGTGAAACTCTGTCTCAAAAAAAAAAGAAAAGAGGGAGAAAGGGCGGCAGGGCCTCAGGGAAGACTAGAAGGGGATGAACATGTCTAAGGGCAGGATGGGATGGGAGGGCAGGTGAGGGGGATGGGAGCATCAGAGAAGGCAGGCTGTGTCCTTGGTGGGCAGCTTTATTTATTTATTTAATGTATTTATTTTTGAGACAGAATCTCGCTCTTGCCCAGGCTGTGCAATGGCATGATCTCGGCTCACTGCAACCTCCGCCTCACGGGTTCAAGCAATTCTACTGCCTCTGCCTCCTGAGTAGCTGGGACTACAGGAGTGCACCACCACGCCTGGTTAATTTTCGTATTTTTAGTAGAGAAGGGATTTCACCATGTTGGCCAGGCTGGTCTTGAACTCATGGCCTCAGGTGATCCGTCCACCTCAACCTCCCAAAGTGCTGGGATTACAGGTGTGAGCCACCTCGCCCAGCTACGGCAGCTTTAAATAGCACATTTGTTATGATTTCGGAAGGGTAAACTTTACAATGACCTGAGGCGTGGAAAAATAACACGCTCTCCCTGCCTTCCTATCAAAAAAGGACTTTAAAGCTGTTTGGAGCGAGAAGGGGCAGAGGAAGGCTGGCTCAGCTGTTGCCTGAGGAAGGCAGCGTCATGCCAGGGAGGAGACAGCAAGCATCGCTCCCTGGCTACCCTGCTGCTGTCCCTTCCTCCCCACCAAGAGGGGCCTTCAGCCAGGAAAGATGAGGATGGAAGACAGCTCTCCAGCTTTGGTGAGTAGAGCTGAGCAGCATATGTGGGGAGGTCTCCCTGGAGTCCTGAGGGATTTGTTCCTTCCTGGGTTCAATAAATATTTATTGGCCGGGCATGGTGGCTCATGCCTGTAATCTAGCACTTTGGGAGGCTGAGGCAGGAGGATTGCTTGAGCCCAGGAGTTTTTGGCTGCAGTGAGCTATGATCATGCCGCTGCACTCCAGCCTGAGCAACAGAGAAAGACCCTGTCTCTAAAAAAAAATTAAAATTGTCCGGGAGAGGTGGCTCACGCCTGTAATCCCAGCACTTTGGGAGGCTGGGGTGGGCGGATCACCTGAGGTCTGGAGTTCAAGACCAGCCTGGCCAACATGGTGAAACCCCATCTCTACTAAAAATACAAAAAATTAGCTGGCTGTGGTAGCAGGTGCCTGTAATCCCAGGTTCTTGGGAGGCTGAGGCTGGAGAATCACTTGAACCTGGGCGGCAGAGGTTGCAGTGAGCCGAGATCATGCCATTGCACTCCAGCCTGGGCAATAAGAGCCAAACTCCATCTCAAAAATAAAAATTACTAGCTAGGTGTGGTGGTATGTTCCTGTAGACCCAGGTACTCAGGAGGCTGAGGCAGGAGGATTGCTTGAGCCCAGGAGGTCAAGACTGCAGAGAGCCTTGATCTCACCACTACACTCCAGCCTGGGTGACAGACTGAGGCCCTGGCTAAAAACAAATGTTTTTAATTAAAAATAAAAATAAATAATCACGGAGCACCTACTGTGTCCAGAATTGGTGGGTTCTTGGTCTCAGTGACTTCAAGAAGGAAGCCGCGGACCCTCGCGGTGAGTGTTACAGTTCTTAAAGCCGGCGTGTCCGGAGTTTGTTCCTTCTGATGTTCAGATGCGTTCGGAGTTTCTTCCTTCTGGTGGGTTCGTGGTCTCGCTGGCTCAGGAGTGAAGCTGCAGACCTTCCCGGTGAGTGTTACAGCTCTTAAGGCAGCGCGTCTGGAGTTGTTCGTTCCTCCCGGTGGGCTCGTGGTCTCATTGGCTTCAGGAGTGAAGCTGCAGACCTTCGCGGTGAGTGTTACAGCTCATAAAAGCAGTGTGGACCCAAAGAGTGAGCAGTAGCAAGATTTATTGCAAAGAGCAAAAGAACAAAGCTCTTACGGTGTGGAACGGGACCCCAGCGGGTTACCGCTGTTGGCTCGGGCAGCCAGCTTTTATTCTCTTATCTGGCCCCACCCACATCCTGCTGAGTGGTAGAGCCTAGTGGCCTGTTTTGACAGGGCGCTGATTGGTGTGTTTACAATCCCTGAGCTAGACACAAAGGTTCTCCTCGTCCCCATCAGGTTAGTTAGATACAGAGTGTAGACACAAAGGTTCTCCAAGGCCCCACCAGTGCAGCTAGATACAGAGTGTCGGTTGGTGCACTCACAAACCCTGAGCTAGACACAGGGTGCTGACTGGTGTGTTTACAAACCTTGAGCTAGATACAGAGTGCCGATTTGTGTATTTACAATCCCTGAGCTAGACATGAAGGTTCTCCAAGGCCCCACCAGAGCAGCTAGATACAGAGTGTTGATTGGTGCACTCACAAACCCTGAGCTAGACACAGGGTGCTGATTGGTGTGTTTACAAACCTCGAGCTAGATAGAGTGCCGATTGGTGTATTTACAATCCCTGAGCTAGATATAAAGGTTCTCCAAGGCCCCACCAGACTCAGGAACCCAGCTGGCTTCACCCAGTGGATCCCGCACAGGGGCTGCAGGTGGAGCTACGTGCCAGTCCCGCACCGTGCGCCCACACTCCTCAGCCCTTGGGTGGTTGATGGGACTGGGCGCCGTGGAGCAGGGGGCGCCGCTCATCCGGGAGGCTCGGGCCGCACAGGAGCCCATGGAGTGGGTGGGAGGCTCACGCATGGCGGGCTGCAGGTCCCCAGCCCTGCCCTGCAGGAAGGCAGCTAAGGCCCAGTGGTGGGCTGGCACTGCTGGGGGACCCAGTACGCCCTCTGCAGCCGCTGGCCCGGGTGCTAAGCCCCTCATTGCCCGGGGCCGGCAGGGCCGGCTGGCTGCTCCGAGTGCGGGGCCCGCCAAGCCCACGCCCACCCGGAACTCCAGCTGGCCCGCAAGCAGCGAGCGCAGCCCGGGTTCCCGCTTGGGCCTCTCCCTCCACACCTCCCTGCAAGCTAAGGGAGCTGGCTCCGGTCTTGGCCAGCCCAGAAAGGGGCTCCCACAGTGCAGCGGTGGGCTGAAGGGCTTCTCAAGTGCCGCCAAAGTGGGAGCCCAGGCAGAGGAGTCCCCGAGAGCGAGCGAGGGCTGTGAGGACTGCCAGCACAGTGTCACCTCTCACTACCACATGCCTGGCACTATTCCAGTGCTGAGATGCAGCAGTGAACAAAGCAACGTCCCTGCCCTCCTGGAACTTACATTCCAGAGGTAAAAAGTAAAGTAAACAAATAAATGTATGGTTAGTAGCAGTCAGTGCTGTGAGTGAAAATAACGGTGACGAGAGAGTGATAGATTGTATGTGGGTGGGCCGGGTACGGTGGCTCACACCTATAATCCCAGCATTTGGGAGGTTGAGACGGGCAGATCACCTCAGGTCAGGAGTTGGAGAACAGCCTGGCCAACATGGAGAAACCCCGTCTCTACTAAAAATACAAAAATTAGCCAGGCACGGTGGTGGGCACCTGTAATCCCAGCTACTCAGGAGGCTGAGGCAGGAGAATCACTTGAACCCATGAGGCGGAGGCTGCAGTGAGCCAGGATCGTGCCACTGCACTCCAGCCTGGCAACAGAGCGACACTCCGTCTCAAAAAAAAAAAAAAAAAAAAAAAAAAAAATATATATATATATATATATATATATATTTATATATATATATATTTTTATATATATAGTGGGTGTTTGGAGGGGTGCTACTAACATTTTAGGTAGGGTGGTCAGGGAAGGCCTCTTTGATGAGATAAGCAGGGAGATGAATGACTGAGCCATGCAGCTACATGAAGATAAAATGTTCTGGAAAGAAAGAGCAGCCAGTGAAAAGGCCCTGAGGTAGGAGCTGGCTTAGTGTGTTCAAAAAAAGCAAGGAGGCCCATGTGGCTGGAGGCAGGTGTGGGTGAGGGTTCAGGAGATGGGGGATGGGGGCAGGAACACCCCGTGGCCATGGGGAGGACTTTGGACTTGACGCCAAGTGTTGGGGGAAGCCATTGATGAACAATACAACAGCAAGAGCTGTTGGTATTTGATTCTACCCAAAGGTGTAAATAGTAAATTCTGAAGAGAATATTTTGACATCCATGCATGGCAAGTTTCGGAACAGGTTTCTATTTGGGTGACTGAATGCATTTAAGAAAAGATTAAGCCGTGATCCTTGAATACCAGCCAAATTGCCTCCTCCTTCTGTCATTGCGATTGGATGGCTCCAGACAACTTATCTTGATCCAGCAAAGCATTTGGCATTTGTCCTTATAGACAAGACGTAAATGTGAGCTGGATCCTAGGGACTCGGATTTAGACCTGAACAATTCTGATAAAGCTGAAGGAGATCTCTATGAAGCTCCATCCTGGCCCTGGGCTGCCTGGCATTGTTATGAGTCCCTTGAATGGAGGTAGAGGAAGCCATCTTCACCCTGCAGATGGCTGCTGGCTGGGAGGGAGCTCCAACACAATGGGTGACTGAAGCAGATTCAAAGCAGCCTTGACAGATTGTAAAGTTGGGTGGAAACCAACAAGATGAAATTCACCAGGGATGAGTGCTAAGTCTTGTGTTGAGGTTCCAAAAAACTGGTTACATAAGAATAGCACTGGGAAATCTGGTGAGATGGAAATTTCTGTTGAAAACAGAGAGAGGCTGGGCGCGGTGGCTCACACCTGTAATCCCAGCCCTTTGGGAGGCCAAGGCAGGTGGATCACGAGGTCAGGAGATCGAGACCGTCCTGACTAACACGGTGAAACCCCGTTTCTATTAAAAATACAAAAAAATTAGCCGGGCGTGGTGGCGGGCACCTGTAGTCCCAGCTACTCAGGAAGCTGAGGCAGGAGAATGGCGTGAACCCGGGAGGCGGAGGTTGCAGTGAGCCAAGATCGCAGCCACTGCACTCCAGCCTGGGTGACAGAGCAAGACTCCATCAAAAAAAGAAAGAGAGAGAGAGAGAGAGAGAAAAGAAAAGAGAGAGAGAAATGAAAAGAAGAAGGGAAGAAGGAAGGGAGAAAGAAAGAAGAGAGACAGATACACTGGCAGTTTTCATTCTGTCCACAAGCTTATAATGATGTCCCCTTAAATCAGAAGACCCAACCAGGAGGGTTGCTGTTCTCTGGGAAATGGGGTCCTTGCCTTAGGTATCCAGTCCCCTCTTGGCCACCATACAGTGAGAAAGAGAAGGTGACAAACCAGAGAGAACCAGGGAAGAGATACCAGTTAAGGATTTGGCCAGGTGGAAACTGATTGATGATGACAACCAGAAATATTGAACTGGAAGGAAAGAGAGCTTGGCTGGGACTAGGGCAAGCCAATAGCTGTCCTCAAATATGGGATTCAATGGCTGAGGACAAAGGAGAGACCCAGTTTATCATTCACAAAGCCAGAACCAAGACCACTGAGAATCACCAACTGGTGGAAGAGAAAGGCTGCTGCCAGCCCTGGAAACACTCCTTAGCCATTAGCACTGCCCAGCAATGGATCATATTACCTGGGCACAGGTGAGTCCCTACCTCACCCTGGGCCAACAGTAACAGCATTTATTACGCCCCTGCTCCTGTGAGGCTTGTGCTAGACTCTTTTGACATCATTATTTGGCCATTACATCTCATTTAGTTGTTACAGCAACCCTATGAGGTAGAGATTATGACAACTCCCATTTTAAAGGAAGACTGAAGACCAGAAGGCTGAATATCTTGCCAATGGCTTAATAAGAGACTTAGGGCTAGGCACGGTGGCTCACACCTGTAATCCCAGCAATTTGGGAGGCTGAGGCGGGTGGATCACCTGAGGTCACAAGTTCAAGACCAGCCTGGCCAACATGGTGAAACCCCATCTCTACTAAAAATACAAAAATTAGCCGGGCATGGTGACAGGCATCTGTAATTCCAGCTACTCAGGAGGCTGAGGCACAAGAATCTCTTGAACTCAAGAGGCAGAGGTTGCAGTGAGCCGAGATTGCATCATTGCACTCCAGCCTGGGCAACAGCAAAAGACTCTGTCTTAATGATCGGTAGCTGCAACACTAGAAAAATGGCGAGCAAGAGCAAAGAAAAATCCCTTTGGTTCTAGAAAATCTCCTGAAAAAAAGGCTTACCAAGCCCTCAAAGCCACCCAGGCAAAGCAGGCACTTTTGTCAAAGAAAGAGCAGAGGAAAGGAAAAGGGCTCAGGTTTAAGCAACTGGAATCATTCCTACATGATTCCTGATGGCAGAAATGTGACAAAGTGCATCTCAGACAACTAGAAGTGAAACATCATGCCTTGGAATTGCCAGATAAACATTCCTTGGCCTTTGTTGTACACATCGAAAGAATTGATGGCGTGAGTTTACTGGTGCAGAGAACCATTGTAAGACTTTGCCTAAAGAAAATTTTTAGTGGTGTCTTTGTAAAAGTCACCCCCCAGAACCTAAAAATGCTGCGTATGGTGGAACCTTATGTGACCTGGGGATTTCCAAATCTGAAGTCTGTCCAGGAACTCATTTTGAAACATGGACAAGCCAAGGTCAGGAATAAGGAATAAGACCATTCCTCTGACAGACAACACAGTGATTGAGAAGCACCTGGGGAAGTTTGGTGTCGTTTGCTTGGAAGACCTCAGTCATGAAATTGCCGTCCCAGGGAAGCATTTCCAGGAGGTCTCATGGTTGTTACGCCCTTTCTACCTCTCAGTGGCCCGTCATGCTACCAAAAATACAGTGGGCTTCCTCAAGGAGATGGGCACACCTGGCTATCAGGGTGAACGCATCAGTCAGCTCATCCGCCAGCTGAACTAGACCCAGGTGCCAAACTGCAGTAAATTTTTATTAATGAAGTGGAAGCATGGGTAGTAGAAGCATGTGTTTTTGTTTTTTTGGGAATTTTTATCAAGTATCTTCAGAGAAGATTATTTCCAGCTTTATCTTCAAAAACTGGAAAGGAAGGGTCAAAGAAAAGACAGAAGCTCACGCCTGTAATCCCAGCACTTTGGGAGGCCGAGGCGGGTAGATCACTTGAGATCAGGAGTTCGAGACCAGCCTGGCCAACATAGTGAAACGCTGTCTCTACTAAAAATACAAAAATTAGCCGGGCATGGTGGCGTGCACCTGTAGTCCCAGCTACTTGGGAGGCTGAGGCAGGAGAATCACTTGAACCCGGGAGGCAGAGGTTGCAGTGAGCCAAGATCACGCCACTGCACTCCAGCCTGGGCAACAGAGCAAGACTCTCTCTCAAAAAAAAAAAAAAAAAAAAAAAGAAGGAGAAGAAACAGTAGCTTATGTTCATGGCAAGCACCTCTAATCACAGTCCAGTTTCCAAGGAAAAATTCCAGCGTTTTAGTTTAATGTCGGTAAGTGAGTAACTCTAGCATTTGTACAAGGCTCCCTAAGACTCCTGCACCAGTCGGCCAAGCCCAGGGACATAATTGAATTTGGAGATTCTTGGGGCCTTGTTTTGAAAAAGACTTGAAATAGGAAGAAAGGCCCAAAAATAAATGTTCACTTGTCTCTGAAAAAAAAAAATCTGTCTCAAAAAAAAAAAAAAGAGAGACTTAGGGGGGTCTAGGGGGCCTTCCCTGCTATCACCCCAGCACTGCCTAGGTGTTCTACCGGGAGAAGGGGGCCATCGAGCAGGGAGTTCTTACAGTTTTCTGAGACTTTCATGACCGTACCCCTTGAGAGTGTTGTAGGCAATATCCACTCCCCACCTACACACACACAAATTTTGCACCAAATTTTGGGGACTCTCGAAACCCAAGAACCCGGGTGATGGGACCCTAATCCCGACACTCCTTTGCAGCGCAGAGTCTGGGAGCGCAGAGCGCGGGGGCTGCGGGGTGGGCTGAAGGTGGGCAGTACCGGGGGGCGGCGGGCGGAGCGGGGCCGGGAGGGGGCGGTGCCGGAGGGCCAGCGGTGTGGCGCGCCGCCTGCAGGGGGCGCTTGCGGCGGCTCCGGTCGGAGACAATCGCGCTGAGCGGGCGCCGCAGCGGGAGCGGGAGCCGGAGCTGCGAGGCGCGGCGCAGAGCTGGGGCTGCGCGGGGCCGGGCGAGCGGGACCAGGCGGGAGCCATGGACCGCTAGGGCCCGGCCTAGCCCCGCGATGCCGCCGGCGAGTGGCCCCAGCGTCCTCGCGCGGCTGTTGCCGCTGCTGGGGCTGCTGCTCGGCAGCGCCTCCCGGGCTCCCGGCAAGTCGCCGCCGGAGCCCCCCAGCCCGCAGGGTGAGTCTCAGCCGGGAGGGGCCGCGATCGCGGGCCTGCGCCCCCTGATCAGGCTCCCGCCCGTCAGCCCCCTCTTCGCGGCGTTCGTGAATTGAGTGGTATTCTGTTCCCTGGATTCGGGTGGGGGGAGCTAAGCGATCTGGGGTTGGCGCTTCTGGGGGAAAGTGGAGGCGGGGAGAGGGAGGCCGTCCGGGGCGGGGGTCTTGGGGAGACACAATGGGTAGTGCGAGGGTCCCCAGGATCTGCGCCGCCGCCCTCTCCCTATTTGTTTTTCTCCCTCCTGGTCCGCGAGGCGCTGCTGCCTGAGCCATTGTCTACCGAAGACACCCGCCCAGGGGCGGGCTGGGGCGGGCGCCTGCTCCGCAGCCCCCTGCGGGTTGCTCGCTCCCGACCCTGGCGGGGTGGGGGCGCCGGCATCCGCTGCCACCCTAGGCCGGGACCGGAGGCTGGGAGCCTGGAGCTGGGTTTGAAGGGGGGAGGGGAGAAGGGGGAGTGGGTGAGGCTGTGGGCGGGATTGACTGCTCTAATGGGGTTCTTTGCCCTGGAGCCTGACAGCTCCCAGCCAGCCCCCCTGGTTTAGAGTTTGGGGTGCACCAAATAAATGCTTGTGAGCCTATGATGGAGGACGAGCCGCAGTTGTGGGCCTCTAAGAAAAGGGGGTACATTGTGATTCCCAGCTGAGGGAGCATGGCAGGCTTGTGGTCGTGGAGCCATGCTGAGCTAGCTGGCTGTGGGCAGTGCCGGCTGGGAGGGCAGGTGCCTGGGTCCCCCCCCATTCAGCAGGCCTCCTGGCATTCCTGTCCCCTGCCCGCCCCCATATCACCCCCTCCTCATCTCACATCTTCGCAGTGGAGGAGACCCTTCCCAGCGACTCACCGGGCGCAGGTGGGTGTGTGAGGTGGGGGTGGGGCCGGCTCCTGCAGCAGGAAAGGGTGGGGGAGCAAGACCCTGACAACACATCCCACAGGCAGGCCTGGACGCTTGGGGGCCTCCGCCCACTCCAGTCCTGAGTCCACCTCCCGGGTCCTGCTCTCCCTCTCCTGCCTGTGGGCCCCATCCCTGCCTGAAGCAGTATTCACTCCTCACCCCCCACACTAAGGAGCTGGCAGGAAAAGCAGAGTGGGGGGGTCTGGATGAGGGAAGTGGGGTCCGGATGAAGGGAGGGGGTCGGATTTCCTCCTGGACTGAGGCAGGCCTAGAGCCGGGAGAGGTGGATACTATATGGAATGTCAGGCTTCGAGGAATGGGTAGGGTTCACCCTCTGCCTCAGTCTCCCCCAGCTCTCTCGGGGAGGAGATCAGGCTTTTCTTAGTAGGAAGAAGCCCTAGTTTCTTAGGACGCCCCTCCCCTCAAGTCCCTGCACCTCAGGGGAAGGGGCCCAGGGAATTGGCTGGAATAGAGCCAGGATTGGGGGTTCTCTGGGGCAGCTGGCGGGGAGCCCAGGTTGAGGGAAAGGGGGAAGGGAATCTGCTAGGCACCTGCCCCCTCCCTTCTCCCCCACCCGCAAGGTTGGCACAGATCCTTACCAGCCCACCCCAGTTTTGTTTCCCCAGCCCCCTCCCTCTTCTGAAACTCTGACTCTTGAACCCAAGGCATTCCCTCAAATGACCATATCTCAGACTCGGGATCCCTCTCCCCAGCTGCTCTATCCAGCTGTTCCTAAGCCCGGGATGGAGGTGGGAGTAGCCAGGACCTTCTAGCTTCTCCGAATTCCTAATGGGTGTTGGCAGGGGGATGGATGAGGACCTTGCACACGTCCTCCTAGGCTCTACCTCCCCCCACCCCATGCCACTTAACCTCTCTGAGCCATAATTTGTTCATTTGTAAGACATGGAAGGATAGTGCCTACATCATCAAATTGAAGTAAGAATTAAATCACATCAAATGTGCAAAAAAACAGTAAAGGGGTGCCAGCTTCCTGGAGGAGCAGAGAGCGAGAGTGAGTGGAGTGTGCACCCACCCTGCAGGGTTGGGCTCTGGCCTGGGAGGGGAGGTGGGCTCAGGGGAACAGCTGGATGGGATGCCTAGGGCAGGCGTGGCGCTGGCTGCGGATTGGGAGCCTGAGCTAAGACACCTGTCACTGCTGAGTGTCAGGCTCCACTCTAAGGCCTTCCCTCTCCTTGAAGTCTCCACAGCACCCTGACCTCCCCAGGCCCTGCTGCTCTCAGCTCCAGACTCTTCCTTCCATACCCAACCCCCACTAGATTTGCATCCAGCACTCAGCCCACTTCCCACCTGTCTCCTGGGCCCCCCACTGAGGTGTCCATACATGCATGACACACCTTGTTAGCAGGAAGGTAGGGGCGAAGTGTGTTCTTGAGGGAGGGGCTGTGCTGATGGGAAGGGGTGCCCTGGATCAGAGAGACTGCCTGGAGAATCCATGGGAACAACTCAAGGCTTGGTTCCTTCCCATCACGCCATCTGAGGGCAGGACGCCTGCCTGATGGCCTGGCCAGATTCTCCACGGGCTGTGGGCAGAGGCATCCCTGGAAAGCAAAAGACTTGGGCTTCCCTCCCCAGCCCCCTCCACAATAGTTCTCTTGGGCCTGGGTTGCTCCCCCCTAGATCTCCTTTCCCTTACCAGGGCCCCAGCTCCCTGCCTGATCTCCTGGGAGGAATGAGGGCGTTGCCATGGTGACTGACTGTAGCTGACCAGCTGGGAGGGGGCAGGCGGTTCATGTGAGGGGGAGGAGGCAGAAGTAATTTGTTTGGGCATGGGGTTGGGGTGAGTCCCTAAATCTGAAGGGAAACAGGCTTGTGCAAAGGATTCTGGGAAAAGGATGAATGATGGGAATGACCAGTTTCCTAGTGTCCCCTGTCAATTTTTTCCCAAGACCCCAAACTCTGCCCTAGCCTCCATCCTCCCTTTCAAACTGCTGAATCTTGACCCTTCTCCTCTCCGCCTGCGGACCCAGCTTTACTTAGCCTTTCTCAGCCCTCCTGTCCTTCTCCTCTCCCCAGGCCCGGGGTTAAGAATGTCGCTTCTAGAGGCAGACTGCCAGGTCTGGATCCCAGATCTCCACTTAGCTGTAGTCCAAGTATCTAAACTCTCTAAGCCTCAGTTTCCTTATCTGTAAAATGGACTAAGAGCATATATTATCAAATCCAATACACCACTGACTGTAAGATGCACCATGATTTCAGGTACCAGTAAGAAAGGAAGAAATGCTGCCAGTTATAACGATGGCATCATCAATCATAGGCATAGCCCGAGTTTAGAATTGTGAAAATGTGACACAGCGCATGTGTTAGACGATGAAATACAGGAATAGTCCCACCTCCGGCATGGGCTGATAGGAGGTTTCAGTGAGTGCTCTGTGAATGCTGGGTCTTAAATCATGCCTTCTCTAGCCTCAGCCCAAAAGACTCTCTCAAACACAGCTCCTTCCTCTGATCTTGGGGCTCCCCCCAGTTCTCTTTCCCCCTCCCTCGTCCTCACTCCCTTTGCCCCATCTTGCCCACAGAGATCCTGATCAAGGTGCAGGTGTATGTGAGCGGGGAGCTGGTGCCCCTGGCCCGGGCCTCAGTGGATGTGTTTGGGAACCGGACTCTGCTGGCAGCTGGCACCACAGACTCAGAGGGTGTGGCCACCCTGCCCCTCAGTTATCGCTTGGGCACCTGGGTGCTGGTCACTGCTGCCCGCCCTGGCTTCCTCACCAACTCTGTGCCCTGGCGTGTTGACAAGCTGCCCTGTGAGTGCAGGGGCAGGTGGAGGGGGGGGACAGCAGCTGACCCTCCATCAGCCCCTTCCCAAAATAGTCTCCTTGGGGGTGGAGGGGGAGGCTTTCCAGCAGCTGCTGCCTGGGCTGGGGTACACAGAGGGGGCTGAGGGAGGGTGAAGCCTCTGGGACTCAGATGGAGGGGGTGCCTGGCTGGGGGGTAGGGGGTGGGTTTTCCTGGAGCTGACCGGCCATCCCTCCCGCAGTGTATGCGTCTGTCAGCCTCTACCTGCTCCCTGAGCGGCCGGCCACGCTCATCCTCTATGAGGACCTGGTGCACATTCTCCTAGGCTCTCCCGGTAAGGCTCCCCCTCACCCACGCCAACTCTTCTTCCTTCCCCTGACCTAGGTGTAGAGACCTCCACTGTCCTATATTAGCTGGGTGTCCTTGGGCAAGTCACTTCACCTCTCTGAGCCATAATTTGCTCATTTGTAAGACGTGGAAGGTTAGTGCCTACATCATCAAATTGGAGTAAGAAATCACAAAGTGAAAAAACACAGTACAGAAGGTGTTCAATAAATGTTTACAGTTATCGGGGCTTCTCGTGGTTTCTATTCTCCATCTATTCCTACCTTCCCTGCCACCTTTATCTTCAATGGGTCTACACAGATTTGTTGTGCACCTGCTGGATGCACAGGTGCACAGGAAGTGCAAGGCCCAGAGCAAGCCTGCAGTTCCTGGTCTACCCCCAGGCTTTTGGTCTCGCTCAGCTAGTACTTACTTCAACTCCTAGGCTGTGCCAGGCATTGTGGCTGGTGCTGGGAACCACGGTGAGGAAGAAGACCCGCTCTTTGCCTTTGGACGTTCACAGACAAGTAGGAAGACAGATCATTGCAAGCCCTGAAATAGTTCCAGAGCAGGCAGGGCAGTGGAGTGGAGGGCAGCTGCTTTCAGTGCTGAGACGGCCCTAACCTGCGAGGGGACCTGGCTGGGTGAGAGCTTGTCGAACGGAGCAGTCAGCCCTCGACTCAGGAGTGAAGGGGAAGCAGAGGCACCTCCACTGGAGAGGAAGGCCAGGGGGAGACATCAGGTGGAGGGTAGTAGAGGACAGTGAGGGTTTGGGGGCTCCATTCCGCTTAGAGGGCCATGGTGGGTTTCGGAGTTTGAGGAACCCCATCCCAGTTTGTAGTCTCAGCTTGAGCCCTTGTCATGGAGCTAGTTTTTGTTGTTGTTGTTGTTGGGTTTTTTTTTGAGATGGAGTATTGCTCTGTTGCCCAGGCTGAAGTGGTATAACCTCGGCTCACTGCAACCTTTGCTTTCTGGGTTCAAGGGATTCTCCTGCCTTAGTCTCCTGAGTAGCTGGGATTACAGGCACCCATCACCACGCCAGACTAATTTTTGTATTTTTAGTAGAGACGGTTTTGCCATGTTGGCCAGGCTAGTCTCGAACTCCTGACCTCAGGTGATCCACCCGCCTCTGCCTCTCAAAGTGCTGGGATTACAGGCGCGAGTCACTTCACCCGGCCTCACCAAGCTGCTCTTGTTTGCTCACCTTCGTCACTCTGATCCCAAGCTTCTAAGTGCCCCTGCAGGTTTCTAAAATACCAGTGGACCCTTTGTGGCCCCCTAGCTTGAAGCCCCTGCATGGCGCCTACTGCTTTCAGTACCAAGCCCAGGTGCCATCTCAGAGCTGACTGCACCCTCCAGAGCCCGGGCCGCCCTCTGCCCCACGCCTCTGGGCCTTTCTCATGCCAGGCCTCCTGGATGTCCTTTCCCTCTTTCTTTCCTGGCTGAGTCTTCCACATCCTCCAAGACTCCACAGGGCCTCCCCTGAGCTGAGTGAGACCAGCTCCCCTAGTCCTCTGCATCCCTCTATTTGGATAGCAAGGCAGGAGGAATGGCATGGCAGAGGATGGGCCTGGAGCCCGATGGCCTGGGCTTCTATCCGGGCTCGAGGATTGTGACCTCGTGCAAGTTACTGAACCCCTGTGCCTCCATTTCTGCACCTCTAAAATGAGGTTGATAATAGATACCTAGCTCAGGGGCTATTTTCCTAATTGCAGGGGTTAATATAGGTAACCTGCTTAGAACAGTGCCCAGCATAGCTTAAAGATTAATAAATGTTAGCTGTGACCATATTGTATTGGAATTGTTTGTATGTCTGTCCCCTCCACCCCAACACACACACACACACACACACACACACGACCTAAACTGTCTAATGCAGTAGCCACTAGCTACATATTAAATTGAAGTAAATTAAATTAAAAATTCATTAATTTTTTTTTTTGAGATGGATTCTCACTCTGTTGCCCAGGCTGGAGTACAATGGCATGATCTTGGCTCACTGCAACCTCTGCTGCCTGGGTTCAAGCGATTCTCCTGCCTCAGCCTCCCGAGTAGCTGGGATTACAGGCGCCTGCCACCGCACCTGGCTAATTTTTGTAGTTTTAGTAGAGATGGGGTTTCACCATCTTGGCCAGGCTGGTCTTGAACTCCTGACCTCGTGATCCACCTGCCTTGGAATCCCAAAGTGCTGGGATTACAGGCGTGAGCCACCGCGCTCGGCCTTTTTTTTTTTTTTCTTTTGAGATGGAGTTTCGCTCTTGATGCCCAGACAGGAGTGCAATGGCACAATCTCAGCTCACCGCAACCTCCCCCTCCCAGTTTCAAGTGATTCTCCTGCCTCAGCCTCACGAGCAGCTGGGATTACAGGAATGCACCACCACACCCAGCTAATTTTGTATTTTTAAGAGAGTCAGGGTTTCTCCATGTTGGTCAGGCTGGTCTCCAACTCCTGACCTCAGGTGATCCACCCACCTTGGCTTCCCAAAGTGCTGGGATTATAGGCATGAGCCACTGCACCCACCTAGAAAAAAATCATTACATTTTTAAAAATTAAAAATCCAGTTCCTCAGTCACACTAGCCACATTTCAAATGCTTAACAGCCACGTGTGTCCAGTGGGTACCATAATGGGCAGCACACCTAGAAAACATTCCCATCACAGCAGACGTTCATCTTTGGGCCCCCAGTGTCTAACCTGGTGCCTGCCACATAGTAGACAATACTGTTTGAGGATCTGGATCGCAACATTTTATAGGTTCTATAAGGAAACTTTCTACTAAAACAAGTAAATTGCTGAGGGTCACACAGAGATTTCAGGTCCATGTCCCTTCCAGGTTAACATTCCATGACTGCCCAGCTTTCTCCCCAAGGCATCACCCTCCCTGGCCTTCCAAAGTGGCCTGACCTCATGTCCCCCTTTTCCTTAGATAATGGGTTTCTGCTCTGGTCCCTGGGGATCCCTGTCCATGGTCAAGCCACTGCAGCCCCTCTTTCCCTCCAGGTGCCCGCTCCCAGCCCTTGGTGCAGTTCCAGCGCCGGGCTGCCCGCCTGCCTGTCAGCTCCACCTACAGCCAGCTCTGGGCGTCACTTACGCCTGCCAGCACCCAGCAGGAAATGCGGGCTTTCCCTGCCTTCCTGGGCACTGAGGCCTCCAGCTCAGGTAGGCTGGGTGCCCAGCACGGATGGGGTCTCCCCAGGCTCAGGATCAGCCCTCAGCCCTGTACCCTCTTCCCTCAGGCAATGGCTCCTGGCTGGAGCTGATGCCCCTGACTGCTGTGAGCGTGCACCTGCTGACAGGTAATGGGACAGAGGTGCCGCTCTCAGGCCCCATTCACCTGTCCCTGCCCGTGCCCTCCGAGACTCGTGCCCTCACCGTGGGCACCAGCATTCCAGCCTGGAGATTTGACCCCAAGAGTGGTAAGTGCCTCAGGGGGCTGCAGGTGCTTGAGTTGAGAGAAGAAAGTGGGACTTGAGTGGGAGCGACTCAAGTGTGACAAAACCCCTGCCTCTCCCAGGGCTGTGGGTGCGCAATGGCACTGGTGTAATCCGGAAGGAAGGCCGGCAGCTCTACTGGACCTTCGTCTCCCCCCAGCTGGGGTACTGGGTGGCCGCCATGGCCTCCCCCACGGCTGGTAAGAGTAGTGGGGCAGTGGGCGTAGAGGCCGCGGAGGAGGGGAGCTGGGAGAGCAGACTTCTGAAAGGCAGGAAGGGTGTCTACACCTGAACGCTAAGCCCTCGCCTGGCACAGGGCTGGTCACCATCACGTCGGGCATCCAGGACATCGGCACCTACCACACCATCTTCTTGCTCACCATCCTGGCAGCCCTGGCCCTGCTGGTGCTTATCCTGCTGTGTCTGCTCATCTACTACTGCCGGTGAGCACGGGGCTTCCCTCACCCTCCCCTGCACTTGTACCGGGCCCTGGGGCCCCAAAGATGCATAAAATCCACTTCTGGTCCTCAAGGGGCAGACAGGAAAAGACTTCCTGCAAACATGCTAAGACCTGAAGGGCTGGTGCTGGTGGTTGAAGACAGCGGGGAGGTGGGAGGGGAGGCAGGGCTTAAGGACTTGCAGCCCGGCCCCTCCAGAGAGATCTGCCACTGCCCCTACCAGCCCAGCTCTCTCTCCCAGAGGACTCCAGGCCGGACACACCCATAGACAGCTTAGATGCTCATCCCTGGTTCTCGCAGCACATCCTACATGCAGAGGAGTGCAGAGTTGACCCTGAGGGGATCGCCAAACGGACACGGCGGCTCCCCGCCATCTCTCCTGAGCGCCCCAGGCATTCTCCCCACCTCTTCCACTATATTCGTCTCTTGTCTTGCATCTAAGGGGGTTCGGGGCCTACTTTGGCCCTCACCCTTTCCTGAGCGGCCCCTTCTGCTCCCTCCCTTCCAGGAGGCGCTGCCTGAAGCCGAGGCAACAGCACCGCAAGCTGCAGCTCTCGGGGCCCTCTGACGGTAACAAACGAGACCAGGCCACCTCGATGTCCCAGCTCCACCTCATCTGTGGGGGACCCCTGGAACCCGCCCCGTCGGGGGACCCCGAGGCTCCGCCTCCAGGCCCCCTCCACTCGGCCTTCTCCAGCTCCCGGGACTTGGCCTCCTCCCGGGATGACTTCTTCCGCACCAAGCCGCGCTCTGCCAGCCGCCCGGCCGCCGAGCCTTCGGGTGCCCGCGGGGGCGAGAGCGCCGGGCTCAAGGGCGCTCGCTCGGCCGAGGGCCCCGGCGGGCTGGAGCCCGGCCTAGAGGAGCACCGGCGGGGGCCCTCGGGGGCTGCGGCCTTCCTGCACGAGCCGCCCTCGCCGCCGCCGCCCTTCGACCACTACCTGGGCCACAAGGGGGCGGCCGAGGGCAAGACCCCCGACTTCCTGCTGTCGCAGTCGGTGGACCAGCTGGCGCGGCCGCCGTCGCTGGGCCAGGCGGGGCAGCTCATCTTCTGCGGCTCCATCGACCACCTCAAGGACAACGTCTACCGCAACGTCATGCCCACCCTGGTGATCCCCGCGCACTACGTGCGCCTCGGCGGCGAGGCGGGCGCCGCCGGCGTGGGCGACGAGCCGGCCCCGCCGGAGGGCACGGCACCCGGCCCGGCGCGCGCTTTTCCCCAGCCCGACCCCCAGCGCCCGCAGATGCCGGGCCACTCGGGCCCGGGGGGCGAGGGCGGCGGGGGCGGCGGCGAGGGCTGGGGGGCCGGGCGCGCGGCGCCCGTCAGTGGCTCAGTCACCATCCCTGTGCTATTCAACGAGTCCACCATGGCGCAGCTCAACGGGGAGCTGCAGGCCCTGACCGAGAAGAAGCTGCTGGAACTGGGCGTGAAGCCGCACCCGCGCGCCTGGTTCGTGTCCCTCGACGGGCGCTCCAACTCGCAAGTGCGCCACTCTTACATCGACCTGCAGGCGGGCGGCGGGGCACGCAGCACCGACGCCAGCCTGGACTCGGGCGTAGATGTCCACGAGGCGCGGCCCGCGCGCCGCCGGCCCGCGAGGGAGGAGCGGGAGCGCGCCCCGCCTGCCGCGCCGCCGCCGCCGCCCGCGCCCCCGCGCCTGGCGCTCAGCGAGGACACGGAGCCCAGCAGCAGCGAGAGCCGCACGGGCCTCTGCTCTCCGGAGGACAACTCGCTGACGCCGCTGCTGGACGAGGTGGCGGCGCCCGAGGGCCGGGCGGCCACGGTACCCCGGGGGCGGGGCCGCAGCCGCGGGGACAGCTCCCGCAGCAGCGCCAGCGAGCTGCGGCGCGACTCGCTCACCAGCCCGGAGGACGAGCTGGGGGCGGAGGTGGGCGACGAGGCGGGAGACAAGAAGAGCCCGTGGCAGCGGCGGGAGGAGCGGCCGCTGATGGTGTTCAACGTCAAGTAGCGCCCGCGCAGGGCCTGGCACCGCCCCTCCCGCGCGGGCCCGCACCCAGGGTGCGCGCCCCGGGGGCCCGCGGGGGCCCTCGCGCGTAGCTCCCAGCCCCAGGCCGGAGAGGGGCCCAGGGGCCTTGGAGCTGTTCCGTGGTTGGTGCTGGGTCGTGTCTTGCAAGGGACCCTGTGTCTGCCTCCAAGCCGGGGAGGAGGGGGGGTCCAGACCCCCACGGGGAGGTGCCGGGGAGGAGGGCTGGGGGGAAGCAGTGCCTGTGTAGACGTGGCTGTACATAGAAAGCTCTATTGTGGGAAAGCAGGAGGGGTGACCCAGCCTCAGCTGCTAGTGTGAGGGCTGGGAAGGGAGGGGGCGTTCTTTGTGGACCCCTGGGAGGGGAGGGGGTGCTGCTTGCTGACTAGCCCATCTCTGGGCTACGATGTCACAGGGCTGGTGGCTGGGACAGCTCTGGGGACTAGGGGGTAATGTGATACAGCCGATGTGGGCAGCAGCAAATATAAAACTGGTGAGGTTAAGGCTGTGTATGTCTTTCTGTGGGGTAGGGGAGGGGAGTGTTGGCAGTGGACGTGAACCCCTGTTCTGGGGCCCTGGGGAGGGCAGGCAGGGCGGCAAATCAGACACTGTTAAGAAAGTGTACAAACTTTATTGAAACGCACACGCGCACACACACAAACACCCCTGTGGATAGGGAAAAGCACCTGGCCACAGGGTCCACTGAAACGGGGAGGGGATGGCAGCTTGTAATGTGGCTTTTGCCACAACCCCCTTCTGACAGGGAAGGCCTTAGATTGAGGCCCCACCTCCCATGGTGATGGGGAGCTCAGAATGGGGTCCAGGGAGAATTTGGTTAGGGGGAGGTGCTAGGGAGGCCTGAGCAGAGGGCACCCTCCGAGTGGGGTCCCGAGGGCTGCAGAGTCTTCAGTACTGTCCCTCACAGCAGCTGTCTCAAGGCTGGGTCCCTCAAAGGGGCGTCCCAGCGCGGGGCCTCCCTGCGCAAACACTTGGTACCCCTGGCTGCGCAGCGGAAGCCAGCAGGACAGCAGTGGCGCCGATCAGCACAACAGACGCCCTGGATGGTCAGAGGGGGGCGAGAGGGTTGGACGAGGTGGGACCTGGTCCCTGGCCATACCCAGCCCCAGGATGGGGGTTGGCACTGACCTGGCGGTAGGGACAGCAGGCCCAGCCCTGTCGGTTGTCTCGGCAGCAGGTCTGGTTATCATGGCAGAAGTGTCCTTCCCCACACTCCACGTCCTTCACACCCACGTGAGGGCTACGGGCCAGGAAGGTGGCAGGCTGGGCAGAGACCACTTCCTTCTCGCAGGATCGAGCCTTCACGTTGCAGGTGTAGCCAGCCGGGCAGCAGTGCTGGCGATCCTCGCAGCACACAGCCTGGCGGGGAAGGGAGCACAGAATGGCATTATGTTCCTGTCCCCTCACTGGGCTTAGCTCCCCTATCCAGGGGCAGGCAGGGAGGCACTCACATGGGGCAACTGGCAGCAGGCCCAGCTCCCACCCAGGCTCGGGCAGCAGGTCTGCCCCACCGGGCAGCTGGTGTGCTGGTCACAGCCGATGTCTCTGGGGTGGGATAAGGAAGCCCGGCGGGCAGGCATCTTCTCCAGTCCAGCCACGATCTCGCTTCCTCGCTGACACTGCCCCTCAGCTACACACGTGTAGCCCTGGGGGCAGCAGTGCTGGTGGTCCGAGCAGCAGACAGCCTGGGGGGTGGGCAGGAAAGGGCGTTGTAGGTAGCCACTATGTGGGGCGCAGTGCCGAGCCCCTACCTACTCCAGCCCGCCTCTCCTGCTTACAGCACCTCCAGCTGGGGACGAATCTGTCAGAGCTGGGTATCACCTATGGGCTATGCGGAGGGCAGAAAGCAATAGGAGCTTGGCCACCCACCTGCCCAGGCCAAGATGCTGTCCCCTCCCATATACCTCTGGGATTGGACAGCAGCCCCACTCCCCAGACGTGAGTTGGCAGCAGGTATCGGAGGAGGGACAGCTGCTGACATTATCACAGGGGACATCTCTCTTCAAGGCTTGTGGGTCTGGCAGGCTGAGGTGAGCTGGGGCCTTCTCCATCCAGGGCACCTGGTGGGGCCCCTGTTCACAGGTACCCTTCTGCGTGTCACACGTAAACCCCGCGGGACAGCAGTGTATGTGGTCCTCACAGCACACAGCCTAGGGCAGATGAAGAAGGGCAGGTGGGCACTGGGGCCCGGCTGCCTGCCACACTGTGCTCAGCCCACCCACCCGCCACCCCTGGGTACCTGGGTAAAAGGGCAGCAGCCCCAGGCCCCCGACTGTAGACGGCAGCAGGTATAGCCATCTGGGCAGCTCACCTCCATGTCACATTTCACATCCCCCACTGTGAGGGAAGCAGAGAGGACAGGTCAGAAGTGGCACTGGGGACCCTCAGGGGTATCAACCCTTTGCCGGCTCCACAGCTGGAACCAGGTGTTGAAGATGGAGGGTACCGCTTACACCACCTTGCAGTGATCCTAAGGCCAGGCCTAAAAGGGAGGAAAGGGGGCCCCACCCCTGTATCTGCACCCTGCCTCTGGTACCTGTGTGCGCAGGCAGCTTAGTGAGGAGGTCCGTGGTAGCGTTCTCCTTGGAGAGGCACTTACTCTGGATCAGGTCACACACAGTGTCTTGGGGGCAGCAGTGCAGGTGATCGGAGCAGCAGGTGGCCTGAGTGGGGACAGGGGTGGGTCTTTGTCACTTCCAGGCTCAGTAGCACACAGGGAGCAGCCAGGCTGATGGCTGGCACTGCCCCAATCCCCCACTAGGGGGTAGCATGAACCCTGCATCAGCCAGGCTCCCAGCAAGCAGCCAGCCAGCCCCATGCCACAGAGCCCCTGTAAGGTGCGTGTCAGGGCCAGGTGGCTGGGGGCACACAGCCAAGCTGGCTCCAGCCCCTCACTCACGTTGGGCATTGGGCAGCAGCCATACTTCCCACTGGGCAGCTCACAGCAGGTAGAACCATCAGGGCACCGGGACCGTGCGTCCGGACACATGACCGAGCTGGACAAGGCCACTGGAAGAGGAGCAAACGTGAGGGGCAGCCAGGATGGAGGAAACTTTTTCCTACACTTGGAGTCAATGAGGCCCCGCCCCAGCCCCTGGCCTGATGCTCTCCCACCTCCTCACCTGCCCTGTTAGTCCTCTGGGCAGGGAGCTTCTTTGCCAGGGGGTGGGTGCCCGTGGGTGTGATGCAGCGGGTGTGAACCAGGTCGCAGAAGGCACCGTGCGGACAGCAGTGCACCCTGTCTTCACAGCAGGAAGCCTGAGAAAAAATGGTCCTGACTCCGTCTTCACCCCCTGCCCCTGGCCCCCAACTCTGCCCCCACTTCCCTCCACATACCCCCATCTCCCCCAGATTTGTACCTGGGGCATGGGGCAGCACCCCCAGGAGCCATCGACCATAACACAGCACGTGGAGAAGTCCGGGCATTCGAACTGACTATCAGGGCACTGGATGGCACCCACGGAGTTGTTACCTGTGGACAAGATGACCCAGGATACTACCAGCCCACTCAGGGAAGGTGACTCCCCCATCACACAAGGAGCTGGTGGCACCAGGGCCTGCAAGCCCAGCTACTGGGGTTTGAGGGTGACACTAAGGCTCAGTGATCTCCTAGGCAGGCCTAACTCACCCTCCTCACAATCCAGTCCCTCCCTCAGCAAGATGGCATGGGGAAGGGGCACCCACTGACCATGGGTTGGTATTAGACCGGCCCAGCTCGACCTCTCCCCACCCCCACAACGCCTGGACCTGGAGTCTTGCACTTTCTCCCGCACCCTCCTATCCCCAGTGCTGCCCCTCTGTCCACAGCAGGGCTGTTGCTTAGTACAGATGCCACATGAATGAGGGCACAAGGGCAGGAATCAGGGCTGCCCCCGCCAGCTGGGCTCCTGGGTTCCAGACTCCACATGCTGCCCGTCTGCCTGCCCTGCACCCACACCCCAGCTGCACCTGATCTTTGGAAGCAGGATCGCCCGTCTGCACTGCAGTGGAAGCCCCGTGGGCAGCAGTGATGGCCATCCCCGCATGCCACGGCCTGTGGAACACAGAGAAACCTGCATTGGCAGGGCCCTTTTATCTGCAGGTGGTAGAGTGCAGGAAAAGCATAAATGCAGACCTAAGCCCCTCCACTGGGCTGATGGCACGCTCACCTCTGGGAAGGGGCAGCAACTGGAAGTCCCTGAGACGGTAAAGATGCAGGAGTGGCCGGCAGAGCAGTGGGCATCAACCTGGCAGGGGCCACCCAGATGCCTGCTCAGTGTTGTGGGCCATTTGTCCTAGAAAGACAGGGAAAATGATAAACCACAGACTTGTGCCTGGCGTCCTCCTCTGGCCAATCCAAGATGACCCTTTGGGAAAACCCAGGCTGCCAGCTCTTGCCTAGGCTGAGGGGCACTCACCAGAAGGGGACGGCAGCAGCTGTAGCTGGCTCCTCCGGGGTCCAGGCAGCAGGCCACAGGGCAGAACTGACCATCTGGGCACCGCGTTCCAGCCACCAGCCCTGCTGTTAAGGCCACCCAGCTCACCAGGGTCCACATGGTCTGCCTGCAAAGTACCAAGGAACGTCTGGCAACTGCTTAAGCCCACGCCACCCTTGATTCTAGGGTCACTCAGTACCCTAGCCCCAGGCCAAGGTCCTGGCCCAGGACTGCCTGAGCCTTCTCAACACCTCCCTGTCCAGGCAGGCAGAAATCTGCAGGGGCTGAGAGTCAGCTTCCTACAGCGCCCCGTGTGTGACACTTGCCCCAGCATGTGCGGACCTGTAAGCATGAATGCTGACATGCGTATATGTGTGGGTCTGAGTCCCCAGCACATGGCCTAATGCCTGGGCCTCACTGGGCAGGCTTATGAGAGTCAGGAAGACGTGATTTTTGTGGGTCTGATCTGTGCAGATGTGGGCCACCTCTGGGGTGAGGGGAAGGCATCAGTAGCCATGGGAGAGGACAGGGCTAGGGTGCAGGGAGGGAGTCCCCCCAGGAAAAGCCAGGGTTCCCCTCCAGATGCCTCCTTGCCTGACACTATGTTCATACCTGCACCCCGCTAAGGCCTTGCGGGAAGCGGCCACATGATGACATGGGAAACCACAGGGGTGAGAAAGTTGTGAAAAAGGAAATATGGTGGCCAGTGGAGTCTGGGCTGCCTTCCCCAGAGGTCACCATCTGCCCATGAATGTCCCCTCCTCACCCAGAGAAAAGGACACAGAAGCTGGGTCAGCCCTTGAGACACCTGTGTTCTGAGGGTCCCCCACACCACCAGGGCCCTCTGAGATTCCTCAAGCATGCTAAACCCTGCCCTTGCCTCTCCATCTATTCTGGAAGTGAAACTCAGCCACATGTGGAGAGAGACCACGTGTGCCCACTGGGCTGCCCATCTGAGTCACCAGGAGGAACTGAGCCTTGAGTCTCTGTGGAGAGCAGCCTCTCACTTCCTAAACAACTCTTCTCCCAGGCTCAGCTAGCCCAGCTAGTTCAGTGGGGTGGCCAGAGAGGTAACTCATAATGAAGAAGCAAAAACAGTAATGTCTGTTGAGCCTCTTGGGAGCCAGTTACAAGACTCTCCATTATTTTATATATATTTCTTTGCAACAACCATCCAAAGTAGTAATTAATACCTTTACTTTTATTTTATTTTTAGAGATGAGGTATTGCCATGTTGCCCAGGCTGGACTCAGACTCCTGGGATCAAGCAATCCTCCAACCTTGGCCTCCTACTAAGTAGCTGGGACTGTGGGAGCGTGCCACCACGTCTGCTCACCCCCTTTTTTTTTTTTTTTTTGAGACAGTCTTGCTCTGTTGCCCATGCTCGAGTTCAGTGGCACGATCTCAGCTCACTGCAACCTCTGCCTCCCAAGTTCAAGCAAGTAGCTGGGACTACAGGCGCTCGCCACCACGCCTGGCTAATTTTTGTATTTTTAGCAGAGAGGGGGTTTCACCATATTGGTCAGGCTGGTCTTGAACTCCTGACCTCAGCTGATCCACCCACCTCAGCCTCCCTAAGTGCTGGGATTACAGGCTTGAACCACCACACCCAGCCACACCTTTATTTTAAAGGAGGAAACTGAAGCTTAGAGATGTTAAGTACAGTCAGCCCTCCATATCCAACCAGGGATCAAAATATATTGGGCGCGGTGGCTAACGCCTGTAATCCCAGCACTTTGGGAGGCCCAGGTGGGCGGATCCCAAGGTCAGGAGTTCAAGACCAGCCTGACCAACGTGGTAAAACCCCATCTCTATTAAAAATACAAAAATTAGCCATGCGTGGTAGCGCACACCTGCAATCCCAGCTACTCAAGAGGCTGAGGCAGGAGAATCGCTTGAGCCCAGGAGGTGGAGGTTGCAGTGAGCAGAGATCACGCCAACATACTCCAGCCTGGGTGACAGAGTGAGACTGAGATTCTGTCTCAAAAAACAAAACAAAAAAACCCCTGAAAATGTTACATCGTTGCTGAGTTATACAATGTAGTTAGGCTTACGATGGGTGCATCTATACTGAACATCTACAGATAGTTCTTTCTTATTATTCCCTAAACAATTCAGGATCACAACTATTTACATGGCATTTCTTTTTCTTTTTCTCTTTTTTTTTTGAGATGGAGTCCTGCTCTGTCACCCAGGCTGTAGTACAGTGGCGCGATCTCAGCTTACTGCGAACTCCGCCTCCCAGGTTCAAGCAATTCTCCTGCCTCAGCCTCCCAAGTAGGTGGGATTATAGGTGTGCGCTACCACACCTGGCTAATTTTTGTATTTTTAGTAGAGATGGGGGTTTCACCATGTTGGTCAGGCTGGTCTCAAACTCCAGACCTCAGGTGATCCACCTGCCACGGCCTCCCAAAGTGGTGGGATTACAGGCATGAGCCACCACGCCCAGCCGACATGTCATTTCCATTGTATTAGGTATAAGTAATCTAGAAATGATTTAAAGTATGTATAGGTTATATGCAAATATTACACCATTTTATCTCAGGGGCTTGAGCACCCACAGATTTTGGGGTCCTGGAACCAGTTCCGTGAAGATACCAAGGGACACCTATAACACGTCACACATCAGGTCATGGTGACGTCAGGCTTTGATGGCCCCAGAGCGTATTGGACCTGGGTTCATATCACTAGTGGCACGATGGGCAGTGCCTGGGAATGGTGCAACAGGTACAACAGAAACAGGGTACAGGGACTGCCTGAAAATCGCACTTGGGTCCTAATCCTAGAATTGCCAACTGTGAGGGCCTGAGAAGTTGCTCTCTGTCTGTGCCTCAGTTACCCCACGAGTCTAGGTGTGGATACCACTGCGGGGGGAGGGGCAGGAAATCTCACCCACCCAGTCACTCACATCCTCTCTGCTCCACCTGGCTTTCCTCAAGTGCCCCTCCCCTAACTCAGCATCCCCAAGAGGCCACCTCCTGGACAGATAAGGATGAAGTTCACTGGTCCTGGACAGTGGACCCTCTCCTCAGCCCCACAGCTCCCAGGCAAAGCACCTGCAGCTGGCACCGCCTGCTTCCTGGGTGTTCTCAGCAGGCTGTCCGCTGCCATGGCTTGCTGGGAAGGGGAGTCTGTCTGCACAGGAGTGTTCGGCTCCCTGGTGAATTACCTGTGCATGTGGCCCCTCCTGTTTACCCTAAATTGAGGGAGTATAGTGTATGCTTCTACTGAATACAAGCACTCGCATACAGAAACAGGGATGAGGAGGCGAGTCGCAGTCTCTCATGCCACCCTACACCGCCAAAACAGCCAGAGGGGACAGCAGCCTCTTCAAGACCCTAGCTCCGTTATCTTCCACTAGGTGGCACCCCCCAACTCCGAGTGCCAAGGGGAGAGGAAATTCCCAAAAGGGGAGCCAACCTAGCTGCAAATGAGCAGGAAAAAGTGGCTGGGAGAGGCGGAAGCTAGCTCGTCCCACCCGCAACAAGAGGAAGTAAGGAGGAGCCAGACCAGGTTCAGTCACCACTCCCAAGTCCCTACTACCTTCGAGAAGCCAAGGTCTCAGGTCTCGTTCCCAGGCCCTCGGAGCTCCCAGCCCAGGGTCGCGCGCCCCTCCGGCTCCAGGCCGCCGCGGGAACCACCCACCACCACCAGGAGAGGGGAAGAAGCCAGCACCTACCGACAGGGGTGGAGCTGGGTCAAGAATGGTGTGGTCCCTGCTTTGGGGGAATGCTGGGGAGGTAGAAAGCCCCTTCTAACGGGGCGTCACTGCAATTACTGCTTCCTCTTTCCCATAAAACTCCCCCTAGTGTATCAGAACCCCCAAGGAGTTTCAGTAAGCGGTTCTTCTGTTGTCTCCGGCTGAGACTCCAGGGGAACCTCAAGCTCACATGGCCCTGGCGGGCCCCTGGGCAGGAGCAGGCGAGAGGTCTGCGCGGCCGCTCTCCTACCTGCGTCCGACTCCGCGGTCCTTGGGCAGCAGCAACCGGGTAGCGCTCAGACTACAGACCCCAGCGCGATGACCCGCCTACCTCAGTTTCCATTGGCCAGGGATCAGGGCTACCCGCTCCCATTGGCTACTTATCAATATAGAGGTGGGGCCAGCCTGGAATGCTGTGTTTCTTTTCTACTCAAATCACTCTCCTCCCTGCTTCCTCTCGCCCCACACCCCATTTCTAGGGATCATGTGATTGGAGAATCATGTGACGTCGGGACAGCCTCAGCAGGGCAGCTGGTGCTCGTCGCCTTCCTTAACCCATCCTGCAGGCGCCTGGGGGAGTTTGCTAGAGATGATAGCGCGTGTCTGGGGCATTGACAGTGCGAGGGAGTGTTATGAATTGGGAATATTTGTGCTCGCCTTTCTATCCTTTTGTTTGTTTGTTCTGAGACGGAGTCTCACTCTGTCGCCAGGCTGGAGTGCAGTGGCACGATCTCGGCTCACTGCAACCTCTGCCTCCCGGGTTCAAGCGATTCTCCTGCCTCAGCCTCCCGAGTAGCTGGGACTACAGGCGCGCACCACCACGCCCAGCTAATTTTTGTATTTTTAGTAGAGACGGGGTTTCACCATGTTGGCCAGGATGGTCTCGATTTCTTGACCTCGTGATCCGCCCACCTCGGCCTCCCAAAGTGCTAAGATTACAGGCATGAGCCACCGCGCCCGGACTTGTGTGTTTGTTTTAGAGACAGGGTCTCGCTCAGTCGCCCAAGCTGATCATAGCTCACTGCGGCCTGCAACTCCTGCTCCCAAAGCGATTCTCCTACCGCAGCCCCCCAAGGCGCTGGGATTACAAATGTGAGCTACTGAGCTGGCTCGCTCCTATCCTATCCTGCCCTGTCTTGTCCTGTCCTGTCCTGCCCTATTCTGCCCTATTCTCCAAACTCGGTTGACATGCTAGGCAGGCCCCAGAGTGAGTTGAAGGATGGTTTCCAGGACAAAGATAAACAGCCCCAAAGCCCTTTCCTCAAGGTGCTCAGCAGGACAGGGAGCAGGGATTGGTGGGAGACAGTCTCAGGCTGAATCTAATTTAAGATACAAGGTTGTGCGCCAGTTGCCAGGTGTAGGGAGAGGAAGTAGATTGTCTCCAGGTGGGGAAGAAGAGATTTCATTCCACCTTAGGAGCATCTCCTTGAGCTGAGTCTGGGAAGATTTTAACTGGCAGGTGGAGGAGGAGGTGTTGGGAAGAGCCCTGGGAAACCAGATGGGAAGGGCAGGCTTGGCAGGGATTGAATGCCATGTTCAATGCCAGTGGGCTTCAGGAGCTGCTGGGTGCCTGGCACGGGCTGGGCTGTGGTGGGGGCTGTCGAAAGAGAAGTGGCTTCCTAGTCTCCAGATCGGCCCTGCCTTCGAGGAATTGATATGGGAGGGTGAGGAGAGAAAATGTACCACAGAACAGATTAGCCAGTGACAAGAGTCAGCCTGCTTGGTGCCAAAGGGCCTGGGCCAGGCAGAGATGGATGATGGGAGATGGGCCAGGAGAGAGGAGAGGCCCAGGGAAAGCCTGATACTGGGCCGTGGAGGAACGGCAGTGTCTGCACAGGGGATGGAGACTGCTGCAGCCTGAGCAAGGAACTGGAGCTGAGGATGAGGCAGGGGCAGGGGGATGGCTAACCAAGCTCGAGGCAGCAGAAGTCGGAGGAGGGAAAGGGTGCCAACCGAGCTGTGGAGTCGTGTGGCAGGGGTTCTAAGCCTGGAGCTAGAGCAGACCCAGACAGCGGATAAGACACCTGGCCTGCTGAGGACCTAGTACTAGTCTGTGCCCTGGTGACACATTTGTGCTTATTTTCCTTCCTGTGTATCTTGAGACTAGGGAGTATAGTTTATGCTTCTATTGAAACACACACACACATGAAACTTTCATGAAATGTTAGGTGAATCGATCAATAACCTACTAATTACAACCACCCAGAACCAGAAAAAAATACAGGTAGAAGAAAAAAAACCTAAACAGACTGAAACAAATATCACAAAGTCTAATCGTCAAAGCCGTGATTCTTGAGCAGCGGCAATTTTGCCGGCCAGGGACATTTAGGAGTGTCTGGAGACAATCTGGGTTGTCACAACTCAGGGTGGAGGGACACTGGCATCTGGTAGGTAAGGGCCAGCAATCCCACTAAACATCACACGACACACAGAACAATCCCCCACAACAAAGAAGTATCCTGCCCAAAAGGTCAATAGTGCTGAGACTCAACAACCTACTTCACAAATGTTTCTCTCTCTCTCTCTCGCTCTTTTTTTTTTTTTTTTTAACATCAGAAGGGTAAGGTGCCACGATAACGAGGTCTGTAATTCCCTACTCAGGAGGCCGAGGCAGGAGAATCGCTTGAACCCGGGATGCAGAGGTTGCAGTAAACCGAGATCGTGCCACTGCATTCCAGCCTGGACAACAGAGCGAGACTCCATCCACCCCCGCCAACACAAAAAAATTAAAGTGTACAACTCAATGGTTTTTAGTGTCTTAAGAGAGTTATGCAGCATCATTACAATCAGTTTAAGACCATTTTTATCACCACAGAAGGCAGCCTTATGTCCTTTAGCAGTCACCCTCCCTAACCCTAGGCAACCACTGATCTACTTTCTACCTCTATAGATTTGGATATTCCATATAAATGAAATTTTATAATATGTGATCTGCAACTGGCTTCTTTCACTTAGCATAATGTTTTCAAAGCTTATCACATAGCAGGTATCAGTATCTCATTTCTTTTTTGTTTGTTTCTTTTCATTTGTTTGAGACAGAGTCTCACTCCAACACTCAAGCTGGAGTGCAGTGGCACGATCTTGGCTCACTGCAACCTCTGCCTCCTGGGTTCAAGCAATTCTCCTGTCTCAGCCTCCCGGATAGCTGGGATTACAAGCATGTGCCATGATGCCCAGCTAATTTTTGTATTTTAGTAGAGACAGGGTTCCGCCATGTTGACCAGGCTGGTCTCGAACTCCTGACCTCAAGTGATCCACCCACCTCAATCTCCCAGACTGCTGGGATTACAGGCGTGAGCCACCACGCGTGGCCCATTTTTGTTTGTTTCTTTGTTTTTGAGACAGAGCCTTCCTCTGCCGCCCAAGCTGGATTACAGTGGTGCCACCTTGTACTGCAGCCTCAGACCCTCCCACCTCAGCCTCCTGAGTAGCTGGGAATACAGACACATGCCACCACTCCCAGCTATATTTTGTATTTTTTTGTCTTAATATGTTGCCTAGTCTGGTCTCAAGCTCCTGGCCTCAAGTGATCCTGCTGCCTCAGCCTCCCAAAATGCTGAGATTACAGATTACAGGCTTGAGCCACTGTGCCTATCTTCATCATCCCCCCAGCATTTTTTTTTTTTTTTTTGAGACAGGGTATTGCTCTGTTACCCAGGTTGGAGTGCAGTGGTGTCATCTCTGCTCACTGCAACCTCTGCCTCCTGGGCTCAAGTAATCCTCCCACCTCCGCCTCCCAAGTAGCTGGGACTACAGGTGCTTATCACCATGTCCAGCTAATTTTTGTGTGGTTTTTGTAGAGACAGGGTCTTGCCATGTTGGTCAGCTAGTCTCAAACTCCTGAACTCCAGGGATCCTCCCACTTCAGCCTCCCAAAGGGCTGGGATTACAGGAGTGAGCCACCACGCCCGGCCCATACAAGTTTTTGTGTGGACATGTTTTCATTTCTCTTGGGTATATACCTAGGAGTAGAATTAGTGGATTACATAATAATTCTGTTTAGCCTTTTGTGTAACTACCAGCCTGTTTTCCAAAGCAGCTGCACTATTTTACATTCCCACCAGCGATGTATGAGGGTTTCAATTTCTCTTTAGCCTCATCCATGGTTAACTTCTGTTATCATCTGTCTTTCTTATCATAACCATCCTAAGCCTTTAGTGTGAGCTGGTGGGCTGGCGACCCAGGAGAGCTGATGGTTAAGTCTGAGGGTAGCCTGCAGGAGAATTCCCTCTAGTTCGGCGAGGCCCGTCTTTCTGTTTTATTCAGGTCCATCCACATTATGGAGTATCGCGGGATCTGGCCAGCAGCCCACAAGGCAATGGGGCTCTCTCTTTGTCCCCAGGTGGATCGGCAGGTCGGGAAATAATAGACACACACAAGATAGTGAAAGCTGGGTCCAAGGGGGTCACCGCCTTCTGGTCCTGCGATGCTGCCAATGCACTGGATATACCAGCATTTATTATTAAGTTTAGTGAGGGCGAGGGTAGGTTAGTGAGGGATTTAGGGTCGTTTGATTATGAGGTGAGATGGTCACATGGGGATGAAGTAATTCTTTAACATAACATCTGTATGCAGAAGTACAGTATACAGAGATAAGAATTTACAATATAGTGTGTGCATCAGTAATTTCTAACAGAGCCTTAAAACAGAAACACAGTCTTTCCATAACCTATGATTAGCAAGATATTAATCAGCAGTAAGAGTTGCAGCAAAAGCTGGTTACAAACAATCCATAGAAACAGGACGTGAAGCTAGATAACCAGTTAGACCAGAAATTATCAGAAGGGAGTATGCCTTAACCTTAAAGAGGCCTAGAAGAGCCATGGCAAGATGAGGGCATTTATAGCCCTATCTTATCCATATGAACAGGTGCCGCTCATGCGTCCATTTATAGGCCCTCCACAAGGGTCACATTCCATTCCCAGGGCTATGAACATCTGCTTTTCTGGGATAGGAATATTGGTGATGTGAAACCTCCCTGACTGCACGTCTGTTCATAGGCTCTCTTCAGGGGGAAGCACATCACGAGCTGTTGGCTTATACTGGCAGTCCAACCTGGCATTGTCTTTACACAATCCTGCATGCAATTTCGTATTTACAATAATCAGGAGCATTTCATCTTTTATTCCGTAGCAATAGTTTCAGGGGGTCTCCCTACAATGGAGAGCAATTTGCTTTAACCAAAGTTCACTGATTTAAATGTTAATCTAATCCAGGAGCACCATCCAAGTAGATACATTGTTCTACCATCACAGTATTATTTGCTGATTGTTTTTGCAGTATTTTCTTTCTTGTTGAACTGTAGGAGCTGTTTATATATTCTGGGTATTTTGTATGTTTCAGATGCTTCCTCCCAATCTGTCATTTGTCTTTTGTGTTGTTGTTATGTCATCTGAAATATATTGGTCAATCTTTTCCTTTGTGGCTTCTGCTTTTTTTTTTTTTTTATTTTCCTTCGCTTAAGAAGTTACAGGGGCCGGGCGTGGTGGCTCACGCCTGTAATCCCAGCACTTTGGGAGGCTGAGGCGGGTGGATCACAAGGTCAGGAAATGGAGACCATCCTGGCTAACACGGTGAAACTCCATCTCTACTAAAAATCCAAAAAATTAGCCAGGCGTGGTGGTAGGCGCCTGTAGTCCCAGCTACTCGGGAGGCTGAGGCAGGAGAATGGCGTGAACCAGGGAGGCGGAGCTTGCAGTGAGCCGAGATGGCACCACTGCACTCCAGCCTGGGCGACAGAGCAAGACTCTGTCTCAAAAATTAAAAAAAAAAAAAAAAGTTACAGGGGGCCAGGCCTATTGGCCTGTAATCCAGCACTTTGGGAGGCAGAGGTGGGTAGATCACTCAAGGTTAGGAGTTCAAGACCAGCCTGGCCAGCATGGTGAAACCCTGTCTCTACTAAAAATACAAAAATTAGCTGGGCATGGTGGCACATGCCTGTAATCCCAGCTACTCAGGAGGCTGAGGGAGGAGAATCACTTGAACCTGGGAGGCGGAGACTGCAGTGAGCCAAGATGGCACCACTGCACTTGAGCCAGGGCAAGTGAGACTTTGTCTAAAAAAAAAAAAAAAACAACAAGTTACATACCAGCAGGCAGGCACAGTGGGTCACGCCTGTAATCCCAGCACTTTAGGAGGCCAAGGCCAAGGTGAAAGGATCACTTGAGCCTAGGAGTTTGAGACCAGCCTGGGCAACATATGGAGACCCCATCACTAAAAAAAAAAAAAAATTAAAAAAAAATTAAAAAATTTTCAGGCTGCCAGGAATGGTGGCTCACGCCTATAATCCCAGCACTTTGGGAGGCTGAGGTGGGTGGATCACCTGAGGTTAGGAGTTCAAAACCAGACTGGCCAACATGGTGAAACCCCATCTCTACTAAAAATACAAAAATTAGCCAGGGGTGGTGGTGCACATCTGTAATCCCAGCTACTTGGGAGGCTGAGGCACGAGAATTGCTTGAACCTGGGAGGCAGAGGTTGCAGTGAGCCAAGATTGCGCCACTGCACTCCAGCCTGGGAGACAGAGTGAGACTCTCAAAAATAAAAATAAAAATAAATCTGGCAACCCTAAAAGCTGAGGCTCAAGTGAGGGCACAGAAACAGCCACCTCCCCACCCCCACCTCTTTTTCCCCTTGCTGCTTGAGTCACCTCCGTGTGAGCGATTGTTGACCCAGTTCCAGGCGCCTGCCCTCATCATCAGGCACCTGACTAGTGTGCCTGCTGGGCCCCGCCTGGGCTGTCTGCCCCAAGAGGCCCCAAGGAAGTGTGAGGGATAGGCTAAGCCATACCCTGAAGCCCTAGCCTGTCACAGGAGACCACCCCACTGTATGAGCCCAGAGACAGTCACTCGGTCACCTGTCCTTTCTGGGCTTTGAAAGGGTGTGAGAGGGGAGAGGGATGGGGACCAGGGAGCCAGGCTGGGAGCAGGGACTTGGTAAGAGGATTCTTGGAGAGATCTTGGGATGGGAGCTTTAAGCTATTGCAGAAAGCTAGCCCGGAAGGGAGATTAGTGCTCAGTGCTTTCACAGATTACAGGAGAGGAAACTGAGGCTCAGGGAGGCTCAGGCTGAGGCCTCTTGACTGGAGGGCTTATAAGCTATAAAGTGCCCACACCAGGGTTCTGGGTCCAGGCAGGGCTGGCTTCATAGCCATGTGACGAGGGCCCTGTGCTCAGAAGCAGCCTGTGCTTTGTTTAAAGCTCTACAGGCCGGGTGCAGTGGCTCACGCCTGTAATCCCAGGACTTTGGGAGGCCAAAGCAGGATGACCACTTGAGCCCGGGAGCTCAAGGCTGCAGTGATATGTGATTGCAACAATGCACCCCAGCCTGGGCAAGAGAGCAAGACTCTGCCTCTAGGAAAAAAAAAAAATTTAAAGCTCTGCTGTCCTATCTTGAAATTCTTAATTTTTTTTTTTAAGACAGAGTTTCACTCTTGTCACTGTGGGCGGAGGATTACCCAGGTGCCGAGGCAAGAGATTGAAGGCACAGACTGTTTCAGTATAATAAAGAAAATAGTTAGAATGAGAATAGTTATAATACAAATTAGATATAGAGATGGTCATGGGCATTATCAATCATTAGTATAGACATTATTAATTATTAGCCTTTAATATGACTCTTTGTTGTATTACTAATATAACCAAGGAATAACCGGAGGGTATAGGGTCAGGTGCTGAAGGGACATTATGAGAAGTGACCAAGAAGGCAAGAGGTGAGCCCTCTGTCACGCCCTCATAAGGGCCGCTTGAGGGCTCCTTGGTCAAGCGGTAACGCCAGTGCCTGGGAAGGCACCCGCTACTTAGCAGACCAAGAAAGGGAGTCTCCTTTCCTTCGAGGAGTCAGGAAACACTCTGCTCCGCCAGCTTCTTGTGGGAGGCTGGATATTATCCAGGCCTGCCCGCAGTCATCCCAAGGCCTAAACCCCTTTCTGTGGTGCTGTGCTTCAGTGGTCACGCTCCTTGTCCACTTTCATGTTCCTCCCATACTCCTGGATTCCTCTTTGAAGTTCGTAGTAGATAGTGGTAGAAGAAATAGTGAAAGCCTTAAAGTCTTTGATCTTTTTGATACATGCATAGAAGAAAACGCTGACATATGCTGCCTTCCCTCTCTGCTTTGGCTACCTAAAAGGGAAGGGCCCCCTATCCCATGATCACTTGACTTGCTTGACCTTATCAATCGCTTGGACGACTCACCCTCCTTACCCTGCCCCCCTTGTCTTGTATGCAATAGATGTCAGTGCCCCCAGCCATTCGGGGCCACTACCGGTCTCCGCGTCTTGGTGGTAGTGGTCCCCAGGGTCCAGCTGTTTTCTCTTTATCTCTTTGTCTTGTGTCTTTATTTCTTATGATCTCTCATCTCCGCACACGGGGAGAACACCTGCTAAGCCCCGTAGGGCTGGACCTTATATGTCACCCAGGCTGGAGTGCAATGGCGTGATCTCGGTTCACTGCAACCTCCGCCTCCTGGGTTCAAGTGCTTCTCCTGCCTCAGCCTCCTGAGTAGCTGAGATTACAGGCATCTGCCACCATGCCCAGCTAATTTTTGTATTTTTAGTAGAGACGGGCTTTCACCACATTGGCCAGGCTGGTCTCAAACTCCTGATCTCAGGTGATCCATCCGCCTCAGCCTCCCAAAGTGCTGAGATTACAGGCGTGAGCCATCGCACCTGGCCAGAGTCCTAATACTTTTGAACAAGGAGACCCACATTTTCATTTGCACTGGACCTCCAAACTGTGTAGCCTGTCCTGGTGCTAGACACAGGCCACTCTCAGCCTCTGTCTCTCAGATTTAAAATGCAATGCAGGGGGGCTGAGGCAGCCAGATCATTTGAGGTCAGGAGTTCGATAGCAGCCTGGCTAACATGGTGAAACCTCATCTCTACTAAAAATACAAAAATTAGCCGGGCATGGTGGCGGGCGCCTGTAATCCCAGCTACTCGGGAAGCTGAGGTGAGAGAATCAGTTGAACCCAGGAGATGGAGGTTACAGTGAGCTGAGATCACGCCACTGCACTCTAGTCTGGGCGACAGAGCAAGATTCCGTCTCAAAATAAATAAGTAAATTTTTTAAAAAAATTAGCCAGGTGTGGTGGCACACCCCTATAATCCCAGCTACTTGAGAGGCTGAGGCACTAGAATTGCTTGAACCAGGAGGCGGAGGTTGCAGTGAGGCGAGATCATGCCACCGCACTCCAGCCTGGGCAACAGAGCGAGACTCTGTCTCAAAACCAATAAATAAATTAATTAAATAAAATACAATGCAGATTGACAGGGAATTCCTTCTTCATTATAAAGATCCAATGGGATTAGAGGTAAGAAAATGCTTTGTCAACTGAGAATGCACTAAAAACAGCAGGCATTTTTCTAGTTCAAGAAGGATCTGGGACTCGGGCCAGGTCTCCAGAAGCCCTCCCAAGCTGGACACGACCCCTTGCTCCCCAGGGGCTCCATCATTCTGGACCAGCTCCCCACACGGCAGGCAGAGATAGCAGGAGCAGACAGGCTATGTCCTTTCGGAACTATTCCAACTCATGAGTGGTAGGGCTGGGGGTCCTGGGGGGAATGCTCCATATCAGGACAGAGCGTCTCCCTTTAGGCAGAAAGGGAAACCAGAGCTAGGGGTGGGGGGTTACTGGGCTATGGGGGGGTAATGAGGGAGGAGAAGCAGGAACAGCCCAGTGCCCAGGCTAGAGGCTGTGGCAGGGTATTTGGGAACAGAAGTACTGACCACAGTCAGGAGACCCATGTTCCCATCCCAGCATAAGCCGTGAACTTGCCCAGTGACAGTGGATAAGCCACTTCTCTGTTTTGTTTTTCACTCAATAACTGTTTGTTTTTTGTTTGTTTGCTTTTTAGACACAGGGTCTTACTCTGTCACCTAAGCTGGAGTACAGTGGTATGATCATGGCTCACTGCAGCCTTGAACTCCTGAGCTCAATTGATCCTCCCACTTAAGTCCCCAGAGTAGCTGGGACTACAGGTGCACACCACCGTGTCCGACTAATTTTATTTTATTTTTTGGTAGAGATGGGGTCTGGTTGTATTGCCCAAGCTGGTCTCGAACTCCTGGGCTCAAGTGATCCTCCTAAAATGCTGGGATTACAAGCGTGAGCCATGGCACTGTTTTAACAAAGTGTCATATGCAAATACTTTTTTTTTTTTTTTTTGAGACACGGTCTCGCTCACCCAGGCTGGAGTGCAGTGGCGCGATCTCAGCTCACTGCAACCTCCACCTTCCAGGTTCAAGCGATCCCCCTGCCTCAGCTTCCTAAGTAGCTGGGACCACAGGTACACACCAACACGCCTGGCTACTTTTTTGTATTTTTGGTAGAGACAGGGTTTCACTATGTTGCCCAGGCAGGTCTCAAACTCTTGAGCTCAAGCGATCCGCCTGCCTCAGCCTCCCAAAGTGCTGGGATCACAGGCATGAGCCACCGCGCCCGGCCACAAATGCATTTTAATCAAATTATAACAAAAAGCAGCACCCTTGTCCTCTCGCCTTTCCCACCCCAGACAGGCAGGTGGCAGGTGCCAGAGGACAAGAGTCAGTGCTTTTCTGCAAGCCTAGCAGACAGGCTGGGAGCAGAGCAAACGGGCCTCTTCACTGTCTGCTGAGCTTGGATTCCAGCGTGGCCTCCTGCCAGCTGGGTGACTTTGGCTTATTGTTTTGACCCTAAATGCCTTCATCTGTGAAATGGGCTCATTGGAATGCCTGTCTCCCAGGGTGCTCAGGAGGCCTGAATGAGCAAAACATCTTGTGGAGTGCCTGGCACATCACAGTTCCTCAATAAACAGTCACTTCCTCCTCTCTCACTCCTATGTTTGAATGAATTTTGACCAGCAAATTGCACTTATTCAACACAAAGAAATTCATTTTCCAATTAAACTTTACAAAATCAATGATATAAAATTTGATTTTACTAGAGTGGAAAGAAAAAAAAAAACCAAAGACAGAAACCCAGGTCCTCTAAACCCTTCCCAGCTCCTCCATGACACAGCCCCTGGGCCCACATCTGAGAACACTGTGTCCTTCCCCTGGGAGGGGTGGCTACCGGGTCAGGAAGGCCCATGGGGGGCCAGGCGCCACTTGGTGGTCTGGCCAGTGTCCTGTGTCCCTATGGGCATGGGGAGTACCCTTCACCACCCTGTTCCTTTTGCTAAGGTTGAGAATGGTTGGGGTTGTTTCACCTCTGAGTGGTCCCTGAATTGCTTGGGGACTCTAGGAGTTGGATCCTATCTGTTGTTAAGGGCAGCAGGTAGACAGTTTGGGTGGTGGCAGTGGAAGGACAGGCGGGCACTGTTGACTCTGGCTGTGAGAGCTGGGAGCAGGAGTAGAGATGGCAAGAATCAGGCCTGTGTTTCAAATGCAGAGTTCCTGTAACACTCCAGAGAATGATCTCCATTCACAGGCATATGAGATGCTAAAGTCTTATCCAGTCATTAGCTAGGATGCAGTGGTGTTGGTGTCTGAGTGCAAATCAATCAGAGCCCAGAGTTTTGCCCACCTCACCAGCTCCACTGGATGCCGATGCCAGCTCAGCTCACGGCCCTGATCCTCCCTCCCAGCCCTCCCAGCCCTGCCAGCCCACCTGAGTGCCCCTGGCCTTTCTCCAGGTGGGCCCCCTGTGAGTCAGGAGATGTCTGCTCCAACTGACTTGAATGGATTACTCAACTCCTCCAAGACTCGGTTTCCTCATCTGTAAAATGTGTACACAATAACCCCCGCTTGCCCTCCACACAGTCATGTGAGGTTCAAACGGGATGATGGATGTGAAGAGATCTTGTAAACTGGCACATTAAAAACAGGAGGAATTCTTTTTAGGACATCAAAGGGGTTCCTCTTGTTAACCCGGTGGGGACCTGTCTCTGAAGCAATAGGCCAGGGCCTAGGTGAGGAAGCTGCCCCACTCAGAGAGCTCAGAGAGGTTGGGTCAGAGTCATCTCCAGAACCCAGAGAAGGGCAGGGAGAAGTCAGCTGCACGGAGGACAGGAAGGGAGAAGGAGCGGCCCGCCCCAGGCCAGCTTTCCCTGTCATGCACTGTTGCCACACCCCTCATCTCTCAGCTTAGACCTTGGCAGCCCTAGGAAGGAAGTGGGGCCAGGAGTACTATCCTTTCAATTTTATTTTATTTTTTATTTTAATTTGGTTATTTATTTATTTTTGAGACAGAGAATCGCTCTGTTGCCCAGGTTGGAGTGCAGTGGTGTGATTTCAGCTCACTGCACCCTCTGCCTCTCAGGTTCAAGCGATTCTTGTGCCTCAGCCTCCCAAGTAGCTGGGATTACAGGTGTGCACCACCACGCCCAGCTAATTTTTGCATTTTTAGTAGAGATGGGGTTTCACCATGTTGATCAGGCTGGTCTCGAACTCCTGGCCTCAGGTGATCTGCCCACGTTGGGCTCCCAAAGTGCTGGGATTATAGGCGTGAGCCACCACACCCAGTTTTCCATTTTAAAGATGAAGAAACTGAGACCCAGGATGGAGACAAGGTCCCCTAATTCTCTGAATTAGCAGAGAAATCTGTACTCAAATACATATAAGGGGACTTTAATTCAATCTCTTCTGCTAGGATGATAGCTGGCATACTTCATTTCAGTGTTTTTAAAAGGTAGGTCCTGTTACTGTTTATTGAGATTTATATTGTGCCAGGTTCTGTATTATGCTCTTTAATCTGTAACACAATCCTTTGAGGTAGTACAATTATTATTCCCATCTTACAGTGAAATGACTAAGGCTGGGCCCTGTGGTGTAATCCTGACACTTTGGGAGGTGGATGCAGGAGGATCACATGAGCCCAGGAGTTTGAGACCATCGTGGGCAACATACTGACACCCCTTCTCTATAAAAAATAAACAAAAATTAGCTGGGCGTGGTGGTGCGTGACTGTGGTCCCAGCTACTGGTGGGGGGAGGGGGGAGAGAGCTGAGGTGGGAGGATCGCTTTAATCCAGGACGTCGAGGCTGCAGCGAGCTGTGATTGTGCCACGGCACTCCAGCCTGGGCAACAGAGTGAGAGACCCTGACTCAAAAAAATATATATATATATGTATTAGCCAGGCGAGGTGGCACGCTCCTGTAGTCCCAGCTACTTGAGAAGGTGAAGCACTAGGATCACTTGAGCTCAGGGATTCAATGCTGCAGTGAGCTATGATCACACCACTGCACTCCAGCCTGAGCAACAGTGAGGTCCCGTCTTAAAAAAAAAAAAAAAAAAAAAGGCCAGGCACGGTGGCTCACACCTGTAATCCCAGCACTTTGGGAGGCCGAGGCAGACAGATTACCTGAGGTCGGGAGTTTGAGACCAGCCTGACCAACATGAGGAAACCCTGTCTCTACTAAAAATACAAAATTAGCTGGGCGTGTACTTGGGAGGCTGAGGCAGGAGAATTGCTTGAACCCAGGAGGCAGAGGTTACAGTGAGCCAAGATCGTACCACTGCACTCCAGCCTGGGCGACAAGAGCAAAACTCCATCTCAAAAAAACAAAACAAACCAAACAAAAAATGAAATGGCAAATGACCTTCGGTAAAGTTCTTGAAGACAAAACCCAATTTTCCATACAACTGCAGAGTGGTTTTATTCCTGGAAAACTCAATGCATAGCAGAATATAAGTATTCAAAAGAAGTATGGTTACAACCTGGGCAGCATAGCGAAACCCTGTCTCTACAACAAATACAAACGAATTAGTCAGGCAGAGGAGTGTGCTACTCGGGAGGCTGAGGTGGGAGGATCGCTTGAGCCGGGGAGGTCGAGGCTGTAGTGAGCTGTGATCGTGCTACTGCACTCCAACCAGCGACAGAGTGAGAGACCCTGTCTAAAAAAAAAAAAAAAGGTGTGGGTATATGGGTAAAACAGAACCATTTTCCAGGTCTGAGAATTGCAAACATTTCCTCATGTATGTAATTGCCCAGAAAGACAGAAGGAAATTGAGAGATGTGTTCTTGTTGTTGGAAATTCCCTATTGTGTCAGACTGTCCTACACCTTACAGGGCATTTAGCTTCCCTGACCTGCCATCTATCAAATGCCAGAAGCCCCAGTCTTGTGACAACCAGAAATGACAGTGGCCGCATAAATTTCAAAAAATGTCCTCTAGGGGGCAGTAACGCTGCTGTTTGGAACGAGTGTCCAGCACGCTCTCAGCACCTGCTGTTTAATTTAACTCTGTCTTTGAGATTGTTTTACATAATGATATAGAGATCTGCAGCCCTCACCCCCCACCCCACCTGGATAGGTCAGGGAATGCCGCCCTTTCAAGGCTGTGTGGATTTGTCACATGGAGATAGGGTCACGTACTTAACAGTTCCCTTTCACGGGATGTTCTGCTGTTACAAAGAAGGCTGCAATGAAGAAGGCCAAGCTGGTACCATCATTTCACACTTGTATGAGCAGATGACTAGAGAAACGCTTAGAAGTGGCCTGGCTGGATCAAGGGTTTGGCGTTTAGAATTTTCATAGCTATGGCTAAAACTACCTTCCATATTAATCCACGCTGTCCCAGCAGAGCTCTGGGACCCAGGCTGGGGGACATGCTGGAAAGTCTTAGCCAGGACCCTCTCCCTCTAGGGGCCCACCTCCTCAGACCACACCCAGGGCCCCCCAATAAAGCCTTGGGTGCCTAGACACTTCCAGCCCACCTTCTCAGGCCACAGAGGCAGGGGGAGACAGGGAGGACTTCCCCAAATTGGGCTGATCCCAGCTGTTTTATATATATATATATATATATATATATATATATATATATATATATATACACACACACACACACACAAATATACATATATATACACTCACACACATACACACACGTATGCATATATATATATATATATATCTTCTTTTTTTTTTTTCTTTGAGACGGAGTCTCGCTCTGTCACCCAGGCTGGAGTGCAGTGGTGTGATCTCAGCTCACTGTGACCTCCACCTCCTGGGTTCAAGCGATTCTCCCGCCTCAGCCTCCTGAGTAGCTGGGATTATAGGCACCCGCAACCACGGCTGGCTAATTTTTGTATTTTTAGTAGAGATGGGGCTAACATTTTGCTACACTGGCTTTTTTTTTTTTTTTTTTTTTGAGATAAGATCTTGCTCTGTCACCCAGGCTGGAGTGCAGTGGCACAATCACTGCTCACTGTAGCCTCCACCTCATGGGCTCAAGCAATCCTCCCACCTCAGCCTCCCAAGTAGCTGAGACTACAGGTGCACAACACCACACCCAGTTAATTTTTTTTTTGTTTTTTATAAGAGACAGGGTCTCCCTATGTTGCCCAGGCTGGTCTCAAACTCCTGGGCTCAAGCGATCCTCCTGCTGCCTCAGCCTCCATTACAGGCATGAGCTACCATGCCTGGCTTCTTTTTTTGCTGAGCCATTTAGGACTAAGTTACAGACATCACAACACTTTATTCATCCCTAAACACTACAGTATGTGTTTCCTAAGAACAGGGCATTCTCCTACAAAATCACAGTATTGTTATCACTCCAGAAATTTTAACACTGATAAAGTAATATTGGCCAGGTGCTGTGGCTCACGCCTATAATTCCAGCACTTTGGGAGGCCGAGGTGGGTGGATCACCTGAAGTCAGTAGTTCAAGACCAGCCCGGCCTACATTGCAAAACCCTGTCTCTACTGAGAATACAAAAATTGGCCAGGCATGGTGGTGCATACCTGTAATCCCAGCTACTCGGGAGGCTGAGACAGGAGAATTGCTTGAACCTGGGAGGCCAGGCATGGTGGCTCATGCCTGAAATCCCAGCACTTTGGGAGGCCAAGGTGGGTGGATCACCTGAGGTCAGGAGTTTGAGACCAGCCTGGCCAACATGGAAAACCCGGTCTCTCCAAAAATAAATAAATAAATAAATAAATAAATAAATAAATAAATAAATAAACAAAAAAAAATTAGCCGGGCATTGTGGTACAGAGCAAGACTTCGTCTCAAAAAAAAAAAAGAGTAATTAGCATACAGACCTTATTCCCTTTTCTCCACTTGTTCCAATAAAGTCCTCCATCACTCCCCTACTCCTTTCCACCCTCAGAATCCATTAAAGATCAGACTACAGGCCGGGCGCGGTGGCTCACGCCTGTAATTCCAGCACTTTGGGAGGCCGAGGCAGGTGGATCATGAGGTCAGGAGATCGAGACCATCCTGGCTAACAAGGTGAAACCCCGTCTCTACTAAAAATACAAAAAATTAGCCGGGCGCGGTGGCGGGCGCCTGTAGTCCCAGCTACTCGGGAGGCTGAGGCAGGAGAATGGCGTGAACCCGGGAAGCGGAGCTTGCAGTGAGCCGAGATTGCGCCACTGCAGTCTGCAGTCCAGCCTGGGCGACAGAGCGAGACTCCGTCTCAAAAAAAAAAAAAAAAAAAAAAAAAAGATCAGACTACATTTGCTATGGGCCTGGGATTTGGACTTTTCCTCTGGGCAGTAGGGGGCCTCAGTGGTTCTGCAGCCCTGGGCCCTGCTTTGGGAGACTACTCTAGATGCAGACAGTGCTGGCCCTGGACTCAGAGGTGCTGGTGGGGTCCCATCCATGGGTGAAGCCCTTGAGTCCTCCATCAGCCCCAGAGATGTCTTCCTAGGCCCTGGGGGTTCAAGCTGGAGGGGACACTGCCCCTGTCCCAGGGCTTGCCTTGGACAAATTCAGCCTTGTAATAAACTGGCCCCTTGGGTATCAGGTGAGGACTGGTCCTTCAGTCTCCACAACCACCCCTGCAGCTGGTACTTTCTTCTCCCCTTTTACAGTTAAAAAGGGAGAGTTTCTGCTTTTCCATCTGTGCGAGGAAGCTGCAGATGGCCACATGGGGCCACATGTTGCCTCTGGAAGGACCACTGGGTGCATAACCAATGTAAACCTTGCCTGAGTCAGCCAGGCCAGTGGCCACCTCTGCAGCCTTCCAGGCTTGCTCCTCGAGGGTGGGCGTGTTGAGTCAGGGCTCCATAGCTTCTGGAGCATGTCAAAGCTCCTCCTCCACCCTGAACTGCCACGGTCATTCTTGGGAGAGACTTCACGAGGTCCCGAGGTGTCCCATCACCCATGGATAACCTCTCCAGCGGCCACTGCTTTGGTCACACCCATGAGGCCTCATGGTTCTCTAAGCTTCAAAGCATTTACATTCTGGAGAAGGTAAGGACTGTGATCCACGCGGCTCTGGGCCCCTGGCAGGTCTCACAGAACTGTTTATTGACTCTTCATGTAGCTTTCAGAGACATGATATTAAGAATCTGTACGTTAGGCAGAGCAGGTGATATCGTCCTTATTTTCAGATGAGGAAACAGGTGTATCCACAAATCTCTAAGGATCCTATTTAAGAGCATCACAAAAAGAAAACCAGAAATGGAGTGCAAGGCCCTCAATGTACTGTTGGGGAAACAGGCTCAGAGGTCCCCAGGTTTGATTCCTGGCTGTGCTACTTTGCACTGGTGACCTTCGTTCTGGGTATAAGAAGTTATTATTATCCATCACTGCATACTGGAGGCAGAGGTGGGGCCAGAATCTGGGGAACTTTCCATGCCACAGGTTCTAGAGAGCAATTAACAACAATACAGTAACAGCAATAGTAGTAGTTGTCATAGAATGCTTGCCACTTGCCAGGGTTCTAAGCACGTCACAGCCATTAATGCATTAAATCCTTACATAATCCCTAGAGGAAGGTGCGTTATCATCACCATCAGCCCATTTTGTAAATGGGGAAACTAAGGCTTAGAGGCCTTAAGACACTTGCTTGTAAGAGGCAGGTGAGATGGAAAGCCAGGTCAGGGTGCTGCTGGAACACAGCACCTGGGTTGAGAACTGGACAGGGTGGGAGCCCATCTGGCTCAGGCACGTTGGGGGGTCTAATGCTGACTCTTTCATTTGAGTGACCTTGGGGCGATTTGACCTTTGGGGCCCCCCTTTTCTCATCCATAAAACGGGAGAGTGTGTGCAGGGAAAGTCTGGGTTCTCCTCCACACGAGTAAAGTCACTACACACAAGAGCCCTCAGTTTCCTCCCCTGTTCCGTAAACCAAAACGTCTAAGTTGTAAAGAACCTTGGCGGAGAGTAGGCTTTCACCTTGACCGATAGTTTATTTATTTATTTATTTATTTATTATTTTTTGAGACAGAGTCTCCCTCTGTCATCCAGGTTGGAGTGCAGTGGTGTGATCTCGGCTCACTGCAGCCTCGACCTCGCGGGCTCAAGCGATTCTCTGGCCTCAGCCTCCCAAGTAGCTGAGACTACAGGTGCGCACCACCACCGCTGGCTAATTTTTGTATTTTTAGTAGAGACGGGGCTTCGTCATGTTGGTCAGGCTGGTCTCGAACTCCTGTCCTCAGGTGATCCGCCCACCTCGGCCTCCCAAACTGCTGGGATTACAGGCGTGAGCCCGACCTTGACTGATAGTTGATTAAATTATTTCGTGTCATTTCTGAACTCAGCTTGAGATGGGAAGGGAATGGAAAGGACGCCTTCTCTCGGGCCCTTTTGCCCAGCGCCCCTTTACAGGTCACAGATTGCACTCTCCCTGCTCCCAAGCTGGAGTTTCAGAGCTGTGGGGGAGCTCAAAGGCATTTTGTCAGGGAAAGCTGATAGTTGGCCCCTCGGAGTCCACGTGCTAACCCGGCAGGCGCCGGCTGACTGGGCTCCTCCAGCGCCGGACGCGACCAGTGGGGGCCTGAAGGGCGGGGAAGGCAGAGACGTCAAAGTCGAGGCCTACCCTTCTTAAAGGCGCAGGCTAGGAGTACCCATCTCCCCGCCCGCCCCCCCCCGCCTCCACCCGCCCGCCCGCCCCCCTCCGCCACCGCCCGCGCGTGCTGGTTTCTCTGTTAGGACAAATAAGCAAGATAGCACAGAAGTTCTAAACGCGAAGTGGGTGGTGGGGCCTGGGGTACGGGGCTGCCCCGGGAAATAAAGTGTCTCCCTGACAAGCGGGATCGGAGAGGGCAGCGCTGGACTTAAGCCTTCCTGTCTCCCGGGGAGGCAGTGTGGAGCCCTGGGAAAAGCACCCGGCCGGTTCGAATCTCCGGCTCTTCACGTCGAGCCTCAGTTTCACTTTCTGTAAAACGGGGTAATCTATTTCTTTTTCAGACGGAGTTTCGCTCTTGTTGCCCAGGCTGGAGTGCAATGGCGCAGTCTCGGCTCACCGCAACCTCCGCCTTCCGGGTTTAAGCGATTCTCCTGCCTCAGCCTCTCGAGTGGCTGGGATTACTGGCATGCGCCACCACGCCCGGCTAATTTTTTGTATTTTTAGTAGAGACGAGGTTTCACCATGTTGGTCAGGCTGCTCTCGAACTCCTGACCTCTGGTGATCCGCCCGCCTCGGCCTCCAAAAAGGCTGGGATTACAGGCGTAAGCCACTGCGCCCGGCCTTTTTTTTTGAGACGGAGTGTTACTCTGTTGCCCAGGCTGGAATGCAGTGGTGCGATCTCGGCTCACTGCAACCTCCGCCGGCCGGGTTCAAGCGATTCTCCTGCCTCAGCCTCCCGAGTAGCTGGGATTACAGGCGCCAGCCATCATGCCCGGCTACTTTTGTATTTTTAGTAGAGACGGGGTTTCACCATGTTGGCCAGGCTGGTCTCGAACTCCTGACTTCAAGTGATCCGCCCGCCTCGGCCTCCTAAAGTGCTGGATTACAGGCGTGAGCCACCGCGCCCGGCCTGTGGTAATCTATTTCAACAATAACCTACTGCAAAGAGTTTTGAGACTCAGAAGAAATCACGATACGAGAGCAACCAACACCAAAACGTCGATGCCCTCCCGCACTCAGTGCTCTTCCTCTCCGCGCAGAGTCATTCCGGGCCTTAGGCGAGGTTGTGATTTGCCCAAGGTCACGCGAAGGTGGGATCTGGCTCCCCATGGCTCTCCCGTCTCCCCCGGCTTGCTCACGTCCCAGCCCGCCCGGCCCGGGCTGCAGCTCAGCTAACCCAGTGGCGCACACCCGCGCGGGGCCCTGTGGTTTACAAAGCGTTTTGCAGTTGCAGGCCTGTCCTGTAACCTGAAAAATGGGGGCGATGCTAAGGCCGGCGAGAGAAGTCGCCGCGAAGTTTTCAAGTCTCGGCGGGTAGCCCGGCAAGTAACTTCGTCGTTATTGTGTGGTCTCCCGGCGATCTCGAAGAACTCATTCTCACTGCCGCCGCCACGCACCTGAGGACACCGAGGAAGAGGGCCAGTGCGTCACCCTCGCCGTCCAGAAGGCGCTGGGGTTTCCAGTGCCGCGCGCGGCCGGGGCGGGGCTGGTGAAAATGCGCTGTTAAGGCCGGCGCGGCGGCTCACGCCTGGAATCCCAGCACTTTCGAAGACCGAGGTGGGCGGATCGCTTGAGCCCAGGAGTTCCAGACTAGCCTGGGCAAAATAGGGAGACAAAAATAAAAGTAACAAACCAGCCGGGCGTGGCGGCGCGCGCCTGTGGTCCCAGCTACTCCGGAGGCTGAGGCAGGAGGATCGCTTGAACCCGGGAGGTCAAGGCTGCAGTGAGCCTAGATCGCGCCACTGCCCTCCAGCCTCGGCGACAGAGCGAGGCTGAAAAAGATGCTGTCTAAAAAAAGATGCTGGAAGTGCGTGCTGCTGCCACGTTAAGCGCGACGTGGAGACCGCGAAGTTGGCCGGCAGCTCTCAGCGCTGGACAGGCATGGAACTCGCCCGCGCGGCCCCGTCAAGGGGGCGGGACCGTCGCAGGTCCGGGCGGAGACGCGAGTGGGCGGAGCCGGGGACACTCCGGGCTTGCGGCTGGTCGGCCCGCGGCGGGCGGGGCCTCGTGGCGCGGTGTAGGGGCGGGGCCCCCTTGGCTGCTTTCGGCGTCGGCCTAGGTGCGCTGCGAGCGCGCGCGGACCGCGCACAGGCGGCGGAGCCGGTATGGGCCCGCCTGACCCTGGGCGCCGCGCCGCACGAGCACCAGCCTAGAGCCAGGTAGGCGGCACTGGGCCGGGGCTGGGGGCGGAGACGGAAGCGGGGGTCTCCGGGCGGCCGTGCGAGCCAGGGCAGGTGCTGGGGCCGTCGAGCTGGCGTGGTCCCCCTCACCTGGCGGCTCTCCGCCGTTCGGGGCCGGGAGTGTCGCCGAGGGTCGGGGAGACGTCCTGGTCCTACGTTCCTACTTCCCGCTCTCCCGGCTGCGCCCCGGGCCTGCATTTTGGGGCGGGAACCCAGAGACTGCTCTTTCTCTCCGGGCCCCGGGTCTGGCCCGTCCGGCCGGGCGGGGAGGGCCGGGCATCCCAGCCCGCAGTCCTGAGGAGGCGACGGGCCCTTCTTGGTCACCGGATCTGTTTACACGTCACCCTCGATGCCCGGCCGTCCCTCCACGCCCAGTAACTTGGGCTCTCAGGTGCCTGCCCGGGGCCTTGGTGCTGGAGTGGGGGCTGTGGGGGCAGCACAGGTACTCTGATTTTGGGGCCACGAGGGCCAAATCCGCGCCTGCACGTAGGAGGTGCGCAGTGGACACGTGCGAGGTGGACGAGGGAAGGACCCTGGCTCCTACTGCATTCGAGCGATAGGTCTGGCACCCTAGCTTCCTTCGGAACCACTCCTGAGTGACCTTGGGCAGGCCACCTCGTCTCCCCGAGCCTTAGTTTTCCCCGGCGGAGGGGGGCGGACAGTCCCTGCTTTAGAGGTCATTGCCAGGGTTGTTGAGGCAACAGATGTTTCGAGGGCGGTGGATGAGGGTTGGGTTAAAGTCTCACAGTGGGCCGGGTGCGGTGGCTCACGCCTGTAATCCCAGTGCTTTGGGAGGCTGAGGCGGGCGGATCACGAGGTCAGGAGATCGAGATCATCTTGGCCAACATGGTGAAACCCTGTCTCTACTAAAAATGCAAAAATTAACTAGGCGTGGTGGTGCGCGCCTGTAGTCCCAGCTACTTGGGAGGCTGAAGCAAGAGAACCGCTTGAACGGGGGTGGATGTTGCAGTGAGCCAAGATGGTGCCACTGCACTCCAGCCTGGCAACAGTGCGCAGAGCGAGACGCCGTCTCAAAACAAAAGTCTCACAGTGGCCCAGCCTCCTTTCCTGCCATCCCTGGAGTTGTGGTCTGTTTGAGGTTTGGTTTTCAGGACTGAAGCTTCAAGATGGCTGACCAGGACCCTGCGGGCATCAGCCCCCTCCAGCAAATGGTGGCCTCAGGCACCGGGGCTGTGGTTACCTCTCTCTTCAGTAAGACCTAGGGGAGGTGGGGTGGGGGCGGGTGGGGATGGGGCAGACCGGAGATTGGAGGCTGTGTGGTCCTGGGGGAGGAGTCCTAGGGGTGGGGTCCTGAAAGGAGCCTTCAGACCCGCTTCCTCCCCCAGTGACACCCCTGGACGTGGTGAAGGTTCGCCTGCAGTCTCAGCGGCCCTCCATGGCCAGCGGTGAGTACCTGACCTGGAACTAGTGAGGGGTGGTGCCTGGGCAAAAGAAAGATCTCCCAGAGGCTGGCCGTGGTTTCTCATACCTGTAATCCCAGCGCTTTGGGAGGCTGAGGTGGGTGGATCACCTGAGATCAGGAGTTCAAGGCCAGCCTGGCCAACGTGGTGAAACTCTCTCACTACTAAAACTACAAAAATTAGCCGGGCTTGGTGGCATGCGCCTGTAGTCCCAGCTACCTGGGAGGCTGAGGCAGGAGAATCGCTTGAACCGGGAAGGTGGAGGTTGCAGTGAGCTGAGATTGTGCCACTATGCTCCAGGGTGGGCGACAGAGCAAGACTCCATCTCAAAAAATAAAATAAAAAGATCTCCCAGAGATGGGGTCCCTAGGGCGGGTGGGGGCTCTCCTGACTTGAGGGGCTGCCTTGTATTTTAGAGCTGATGCCTTCCTCCAGACTGTGGAGCCTCTCCTATACCAAATGTGAGTGCCCCAAGCCACAGGGAGCATGGGAGGGTGCAAGGGGGAGACAGTCCTTGTCCCTGTCCCCAGGGCACCAGTGGGCTCCACAGCCATGGACTAGCATATACTCCCAGGTCCTGCCAGCCAGTCCTGTGACCTGCACCAGAACATCCACACAGGGACCTGGCCTTTACTGGCCTTCCAGGGATAGGGGCCCACTGCCTCCCTGCAAGGTTCTAGGATCCTGTCATTATAATGCCCCCTGCCTTTCCCCAGTGCCCTCCTCTCTCCAATCCACAGGGAAGTGCCTCCTGTATTGCAATGGTGTCCTGGAGCCTCTGTACCTGTGCCCAAATGGTGCCCGCTGTGCCACCTGGTTTCAAGACCCTACCCGCTTCACTGGCACCATGGTGAGGAGCAGCTGGGTCCGTAGGGATTCGTCGGTGTCCGTGAGGAGTTCGGTCTGGCTGGGCAGCAGACCCAGGAGTAAAGGGATTGGGCAAGGCACGCAGAGGTAGCCGGTTCCGTCAGGAAGTGCTTCCGGAGAAGGCAGTACCTCCATGGGGTGTTTGTTTTCTTTTAGACAGAGTCTCGCTCTGTCACCCAGGCTGGAGTGCGGTGGTGTGATCTCAGCTCACTGCAACCTCTGTCTCCTGGGTTCAAGTGGTTCTCCTGTCTCAGCCTCCGAAGTAGCTGGGATTACAAGCGTGCACCACCACCTGCCGCTAATTTTTGTATTTTTAGTAGAGACAGGGTTTTGCCGTGTTGGCCAGGCTGGTCTCGAACTCCTGCCTCAAGTGATTTATCCGCCTTGGCCTCCCAAAGTGCTGGCTGGGATTACATATGTGAGCCACCGTGCCTGGCCTCCATAAGGTTTTTGAAGGGTGACCAGGTGTCCGCCTGGACCCAGCTGCTGGGGTACTGCATGTGTAGAGGCAGGGAGGCCTGAGGGCTGTGGGCAGAGGCTGAGGGCGTCAGGCAAAGGCCTAGCCTGGGCCAGCCCCATCACAGACATCACTTGTGTCCCTCCTCTTCCCCTGGGCTGGTGCCTGCTTGGCCAGGATGCCTTCGTGAAGATCGTGAGGCACGAGGGCACCAGGACCCTCTGGAGCGGCCTCCCCGCCACCCTGTGAGTAGCCGGGTCCTGCACCACTCTCCTCTGGTACTTCCTGACCCTTTGCTCCCTGTTGAATGGCTAGGTGGGGCAGGTGATGCTTTAAAAGTTTGGGTCCTTTTGGGAGTCCCAGCTAACCTCTCTCTGTATCCCCAGGGTGATGACTGTGCCAGCTACCGCCATCTACTTCACTGCCTATGACCAACTGAAGGCCTTCCTGTGTGGTCGAGCCCTGACCTCTGACCTCTACGCACCCATGGTGGCTGGCGCGCTGGCCCGCCGTGAGCATAGTCTTGGGCCTTTGACCTCCCTCTGTCCCCACCTCGGCCCAAACCCAGTCAGTCCCAGCTCCCAGCCCCAACCTCTGCCAGCCTAGGGATAGGGGGGTGTTCTAGGTCCCCAGACCTGGGACAGCAGGTAGGTGATGCCATGTAAGACCTGTGATCTCACTTCTCCCCATTGTCACCCCCAATCCCCACACAGTGGGCACCGTGACTGTGATCAGCCCCCTGGAGCTTATGCGGACAAAGCTGCAGGCTCAGCATGTGTCGTACCGGGAGCTGGGTGCCTGTGTTCGAACTGCAGTGGCTCAGGGTGGCTGGCGCTCACTGTGGCTGGGCTGGGGCCCCACTGCCCTTCGAGATGTGCCCTTCTCAGGTAGGCACCCAAGCTGCAGGGGGTGGGTGAGGGAACCCTGGGGTGATGCACAAAGGGTCTACAGCCAAGTCCCAGCTTTGTGACTAGTGACCATGAAGTTACTTAGCTTTTCTGAGCCATGGGTTTCTCATCTGTGAAGTGGGCCTAGCAGGTAGAGTATTTGCCCAGGCGGTCAGGAGATTAATTCCTACAGAGTGCCTGCTTCTGAGCCTGCATGTAGCAGACAAGACTCACAGCTGGGAGGGAGTGGTGGCAGTGAAAGGTGGACGGTCTGGGGCCACTTCCTTGCCCTTCCCGTCTCTAATCAGTGCATCCCCCACCCCAAGCCCTGTACTGGTTCAACTATGAGCTGGTGAAGAGCTGGCTCAATGGGTTCAGGCCGAAGGACCAGACTTCTGTGGGCATGAGCTTTGTGGCTGGTGGCATCTCAGGGACGGTGAGTGGACTGGGCTGGAGGTGAGGCCAGCGGAGGTCTCCCTGCGGGGGGCCTGAGGATTTTTGGAGATGCCCAGAAGCAGACCCCATGAGGCCTTTGTCCCTCCCAGCCGCAAGAGCCATCTGGGAGGTAGGGGTGGGGGTCCAGGAAGTGGAGCTGAGCCCTCTCCCCGCCCACCCCACCAGGTGGCTGCAGTGCTGACTCTACCCTTTGACGTGGTAAAGACCCAACGCCAGGTCGCTCTGGGAGCGATGGAGGCTGTGAGAGGTGAGGGCCCAGATTGCCGTGGCAGGGGACAGGTGGGGTCCTGAATGGGGTCTCACTGAGCCGGCCTCGCGTTTGCAGTGAACCCCCTGCATGTGGACTCCACCTGGCTGCTGCTGCGGAGGATCCGGGCCGAGTCGGGCACCAAGGGACTCTTTGCAGGTCAGTGTGTGGGTGTCGGGGGTGGGGGCATGGCGGACCTGCGACCTGACCCCTGACACGGGCCTCCTTTCCACTGCAGGCTTCCTTCCTCGGATCATCAAGGCTGCCCCCTCCTGTGCCATCATGATCAGCACCTATGAGTTCGGCAAAAGCTTCTTCCAGAGGCTGAACCAGGACCGGCTTCTGGGCGGCTGAAAGGGGCAAGGAGGCAAGGACCCCGTCTCTCCCACGGATGGGGAGAGGGCAGGAGGAGACCCAGCCAAGTGCCTTTTCCTCAGCACTGAGGGAGGGGGCTTGTTTCCCTTCCCTCCCGGCGACAAGCTCCAGGGCAGGGCTGTCCCTCTGGGCGGCCCAGCACTTCCTCAGACACAACTTCTTCCTGCTGCTCCAGTCGTGGGGATCATCACTTACCCACCCCCCAAGTTCAAGACCAAATCTTCCAGCTGCCCCCTTCGTGTTTCCCTGTGTTTGCTGTAGCTGGGCATGTCTCCAGGAACCAAGAAGCCCTCAGCCTGGTGTAGTCTCCCTGACCCTTGTTAATTCCTTAAGTCTAAAGATGATGAACTTCTGCCTGGTGCCTGTCCCTCTGGGGCCTGGGGTGGCTGGGAGGGAGGCTTGGGAGGGACCCTGGTGCTGGTTTGGCTGCCCAGAGTGGCACCTATGAAGAGGACCTCTCCAGTTTGGCGAGAGTCGGGGTGAGGACCTAGAGTGTAAGGGACCACAAGTAGACATTCTGGTGGTGAGGTCCCTTTGGGGACCTCCCCCCCATGTTAGGGTTAGAATTGGGGGTGGTAGGGGCTGGGCACGGTGGCTCACGCCTGTAATCCCAGCACTTTGGGAGGCCGAGGCAGGTGGATCACAAGGGCAGGAGATTGAGACCATCCTAGCCAACACGGTGAAACCTCGTCTCTACTAAGAATACAAAAATTAGCTGGGCATGCTGGTGGGCGCCTGTAGTCCCAGCTACTCGGGAGGCTGAGGCAGGAGAATCCCTTGAACCTGGGAAGCGGAGTTTGCAGTGAGCTGAAATAGTGCCACTGCCCTCCAGCCTGGCAACAGAGCGAGGCTCCATCTCAAAAAAAAAGAATGGGGGATGGTAACACCTCTCCTTAAGGGCACACTTAAGCGACAGCAGAGGAGTGAGGGTTGCTTAACTGCCAGGCTCTGGCCTAACAGAGGGGTCTGCAACTTTGGGCCAAAGCACCATTGCTGAGGCCAGCACAGGGCACTGGCCCTACAGGGTGTGCCTCCATCCTGCCCCTGGCGTGCTCGGCCGCCTCAGCCTGGTTTTGAGCAAGTTCTTAAAGGCTGTTGGGTTGGGGGGCAGTTGCATGTCTTGGGCCTGCCCTAGGCAGACCTAATATTTTGGACACAGAAGCTACCCCCTCCCTGAGTGCTGGCCTGCCTGTCCCCACAGGGCACATGCTAGTGCTGCCTGACCTTGGTCTTCGGTCAGGCACTGACTCCACTTCCTTCAGACCTCAGGACGGGGCCCTTCCCCAGCCCCCCACATACAAGGCTGCCCTCAGTCCTCTGGTTTTTATTTGAGCTCTCTTGCCCTGGGGGCTGAGGAAGGAGTGACTCCAGGCCATACACAGACAGATGGAGAGGCTAGAGACTGGGAGGTGGGGGTGTGGAAGCTGGGCCACCAGTTCCTGAGGGGGCAGGGGAGATGAGTGAAGGAGCGCCAAGGTCACCAGAAGAATGGAGCAGGCTTCCCCAGGGGCTCCCTGTGGCTTGGGCACCCCTGCCTCCTGGCCCAGCGTGCTTTCTTCCGCAGCCCGTGCTGCCAAGGCAGAAAGCTAAGGTGAGCAGACGAGATCTTCCCCGAGAGAACCCTGGCTGGGTGGGTAGCGTTCTCTGGAAGGGTAGCCTGGATTGGGGGACTCTTGTTGAAGAAAGGTGGCAGGTGTCCATGGCCCCTGGCAGGTGGGGCTGGCACTGCCCATGCTGTTCCTCAGCTGGGGCTCAGTGCTGGGCTGCCCTCGGGACTGTCGCTCACCAGGCACTCGTTGGATTTGAAGCTCGCCAGGGACTTGCAGCTGGGAATGGAGGCCAGGGAGCCGCAGAGGCCCAGCATGGAGGGCGTGGGGTCCTTCCCTGGGGAGAGAGGGCAGGTGAGGCCAAGCGACCAGTCTACATGTGTGGGAGTTGGTAGAGGGGTGGGCAGTGAAGGGGCAGCCCTCAAGTCACCCCCCAGGAGACCTTGGCATATTCCACAGCATTTGCCATTTTCAGTTAAACTTTGGTTAAGCACCTGCCTGTGCCAGGCACCGTGCTGGGGACACTGTATTGTAATCGTCAGTTGATGTCTCTGTCTCCCCGTGAGGGTCATCCTCTCTCTTTGTCCATTTATTAAATACACAGTGAGCACTCGCTCTGTTCCAAGCACTGGGGATACAGAGAACGGACAAGACACGGTCCCTGCCCTCATGGAGCTCACAGTCTGGTGGGGGAGACAGACACACAGACAATCACAAACACAGTGTGATGGGGCTACATGGCCACAGCCTGCCTTGTCTCAAAGAAGATCTAGGGTCATCCAATACAGTGTGGTTGCTTATAAAAAAGAAAAGACAGGATATTCAGGCATAGGGAGAACTAGGATGGGAAAAACCAAGGTGAAGCCAGGGATGAGGTCAACACAAAGTGCATGCGTTGAAGTCCTGGGCATTCGCTCGAAGGGAGCCACTAATTTGGCTCTGAGCTTCCTGGCAGCCAAAGAGAAGGGGGAAACAATGGTCAGGCAAGTAGTTCACAGTGTGCATGAGATAAGAGCAAATTAGTCTAAGGAGTTCCCCGAGAGTTTGTGAGCCCCCGAGGATGTCATGACACTAAAAAACCACTGAGCCCTCACCATGTGACAACATTGGTGATTATCAACATCCCCATTTACAAAGAATAGACTCATGGAGGTAAAGTGATTGACCAAGCTCACATGGTCAGAGGAGGCACAGCCAGATTTATGCTGGGTTCTGCATATGCTGTGTTCTGCCACCTCAAAGTAAGCTCTCGATTGCTGTGCTAAACCCTCAAGAAAGGCTGAGAGAGGCCGGGCACAGTGGCTCACACCTGTAATCCCAGCACTTTGGGAGGCCAAGGTGGGTGAATCACTTGAGGTCAGGAGTTCGAGACCAGCCTGGCGAAACTCCGTCTCTACTAAAAATACACAAATTAGCCGCGCGTCTCTACTAAAAATACACAAATTAGCTGCGCGTGGTGGCAGGCGCTTTTAATCCCAGCTACTCGGGAGGCTGAGGCAAGGGAATCCCTTGAACCCGGGAGGCAGAGGTTGCAATGAGCTGAGATTGCGCCACTGCACTCCAACTTGGATGACAGAGTGAGACTCCGTCTCAAAAAAAAAAAAAAAAAAAAGACTAAGAGAATGAATGAGGACATGCCTTGAGGCCTCAGGGCCTTGCCTCAGCCCTTTCTGGAGGGGTACTGGGTGTTGGGTTGGGGGAGCTCACCGATGGGACCCCAGGGCTCCTCGTCCCGCGTGCCCTCTCCCAGGCGCTGGGAGTCCGAGCTCAGACTGGCTTCAGCTGACAGCGGCTCCGTGCTCATGAAGCTGTGTCTGCGGCAGAGCGAGAGCTGGTGCGCCGGTAGAGGAAGCCCTTCTTCCCCAGGACGACCCGCTCTCAGGCCCAAGCCCCACCTGGCTGGGGCTTACCTCCGGTAGAGCTTGGAGTTGCTGGCGCCCTCGGCCCCATTAAGCGTTCCCAGTGAGGGCCATTGATTGACCAGGGGTGTAGTGAGCTCCTTGGAACCCTGGGCCAGAGGGGCGTGGTCACTGGGGATCAGACCTGTCCTGGGAGGGGGAGGAGGAGTCAGGCCTGGCTGGAAGTAGGAGAAGTGAGGAAGGGAGATTCAGCAAGGGGATGAGGGAGGGGTCAGGAATGAAATCTGAGCGGCAAAAATGGGGATACGGTGTTGGGGTCAGTGGGCCAGATCCCGGGAGGAAGTGGAGGTGGTACTGGGGTGGAGGGGTGACAGGGATTCGTGCACAAATATTGGGAGTTGGAGGGAATGGTGCAGTGTTGTTGGGGTCAGCTGGGGTGATGGGGACGTCAGTGGAGGATAGTGTGGGAATCCCTGAAGTGTAAGATCGTCTTGGGGATCTTGCCGCAAGATCAGGGTGGTGGAAAGGCGTAGAGAAGAAGTGTTACAGGGATCGGCAGGGGTGAGGTCGGGGGTCACGGCGGATGATGACGGTCAGTGAGCCTGTGGTGCAGGTGAGTGAGGCGATGAATGCAATCGTGTTGAAGGTTGCAGAGCAACACCGCAGGTCCTTGTGAGTGACGTGGGGTCCCTGCAGTAAGGTTGGATGGCCACTCTAGCGGAAGATAACTGAAGGTGAAGGGTGGGCTCTGGCTGTTGGAAGTCACTGGATCTTATGCTGGGGGCAATGTTAGAAGATCATTGTGGGCATCTCGGGGTGGGGCTGGCTGGATCAGAGGGTTGATGCTGGAGAGGTGGGTGCTCGTGTCGGGTGATGTTAGAGTCGATGGAAGTGAAGATGGGGTTCACCCGGTGATGTGGTCGGGGCGGCGGGGGTCAGGGGTTAGGGCAGGCCGTGCGCTCACAGCTGCTCCTGCAGCTCCAGGATCACGCCTTCCAGCTCCCGTTTCTCGCGCTGGTTCTGCGCCGCCGCCTCCTCCAGCTGCAGCTGAAGCCGCCGGTTCTCCGCCTCCAGGTCCTTCAGCTGCGACTCGCGCAGACGCACCAGCTCCTCCAGGTAGCCCTGCGGGGCGCCGGCTCAGCCCGGGCGGCTGGGAGGACGTCCCGGCCGCGGCCCCCATCCCCGCCCCGCCCCGGGATGCCCGGATCCCCCGCCCGGCCCGCCCGCCCCCCGGGCCCGCCGGCGTCGCGCACCTTCTGCGCGTAGACGATGCGGAACTTCTGCTCCATCTTGTGCCACTTGCTGTACCAGCTGTCCTCATCGGTGACGAGCGGGAGGTACGGGTGCTCGGGCGAGTTGTCCTCGCTCGTGCTGCTCTCGGCGCTGTGCCGCTCCTCCTCGTCCGTCAGGTAGTCGTAGCTTGGGAGAGGGAGCAGTGGGCACGGCCGGTCCCGCCCCTCCCCCCGCGCGTCTGCGCTGGCCGCTGAGGGCGGTGGGACCAGGACGTCCCCAGGATGTCCCGAGGCCCCGTCCCCCGCCCCGCCGCAGTCATGGAGCCGCTCACCTCTGCGTGAACTTTAGGTAGGGCGTGTAATCGATGACCACGGGGGTCTTCCCGTCCAGGACTTCCCCCTTTAGACAGAAGCTGAGGCAGAGGAGCCACAGGGTTGGAGGTGGGTGTGAGGGGTTGGGGTAGGACATTTATGGGGGAAACAGCCCCCTCCACCACTGCCGTCAGGCAGACCCCACCTGAAGTCGATGGCGCTCAGTCCGATCAGCATTCCGGTGAGGATGGTGGCTTCATCCCGCAGCATGATGGCTCCAGAGTCATAGAACCGTCTGTGGGGAGGCAGAGGGCCAGAGGATGCAGCAGGCCCCTGGAGCGCCCCCCCCCCCCCCAGAGCTGCTATTGTTGGCTTACTGCCACCCCATCCTGAAGGAAGGCCAATTCTCCTTCCTGATCTGCACGCAGGCCTGGAGCCTCTCTCCCCCTTCAGCCTGGGGCTCGCACCTGTGGCCCCATCACCTAGAATGGGTGTTCCCTGAGCCGACTCCTCCCTCTGAGCTACCCCTTCCTCATCAAGTACTGGGTTACCCAGATCCTTCATATCAGGAAGCAAGTCTTAATCATTAGTGCTTGGTATACAGTAGGTGCGCAAAAAACGTGTTAACTTGAAACGTGTAGACTGAGGAATGGAATTCAGTAAAAACATCAGGCTGGGTATGGCCAATTGGGATGGGGAGGTATATGCCCCCCGCCACACCCAGACAGCTTCAGATGCACCTGCCCACACAGGCACACTCCTCCTTGTAACCCCTTGCCTCAGGCACCCAACCTCCCTGTGAACCCACAGTGCAGGGATTGAACTCCCCATATAAGGACTCTGTGTCCGTGAATAGCAAGTACAGAACTGCTTTCGTTGTTTGGAGAGACAGAAGGGCTGTGTTGTAGATCATGGAGCAAGCCAACACTTGAGATGGTGCATGGCTGAGGCTCATCCAGAGGTGTGCAAGGGTGGAGCGTGCTGGGCATTGATGGCAAATAATGGGCATTAGATTTGACTTGCAAGTGGTGGTGGTGGTGGTGGTAAAAGTTTGTCCTGGGGCCAGGAGCGGTGGCTCATGCCTGTAATCCCAGCACTTTGGGAGGCCAAGGCGGGAGGATCACCTGAGGTTGGGAGTTTGAGACCAGCCTGACCAACATGGAGAAACTAAAAATACAAAATTAGCTGGGCATGGTGGCGTATGCCTGTAATCCCAGCTACTCAGGAGGCTGAGGCAGGAGAATCGCTTGAACCCAGGAGGCGGAGGTTGCAGTGAGCCGAGATCGCGCCATCGCACTCCAGCCTGGGCAACAAGAGCGAAACTCCTTCTCAAAAAAAAAAAAAAAAAAAAGAGTTCGTCCTGGGACTGCAGGCCAGGCTGGAAGAGGGAAATCAGCCATGTGTGCTGGTGCTGGGACTTGTAGTCCAGGAACTGAAGGATGCTGCAGGAACTTAAGGATCAGCTGTGTTTGGGCAATGCAGGTGCACTCTGAGACCTGTGGTCTGAGTTGCCTGGGAAGTCTGACCTGGTGGTCCGGGTGTCACGCAGAGCCGTGGTGATGTATTCTGACATGCGCTTCTCCATCAGTGCCACCCGGATCCATGCCCGGCCCTGGAAATCATGTTCACCTTTACTTGCTGCCCCAGAGGGACTCATGTGTCCAGCATCAGGTGTGGGCCCTTCTCCCCTGGGCTGTGCACAGGGGGCAAAAACCAAGAAACAGGCAGGCCCCCTGTGTCCAGAGCAGAGAGCAGTTGCTTGCTTCAGGCCCCTCACCTTGGCCCGGGCTGTGCTGATGTTCTCCATGTTCTCGATGCTGCTCACACAGTTGTTGGGCACTTTGCTGCAGGCCAGCCGGATATAGTCCCAAAAGCCCCGCTGCCCGTCTGAGCTGAACCAGCTCACTGGACCTGCTGGGGCACAGGCTGAGCCAGGGCAGGGAGGGGGCTCAGCAAGACCAGGGAGTTTGGAGAGGGTCCATGTAGTGAGGCACTCACATGCATAAGCATAAGCAGCCTCCTCCCACAAAGATCTGTGCACACACATGCACGTGTGCAGTGGGCACCCCAGCATATCGCTTGCCCATGATGGGGATTGTAGGCCAAAGGCCTCTCCCTCTTCCCAGATCTGTACACAAGCTTCTGTGCATGGCCCAGAATGGGGGCCAGGGTCAATGAGGGGGTTCAGAGTCCATGGAGTATATCAGAAAGAGGTGGCTGGGAGCTAAAGGTTGGGAGTTGGGGAGGGACCGCTGGGGGAGGGGCGCTGGGGGAGGGACCACTGGGGGAGGGGCGCTGGGGGAGGGACCGCTGGGGGAGGGGCGCTGGGCCCACCTTTGAAGCGGTGGCTGAGGATCTGCTCTAAAATGGCTGCAAAATTGACAAACTCCTCCGATGAGTCATCGATGGGCTCCGCTGTGTACTTCTCCAGCAGCGTTTTCACAGAGAACCTGGGCGGCGAGGTGGGGAGATGGGGCAGTGGGGTGTCAGGTGAGGAAACAGGTGATGGAGGGAGAGACAGGGAGCAACCGGCAGAGAAGAAAGGTCAGGAAGGGCATGGATGTGGTGGGGGGCAGAGCGAGTGGGGAGACAGGCAAGACTACAGTGACCATAGAGGTACCGTGTCATGTGGAGTGAGAGGGTGGCAGATGGGGAGGAAGGGTGACAGGTGGGAGACTGATTGACAAAGTGGGTGACAGGAGAGGTGACAGCCAGAGAAAGGAAGCTTCGGGAGCAAGGGGTGAGAGGGACTGAAAAAATAGGAAGATGAGGCACAAGCCGGGGGCGGTCCAGGAGCCCCTTCCCCATAGACCACCCTTCAGGGTCTGTGTGTGCGAGGCCTGGGTCAACTAGGTGTTAGAAGCCAGTGTGTGCCCCACCTGAGCTGTCTTCTGTGATTGCTGGAGCAACCTTCAGTCCCTTTTGGGGATGGGGGTCACCTGTACCAGGGCATGTGAGTTGGCACTGTGCACATGGAGTGTGGGCATGCGCAGGTGGCCAGGTGGGCTCCCAGTACACAGATACCCCCTTCCCCCCTTTCCTTCCCGGCTTGGCCTCCCACACACCAGCTGCCCAGAACCAGGCAGTGCAGAGCTGGGCGGGGGTGGGGTGGGGAGGTGCGGGGTATGGGCCTGACACAGACACTGGGCAGGAGGGGGCATTGGCAGCAGATCCCTGGAAGGGGCTTGGGGGCCTGGCTTCTTTGGGAGGAAGGGACTAAGGGAAGCCTGTGGGGCTGAAGGACTGAAGCCATGCAGTGCCCCCTCTCCAGTCCTGTCTAAGCCTCAGGCTCCCTCTGCAGTCACTACCCCTGCAATCTCCCCCTGCCATCCCTGCAATGGAGTAGGGCAGGGATGAGGACACAGTTCCTAACATCCCATGATTTCCCTGCTGTGGGTGGCAGAGCAGGGGCGGGGTGTCCAGGGAAATGGGAGCTGCTTGGAAATGTCCTTTTCTTCTTATATTTATCAAGCCCTATAATGTGGCAAGCACAGTACTTTGCATGCATTCCCTTACCCATGCTCAGCCCTGAAAGGTAGGTCCTCTTAGTATTACTCTCATCCCCATTTTACAGGTAAAGAAATTGATGGTCCAAGAGGTTGACTGATCTGTTCGGAGTCACATGGCTTATGAGTAGTCAAGCAGGTATGTCTGATTCTGATTCTGAAGCTTCTGCTCTTTCTGCTACATCTGTGGCCTCCTGGCAGCTGTTGTGATGACCAAGGCCTGGAGCAGCCCCTGCTCCACCGCCCTTTGTCCTCTACTCTGCAAGTCTCCAGCCTTGGACCACTGACCTCTGAGGCTCTCAGGCCAATTGCACAGCTGAGCCCTCGTCCCCCTTCCTTTTGAACTTGGAGTTGAACTGCCTTGAGATCAGAGCCAGGTCAGTCTTGGGGTTGCACTAGAGGGAGGCAGCCTGCTGGATTCAAATCCTGTTTCCCTGTGGCACTCACGTGGCCTTGGGCCCCTCTGTGAGTCCCTTCTTGTCAAATGCAAATGGGAACAATCGTACCTGCCTCATTACATTTTGGTTGAGAGCCCAGGCAGGGTTGGGAGAAGGTAGGTGCCTAGGGCCGCTGGGCAGGGATGGTGAGGAGCGGGGTCGTGGCTGGGAAGGCTGGCCCTGCTGAGAGCCAGCCTGTGTTTGGGGCATTATTCCAGCTTCACTATGCGCACCCTCCTGCCAGCTTGATTTCCCCTGGTCATCTGGGTCAGACCATGATGGGGCCTGGACTGGGTTCAGCATGGCAGCCATATGGTATCTGTCCTCAGGGGTGCCGCAGAGGTGGTCATTGCCCCCGGGAGCCCTGTGGTGTGCTCCCTGATAGGAGATGCAGTGGCTGCTGCAGGTTACCATGGAGACAGGGAGGCCAGGGCCCAGGGGAGCCCATGGCCTGCTAAAGGGAGCTGTTCTGGGAGCTGGAGGCAAACCATGTGACAGTGATGAGGCAGTAGGGGCCTGGGGGTTACTGAGCCTTTGTTATGTCCCTGACCCCCCAAAACTCTATCCTTCCCTCCCAGCTCTAAACCACCTTCAGCCCTTCAACTTCTCCTTCTCTGGCCTATGTCAAGGAGAGTTCCCTCATTCCCCCCATGTACTCAAGAGGCTCAGCTACCTTGGCAGGCAAGAGAAAAAGAGGAACCTAGCAGGTAGACAGCAGAGAGGGACAGGAAGAGCGTCATTAGGACAGGGCTCTTTCTGTGTGCCAGACACTGAGCTAGGCTCCTACATGGATGGTGCCATTTTCATTCTTTGGTGTGGCTGTGACATCTAAAATGGGGATGATGGGGCACCCAAGGCCCAGAGTGGTTAAGAGACCTCCCCAAGGTGGCGCAGCTAAAGCTGATGGAGTAAGAGCTTGAACCTAGGACCTTCTGGCCCCAAGGACAGAAATCTTTGTTTTATAACACACTGGCAGGGGTTGGGGGAAATGAGGGTAAAGGCAGTGCCCTGCACTGTGGGCTGGGCCATTGCTACACTCTCTCCTTCCTTAAAGTTCCAGGCATTTCTGCAGAGGTCTGATGTGCACAGCACTGTGCTGGGCACTAGTGCTGGGAGACAGATGCAGTGTGGTGGAGTGCGTGCCCAGGAACCGGGAAGGAGCTATGGGAGCCAGGAGCCAGGGCATCAGGTGGGCACTAGTGGGCCTCAGGGCATCAGGTGGGCTTCAGCAGAGCTGAGGCCTATGTGGCAGGCAGGTGGGGCTGGCGAGGGAAGAGTGAGCCCTGCCCCCAGGAGCACCCTGCACTGAGGGGGCAACACCTGATAGGCATGGGGGCCAGGGGAGGTTGCAGCTGACAGGGGATCCCAGCACCAGAGGAGAGTGCAGGTGTGGGCTGCAGGGGGAGTGGCTGAGCAGCTGGCCATGCCCTGGTTTTGGGACAGGGCAGGGCAGGGAGGGTGAGTCACTGCAGGTTGAAGTGAACAGGATCACTTCCTGGGCCCCGCAATCACGGAGAATCTTCCCAACCCTGCAACCGTTCCACCCTCAGAGACCAGTGGCCCTGTCCTCCCGATCTTCTCCCCTTGAACCTGGAACCCAGGCTCTTGGTCCTTCCCACGTCTTGGGTGGTGCCCCTCACCCTTCCCTGGAAGGATTCATGGGCTCTGACCCCATGCCCAATTGACCCTGCCCATCCCTGCTCCAGAATCTGAGCATTGGAGAACCCCACCCCAGAGAGGTCAGTTTGACATGGGTGTCAATGAGGGTATGCTTGGAGGGCATTCATCCCCCCACGGGGTCCCCTCTGTCCATCCTGCCCCATTCCCAGCAAGGGAGCCAGCCATCCCCACCCCCTTCCCCCTCACACAGTGTCACTTCCTGGTTCTCACAGGAAGCTACAGTACCAATTAAACACCCCTCACCCCCCAGGCCCAGGCCCGGGCATAGGCTTGGCTTGGCCTAGAAGGGTAGGGACCAGACTGCAGCCTCCCTCTGGGTTCTGGGCCTGGGAGGGACAGTGGACGCATTATTCTCGACCCTTTTCTCCCCTCCCTTTTCTCCGCGGCAGCGCTCAGTCCGGGTTTCCGCAGTCCACCCCAACCCCTCTCCCTCACCACCCCAGCCCCCGCCCACTAGCGGTGCCCACCTGCACACGGTGATCAGGTTCTTACGCTCCACAGCCACGTTGCGAGAGGACGCTTTCTTGGAGGACAGCCCCAGAGCCATGGTGGTCTGGACAAAGCTCGCTTCCATCCAGATGTGCGGCCACTGCTGCCGCCGCCCGCTGCCCCCCCACCCCTCCCGGAGCCCCAAACCCGTCGCTGGATCACGGCTGGGCCCTCTGTCCGACGGGGCCCCTCAACCCTTCCATGGCCATCCCCCTGCCTTTGCGCCCGGTGCCCGGCCCCCTCGCTCCCTCCCCCGGCGGCGATGCCAGAGCAAAACAAGGCCGGGGAGGGAGCTCTCCGAGGTGCTGAGCCGGGGCCCCGTCACCCCCTCCTCCAGCCGCCCGCCCCCCTCGGCCAGTGACGTCAGGGCCCTCGGGCCCCGCCCCCCAGCAGGCCGAGGACCAATCCGCAGAGGGTGCAGGGTCTGAGGGGAGGGGCAGAGCCCGGGCCCCACGGAGGGCGGAGGGGGTACCCGGGAGAAGCAGAGATTGGAAGGAGGAGCAGGGGGCCTGCCCTCCACCCCCACACTCTGGGCCCGAGACTCCTCGCTCCTCCTCGCCTCGCCTCGCCTCGAGTCTCTGGCTCCGACCTCTCTACTCCCTTGTTTCTGACCTGTGCTCCGTGGTGTCTCTGATCTCCCCCTGCCGCCAGGGGAAAGGAGGTCTTCACCTCCGGGACCCCCACCCCCCACCCCCGTCCCCTCCCTGCCCCCTATCCGTTCAGCCTCGGCTTTCTCGGCGAGAAAGCGCAGATGGCTCCCGGCTGCTAACCCAGGAGGCTAAGGAGCAGCCCTAGAGACTGCGCATCTGCATGTCTGTGCCTGGGCTGGACCCGCCTGCACCAGCCAGGCCGAGCCAACCTCTCCTGGGGTGGAGGATGGGAATCCAGACGAAGCCTAAGGGCTCAGCGCCTGGAACCACTTGGGACAGAGAGTGGGGAGCAGACTGGCAACGAAGGGCCTTGGGCTCTGCGGAGGTTCCCAGCAGCAGAGCAGGCGCCTACAATGGTGCCAAGGCAACCGGAGGGGGTGGCGGCCCACCCCCTCGCACCACCCCAGAGCCAGCTGGCCTAAGGTTAACCCCTTGGCTGCCGGCATTGCCGCGTTGTGCCATCAACCCTCTCTGAATGGGGTCATTGATCTCGGGCAAGGCCAGGAGTGTCCTGTAAAACTGGTTGCAGCTTCTCCCCGGGGGTGGGGGGAAATGAAGGCATAGTCTGGTTTCCCACCGCCCTTGGCCTCCTATTCCTCTCACGTCCCTGCTCCCACCTGCTCCGTTCCTCTATTCAACCTGTTCCAGGATTTTCGGGGCGGGGTGGGGGGAGGGTTCCCCTTCACCTGCTGGAATCCGCAACTCCTACATAAAGCCTTTCTGTGTTTATTAAAGGGCCTCTACCCAATTTCTCCATCTGCCCTTAGGAACATCCCTCCCAGGACTCACTCACACCTATTCTCCAACTCTGCCTACCTGCTCAATTCACCTGATGCTCTGCCAGTGGATTGCTGATGTCTCTACATTGATTCAGATTTGCACCCACATCTGAAAATGGTCAGCAGGCAGGGACCCTCTGTCACCACAGGTGGAGGAAGAGGAGATGAAAGAGCCTTGTCTGACACCCTGGAGACTGGTGAGAGATCCTGACTCCTAGCATGGGATCTTACATTTACGCAGCCTCAGCCTCAATTCTTGGCTTCTGGGACCTCAACCTTGGTCTTTTTATTTTTTACTTTTTTTTTTCAATTATTTTTTGTGTGTCATCCTTGCACAGTGGCCATGCTAATCTTCTCTGTATCTTTCCAATTTTTTAGCATATTAACACATTCCGATGTTAGTATAACCTTGGTCTTTTCAGTCCCTCCTCCATCATCTTGCTCTTGCCTCACGTGTAGAAGTCCCTCTTACCATTCTCCTGCCTCCAGTTTGCCAGGGGCAGTCATGATGGGTTTTTTTGCTCTTTCTCCAAATGAGGGCACATGATGTTCTTTTGGGGTTTATTTTGTTGTTGTTGTTGTTGTTGTTGTTGTTTTTGAGACAGAGTCTCACTCTGTCGTCCAGGCCAGAGTGATCTCGGCTCACTACAACCTCCACCTGTCGGGTTCAAGTGATTCTCCTGCCTCAGCCTCCCAAGTAGCTGGGATTACAGGCATGCACCACCACGCCTGGTTAATTTTTGTATTTTTACTAAAGACAGGGTTTCACCATGTCAGTCAGGCTGGTCTCAAACTCCCGACCTCAGGTGATCCACCTGCCTTGGCCTCCCAAAGTGCTGGGATTACAGGCGTGAGCCACCACGCCCGGCCTATCTTAACCATTCTTAAGTGTACAATGGAGTAGTACTAAGTACATTCATAGTTTTTTGCAGTCATCACCACCGTCCAACTTCTTAACTCTTCATCTTGAAAAACTGAAACTATCCATTAAACAATAATTCCCCATTCCCCACTCCCCTCACCCCTGGCAACTACTAGTCTACTTTCTGGTTCTATGATTTTGACTACTCTAAGTACTTCATATAAGTGGAATCATATAGTGCTTATTTTTTATGTGACTGGCTTATTTTGCTTAGCCTAAAGTCCTTAAAGTTCATCTATGTTGCTGGCCACAGTGGCTCACGCCTGTAATCCCAGCACTTTGGGAGGCTGAGGTGGGCGGATCACCCGAGGTCAGGAGTTCAAGACCAGCCTGGCCAAAGTGGTGAAACCCCGTCTCTACTAACAATACAAAAATTCGCCAGGCATGGTGGCACACGCTTGTAATCCCAGCTACTCAGGAGGCTGAGGCGGGAGAATCGCTTGAACCCAGGAGGCGGAGGTTGCAGTGAAGTGAGATTGTGCCATTGCACTGAAGCCTGGGCAAGAGTGAAACTCTGTCTCAAAAAAAAAAAAAAAATAGAAAGAAAAGAAAAAAGCTCATCCATATTGTAACACATTGCAGAATTTCTCTCCTTTTAAAGGCAGACTAATATTCTTTTGTAGGAATATGCAACATTTTGCTTATTGCTATGGCTTGAATGTGTCCCCCGAAGTTCATGTGTTGGAAACTTTTTTTCTTTTTTTTGGTGGGGGGGGACAAAGTCTTGCTCTGTTGCCCAGGCTGGAGTGCAGTGGCATGATCTTGGCTCACTGCAGCCTCTGCCTCCCAGGTTGAAGTGATTCTTGTGCCTCAGCATCACGAGTAGCTGGGATTAGAGGTGCACACCACCATGCATGGCTAAATTTTGTATTTTTAGTAGAGATGGAGTTTTGCTATGTTGGCCAGGCTGGTCTTGAACTCCTGGCCTCAAGCAGTCCACCTGCCTTGGCCTCCCAAAATGCTGCGATTACAGGCGTAAGTCTTCATGCCCAGCCTTCTTTCTTACTTTTTGAGACAAGATCTCACTCTCTTGCCCACGCTAGAGAGCAGTGGTGCAATCATAGCTCACTGCACCTTCAACCTCCTAGGCTCAAGTGATCCTCCCACCTCAACCTCCTAAGCAGCTGGAACTACAGGCACTTGCTACCATGTCTGGCTAATTTTTATTTTTATTAGTTTATTATTTATTAATTTATTTTGTAGAGATGAAGTCTCACTATGTTGCCCAGGCTGGCCTTGAATTCCTGGGCACAAGTGATCCTTCCTCCTCAGCCTCCCAAAGTGTTGGGATTACAGATATGAGCTACCACACGTGGCCATGTATAAGAAACTTAGTCCCCAATTCACTGGTGTTGAAAGGTGGGACCTTCAAGAAATGATTAGATCACAAGAGCTCTGCCCTCATGAATGGATTAATGCTGTTGTTTTGATAGTGGGTTCCTGATAAGAGGTTGAGGATCAGGCCCCTTTCTCTCTCCCTCATGCTCTCTTGCCTTTCCACCTACCACCATTGGATGATGCAGCAAGAAGGCCCTTGCCAGATGTGGGCCCCTCCATCTTGGACTTCCCAGCTAGCCTCCAGAACTGTAAGAGACAAATCTCTGTTCTTCATAAATTACCCAGTCTCACATATTCTGTTAGAGCAGCACAAAGCAACTAAGACACTTATCCATTCATCCATCCATGGACACTTGTATTGTTTACACATGTTACCAATTATGAGTAATGCTGCTATGCACATGGGTGTACAAATATCTCTTTGAGACCTTGTTTTCAATTCTTTGGGGTATATACCCAGAAGTGGAATTGCTGGATTACATGGCAATTTTGTTTTTAATTTTTTGAGAAGCTGCCATCCTGTTTTCCATATGGCTGCACCCTTTTACATTCCTGCCAACAGTGCACAAGGGTCCAATTTCTCTTTTTTTTTTTTTTTTTTTGAGACGGAGTCTCGCTGTCTCCCAGGCTGCAGTGCAGTGGCGCGATCTCAGCTCACTGCAAGCTCCGCCTCCCGGGTTCACACCATTCTCCTGCCTCAGCCTCCTGAGTAGCTGGGACTAGAGGCACCCGCCACCATGCCTGGCTATTTTCTTGTATTTTTAGTAGAGACAGGGTTTCACTGTGTTAGCCAGGATGGTCTCGATCTCCTGACCTCGTGATCTGCCCAGCTCGACCTCCCAAAGTGCTGGGATTACAGGCGTGAGCCACCACGCCCGGCCACAAGGGTGTAATTTCTCTACATCCTTGCCAACACTTGTTATTTCCTGTTTGCTTGTTTGATGGTAACCATCCCAACAAGTGTGAACAAGTGTGAGGTGGTATCTCATTGTAGTTTTCTTTTCTTTTTTCTTTTTTTCAGGGAAACTACCCAGACTGTGTCCTCTCCCTCTTACTCTCCTAAAGGAAGACAAGGAAGACAATGACAAATGGCGTTTGCAGCAAAGCAACACCAACAGCCAACTTGATGCTCAAGAGAGAACGCTATGCCTCTTCCTCATGGTTTCCAGTGCTCTACACATTCTGAGAAACTTTTCTGGTAATAAACTATAGAAACAATGAGACTGTGCCCATGGGAGAGACCCCATCTCTACAAAAAATACAAAAATTAGCCAGGCGTAGTGGTGTGCACCTGGATTCCCCAGCTACTTGGAAGGCTGAGATGGGAAGATCACTTGAGCCCCGGAGGTTGAGACTGCAGTGCGCCATGATCACGCCACTGTACTTCAGCCTCAGTGACAAAGCGAAAGCCTGTTTCAAAAAAAAAAAAAAGACAGAGAGAAACGGGCTGGGGACGGTGGTTCACACCTGTAATCCCCGCACTTTGGAAGGCCGAGGCAGGTGGATCACTTGAGATCAGGAGTTCGAGACCAGCCTGGCCAACATGGTGAAACCCCGTCTCTACTAAAAATACAAAAATGAGCAAGGCATGGTGGTGGATGCCTATAATCCCAGCTACTCAGAAGGCCGAGGTGGGAGAATCACTTGAATCCCAGGAGACAGAGGTTGCAGTGAGCCGAGATCGCGCCACTGCACTCCAGTTTGGGCAACAGAATGAGGCTCCATCTCAAGAAACAGAAAAAGGGAAATGATCCCTGAAAGTACACTCTTTTGTTGTAGTTTTTATTTGCATTTTGCTAACGATTAGTGATGTTGAGCACCTTTTCATGTGTTTACTGGCTATTTGTTTTCTTTTTTTTTTTTTTTTTTTGGAGCGATACCTATTCAAGTCCTTTGTTCATTTTTGGGTTGCTTGGTTTTTGTTGTTGGTGTTGAGTTTTTTAGGAGCTGCCTCTATATCCTGGATATCAATTCCTTATCAGATATATAACTTGCAAATATTTTCTCCCATTCTGCCAATTACCTTTTGAATTTGTTGATATTGGTTTTTTGATGCACAAAGTTCTTAAGTTTTCATCAAAGCTAATTTGTCTATTTTGTTGTTATTGTTGCCCCCATCTTTGGTGTCAGATCCAAAAAAATTATTGCCAAATCCAGTGTTGGGAAGCTTTTGCCATATGTTTTCTTCTAAGAGTTTTAAAAGTTTAGGTCTTACATTTAGGTATTTGATCCATTTTGAGTTAATTTTTGTCGATAGTGTTAGGTAAGAGTCCAACTTTATTCTCTTACATGTGGATATCCGTTTTTTCCAGCACTATTTGTTTAAAAAACAAAAATCAAACAAACAAAAACCTGTCCTTTCCCCATTAAATGGTCTTGGCATTCTTGTCAAAAATCAGGCTGGAGTGCAGTGGCATGATCTCGGCTCATTGCAACCTCCACCTTCCAGATTCTCTTGCCTCAGCCTCCCAAGTAGCTGAGATTACAGGTGTGCACCACCACGCCCGGCTAACTTTTTTATTTTTAACAGAGACGGGGTTTCACCATGTTGGCCAGGCTGGTCTCGAACTCCTGACCTCAGGTGATCCACCCGCCTCAGCCTCCCAATGTGCTGGGATTACAGGCATGAGCCACCGCACCTGGTCTGATCAAGTTTAAGACTGCATTGCACCACAGCACTGCAGCCTAGACAACAGAGCAAGACCCTATGTCAAAAAAAAAAAAAATCATTTGATCATAGGCCAGGTGTGATGGTACATACTTATAATCCGAGCTACTCAGGAGGGTGAGGTGGGAAGATCACTTGAGCCCAGGAATTCGAGTCCATCCTGGGTAACATAGCAAGACCATATCTCTAAAAAAATTAGATAAATAAAAAAAATAAGAAATCACTTGCAGACCAGGCACAGTGGTTCACGCCTGTAATCCAGCACTTTGAGAGGCCTAAGTGGGCGGATCACTTGAACTCAGGAGTTCGAGACCAGCCTGGGCAACGTGGTGAAACCCCATCTCTACCCAAAATACAAAAAAATTAGGCAGGCATGGTGGCTTACACCTGTGGTCCCAGCTACTCAGGAAGCTGAGGTGGGAGGATCGCTTGAGTCCAGGAGGCAGAGATTGGAGTGAGCTGAAATTGTATCACTTCACTCCAGCCTGGGTGACAGAGCGAGACCCCGTCTCAAAAAAAAAAAGAAAAGAAATCACTTGCTCATGTGTGTAAGAGTTTACATGAGGGCCTCTGTTCTATTTCATTGGTCTATACGTCTGTCTCTATGCCAATACCACTCTATTTTGATGAATGTAGCTTTGCAGTGAGTTTTAAAATCAGGAAGTATAAGTCCTCCAGCTTTATTCCTTGTTCATATTTCAACTTTTGTGATAATCATTTCCTTGCTTTTCTTTATATTTTTATCACCCATGTGTGCACCGCCTACAAGCAGAACCTAACAGGACAGTAATGGAGGCTAGGGAACTGGTTTGCAGAGTCCCAGCCCCCTTCCAACATCAGAGAGCAGAGAAAATAAGAATGAATTTGAAGCTGAAAGTCAATAAGCAAATAACTGGCATTATCTACCCCTTTTTTCTATGCAGTAGTTACACATCTATCCATCATATTTGAATAATAACAGCTTCATCCCTTTGCCTAATAGATGCAACTGTCCTTTGCTCAAATGAAGATGCTCTGGGGCCCTCCCCCAAAAGCAGAGACGCAAAGTCTCTACAGCAATGGGATCCCTTTCCGTGTGATGTGAATTCTCCTAGTTCAGCCACATGTCCTCTAGAGTATTCTGCAACCTAAATTATGAAGGTCATCACCAACAACAATCCTCATAAAAAATAAGAGAAAAGAAGGAGAGGAAAGTTAACCAATATTTAAAGAGTGTATATAACAAAACAAGCAAGAGAAAACATGCCCATGGCTTCTACAATCCTTGCTTCTATATCTGGTCAGAAGCTGATATTATAACTTTCCTCTTCCATTACCCTTGAAGGGTTCAAGGGATTCTCGTGCCTCAGCCTCCAGAGTAGCTGGGAATACGGGTGCCCACCAACCACCACACCTGGCTAATTTTTGTATTTTTTTTAGTAGAGACAGGGTTTCACCATTTTGGCCAGACTGGTCTCGAACTCCTGACCTCAAGTGATCCCCACCCACCTTGCCTCCCAAAGTGCTGGGATTACAGGCGTGAGCCACCGTGCCTGGCCCCAAATCTGTATTCTTTATTTTTATTATTGTTATTATTATTATTGTTGTTTTTTTTTTTGAGACGGAGTCTCGCTCTGTCACCCAGGCTGGAGTGCAGTGGCGCGATCTCAGCTCAATGCAACCTCCGTCTCCCGGGTTCAAGCAATTCTCCTGCCTCAGCCTCCTGAGTAGCTGGATTTACAGGCGCCCACGACCATGCCCGGCTAATTTTTGTATTTTTAGTAGAGAGAAGGTTGCACCATATTGGCCAGGCTGGTCTCTTGGCCAGGCTGGTCTCAAACCCCTGACCTGGTGATCCGCCCATCTTGGCCTCCCAAAATGCTGGGATTACAGGCATGAGCCACCACGCCCGGCCCCCAAACCTTTATTCTTAAAATAAAGGTTTCAAGAATAAACCTTTATTCTTGAAATTAGCATTCTACAAATTGGAATCCTCAGAACTGTATTGCTCTTTTTTTTTTAACTTTTACTATTGGACACGGAAATAGGACATGGCACACCAGGGAGTCCCCTGGGTTCCAGACATAGTCCTCCCTGCCTTTCTTTTGGAGTTAGAACCCAGCTTACCCTTGGCATTTGGGATCAGTCATCCCAGAAGGTAACCCCTTTTTTGCCCTGAGCTCAGGTGAGAGCCTTATCTTCCAGGTAGTGGAACCATTGCAGTATCTCCTCGTGAAAGGATTCCTCCCTTAGTGTGGCAGATGCTGGCAGTGCCCTCCCATGTTCCTGAAGCTCTTGGGTTCACTGGATGAACTTCCAGCTGCCAGAACCTGCAGCTCTTTATCTAAGGACTCTCTCTGGCCACTGGAGCCTGCTGAGCAGGCTGAAAGTTCTGGGGAATTATACTCCCAGCCACAGCAACCTTCAGCCAATCACCGATGGGGATCGGTGCGTAAATAGCCAGCTTCCTCATCCCTCAGGTCCTGCAGCAAACATTATGACTGGCTCCCTGAGTTCCTTCTTAGGATTAAGCTCTGGTTGTCCACGTGTTTTGTTTGTTTGTTTGTTTGTTTTGTTGTTGTTGTTTTGTTTGTTTTTGAGACAGAGTCTCACTCTTGTTGCCCAGGCTGGAGTGCAATGGTGCAATCTTGGCTCACTGCAACCTCCGCCTCCTGGGTTCAAGCAATTCCCCTGCCTCAGCCTCCCAAGTAGCTGGGATTATAGCCATGTGCCACCACGCTCGGCTAATTTTGTATTTTTAGTAGAAACGGGGTTTCTCTATGTCGGTTAGGCTGGTCTCGAACTCCCGACCTCAGGTGATCCACCTGCCTTGGCCTCCCAAAGTGCTGGGATTACAGGTGTGAGCCACCGCACCCGGCCGGTTGTCCATGTTTTTAACTTGCTTGATAACACACCCTTTATGAGCCTCCTTTCTTTCCAATGTCAGTCTCCCACTGGCTTGCTTGGTATTCCTAGCATCGCTTTTCAAATAAACACTTGTGTTTCTCAAATAAATACTTTCCTTTGAATCCTTGACTCAGGTTCTACTTCTGGAGGGAACCCAAACCAACACATTTGATATCCAAAGTTGTCCTAGGAAGTAGACCCCCAGGATAAGATTCTGGTTTTGGATCACTCATCATCCAGATGGCCCAAAGATTCCATTGCTGAGGTAAGTGGGGTACTAATACCCACTGGAGAACTGGACTGATCGTCAGACTGTCACCCTGGTGAAATGGGATGCAGACAGGGATGCACTGCCTATGCAATAGCTCTAGTATTTGAGGTGTAAGAGGAAAATGGTAATTATAAGGACTGTGGAGACTGGGCTCAGTGGTTCATGCCTGTAATCCCAGCAGTTTGGGAGGCCAAGGCGGGTGAATGACTTGAGGTCAGGAGTTCGTGACCAGCCTGGCCAACATGGCAAACCCTGTCTCTACTAAAAATACAAAAATTAGCTGGGTGTGGTGGCAGGCACCTGTAATCTCAGCTACTAGGGAAGCTGAGGCACGAGAATCACTTGAAGCCACAAGGCAGAGGCTGCAGTGAGCTGAGATTGCGCCACTGCACTCCTGCCTGGATGACAGAGTCTCACTCTGTCATCAAAAAAAAAAAAAAAAGGAGTTGTTTGGTTGCTGTTAATGCCATCAAAGGGTTAAAAGAATAAAAGACAGACTCACATCAGCCAGCTATCAATTTATGATATAGTTAAAAGCTAGAAGAAGCCGGGCTCACACCTGTAATCCCAGCACTTTGGGAGGATCACTTGAGCCCAGGAGTTCGAGACAAGCCCCAGCAACATAGGAATACCCTGTCTCTACAAAAAATAAATTATCTGGGTATGGTGGTGAGCACCTGTGTTCCCAGCTATTCAGAAGGCTGAGGTGGGAGGATCACTTGAGCCCAGGAGGTTGAGGCTGCAGTGAGCCATGATTGTGCCATTGCATTCCAGCCTGGGCGACAGAGCAAGACCCTATCTTAAAACAAAACAAAAACCAGAAGACCTCTATGGCAGCATGTAAGGAAACCCTCACCTCCTGTGCAGGGCAGACTGTGATGAAAATCAGTCCTATAATCTGATTGCAAGAGTAGCAGGGTTTTATATTTAAAGCCCCAGCAGGTCAGGGCCCTGGGAGGGAAGGAGTGGGATCCTGAGGCCTGGTATGGGAACATCTGTTCTAAAACCCCCTTATTATGCTGAGTTATTTGGGCTGGCAGAATTGGCCTCTCCCCCTGGGTGGAAGAGAGCAGCCTCCCCTTGCCTAGATAACATGCAGATTCCTCACCTGAGGCAGACGCCTCACAAGATGATACTTGCCCTCTTCAAAGCCTGATGTTGACTCCCCTCCATGACTCTAGACCAATAACAATGGTCAAGTCTCATCAGGGACCAAGTGGGGAAGCACTGTCCCATCTATGGAAAGAAAAGGATGATTCACCAAAAGACCTGCAGGAGCTGGTGAACATTTACCAGAAGAATTTGGCAGAACATGTTTGGGAACATATCTTGAGGGTGTTAGACTGGGGTCAGGGGGTGGAATATAAGGCTGAGTAAGGCCGGGTCGGGTGGCTCATTCCTGTAATCCCAGCACTTTGGGAGACTGAGGCGGGAGGATCACCTGAGGTCAGGAATTCGAGAACAGCATGGCCAACATGGTGAAACCCCATCTCTACTAAAAATACAAAAAAATTAGCTGGGCCTGGTGGCGTGTGCCTGTACTCCCAGCTACTCAGGAGGCTGAGGCACAAAAGTCCCTTGAACCCGGGCAGTGGAGGTTGGCAGTGAGTCTAGATCGCACCACTGCACTCCAGCCTGGGTAACAGAGTAAGACTCCGTCTCAGAAAAAAAAAAAAAATGCTGAATAAGGGTACGTTTATTGATATGGAATGCCCTACCTGGTAAGGATTTAACATTTTATTTTATTTTATTTATTATTTATTTATTTATTTATTTATTTATTTATTTATTATTTATTTTGAGATGAGTCTTGCTCTGTAACCCAGGCTGGAGTGCAATGGTGCGATCTAGGCTCACTGCAACCTCCGCCTCCTGAGTTCAAGCAATTCTCCTGCCTCAGCCTCCCGAGTAGCTGGGATTACAGGTGCACACCACCATACCGGGCTAATTTTTGTATTTTTAGTAGAGACGGGTTTTCACCATGTTGACCAGTCTGGTCTCAAACTCATGACCTCAAGTGATCCATCTGCCTTGGCCTCCCAAAGTGCTGAGATTACAGGAGTGAGCCATCACGCCTGGCCTGGGATTTAACATTTTAAAGCTTGGCAAGGACACCAGAAGCCTGTTGCAATATGCCCCCGGGATAGATCTTCAAAGTGTGGAAAAACTATGAGTTCCAGCAAATGAGGTAGAGATGTTGGAACTTCCTTGACAGAATACTTGGAAGAATAAAGGCTCAGAAAAGTGGGCATGCCAGAATAAAATGACTATTATATAAGACTATAGAACCCTCCAGCCTACTGTGTTCTTCATGAGGGCCCAGAAATACTCAATAAATAAAGTGATACAAAAGGTGCTAGTTGGAACAGGGCCACTGGCATTTGCAGGTCAGTGGTAGCTGTCCTCAGCAGGCCAGAGCAATGGTAGCGGGAGCTGCTATGGGACTAGCCTTTCTAGAGTCAGTGGGTATAACAGGAGTCCAGAACGAGGTCAGGCGACAGCACGTGGTCATGAGAGGCTAAGTGGACATAATTACCGTAATAGGCAGAAAGACCAGAAATGTAAGCAGGGATCTATTGTGATGACCAAGAGACCATGGTGTTCCCAGATAGGAGGATGGTGAAGGAGGGTATCTCTTGCTTATAAAAACAAGCAAGAATGAGACAGCAGAAGGCTGAAGTTAGCCACTGCAAAGGAAAATCCCCATCCCATACCCAGTTTCCAGGCCCAAACCAGTTTTCAGATATAGAGCCCTTTGTCTTTTTTTTTTTTTTTTTTTTTTTTGAGATGGAGTCTTGCTCTGTCACCCAGGCTGGAGTGCAGTGGTGCAATCTTGGCTCACTGTAACCTCCACCTCCCAGGTTCAAGCGGTTCTCCTGCCTCAGCCTCCCAAGTAGCTGGGATTACAGGTGCTCGCCACCACACCTAGCTAATTTTTTGTATTTTTAGTAGAGACGGGGTTTCACCATGTTGGCCAGGCTGGTCTCGAACTCCTCACCTCAAGTGATGTGCCACCTCGGCCTCCCAAAGTGCTGGGATTACACATGTGAGCCACCAAACGTGGCCAAATATAGAGCCCTTTCATTGAAGTGGGGGCCAGTTCCCTTCAGGAAGAATCCTACAATGCCATGGCAAGTTTATATCATGGTAATTATCCTATTCTTCCCCCAAAGGTACTTACAGCTGCTTATCAGAGCAACTGCATCCTGGGGAAAGGGAAATACTCAGATCTTTCAAGGCTTTTGGATACAGAGTTGGAACTGACACTAATATTAAGGAACCAAAATGCCATCATGGGCATGTATTAGTGTGGGGCATATGGAGGCCAGGTGATGAAAGGAGATCTGGCCCATCAGTCTGCTTGATGGTTATTTCCCTGGCCCCTGAATACATAGTGGAATAGAGGTACTTAGTAGATAGCAGATCTCTCGCGTTGGTTTCCTGAAATAAGAGCCATTACCACACCTGTAATCCCAAGTGTGGAGGCCAAGGTGGGAGGATCACTTGAGCCCAGGAGTTTGAGAGCAGCCTGGGCAAAATAGTGAAACCTCATCTCTACAAAAAAATTTTTTTAAATTAGCTGGGTATCGTGGCACACTCCTGTAGTCCCAGCTACTCAGGACACTGAGGTGGGAGGATTGGTTAAGCCAGGGAGGTCAAGATTGCAGTGAGCTGAGATTGTACCACTGCACTCCACCCTGTGTGACATAATGAAACCATCTCCAAAAAAAAAAAGAATGAAATAAGAGTCATTAGGGTAGGAAAGGCCAATTAGAAATTGCTTCCTCATCTCCCTCCCAAGAGAGTTAATCAGAAGCAATGCCCCAGCCCAGGTGGAATGGCAGTGGTTGGAGTCACTCACAAAGGATATAAAAGTGGTGGTTCCCAGGATATCCCCATTTAATTCATCAATCTGGCTCTTGCAAAAACCAGATGGATCATTGTAGATGAGGGTGCACATAACCAAGTGGCGCCCTGATTGAGTGCTGTGCCAGATGTGTTAGCTTTCTTAGAACAGATCAACAGAGTCCCTGCCATTTAGTCCATGACTGTTAATTTGTTGAAGGAAGTAAGATTAGAAGCAGATTCCTGCCAGGCTCGGTGGCTCACGCCTGTAATACCAGCACTTTGGGAGGCCAAGGCAGGCAGATCACTTGAAGTCAGGAGTTTGAGACCAGCCTGACCAAGATGGTGAAACCCTGTCTCTACTAAAAATACAGGAATTAGCCAGACGTGGTGGTGGGTACCTGTAATCCCAGCTACTCAGGAGACTGAGGCACGAGAATCACTTGAACCCGGGAGAGGGAGGTTGCAGTGAGCCGAGATCGAGCCACTGTACTCTAGCGGGGGCAACATAGCGAGACTCAGTCTCAAAAAAAAAAGCCGATTCCTTTCCCTGAGGACAGACAAAAGTCCACATCCACAGTCTTACCCCAGGGCTATGTTAACTGTCCTGCTTTCTGTCATAATAGAGCAGAAACCTTGATCATCTTGGCATTCCACACAACATCACACAATCCATTGTACCGACGACATTGAGCTAATGGAACCTGGTGAACAGAAAGTGGCAAGGCACGTGCTTGCCAGAGGTTGGAGGATAAATCCTACAAAGACTCAAGGATCTTTGCAAAATTTGTCAGAGTCCAGTGAACTGGCACCACCATGTGTCTCCTATCCCTAGGAAAGATGCACAAAGCCTGGCAAGCCCCTTCAGATATGGGAGATGGCACATGCCACACTTGGAAATACTGCTCCAACTAATTTTCAGGGAACTCCGAAGGCTGCTGGTTTTGAGTGGGGCCCACAACAAGAGAGGTTTTTTTCAGTCCAGGCCAAAATGCAAAGTTCCCTGCCACTTGGGCTCATATAGCCTAGCAGATGCCATCTATCTATGATTCATAGGATGCTTTGGGGAGTCTCTGGCAAGCCCAGAAGGTTCTGGAGCAAGGCCATGCCATCTACAGCAGAGGACTGTTCCGGTTTTAAAAAATAATCTTCTGGCCGGGTGCATCGGCTCACACCTGTAATGCCAGCACTTTGGGAGGTCAAGGGATCACCTGAGGTCAGGAGTTCGAGACCAGCCTGGCCAACATGGTGAAACCCTGTCTACTAAAAATACAAAAATTAGTCAGGTGTGGTGGTGCACGCTTGTAGTCCCAGCTACTCGGGAGGCTGAGGCACGAGAATGGCGTGAACCCAGGAAGTGGAGGTTGCAGTGAGCCGAGATTGTGCCACTGCACTCCAGCCTGGGTAAGAGAACAAGTCTCTGTCTCAAAAAAAGAAGTCTTCGGTTGTGCTGCAGAGACCTGACCATTGGACAGGTATGGTGATGTGATCAGAGCTGCCCATTGCGAAGCGGGAACTGTCAGATACACCAAGTGACACAGTTGAGCAGGTGCAGCAATAATCCATCCTACCATGGAAATGGTGCATTCCAGATGAGGACTACTCAGCCTAAAGCGCACAAGTAAGTTACATGAACAGGCAGCCAGACCCCCAGGGCACGTATCCCTGTTGCAGCTATGTCTCTCCCTCAACTCACACCTTTGGCCTCATGGGGAGTTCTTTATCACCAGTTGACAGAGGAGGAAAAAAAGCCCCAGATCTAATTTACAGATAAAATGGCTTCCTAGGTTGGTGTGGACTGAAAATGAACTTCAGCCACATCACAGCCACAGTCAAGGGTGGCCCTGAAAGGCAGTGGTGAGGGGAAACCCCCTTGATGACAGAGCTGCTGACATTAGCACCTGGTCAGCAACATAAGGTGGAAGGAAAAGGGCTTTGAGCTAAGGATATACACAGATTACTAGGTAGAGGCCAGAGTCTTGTCTGATAGGTCAGAGACCTAGAAGGAGCAAGGCTGGAAGATCTGAGACGGGTTTTTGTGAGGGGAGGACAAATGGATGGATTTGCTGGAGTGAGCACAAAGTTTGCACTATGTCTCTATTGGTACCCCACGGTGAGCATCCTTTGCAGAAGGGGTACTAAGCAACCGGGCGGACAAGATAGCCTGGTCAGTAGATGTCCTTCAGCTTCTTTTTATTTTTATTTATTTATTTATTTTTGAGACAGGACCTCGCTCTGTTGCCCAGGAGTGCAATGGAGTGATCATGGTTCACTGCAGCCTTGACCTCCCTGGGCTCAGATGATCCTCCCACCTCAGCCTCCCAACTAGCTGGGACAACAGGCACACACCACCGTGTCTGGCTAATTGTGTGTGTGTGTGTGTGTGTGTGTGTGTGTGTGTGTGTGTGCAGAGACAGGGTTTTGCTATGTTGCCCAGGCTGGTCTCGAACTCCTGGGCTCAAGCGAGCTTCCTGCCTTGGCCTCCCAAAGTGCTGGGATTATAGGTATGAGCCACCGCACCCGGGAGACAGAGCTTGCAGTGACCTGAGATTGCGCCATTGCACTCCAGCCTGGGTGGCAGAGCAAGATTCTGTCTCAAAAAAAAAAAGCTACAGTATCTACTTGGAACTAATGGTCATTATATGGTGCTGTGTCTGCTATAGCTAGAATACATGGTTCCAGGAACCTAGGAATAGAAGTTGGAGTGATCCCCCTCACCATCCTTCCCAGGAACCCACTGGGAAATATATGTTTCTCACCCACACTACTTTTTTTTTTTTTTTTTAATTTTGTAGAGACAAGGTCTCACTATGGTGCACAGGCTGGTTTTAAACTCCTGGTATCAAACAATCCTCCTCCCTTGGCCTCCCAAAGTGCTGGGATCATAGGCATGAGCCACTGAGCCCTGCCTTTTAAAAAAAAAAAAATAGAGAGGGACAGCTGCTTGCTGTGTTGCCCAGGCTGAACTGCAGTGGCTATTTACCAGCAGGATTATCACACAAAACAGTCTTGAACTCCTGGGCTCAAGTGATCCTCCTGTCTCAGCCTCCGGAGTAGCTGGGACTACAGGTGTGCACCACGGTGTCCAGCTTTACCTCCTGCCACTTTATACTTTGGTAGACTAGTGATCATGATTGGTGATCCTGATTCCCAAGGGTAGGTGAAGGGAATGCTTCTACCAGGCCACTCAGTAAGGATTCCACTAAAACTGAAGCTATGGCTGCCTTATGATCGTTTTGAGCTCCTCGGGCCAGTAGATCAGCAGACAAAATAAAAAGAAGCTACTCTCCTGGCAGGGTAATCAACCCTGATTATCATGAGGAGACAGGGTTGCTGCTATATAATGGGTGCAGAAAGAATAAATCTAGACCTCAGGGGATTGACTGGTCACCTCGTGTTGACTCCATGAGTGATGATAACTGAATGGGCAACTGCAGCAAAACCATGATCTGAATGGATATGGAAACCAGGGGCTCAGACCCATCAGGAATACCCCCTGAAGCAGCATCATTCACCATAGCCAAAAAGTGGAGACAACCCAAAAGTCCATCAGCTGATGAATGGACCAACAAAATGTATTATATGCATACAATGGAATATTATTCAGCAATAAAAAGGAATGAAATACTGATACATGCTACAACATGGATGACCTTGAAAATATCATGGTTAGTGAAAGAAGCCAGCCACCAAAAAACCTATATTGTATGATTTTTTTTTTTTTTTTTGAGATGGAGTTTTGTTCTTGTTGCCCAGGCTGGAGTGCAGTGGCACAGTCTCTGCTCACTGTAATGTCCGCCTCCCAGGTTCAAGCGATTCTCCTGCCTCAGCCTCCCAAGTAGCTGGAAGTACAGGCTCCTATCACTATGCCCAGCTAATTTTTGTATTTTTAGTAGAGACGGGTTTCACCATGTTGGCCAGCCTGGTCTCGAACTCCTGACCGCAGGTGATCTGCTCACCTCAGCCTCCCAAAGTGCTGGGATTACAGGCATGACCCACAGCGCCCAGCCTATATTGTATGATTTTATTTACATGAAATGTCTAGAATAGGCAAATCTATAGAGACAGAAACAATATTAATGGTTGCCTAGGGCTGGAGGGAGGAATGAGGAGTGATGGCTGATGGGCATGGAATTTCTTTTTGGAGTGATGGAAATACTCTAAACTTAGAATGTAGTGGTTGTAGAACTCGGGGAGTAATAAAAGCCACTGAATTGTGCACTTTAAATGGGTGAATTTTATGGCATGTGAATTATACTTCAATAAAGATGTTACAAAGGAAACTTATAACAGTATACTTCCATTTCTTCTGTCCCTGACTTTGAATATTGTTGTTAGACATTTTACTGTAGTTGGTATATTCATGCATATTAATGAGATTGGCTATTTTTTCAGATGCTTATTGAGCCAGGTGAGGTGATGTGAGCCTATAGTCCCAGCTACTTGGGAGGCTGAAGCAGGAGGATTGCTTGAGGCCCGTCCTGGACTGTAGTGCGCTATGCAGATCGGGTGTCCACACTAAGTTCAGCATCGATATAGTGACCTCCCAGGAGTGGGGGACCAACAGGTTGCCTAAGGTGGAGTGAACCAGCCCAGGGTGGAAAGGGAGGAGGTCAAACCTCCCATGCTGATCAGTAGTGGGATCACGCCTGTGAATAGCCACTGCACTCCAGCCTGGGCAACATAGAAAGACCCCGTCTCAGCCAGGTGCGGTGGCTCACGCCTGTAATCCCAGCACTTTGGAAGGCCAAGGCAGGCGGATCACGAGGTCAGGAGATTGAGACCATCCTGGCTAACACGGTGAAACCCCGTCTCTACTAAAAATACAAAAAATTAGCCAGGCGTGGTAGTGGTAGGTGCCTGTAGTCCCAGCTACTCGGGAGGCTGAGGCAGGAGAATGGCATGAACTTGGGAGGCAGAGTTTGCATCGAGCCGAGATCGTGCCACTGCACTCCAGCCTAGGCGACAGTGCGAGGCTCCGTCTCAAAAAAAAAAAAAAGAAAGACCCTGTCTCTAAAAAAATAATAAAATTAATCAAATTCTTATTGGTCAGTTGGATTTTCTCTACTGTGAAGTTCCTCTTCAAAGTATTTTCGTCATTTTCTATTGAACTGTTTTTTGTTTTGTTTTGTTTTTTAATTGTTTTGTAGTAGTTCTTTATATGCTCTTTGTATATTCCAGATATTAATTTTTTTCGAGACGATCTCCCTCTGTCACCCAGGCTGGAGTGCAGTGGCACCATCACAGCTCACCGCAGCCTTGATTTCCTGGGCTCAAGCGATTCTCCCACCTAACCCTCCCAAATAGCTGGGACTACAGGCAAGCACCACCACATCCTGCTAATTTTTAGATTTTTTTGTAGAGATGGAGTCTTGCTGTGTTGCCTAGGCTGGTCTCAAGGGATCCTCCTGCCTTGGCCTTCCAAAGTTGTTGGGATTACGGGTGTGAGCCACCACACTGGTCCAGATATTAATTTTTTGTCACTTATATGTGTTATAAGTATCTTCTAACATTCTGTGGCTTACCAACACTTTAGTTATTTTTCTTTCTCTTTCTTCCTCTTTCTTTCTTTCCTTTTCTTTTCTTTTCTTCTTTTCTTTAAGTGATAGAGTCTCATTCTATTGCCCAGGCTGGTCTTCAAGTTTTGGGCTCAAGCTGTCTTCCCACCTCATCCTCCTGAGTAGCTGGAATTACAGGCATAAGCCACCATGCCCAGCCCAATAAGATATTTTGAGAGAGAGAGACCACATTCATATAACTTTTAATACAGTGTAATTGTTCCAGCTTATTATTAGTTGTTGTAATCTCTTACTGTGCCTAATTTATAAATTAAACTTTATCATAGGTATGTGTACATATGAAAAAACAGTATAGGCCAGGCGCAGTGGCTCATGCCTGTAATCCCAGCACTTTGGAGGCCAAGGCAGAGTTCACCTGAGGTCAGGAGTTCAAGACCAGCCTGGCCAACATGATGAAACCCTGTCTTAGCCAGGCATGGTGTCATGTGCCTGTAATCCCAGCTACTGGGGATGGGGGACTGAAGCAGGAGGATCGCTTGAACCCGGGAGGCGGAGGTTGCAGTGAGCTGAGATCGTGCCACTGCACTCCAGCCTGGGCAACAAAGTGAGACTCTGTCTCAAAAAAAAAAAAAAAAAAAAAAACATAATATATATAGGGTTCCTTACTCTCCACATACAGGGTTCCATACTATCCACAGTTTCAGGCAACTACTGGGGGTCTTGGAACATATTCTCTGAAGATAAGGGGGAACTACTGTAGTGTTATTTTACTTTAAATTCTATAATTGTTCTACCTTTAGCCATTGTGAACTGCATCGTATATATTTTTGTCATCTTCTTACCATTACCTTTTAGCATACACATTCAACAAACATTTGAGGCTGGGCATGGTGGTTCACGCCCGTAATCCCAGCACTTTGGGAGGCCGAGACAGGTGGATCACCTGAGGCCAGGAGTTCGAGACGTGGCCAACATGTGAAACCCCAACTCTACTAAAAATACCAAATTTAGCCGGGCATGGTGGCGTGTGCCTGTAATCCCAGCTACTCTGGGGTCTGAGGCAGGAGAATTGCTTGAACCCAGGAGGTGGAGGTTGCAGTGAGCTGAGATCGCGCCACTGCACTCCAGCCTGGGTGACAAGAGTGAAACTCCGTCTCAAACAAAAAAAATATTTGAGAACCTACTGTGTGCCCTGGGCTAATAGTGGAACAGACTAAAGAAGAGGAATGAAACGGGAAGCTAGACAGAAGAATTTGAATATCAGCATATGAACGTTAGTAGGAAGTGGCAAGCTCCCGCTTGGGCTTGAGAAGGTCATCCAGTTACAGGGAAGCCAATGGTTGGCCCTTTGGTGATTGGCCAGATAAGGCGGAAGTTTTGCAGTCACTCCTTGGTTTCTGGCGTGAGCAATGGCTGGAAGGGGCATAACTGGCTGAGATAGGCCACCCTGGAGGAGGGCCAGGTTGTGACAGTGCACTATGAAAGTGCAGAGTGGAGGGAGAAGATAGCTCAGGAGGGATGGATTTGGGGGAGAACCGACGTGGGGGGAGGTGATAGGAGGAAGACTAGCTAGCCAGGAAGATAAAGAAGAAACCACCAAAGAGATAGGAGAGGACCTGGGGTGCAGATATTTCCAAGAAGGGACAGGCTCCGTGTGTCAAATGCTGCAGAGAAATCCAGCTGGGAGCCGGGCACAGTGGCTCATGCCCGTACTCCCAGCACTTTGGAAGGCAGAAGTGGGAGGATCATTTGAGCCCAGGAGTTCAAGACCAGCAACATAATGAGATCTCATCTCTACCAAAAATTTAAAAAAAAGAAAAAATGAGACAGGAGGATTGCTTGAGCCCAGGAGGTCGAGGCTGCAATGAGCTGTTGATTGTGCCACTGCACTCCCACCTGGATGACAGAGTGAGACCCTGTCTAAAAAAAAAAAAAAATCCAGCCAGGGATCTGGGGTCACCCATTAGACGTGGCCATTAATAGGTTCTTCATGGAAAGGGGAGATGGGGGAGAGGCTTGGCGGAGGAAGAGGAGAGTGTCACTCTGAGTTGAGCTGTGAAGGGGAGGAGAGCCATAGGGCCATGGCTCTAGGTAAAGGAGGATTGTCCGGTGGGTTTAACAGGACAGACTCGGGCTTTGGGGGAGGCATGAGTAGAGGGAGAGTGGGCTTCTTGGAGAGCGGTCGACTGAGGGAGGGAGACCAGAGGCCTGGGTATGTGTCGGTAGCTGACGGAGGACTCAGGGTGGCAGGGAGTGGTATTGAACAGCCTGAGCCCCCAGTGGATGGGTGGAGCTGGGGGAGGGAAGGTGATTTATTAAATTCTTCAAGATCCAAGGACGTTTACTGAATGGAGAGAAAACCTCACTCTTGCCAAAACTTGGTTTCATGTGCAGTTTATTAAGCTAATGGGTTTATCAAATAATCGATATCTCTTTAAACAATCAACATCTCTTTAATATTCACCTAAGCAAAAGTTAACACTTAGGAGTTCGACAAATTAAATTTTTCCTAACATATTAAACATGAATTACCTAGACCGGCCACAGTGCTTCACACCTGTAATCCTAGCACTTTGGGAGGCTGAGGCGGGCAGATCACTTGAGGTCAGGAGTTTGAGACCAGCCTGGCCAACATGGTGAAACCCTGTCTCTACTAAGAATACAAAAATTAACCAGGTGTGGTGGTGCACACCTGTAATCCCAGCTACTCAGGAGGCTGAGGCATGAGAATCACTTGAACCCGGGAGGTAGACGTTGCAGTGAGCTGAGATTGTGCCACTGCACTCCAGCTTGGGTGACAGACTGAGACTTTGTCTCAAAAAATAATAATAAATAAAAGTACTCATGTTTATATTTAAAAAACATGAATTACCTAAACAATGAAAATTAAAATACTATCGTGCATTTACTATGCATCAAGCACTGTTTGAAGTGCTTTGAACGTATTCTTCATTTAATTCTCACAACAGCCCCATGAAGGACATTCAATTATTATCATCTGGTTCCCACTTTGCAGCTGAGGAAACTGAAGCCCTGAGAGGTGAAGTGACTTGCCCAAGGTCACACAGCTGGTGAATGTTAGCATTGGGATTTTTAACTCGGTCCCATGGGCCCTGGAGACTCTGCTTCAATTACACACCGTAATGAAATTATGGATGATTTATCTGAACACTTTAAACGCCTTAAACAGTTTTTTTTTTTTTCTGAGACGGAGTCTCAATCTGTTGCCCAGGCTGGAGTGCAGTGGTATGATCTCGGCTCACTGCAACCTCTGCCTCCCAGGTTAAAGCGATTCTCCTGCCTCAGCCTCCCGAGCATCTGGGATTACCTGCATGTGCCACCATGCCCGGCTAATTTTTGTATTCTTAGTAGAGACGGGGGTTTCACCATGTTGGCCAGGCTGGTCTTGAACTCTTGACCTTGTAATGTGCCCACCTCAGCTTCCCAAAATGCTGAGATTACAGGCATGAGCCACCATGCCCGGTTTTTTGTTTGTTTGTTTGTTTGTTTGAGACAGGGTCTCACTCTATCGCCCAGGCCAGAGTGCAGTGGTGCGATCTCGGCTCACTGCAACCTCTGCCTCTAGGGTTCAAGCGATTCTTCTGCCTGTAATCTTGTAATCCCAGCTACTCAGGAGGCTGAGGCATGAGTAGCTGGGATTACAGGCACCTGCCACCACACCCAGCTAATTTTTGTATTTTTAGTAGAGATGGGGTTCCACCATGTTGGCCAGGTTGGTCTCGAACCCCTGACCTCAGGCGATCCACCCACCTCGGCCTCCCAAAGTGCTGGGATTACAGGCGTGAGCCACTGCACCCGCCCAACAATTTTTTTTTTTTTTTTTTTGGGGACAGGGCCTCACTCTGTCACCCAGGTGGGAGTGCAGTGGCACAATCATGGCTCACTGCAGCCTCGACCTCCCCAGGCTCAAGCAATTCTCCCACCTCAGCTTCCCTGGTAGCTGGGACCACAGGTGCATGCCACCATGCCAAGCTAATATTTTGTATTTTTTGTAGAGATGGGGTTTTGCCATGTTGGCCAGGCTGGTCTCAAATTCCTGGGCTCAAGTGATCCTCCCGTCTCGGCCTCCCAAAGTGTTGGGATTACAGGCATAAGCCACAGCACCTGGCCACCCTAAACAATTGACAAAGCATACACCAATCAAATTATTTGAAACATACTAAATCTGGTTATCTGGCAAACTGAGGGTTTCTTTGTGATGGTAAACTTCCAAACTCTCTTTATTTTTGATTTAATTTAATTTTATTTTGAGACAGGATCTCCCTCTGTCGCCAGGCTGGAGTGCAGTGGTGCGATCTAGACTCACTGCAATCTCCGCCTCCTGGGTTCAAGCGATTCTCCTGCCTCAGCCTCCCGAATATCTGGGACTACAGATACAAGCCACCACAGCCAGCTAATTTTTGTATTTCTAGTACAGACGCGGTTTCACTTGTTGGCCAGGATGGTCTCAATTGCTTGACCTCATGATCTGCCTGCCTCAGCCTCCCAAAGTGCTGGGATTACAGGCGTGAGCCACCATGCCGGGACACACCAGCTTATTTTTATATTTTTCAGAGATGGGTTTTCGCTGTGTTGGCCAGGCTGTTCTCGAACCCCTGACCTCAAGTGATTCGCCCACCTTGGCCTCTCAAAGTGCTGGGATTACAGGCGTGAGACACTGTACCTGGACCCAAACTCTCTTTAAAGTAGAGGTGTCTCTTCTGTCCTTGCTTGCTTTTTGCCTTCATCTCATGCCCCATCCCCCCATCCCGCTGATCCCGCAGAGGCCTGTCCATGATTACAAGCATGTTTTGACCCTCGAGCCCTCCTGTCTGTGTAGCCCTGATGCTTTCCTGGTTTATCTCAGGTTAGCCTAATTCTCTGTCTTGCTGATGCTCAGACTACCAGCAATGGGCTTCTCAGCACTGCCTCTGACATCCTTGAAAGTTTTCTTGCTTCCTGGGATCAACCAGATTTTCAAGTCACATGCTGATTTTCTGTTTTTTGTCTTGAGACAGGGTCTCACTCTGTTGCCCAGGCTGGAGTGCACTGGCGCAATCACGGCTCACTTCAGCCTCAACCTCCCAGGCTCAAGAGATCCTCTGCTCTCTGCCTTCCAAGTAGCTGAGACTACAGCCACACACCATCATGCCCAGCTAATTTTTTTTTTTTGGAGACAAAGTCTTGCTCTATCGCCAGGCTGGAGTGCAGTGGTGTGATCTCAGCTCACTGCAACCTCCACCTCCCAGGTTCAAGTGATTCTCCTGCCTCAGCCTCCCGAGTAGCTGGGACTACAGGTGCGTGCCACCACGCCCAGCTAATTTTTGTATTTTTAGTAGAGACGGGGTTTCACCACGTTGGCCAAGATGGTCTTGATCTCTTGACCTCGTGATCCCCCCACCTCGGCCTCCCAGAGTACTGAAATTATAGGCTTGAGCCACTGCGCCCGGCCAAGCCCAGCTGATTTTTAAATTTTTTGTAGAGACAGTGTCTCACTATGTTGCTCAGCTGGTCTCGACCTCCTAGGCTCAAGCAGTCCTCCCACCTCAGCCTCCCAAAGTGCTGGGATTATAGGCATGAGTCACTGCACCAGGACCTGACTTTCTTTTTCACACCCCAAGACAGAGAATCCATTATCATCCTAAGAATCTTATTTCCTTTGAGTGGAAAAGTATTAGAGATTAAAATCTGGATGTGGGGCCACATTTAGTGTGGTCAGTGGCCTCCAGTGGCGAAGAGTCCTGGTGTGAGCAAACACCCCCATGGTGAGGTCCTGCAAATCCAGGGCCTGCTGGGCAGATGAGGCAGAAGACAGAGGTATTTATACGTCACAGCTACTGGCAGTCCTTCATGGCATCTACCCTCCAGGCCTTCCTGACTGAGATGAAGAAGGAATGGCAGGAGCCACCAAACCGCCGGCTCATTTCATCATTGACACACCTGCTACAGGCTTCCAGCATGTTTACCTCTCTGCTAAATCACAGGAGGAAATCCATACTAATTCCTGGGGTTTGCTGGCCAAAATGATGTGTAACTTGGTGCATGAATGGCTCCTACAGGCTCTGGGCTGCTGCTTCTCTCTGCACAGACCCAGGATTAGGTGTGTTTACTCTCCCCTAGGCTTGGAGGCTTCCAGGTCCCTCAGCTTTGGTTTCAAACTTCTGTATCCCAGGTGCCTAGCACAGTGCCTGACACATGGGTGGTGCAGAGTGGGTTCAAAATAAATGTTTGTAGATTGACTACCTGAATGAATAAATGAACCAACTTCCCCCATCTTCTCAAAGTGGAGGCTAGGAAACTCCATTCTTCCTATTTCCAAAGAATAAACTGAGGCACAGACTGGAAACCGCGCCCCACCCCACGGCTGATATCGGAACCAGTATGTTTCCTCCAAAGCAAGATGGGTTAATGTTGGCCCCTCCCAAGTCTCTCAGCTGACAGCGCTGGGTTCTGAGATAGAAGCCTGGGCCCCATAGACACCAGTCTCTACTCCCCACCCAACCCCACCCAGGGCCCCTTCAACACCACGGGCCCAGAGCCAGTTGAAATTAACCAGTGCAGGGACAGGCCTGTGGCTCTGGGTCCTGACTGGCTGCTCCACAGTCTGTTCAAAAAGAAACAAGAGGTGGCAGGGCGCGGGGGCTCACACCTGTAATTCCAGCACTTTGGGAAGCCTAAGCAGGTGGATCACTTGAGGTCAGGAGTTCGAGACCAGCCGGGACAACATGGCAAAAACCCTTCTCTACCAAACATACAAAAAATTAGCCAGGCATCATGGCACATGCCTGTAATCCAAGCTACTTGGGAGGTTGAGGCAGGAGAATCACTTGAGCCCAGGAGGCAGAGGTTGCAGTGAGCGAGAACGTACCACTGCACTCCAGCCTGGGTGACAGAGTGAGACTCCGTCTCAAAAAAAAAAAAAAAAAACCTAAAAAAAACAAGAGGAGCTGGGGAGTGGTGGCTCACTCTTGTAATCCCAGCACTTTGGGAGGCCAAAGTGAGAGGATCACTTGAGTCCATGAGTTTCAGACCAGCTGATGCAATATTGGGAGACCCGGTCTCAACAACAACAATTAGCCCAGCATGGTGGTGTGTGGCTGTAGTCCCAGCTACTTGGCAGGCTGAGATGGGAGGATCGCTTGAGCCCAGGAGTTCGAGGCCGCAGTGAGCTGTGATCGCACCACTGCACTCCAGCCTGGGTGACAGAGCCAGACCCTGTCACTAAAAACAAAAAGAAAGAAACAAGGAGCCAGAGGAGGGGGAGCTTGGACTTGGGGGCTCCCTGTCCTTCTCCAGGCTCTCAGAGGGACAGCTGAGTCTGAGTGGAGTCATCTAGGGTCCGCTTGACTTCCCACCACACAGGGAGACTGAGGCACAGAGGAGGAATAGACATTTCTGGGGTTTTCCCTGTGAGGTCTCCCCAGAGCTCAACCTTCCTGCTGGGATTAGGGGTGGGCTTCTCAAGTCCCCTACTTGGGAAAGTCCACAAAGGAGGAGAAGCCAGGGCCAGGGGTTTGGGGCCCAGAGAGTTTTTGCTCCATCAGCCAGGCCTTTGGGCATCTAACGCCCTGCCTGGAGCATTCTGAAGGTGGCAGAGGCCCCTGGTCTCAGGGCCCAGCACAGGGAAGACTCCCACAGCAGCCCCCATGCCCACTGGGGTTTTCTCCTAAAAGTGATCGCTACTATTTATCAAACTCAACTGTGTGCATGGAGCTGTGCTAAGGGCTGCCTGTGCAACGTCTTCCTATCAGCACAACCTCTCTAGGAGGCTGGGTGTTAAAGATGAAGAACTGTTTTTTTTTTTTTTTGAGACGGAGTCTCTCTCTGTCGCCCAGGCTGGAGTGCAGTTGCGAGATCTCAGCTCATTGCAACCTCTGCCTCCCAGGTTCAAGCGATTCTCCTGCCTCAATCTCTCAAGTAGCTAGGTTTACAGGCAGCTGCCACCACACCCAGCTAATTTTTTGTATTTTTAGTAGAGATGGGGTTTCACCATGTTGGCCAGGCTGGTCTCGAACTCCTGACCTCAGGTGATCCACCCACCTTGGTCTCCCAAAGTGCTGGGATTACAGGCGTGAGCCACTATGCCTGGCCATAAGGATGAAGAACTTGACTTTAGAGACCTCTGGGAACTTATTCAAGGTCGCACAACTAGTAAGACACCAGACCCTCTCAAAGCCATTGGCTTAACTGCTCCCCTACCTGCCCTGCCAAACACACACAGTGGGGGACACACCCATAGCCCTGGCCCTGTGACAGACCCTGCCATCAGCTGTCAGGTGGAGGCCCCAAACATCTGGCTTAGCAGATAGGACAGACCAAGAAGGGCTGGAGCTGCTCCCCAAGGGAGGCTTGGCCCTTTTCTGGGGGAACTATCTGTTCCCTCCTCCAGGACTAACACAGACAGAGTTTTTCCAGCAAGGAAGGGGCCCTCATGGGCTTGGATGGGAGGCCAGGACTGAGAAGAGGAGCTACCTGCCCTGAGGAAGGTTGGGTCAGCCATCGAGAGGCACCAGGAACCAGGGGATTTGTAGGGGAAAAAAGACAGGGGCAAGCCAGAGGGAAGATGGGAGCTGATCGCCCACAATGCCATCCTCACCCCCTTGGGTACACCAGCCGCTGCCTTGTCATACAGACATACCCTAGGACACGCAGGCATATTGGGCACAGATGCAAGAGAGACTTTCCCTTTACCTCCACCCACCCCCCTGCTCCCCCTTCCATTGTCCAGCCCAGGCCTAGCCAGGAGTATGGGTGGTCCAGTTACTTGCTGCTGTTTTGGGTTAATGTGGATTCACAGCTGCAGTGATTCTTTTTATTTATTTATTTATTTATTTATTTATTTATTTTCAGACGGACTCTTGCTCTGCCGCCCAGGCTGGAGTGCAGTGGTGCCATCTCAGCTCACTGTAATTTCCGCCTCCTGGGTTTAAGCAATTCTCCTGCCTCAGCCTCCAGAGTAGCTGGGATTACAGGTGTGTGCCACCACGCCCGGCTAATTTTTTTGTATTTTTAGTAAAGACTGGGTTTCACCATGTTGGCCAGGCTGGTTTCGAACTCCCGACTTCAAGTGACCTGCCCACCTCAGCCTCCCAAAGTGCTAGGATTACAGGTGTGAGCCACTGCAACTGGCCCGTGATTCATATTTTAACAGTGTTTGGTTGGCTTTAAATAAAGTGCATAGCAGGGGTGGGGGAACCCCTCCTTAATGCTGGGGTTCCTTTCACACAGCCAGTGTTGTCCAGGGGAGCCCAAGTGCACCCTTCTAGACACAGCGCCTCCCTACCCTGGCTCCAAGCATCAGGGGCCCTCTGATGGCACCTGGGATGCTGCCTGGGGCTGACCCTCGACCTCTACCTTTACCCCACAGCAGAGGAGGTTGTTCTGTGGTTCCGGGTATTTCAAAGGGTCACGCCTTGGTCGGGGCTGGGGCAGTGCAGAGGCAGCTTCCCCAGCAGTGACCACAGGCAGTCAGCCTCCATCACCCTTTGTTCTGAGCCACTGTGTGCCTGCTGCCCTGAAAGCAGAGGGTGACTGAGTCACAGGTGGGTCCTCAGGACCTAGCAGAAGGGGAGGCATGCATGGCGGAGGTCCGACGGGCTTCAGGAGAGAGGAGAGGAAGGCCAGTCGTCCACGCCAGGTCCAAGTCGAAGAAGGAGTGGAAGCTGGACTGCAGAGAGGCCTGAGCTCAATTTTAAAGTGAATGAAGCTAAGGGAGTGCGCAGAGACAGGACCAGTAGGGCAGGCTGGGGACGGAGAGCAAGTTCACAGCAGGGGCCAGGTCAGAAGGAGGAACTTGAACTTTATCCTGAGGCCACATGGAACAGCTGGAAGGGTCAGAAGTGGGAGGGAGCCAGGAGTGCAGGGTCAGGGGAAGGAAGAGGGGGCCGCCGGCCATAGGTCCTCCTCCACAGGGCTCCCCAGCATAGATTCCCCCCAGACATAGGATAGGTACTCTCCCTACGCGGGTCTCACGCCCTGCAGGTTCTCTGCACCTGCATGCAGGCCCTTCCAGGCGCCCCCCTACGCCAGGCCTGCGTCCCGGCCACCTAAGCCTGAGTAGACAGAGCTGAGGTCTTCAGCCACCGACTTCAATGACGTAGTGAATCAGGGCTGGGAACCAAGGCCGTCCCCGCCCTACCCAGCCAGCCCTACAGGCCAAGGTCAGTCTTAGTCGGCTGTGGTTTCCGGTCTGCTGCTGCCCCGCCAGAGCCTGGCTCCCTCCAGCTGGTTTGACCTCAAAATCTCACCGACTGAGAAGAGCCATTTCCTGGAGAGTTTCCCCTCCCTACCCCCATCCCAAGTTTCAGTGTGTGAATCCCCAGTCCCAATCCAGCTCTGCTGCTTATGAGCTGTGTGACCTCGGGGAATTTACTTCACCTCTCTGTACCCTACTTTCTTCAAGTTTTAGGAAGATTGAGTACAGGCTGACAGTAAAGACAGCACCCCTTATTGAGGATGGTCTTTGTGATGTGTGATTAAGTCTTTTGTATGGATGAGGAAGTTGAGGGTCAGATGTTGCTAGTTGGGGAGAGCCCAGATTTCAGCCTCTCATCCTGGGCTGGGGCTTTTTCCAAGACTAAACTCTCCTTATTTATTTTTTATTTTATTTTTATTTTTTTGAGATGGAGTTTCACTCTCATCGCCCAGGCTGCAGTGCAATGGTGCAACCTTGGCTCACCGCAACCTCTGCCTCCCAGGTTTAAGCGATTCTCCTGCCTCAGTCTCCCGAGTAGCTGGGATTGCAGGTGCCTGCCACCGAGCCTAGCTAATTTTTGTATTTTAGTAGAGACAGGATTTTGCGATGTTAGCCATGCTGGTCTCAAGCTCCTGACCTCAGGTGATCCACTCGCCTTAGCCTCCAAAAATGCTGGGATTACAGGCATGAGTCACTGCGTCTAGCCTCCTTTTTTTTATTTTAATTTTTGTGGGTACATAGTAATTGTATATATTTATGGGGTACATGTAAGGGGTACATGAGGTGTTTTGACACAGGCATGCAATGTGAAATAAGCACATCATGGAGAATGGGGTATCCATCCCCTCAAGCATCTAAACACTCTTTGATGACCCTTGTGTGAGCTGGTGTTTTTGTTTTTGTTTTGAGACAAGGTCTTGCTCTGTCACCCAGGCCAGAGTGCAGTGGCATGATCATGGCTCACTGCACCCTAGACCTCCTGGGCCCAGGCGATCCTCCTGCCTCAGCCTCCTTAGTAGCTGGGACTACAGGCATGCACCACCCCACCTGGCTAATTTTTATATTTTTTTGTAGAAATGGGGTTTCACCATGTTGCCCAATCTGGTCTTAAACTCCTGGGCTCAAGCAATCCACCCGCCGGGGCCTCCCAAAGTGCTGGGCTGGGATTACAGGCATGAGCCACCATGCCCGACCGTGTGAGCAGGTGTTGAACGAATAAAGGAATAGTAACTGCTGGTTGACTTGGTCATTTTGAACCCCTGGGTCTCTGGAAACTTGTGAGCCATCTGAGGGCAGCTCTATCCACCCGTGGGCTGATTTTCACCCCTGGGGACAGAGACTAGACAGTGGGATTAGTAATGGTTAGAGGGTACCTAAAAGGATGGGAAGATGCAGGCCAGGATGGGAATTAGAGGTGACCTGGGAGGTCAGCACTACAGGGTACAGGAATGACGCTGTCAAATTTTCTCCATCAGAGGGTTCCACCCATCCTTCAAGGTGTCTCTTCCTTGAAGCCTTCCCTGACCACTTCATTCTCTTGTTTAATAATTCCTGGGACATGAGAAGCTACAGCTCAGCCCCTGTGAGCTGACTGTACCCTGTGACTGCATGTGACACAGTCTGACCATTATGCAGCATCAAATCATTTCTGGAGAGCTTGCCAATACATTAGCTCACTTAACCCTCTTAACAGCCCTGGGACGGAGGAGTTACGTGTTTATCACCTCGGTTCTAAGGTCCAGAGAAGTTTGAATGTCTTGCTCACAGGAGCATTGGCTGAGACTCAAGTTTAGGCTCCCTGGTTCCAAATCACATACATTCTGTTCATTACAGCACTTTACCTGAGGTTGAGGCTGCCTCTGCGTTCTGGGTGCTTACTTAAAACTCGAAGTTTCCTAGCAGCCAAGGTAAAAAGGGAAACCTGATGACTTAGATGGCCCTTCTCTGTCTGAAATAAAGAAACCTATCAGTTCATCTGGAGTTTCAGACAGTATCCGGTACTTACTTCCAGCAGGATTGATTTCATGGATTCTGTGTGACATCCTCACCCATTGATTTGCAGGAAGGTATTATGTTGATCCCATTAGAGGCTATAGGAATGATATTAGTGAGAACTTGGGGTGGAATTTCCCGGGGAAATTGCACTAAGAGATTCCAGGTGATTGCCTCCTGCCTTCTTTTCTTTTCTTTTTTTTTTTTTTTTAATAGAGATGGGGGTCTCCCTATGTTGTCCAGGTTGGTCTCGAACTCCTGAGCTCAAGGAATCCTGCTGCCTCAGCCTCCCAAAGTGCTGGGAATTACAGGCATGAGCCACCGCACCCAGCCATGTTTCCTGGCATCTAACTTGATCCAGGGTGCAGCTGAGACATCAGGGGAGCCAGCATGTGAAGTGGAAAGAGTTGAAAGAGTGCTGGAGCCACAGAGAGCAAGGTTCAAATCTTGGCCCTACTGCCAACTGTCCTTAGGCAAGTTATTTAATTTCTCTGAGTCTCATTTTCCCCACTTGTTAAGATGGGAACGAGAATGCATTCTCAAATCATTATTGTGGGGAGTCGTTCAATCATTCATTCAGTAAAAATGTAGAGCCCGCCTTTGCCAGGCTCTGTGCCTAGGCACTGGCGACATGACTACAGACAAGGATGGCAAAGGACCTGCCCCCATGAAGCTTATGTTCTAGAGGCAGCAATAGATCATAATAAACAAATAATTAAATAAGAAACTGTCAGCCGGGCACGGTGGCTCATGCCTGTAATCCTAGCACTTTGGGAGGCCGAGGCAGGTGGATCACAAGATCAGGAGTTCGAGACCAGCCTGGCTAATATGGTGAAACCCCGTCTCTACTAAAAATACAAAAATTAGCCAGGTGTGGTGGGGGCTGCCTGTAGTCCCAGCTACTCAGGAGGCTGAGGCAGGAGAATCACTTGAACCTGGGAGATGAAGGTTGCAGTGAGCCGAGATTGTGCCACTGCACTCCAGCCTGGGTGACAGAACAAGACTCTGTCTCAAAAAAAAAAAAGAAAGAAAGAAAGAAAGAAAGAAAGAAAGAAAGAAAGAAAGAAAGAAAGAAAGAAAGAAAGAAAGAAAGAAAGAAGGAAAGAAAGAAAAAGAAAAGAAAAGAAAGCATCAGCTGATAGGGAAAAGATAATTTAGTAGGTGATATGATGATATGATTCTGGCTGAGATTGCTAGGGGCCTTCTAATTTCCATTCTCCTCTTCTTCCAGTGTAATAGAACACAGGACTTCCCAGAATAAAAGCTACATTTCCTAGGCTCCCTTGAAGCTAAATGTAGCCATGGAACTGAGTCTGGGCCAATGGGATGTAAGCAGAAGCAACCTCTGGGAAATACCCTTAAAGAAAGGGGACACAGGCTGGGTGCAGTGGCTCACGCCTGTAATCCCAGCACTTTGGGAGGTCGAGGTGGGCAGAACACCTGAGGTCGGGAGTTCGAGACCAGCCTGACCAACATGGAGAAACCCCACCTCTACTAAAAATATAAAATTAGGCTGGGTGCAGTGGCTCACGCCTGTAATCCCAGCACTTTGGGAGGCCGAGGCAGGTGGATCATGGGGTCAGGAGTTGGAGACCAGCCTGGCCAACACGGTGAAACCCCGTCTCTACTAAAAATACAAAAATTAGCCAGGCACGGTGGTGTGTAGCCTGTGGTTCCAGCTACTTAGGAAGCTGAGGCAGGAGAATCGCTTGAACCCAGGAGGCAGAGGTTGCAGTGAGCTGATATCATGCCACTGCACTCCAGCCTGGGCAACAGAGCGAGACTCCGTCTCAAAAAAAAAAAAAAAAATACAAAATTAGCTGGGCATGGAGGCGCATGGCTGTAGTCCCAGCTACTTGGGAGGCTGAGGCAGGAGAATCGTTTGAATTGGGAGGCAGAGGTTGCAGTGAGCCAAGATGGCGCCATTGCACTCCAGCCTGGGCAACAAGAGCAAAACTCCATCTCAAAAAATAATAAAATAAAGAAAGGGGACACATTCCTCTTTACCCCTTCCTCCTACCTGCAGAGCAAGACTCTGTCTCAAAAAAAACAACAAAAAAAATAGAGACAGGGTCTTGCTATGTTGCCCAAGCTGGTCTCAAACTCCTGACCTCAAGTGATCCGCCTGCCTTGGCCTCCCAAAGTGCTGGGATTGCAGGTGTGAGCCACCGCGCCCAGCCAAGAAATAAACTTCTATCTTGCTTAAGCCACTAAAATTTTGAGTTTTCTCTCGCACACAGTCTGTCTTGATTTTCTTTGCCACAGCGAGAGTGGCTGGGGTTTTTGTCCAATTGGGTGATGAAAGAAGGCCTTAGAAGGCCTTTTGCAGGGGTAATATTTGACCTGAGACTTGCCTGGTGAGAAGGAGCCAGCCATGGGGAGATCAGGGAGGAGCATCCCGACAGGATGGCACTCGTGCTTTCGAGGAACAGAGGAGGTGAGCAGAGGGCAGGAGTTGCCCGGAGTAGGGAATGGGTGTGGGGAAGTCACAAAGGATTTTACACTCAGGATGATATCCTCTGATTTATGTTTCTAAAAGGTCACTCTGACTGCTGTGTGGCAACCGCATTGTAGGGGGCCTAAGTGAAGCCAGGAGGCCAGGTGAGAGACTCCTGGGGTGACGGAGGAGCATGATGAGGGGCCCGGCGGGTGGGCAGTGGAGATGGGGAGAAGAGGATAGAAGCATGAAGCTAGATCCAGTAGAATGAGCTGTTATTGGAAGTGGGGATTGGGAGTGAGGGAAAATTAAGAGTCAAGGAAGCAACTGGGTTTGGGGATTTGAGGAACCAAGTGGATGGAGAGGACTGGAGGAGGCTCAGGGTTTGTTTCTTTGCTTGCTTGTGTTTAGGGAAAGGATTCGAATAAAATAAGACTGTTAATGTATCACTTGTTTGACCTTTCTCAAATATTAGTTTTCTTTTCTTTTTGAGGCATGGTCTTGCCCTGTCACCCAGGCTGGAGGGCAGTGGCACTATCTTGGTTCACTGCAACCTCCACCGCTCAGGTTCAAGCAATTCTCGTGCCTCAGCTTCTCGAGTAGCTGGGATTACAGATGTGTGCCACCATGCCTGGCTAATTTTTGTATTTTTAGTGGAGATAGGGTTTCACCATGTTGACTATGCTGGTCTCGAACTCCTGACCTCAAGTGATCTGCCCGCCTTGACCTCCCAAAGTGCGGGGATTATAGGCATGAGCCACTGCATCCAGCCCAAATATTAGTTTTTTCACCTATACTTTTGGCAGTGGGGTAAGGGACAGAATTTTTTTTAATAGAGACAGGGTTTCACTGTGTTGCCCAGGTTGGTCTCAAACTCTCGGTCTCAAGTGATCCTCCTGCCTCAGCCTCCCAAAGTGCTGGAATTACAGGCATGTGCCACTGCACCCGGCAAAGGGACGGATTTTTGTATTGATTTCATTCAAGTCAACAAACTCATATAAACTATCAACTACCGGCAGAGCCCTGGTCAGGTTTAAGGACCTGAGTGAGGGTCCTTGTCCTTGGGAACATGATCTGTGGAGGAGACACACAGGACCATGGACCATCTCAGTAGGGAGCAGAGAGGCAATGACACAGGTAGGTGCTGGGCTGGGACCTGTCAATCTCCAGGGGTTGGAAGGTTGGCGGGAGAGAAGGAATTCACAGAGCTGGGAATGCAAACAATGAACCTTGAAGGTCAAAGCTTTGGTCCAGCAAGTTTGGAAAGGAAAGGCATCTCAGGACAAGGGAACAGTGCATGGAAAGATCCAGAAGCCAAGAGAACAGAGAACATTCAGAGAAAGGTGAGTGTCAAGACTCAGAGAGCTCACAGCCTGCCTTGAGCCCCTCAAGCAGATCCTCCTCCCAGGACACCCCCGCACACTGAACTCTCTGCAGAGCCAAGCTGACCCCACAGCTCTCCAAACCTGCCCTTGTTTTTGTTTTTTAAATTATTGAATTTATTTATTATTATTTTTTGAGATAGGGTCTTCCTCTGTTTTACAGGCTGGAGTGCGTGGTAGGATCTCAGCTCACTGCAACCTGGGCTCCGCCTCCTGGGCTCAAGTGATTGTCATGCCTCAGCCCTCTGAGGAGTTGGGATTACAGGCATGCGCCACCACACTCAGCAAATGTTTGTGTTTTTAGTAGAAACAGGGTTTCACCTTGTTGGCCAGGCTGCTCTCGATCTCCTGACCTCAAGTGATCTGCTTGCCTCAGCCTCCCAAAGTGCTGAGATTACAGGTGTGAGCCACCAAAATAGTTATTTATTTTCTTTATTAGAGACAGGGTCTCACTCACTCAGGCAGGAGTGCAGTGGTGCCATCATAGCTCACTGCAGTCTTGAACTCCTGGACTCAAGCGATCTTCCCATCTCAGCCTCCCAGGTAGCTAGGGCTACAGGCCTGTGTCACCACACTTGGCTAAAAAGGTAACTTTTTTTTTTTTTACTTTTTGTAGAGATGGTGTCTTGCTATGTTGCTCAGGCTGGTCTTGAGAACTCCTGGCTTCAAGGAATTCTCCCACCTTGGCCTCCCAAAGTGCCGATTACAGGCCTGAGCCATCACACTGGCCCAAACCTGCCCTTTGACCTCCCTCCTCCTCCCATTTGGAGAAACCGCCCCCATCCTTCAAAGTCCTGCTGGAACTCCCACTTCCCCTCTTCCTCCTCCTCAGCTCTCAGGGGACCCTGCAGAACTCCCAGCGTGTATCTCTGGAAGGATGCTCAGGGTGAGTTATTTTTGCACAGATCTGGCCTGGCTGCCCCTAGACAGTAGAAACCGCCTTCCTCCCAGGACTCCCCAGGGCCCAGCCGAGGGTGCTGGTGATGAGGGTCACGGGGCACAGGGTTCTGAGGGTAGGGGGACTGGACTGGCTCAGCTCTGAGAGCCTTTCCAGTTCCAGCCCCATCCCCCAGCTCTCCCGCCTGATTCCCCGCACCTCCCCACTCCCTCACCAGGTGATAATGATGACTGGTCCATTCCTAACGTGTGTGCACCCTGCCCCACTTCCATCCACCCCCAGACTGCTCAGGGCTGCACCTCACAACTCTGGGCCCTCCACCAGCATGGTCTCCCTGGGGACCTCACACTTCCCGCATTACTTGTCCCTCCGGGCCCATCCCTTGTTTACATCCCTTATCCTCCCTCTGAGGTTTGTATACACTCCCTGCTGGACATGAACTCCTATCGCTGCGTGGTCCCTGCCCTGCTGCCTTGGCTCAGGCTGCCTGATACACGAGCCCCGTGGCTCCTTCTCCCGTTCACTACTCAGCCCCTTGCCTGCATCTAGAGAAGACTATTTTCAAGCTCTTTCCCACCTGTCATCCCATGTGGTCACAACAGTCCAGAGAGGAAAAGGAAGTCCAGAGAGAGGGTGTGGTCAGCTCAAGATCACACAGGGCTTCCAACCCGAGGAGGTCCTCTACAGCCCACATGTCCCAGCCGTGGGACACTTCCCTTTAATGCAAAATCCCAGGGGTCTGAGTCCCTAGTCTATGAGGGCACAGAAAGCCGTATCTTCACCGAGCAATGTACATAGGTCCCTCCAGGCCACCTTGGCCAGACCACGTCCCCTCCTCCAGCCTCCTGGCTCCAGCCACCACACCTCCCTTCAGGTGCTCCCCCGTGCCATCTGGATGTCCACTCACCTTAGCTGCCACCGCAAACCATGGCCTGCTCTGCCCCAAACATGGTCTCAGACCCTCCCCTCCATCCGCATGGGGTAACAGAGGCAGGTGATCCAGTCCAGCAAGCTTTGCTGAGGACTTCAGGATAGCAGCTGAGAATTACCGGCTGAGCATGGAAGAAAAGATGTAAGGGTCTGCTCACATGGAATGGGTCTGCCCTCAGCAGTCACAGGCCAAGCTGACACCTCATTGCCAATCCCATTGCAAGAGACAGTTCCCTTAACCATCATCGAACCCCCGTCCTACCTAGTCTCAGCTTCTACTCCTTAGAGTAAGATAGAGAAAGCAGCTGGCCCTTCTAAGGCCACTACCCAGTCCTCACTTCTCACTTGAGGGCTGACTGCATCCAGGATGATTGAAAATGAGAAAGTAAGGCCAGGTGCAGTGGCTCACACCTGATATCCCAGCACTTTGGGAGGCCGAGGTGGGAAGATCACTTGAGGCCAGGAGTTTGAGACCAGCCTGGGCAACATAACAAGACCCTGTCTACAAAAAATACGAAACTCGCTGGGTGTAGTGGTGTGCGCCTGTAGTCCCCGCTACTCAGGAGGCTGAGGTAGGAGGATTACTTGAGCCGGGGAGGTGGAGGTTGCAGTGAGCCGAGATCACGCCACTGCACTTCAGCCTGGGTGACAGAGTGCGATTCTGTATCAAAAAAAAAAAAAAAAGAAAGAAAGAAAGAAAGAAAGAAAGAAAGAAAGAAAAAGGAAAAAGAAAATGAGAAAGTCTTGTCCTTTCAGAAGAACTCCACCCTCTGCCCACAGAGTCTCCCTCTGGGACAACCCATCCCAACCCGTGATCTGAGCTGTATGCTCTGAAATAACATCATACGGGGTTCGCCCTCAGCTCACTTCATTCCTGCTGACATCTGCCTGGGCTCCCGGCTTTCTCCCAAAGGAGTATAAATTTGAACGAGGACACATATGGACCTTGGGGAGGGGAATCTGAGGGCTCCTCCCTTAGTGCTCTAGGAAGTGGTAGAGCAGTAGTGACAAGAGGGACTCCAAGGAAAGAGCAGGATGGGCTGTGAGTGTGTGAAGGGCCACTCAGGGCACAGCTCAAGGCATCTTGGGGCTCTGCTCAAGCCCTCCAGGTGCCAATCTTTCTGACCACGACCATCTCTGTCCAGCCCGGGGCATAGTCAAAGGGAGGTAAGACTCCCTCGTGCCTTGCTTCCCCAGAGGGCAGCCTAGTGCCAGGCGCATGGAGGCCTTCAGATGAATCAAACTGACCCAAGTCCAAATTGGAATAAAATGAGTGAGGGTTGCCCTCACCTCTTCCTGGAAAAGCATAAACAAGAGTAAATGTGGGCCAGGCAAGGTGGCTCACACCTGTAATCCCAGCACTTTGGGAGGCCGAAGTGGGCAGATTACTTGAAGTCGGGAGTTTGAGACCAGCCTGGCCAACATGGTGAAACTCTACTAAAAATACAAAAATTAGCTGGGTGTGGTGTTGGGCGTCTGTAATCCCAGCTACTCAAGAGGCTAAGGCAGGAGAATCACTTGAACCCGGGCGGTGGAGGTTGCAGTGAGCTGAAATTGAGCCACTGCATTCCAGCCTGGGCGACAGAGTGAGACTCCATTTCAAAAAAAAACAAAAAACAAAAGAGGCCTGACACAGTGGCTTATACCTGTAATCCCAGCATTCTGGGAGGCAGACGAATCATCTGAGGTCAGGAGTTCAAGACCAGCCTGGCCAACATGGTGAAATCCCATCTCTACTAAAAATACAAAAAGTAGCCCGGCATGGTGGTGGGCGCCTATAATCCCAGCTACTTGGGAGGCTGAGGCAGGAGAATCGCTTAAACCCAGGAGGCGGAGGTTGCAGTGAGCCGAGATTGCGCCATTGCACTCTAGCCTGGTCAACAAGAGCGAAACACCGCCTCAAAAAAAAAAAAAAAAAAAAAAAAAAAAAGATTAAATGTGACATTGGGCAGAGTTAGAAAAGAAACATCTACATTCAGCCAGGGCAACAAGAATGATCTAGAACATGTGGTGTGAGTGGAAAGAACCAGCGTCCAAGCTGCTGTGCCTCTGCCTGGCTGTCTGGTGGGGCTGCCAGGGGGTGGTGCCTGCAGAACAGCCAAACAGCTGGCCAGATTTTCCCCCTAAGCCAGATGATGCCATTTGTTGTTCCACCCCCAGCCAGCTGTCAGTCCTTCCCGGGCCCCAGGAGAGGTGCCCCATTGCTGCCCCCTGCACTCAGCTGTCTCTGACTCCTAGGGCAGGCAGAGGGGCAAGGGGACTGGGCACACTGGCTGGGTCAAGGAGTCAAAGGTCTTCACTTGGCACTCACTGCCACAGGCCATAGGAAGCCAACCCAGTGTGGGCCCAGGGTTTGGGACAGATCCCACCAGCTGGAGCAGGAGAAGGCACCTCCAGCCCCCTTTAGCCAGGGCCTCTCTCTGTTCCTGACCGGCACCAAGGCCTGGGTGGTGGGAGGGGCTCAGATCTGGCAGAACACCAGCTGTCCAGGCAGATTAGCAGGTCGGAGTGCCCACGCTGGCTTCACCAGCCCAGAGGACTTGGGCAAGTCACTGCTCTCCTTTTGCTGCCCTTTCTCTGTGAGAGGTGAATAAACATCGTAAACAGTGTTGTCCTCAGATGGGCTTAGAGAGCTTGGCAAGCTAGAGCGTGTGAAGTCCAGGCATGGTGCACTGCACGGGGCAGGTGCTGGTCCGTTGGGCATTCTTTTTCCTGGGAAAGCCTCTCTGTGGCTTTGTTTCCTCCTCTGTGAAGTGGGGGGTTTGTAGGAATCCAGCGTGACCACAAGATGAAGGCCTCAGCATAATTCCTGGAACCGAGGTCCTCCATAAACAGGATTCTGCCTCAGGACCCGTGTCCCTCCCCTTTTCTCTCTCCACAGGACTCAGCCCCTGGCAGGCTTGTGGTGCAGATAGTGAATGGTCTTGCAGTGGCGGGATTTGTCCACCTGTGTGTCCCTGTGTTTGAGTTTCTTCTGCTTGAGTCTGAACTTCAGGCTGGTGGCCACATAACCCAACACTCTCACTTTACGGATGAGAAAACAGAAGCCCAGAGAGGGCCAGGGACTTGTCCAGGTTCCTTCAGCCAGTCCATGCCGGAGCTGTACTAGGACACCCTCCTCTCTGTGCCCAGAGCGATGGCCACAACACCCCTTTCTGTCTGCTTGAAAACCCCTCTTCATTCTTGCTGATCTGTACTCATCTTTCAGTCTCTGCCTCTTTAGCAACCAGAGCCTACGAAGAGGTGACCAGGCTCTGGTCACCCCCCAGAGCAGAGAAACTGGGGGTGTAGGGGTGGGAACTGAAGGGGAGGGGCATGGCAGGGGCTGAGAATGCGGCTGTTCTGGCCTGGGGGCCTGAGCCAGGCTGCCTACAGAGGAGCCAGTATGCCCAGACATTAGAGCTTTGTGAGTTGAAGAGCTTGGTGTGGGGATGGTTGTTTTGTTGAGCTGACATTGTTTCAGGTTGACTGAATGTCAGTGTCTTAGTGTCCAGGAGCCAGCTCTTTAGAACCAGCCAGGGTCTTGGGGAGAATGTGGCTGGGGCATCCTAGTCTGGATCAAGGAGGGGAGGGGGCTGTCCGTGCCCCGTGAGTGCTGAGCAGTTCCCTGTGGAGAAAACTGCAGAGGAGGAGTGAGTCCTAGCGTGGATACCAAGAGAGACGAGAGGAGCAGGCGCCCTTGCACCTTGGGGCCAGAGCAGAAGGGCCTGGCCAGAGTGGAGGATGGACAGAGGCAGGACAGGGACCTCTGGAGGCTGGTGCCTTCCTGCCAGGGCACTGGGAGCCCTGAGGACAGAGCGATCAAACCTTCATCCACAAAGGAAGAGTCAGGAGAACCATGGGGACCAGGAGGGCCCCGAGAGGCCTTGGGGGCTGGCCAGGCGGGTGGGGTGGGCCAGACTCACAGCTGTCCAGATGTGGGTAAGAGATAACTCTGTTTACTGGGCACCCAGTGGGAGCGGGGTGGGGGGTGTGGGAAGGGGCTCCCAGGGCCAGTGGGGCGGGCAGATTAGGAGGCGGGGGCATGAGTCAGGGGTTTGCGAGCTGCCCCTGGGGCGCTGGTGCTGTCAGAACGAGTGGGAACGTAGCTGGTCGCAGAGGGCACCAGCGGCTGCAGGACTTCACCAAGGGACCCTGAGGCTCGTGAGCAGGTGGGCAGGGCAGGGAGGGGCTGGGGATGGTCCTTCGGTGCCTGCCCTGAGGGCTTCTACAGGTGCCCAGCCTGAATCTATGCCCAGGTGGGCCAGGCTCCTGACCTCCAAGGGGGTGCAGGTGGGTGGGGTGAGAATGTTACCATGCATATGTTGCCCCTAAGGGAACAGGCCCATTGGCACCTGAAAAGAGGAGGGTGGCAGGTGGTCAATGGCAGCAGAGGTATGTGTGGCTCCGGTGCGTGTGTTGCGGGGGGTATCTGATCCCCTCCAGGTATGGGCCCTTGTCAGCTTGTTGGATCCCACAGGGTCAGGTCTTGTCCACCCCAGACTCCTTCCTTCCTAATGGGGTCCTCAGACCACCCCCTCTCCCACCTAGGAGGCAGGATGTCAGCTGACACAGTATCCCCTTTGGGACACTTCCAGGGGTCTACCTGGGGCACCTGGCTCCACGCCCAGCGTGGTCAGTATTGGAGGGAACTGCAGAGCCTCCTACCACATGAGAATCTCAAAACACTTAGCTCAGGCTAATTCCATGGGAACTGAGGGCAAATCAGAGGGGAAATGAAGATGGCAAGTCTGACTGTAACCCCAGCAGCAAGGGATAATGACAGCAAACATTTTCATAGCGCTCCTTATATGCTAGGCACTGTTCTAAGCCCCTTACAAATGTAAATTTCCTTAATGCTTACAACAGGTCTATGAGATGGGCATCATTATCATCACCCCCATTTTACAGATGAGAAAACTGAGGCACAGAGAGTTGAAGTCACACGCCGTTAGTAAATGGCAGGGCTGGGCTTTGAATCCAGGCAGTCCGACTGCAGAGTCCGTGATCTTAACAACTAACTCTAAACCAGCTAACAGTTGTTTTGTTGGAGGCAACTTAGCATAGTGCTTAGGGATGTGGCTGGAGTCAGGTAGTCCAGGCTGTAACCTGGCTCTGATACCTACCTGCTGGGTGGCTGAAGCAGGTAAATGTCTCTGAACCTCAGCTTTCGCATCTGTAGAATGGATTAATGACATTACTCTTCTTCCTCTTAGAATCCCCAAACCACTTCACAGAATGCTTTGGGGATTCTAAGAGTTAAGGCAGTACAGTTCTTTGTGCAGTTCGGGCTGATTACACAAAGGTGGTGCCATACCACTAGGAAGTTGTCCCTGTCATCTGGTCAATCCCCTCTCCCGCCGTGTCTTCCCAGCTGTGCTATACCTTCTAGGCTCAGATGTCCCGCTCACCCTTATCTGGCCTGGCCCTGGCCAGCTGGCTAGCTGGCCAGGTGTTTGGTGCACTTCCAAAACTTGGGGCAGCGATCTGGGTCCAGGCCCTTATCAGTGCTAGGCAGCACAAGGCCTGCAGCTGGGGGGCGGCCTGGCTGGCGGGTGGCAATCTGGGTCATGGGTGCGCCCTGTAAGTCTCCAACTGAGCTCAAGGCACCTCTGTTTTCCCCTCTTCTCTCTCACTGATGTCTCAGAACCCTGGCAGGAAGGCACTCCCATTGTACAGATGGGGTGACTGAGGCCTACAGGCTGGAAGCTGCCCAAGGCCCTTCAGCCAGTCAGTGGCAGAGAGGCAGCCTGGACCTCTGGATTCTGCAGCTCTGAGGGCCCCTCTGACCATTCCACTCCTCAGATAGGCAACCAAGGCCACAGTCCCAGCCCCATGGGTGGGACTTTTAGTACCTAAGGCTTAGACACCCTGGAGGCCTTAGCATCTGAGGCCTAAGAAAGTGCATGGGCAAGTCCAGAGAAGGAAGAAAGTGAATAAAGATGGAAGAGAAAGAGGAACTTTGGGAGAAGCAGAGAGGGAGGAGGAAAAAGAGAGAGAAGAGGTGGGTCATCAGGGTCCTCAGGAGCAAAGCCAAGCCCTGCAGTAGGGACTACCTCGTCCTCAGGTCCAGGACCCCTCCCCCGCACCCCATCACTTGCCCCACCTGCCAAGGCAGGGGTCTCTCCCATTCTCCAGTCTGGTGAGATCCAGTAATCCCCTCCCTACCCCCAGGACTGCAGGGTCACCCATTCCTCAGAAAGAAGGCTGTTTGCACATCCCTTTCTTTCTTTTTTTTTTTTTTTTGAGACGGAGTCTCGCTCTGTTGCCCAGGCTGGAGTGCAGTGGCGCAATCTCGGTTCACTGCAACCTCTGCCCCCTGGTTCAAGGGATTCTCCTGCCTCAGCTTCCTGAGTAGCTGGGATTACAGGCATGCGCCACCACGCCTGGCTAATTTTTGTATTTTCAGTAGAGATGGGGTTTCACCATGTTGGCCAGGCTCCCTGCCCCATGCCCTCACGTGGCATTTTCCCACCTTGCTCAGCCCACCTGTTCAGCTCCACCCAGGCATGCCTCACATCTGGACTCCCAGCCCTTCACATCTCACCAGTGCTTGGCTGGGCACGGTGGCTCACACCTGTAATCCCAGCACTTTGGGAGGCCGAGGTGGGTGGATCACGAGGTCAGGAGATTGAGACCATCCTGGCTAACACAGTGAAACCCCGTCTCTACTAAAAAAATACAAAAAATTAGCTGGGCGTGGTGGCGGGCGCCTGTAGTCCCAGCTACTCGGGAGGCTGAGGCAGGAGAATGGCGTGAACCCAGGAGGCGGAGCTTGCAGTGAGCCAAGATCGCGCCACTGCACTCCAGACTGGGAGAGAGAGCAAGACTGTGTCTCAAAAACAAGAAAAACTCACCTGTGTTTTTAGGCTAGCGCCAGTGACCCCTCCTCCGGTGACTCCACCCCCGAGTGCTGCAAACGCGTCCTGCTCTTCTTCCTGCCATACAGATCCTTGGCACTCAGCACTTTCGGCCCCTGGGGTCCATGTCACCTCGGAAGCACTGAGGCTGCCCTGTGTTCCCAGTTTGCCTCCCTGTCGCGGCTAGGAGCTTCCCCAGAGTAGAGACGGGCCTTGTTCAGCTCAGCACCCCCTCCCACCAGCCCCCAGTGCTCAGCACCCCCTCCCACCAGCCCCCAGTGATCAGCAGCCCCTCCCCACAGCCCCCAGTGCTCGGCACCCCCTCCCACAGCCCCCAGTGCTCAGCACCCCCTCCCCACAGCCCCCAGTGCTCGGCACCCCCTCCCCACAGCCTCCAGTGCTCAACACAATGCCAGGCACAGAGTGGGAACCTTTGTTGAACCGACCCAATTGCCTGTCACCTCAATGCCCTGTGCTGTAGTGGGCGAGGAGGGAAAAGAGGCACCTCCACACCCAGTCTGGGGCCACCTTAGGTGACCCCTGTCCTCCCCTTGGACCTGCCCTCACATTCCTGGGGAAGGCACACCTTCCTCTCTGCTAGGGACACAACTGAGAAAACTGAGACCCCGAGCTCAGAGGCCTCTTGGCTGGGGCCTAGTCATCCTGGCTCCCCAGTCTCAGAGCCCCAACCCCGCAATAGGGAGCCATTCTTACAATCATTCAGTAAATGTTTATTGAGCACCTACTACGTGACAGCCACTCTGCTAGGAGTAGTGAATTTCGTGGGGATGGGACATACAGGGTCTTCGCACTCAGGTAGTTTCCCTTCCAAAAGCATTGTCAGATAATATGAACACAAATCAATCAAGAAACCACGTATTGGTTTTTTTGTTTTGTTTTGTTTTCCTTCTAAAGAGTCTCACTCTGTCACCCAGGCTGGAGTGCAGTGGTGCCATCTTGGCTCACTGCAACCTCTGCCTCCCAGGCTTAGGCAATCCTCCCACCTCAGCCTCTCAAGTAGCTGGGACTACAGGTATACGTCACCACACCCAGCTAATTTTTGTATTTTTGTAGACATGTGGTTTCACTATGTTGCCCAGTTGGTCTCGGACTCCTGAGCTCAAGCAATCTGCCTGCCTCAGCCTCCCAAAATGTTAGGATTACAGGTGTGAGCCACCACGCCCAACCAAGAAACCATTTAAAAATTAGTCAGGCATGGTGGTGTGTGCTAGCTACTCTGGAGGCTGAGGTGGGAGGTTCACTTAAGTCTAGGAGTTTGAGACTGATGTGAGCTGTAATCATGCCACTGCATTCTAGCCTGGATAACAGAGGGAGACCCGCTCTCAAAAAAATAAAAAAGAAGAAAGAAATCAGCAGCCCACACTGAGATAGTGAGACCCTGTTTCTACACACAGATTTTTTTTTTTTTAATTACCTGGGCACTGTGGCATGCCTATAATTCCAGTTACTCAGGAGGCTGGGCCAGGAGGATCCCTGGGGCCCAGGAGTTCAAGGCTGCAGTGAACTATGATCATGCCACTGCACTCTAAGCCTGGGTGACAGAGTGAGACTCTGTCTCAAAAAGGAAGAGAGAGAGAGAGGAAGGAAGGAAGGAAGCAGGGATGGAGGAAGGAAGGAAGGAAGGAAGGAAGGAAGGAGGGAAGGGAGGGAAGGAGGGAGGGAAAAGAAACCAGAACATGACAGATTGGGTCAAGGTGGTGGCCAGGGAGGGCCTCTGAAGAGGAGACATTTGGGCCGAGATGTGAGAAGGTCTGAGGTATTGGGGGGAGGGTGTCCGGGATATGGACAGCTGGATGTGCAAAGGCCCTGGGACAGGAAAGGGCTTAGTGAGTTCTAGGAACCACAGGAGGCCAATAGGCTAGGTGGGGAGAGAGCGAGAGAGACGGAGTGCAAGATGGGGTCAGGGAGAGAAGTAGGACCACATCGTCCAGACCTGCGGACCACTCCCAAGGATGCTGCAGCCCATGCCCGGTGGGCAGCAGCTATTTCTGAGAGAAGAGCATGTGTTTAGAGCCCCTCAGGGGAGCTAAGCCCCCCTGAAGAAGAGACCAGCAGGTCCCCTGGTATTAGCTGAGTCCCAGGGATGGGCAAGAAAAGAAGCCAGGTGAAGACTAGAGAATGAAGGAGGGAGATGGACCTGAGGGTGACCTGCCCATCTTCCCCAAACATCCTTCGCTGGTGCCAGCCAGACTTACCTCTTCCCTGCACTGCCCCTCTCTCCCAGCCCCTGCTCACCTACCCTCACACCTGCAAATCCAGCTCGTTCTCCCTTTCCCTCCACACTTCCTTCCTCTGGCCCTACCACCTCCAACACGTGGATCCCCTCCACTGACATGTGGCCCCCTCTGGAGGAGGACCAGGAGACCCTGGGATGCCCTGTGCCCCACTCAGCCTGTGCCCTCTGCTGCAGGGACCCGCGGTGCGGGTTATGCTGGGGGCTCAGATCACCGTAGACAACTGGACACTCAGGACCACGCCATGGAGGAGCTGCAGGTGGGTGTTCCCTGGCATCAGCAGTGCTCCCACCTGGAGGCTCTGGGGACCTGGTCCTAGACTCCTATCTTCGTTGGGGGTGGAAGAGCCCCTCACAGCCCAGCCTCAGCGGCCACTTCCCACAGGATGATTATGAAGACATGATGGAGGAGAATCTGGAGCAGGAGGAATATGAAGACCCAGACATCCCCGAGTCCCAGATGGAGGAGCCGGCAGGTGAGCCCCTCTCCCTCCCTCAGCTGGGATGAGCTGCTGAGCCCTAGACAGGGACAGGAGGGGCACTTGTCCTCTCCCCTTCTCCACAGTCCTCCTCCCAAGCACCACGGGCCGTTCTCCCCTCAATTCTGGCTGATTGAAGGATAAACAGAGCTTTGTTTGAAATGATCACAGGAGGTGGCTGGGAGAGCAGGGGCAGTCACCCATCCAGTGCCCCTGCAATGTGAGAAGGGCGGGCAGCCAGTTTGGGACAAGGGCGTGAGCCCACATGCCATCTGTGCCCATCCAATGCCAGCTTCCAGGCCAGAAAATGGGCTTGTTCTTGGGGAAAGAGGTCCTGAGAAATGAGGGGCTTGTGGGGACCCTCCTAGATAGAAAGACACCAGGAACCACCCTGCCTTCCCTGGCCTGTCCAAGGTCTTAGGTGGGGAGCCCCAGGCAGGACCTGTTTACTGTCAACAGGACTTAAGTGCTGGAGATTGGGATTAAAGTTAAGAGGCCCCTCTTGGAAATGAGGGCTGGGGGTGGGAGGGGTGGGAATATAAGGGGCTGACCCACCCTGGTGCCTCAGCTCAGTGAGACACTGTGCTGACGGGCTCATTGAGGCAGGTGGGAGGAGAGAAGGGAGTCTGGTCTCAGAGGTGGCAGGGGAGGGAGGAGGTCCTAGGAGGATCCTGAAAATTGCCACTCAGGGCTCTGCCGTCACCTTGGAGAGGTCCCTTCACTTCATCACTGCGGAGGGGCTAGGCCTCCCTGGCTGAATCCCGGGTGTCCTCGACAAGGCTCAGATAGGGAGCCCAAGGCTAGGCCCAGCACACAAGTGTGGGGAGCCTCATTCTGCTGAGTGGCCAGTGTGGGATGCGGCACCAGAGACCCAGCCCAGGGCACTGGGAAGGAGGGGCATCTGCCCATGCCTGGGTCTCTGAGGCTCACAGTGGATGGTGAAGAGCCTCAGGTGGGGGACGGTCAGGTCAATACTAACCGACCTCTGGTTTTCAGCTCACGACACCGAGGCAACAGCCACAGACTACCACACCACATCACACCCGGGTACCCACAAGGTGAGGACCCCAGCCTCCTCCGTTCTTTCCCATGCTGCCTTTGGGACCCACCATTTGATCAGGGAAGAGAGGAGCAAGGGGATAGAGGCAGCTTCAGGCTGGGGGAGACCCTGCAGCAGATAGAGGAGTGAGGATCCCAGGAAACAGGTGGGAGGGACGCCCCACTGATGGGGAGGCCTGGGCCCCTTTCCAGGAGCACCCTGGGCAGAGATAACCTGATTGACAAGGGCTGAGTCCCCAGGCCCTCAGGCCCTGGCTGGGCTGTCGGGCGTCACTGGGGAAGCACAGAATTAAAGACTTGTTCTCCTCTGCCCAGGCCCCTCAGGTCCCCACTGGGCACTGAACTGTCTAAGTGGTTAGAAATTTGGGGTGGCCCTCAGCTATGGCCCTTGGAGCAACCACCTGGCCTCAGGGACATGCTAAAGCACATCCACGAACAATCTTAGAGGCTGGAGACTGACCCAATGACTCCAAAGTCCCCTTTAGCTTCGGCCCGCCAGGCCTCTGCTTCCCACTCCTTTCCCTCCCCAGTGGCCTCTCCAGCATCCCTTTGGGTCAGGGTTCTCCAAATGCCTTCTGCAATGGGGTAAAGGCCTGGCCAGGAAGTTGGGAGATAAGGGAGTGGTGTGAGCCGTATCTACGGACCCTTGAGCACAGGGATCCAAGCCTCACAAGCACAAGCCTCTCTCGAGAGTGGCTGAGCACCCACTATGCCCTGGACTATGCCTGATGAACTAACTCAGGCGCATGGGGCCACAGGTCTATGTGGAGCTGCAGGAGCTGGTGATGGACGAAAAGAACCAGGAGCTGAGATGGATGGAGGCGGCGCGCTGGGTGCAACTGGAGGAGAACCTGGGGGAGAATGGGGCCTGGGGCCGCCCGCACCTCTCTCACCTCACCTTCTGGAGCCTCCTAGAGCTGCGTAGAGTCTTCACCAAGGGTGAGCCTCCTGGGCCCTTCTGGACCCCCTGCAGATGAGGATTGTTGTGGGGTGCTGTGGCCCAGCCTACCAGCTCACTCCTCCACTGCCTGCAGGTACTGTCCTCCTAGACCTGCAAGAGACCTCCCTGGCTGGAGTGGCCAACCAACTGCTAGACAGGTTTATCTTTGAAGACCAGATCCGGCCTCAGGACCGAGAGGAGCTGCTCCGGGCCCTGCTGCTTAAACACAGGTGCCCCTGCCTGCCAGGGCCTGGATTCCATATCCAGTGGGCCCACTTCCCCAGCCCACTTGCCCCAAGTTCTCCCCCGGGATCCAGGTGGCCCTACCCTCACCAGGCAGGGGCCCACTTTCCTCCACTATGGCTCCCATCTCTGACACCTTGAAAGGGGTGGCCATGTCCTATGCTCAGAGTTGGGGGCTGTTGGTCCCCAGGAGGGCAGACCTGCAAGGCCCTTTTCTGTAGCCACTCTTGATCCCGCCTCGTCATTCCAGAGGCCACCCACTTACATCTACAACGTCCTTGGAGAGGAGGCTCTGATTCTCCTTCCATCCCAGGGTCTCTCTGGTCTGGTCTGGGAAGTCCCAGATGTCTACCCTTGATGTCTACCCCAGTCCCTTGATGTTCGCCCTTGATCCCTCCCACCACTGATAGCTCAGCCTGAACAGCTTACTCAGCCCATGTCCCCTGTACGTCCTGCAGCCACGCTGGAGAGCTGGAGGCCCTGGGGGGTGTGAAGCCTGCAGTCCTGACACGCTCTGGGGATCCTTCACAGCCTCTGCTCCCCCAACACTCCTCACTGGAGACACAGCTCTTCTGTGAGCAGGTGAGTCAGTTACAGGGTCAGGGTCAGGGTCAGGGTGGGGCAAGGAGAGAGCTTTCTCAAACGCCAGCAGGGGTCCTGAAAAACCGACCACAAGCAGGGGACCAGAAGCACTCCTGTGCCCGGGGGGTGCCAGGAGAGTTGGGAAGCGAGAATGGGAAGGGGAGGATGCTCAGGTCTCCCAGGTCAGACTGGCCCGAGGACTCCCGTCACCACCCTCCTTCCCACAGGGAGATGGGGGCACAGAAGGGCACTCACCATCTGGAATTCTGGAAAAGATTCCCCCGGATTCAGAGGCCACGTTGGTGCTAGTGGGTAAGAACAGGCATCTCTACCCTCAGCCCTCCACACCCCTCGTGTCTTGGCTCAGCCTGTCTTTCCCTCAGCCTGGACCCCCGCAGCCCCATCTCTTCAGCACACCCACCCTGGGCTCCTCGGCCTGGCCTGATCTTCTCATCCCCTAACAGGCCGCGCCGACTTCCTGGAGCAGCCGGTGCTGGGCTTCGTGAGGCTGCAGGAGGCAGCGGAGCTGGAGGCGGTGGAGCTGCCGGTGCCTATACGCTTCCTCTTTGTGTTGCTGGGACCTGAGGCCCCCCACATCGATTACACCCAGCTTGGCCGGGCTGCTGCCACCCTCATGTCAGAGAGGGTAAGGAAGGGCCGGAGAGGGCTGGGCTGGGGAAGCTTGGGACCTGCATGGTGGCTGAGGCCTGCTCTCCAACCTGGCCTGGGTTACTTTAGGTTCACTGGTTTGACCCATTCAGCCTAATCCAGCTGCTGCTATCCTACCTGGCGGGGGCAGTCGGGGCGTGCAGTCTGGCCCTGCTCTGGCCTGGTCTCGTCTGGTTGGCTTTGGCCTGGCTTAGTCTAGTCCAGCTCACTATGACCTGGTTCCACCTGGTCAGGTCAGGCTTGGTCGGGCCTAGTCAGCTCTAGTTTCATCTAGTCTGCTTAACCCACCAGGTTAGCTTTAGTTCCTTCTCCTTTCCCCACCCAGGGCCCCCGTCTGTCTCCCCAGAGCTCTTTCTTAGTGGGGAGAGTAGGGGTGGGAGCGGGCAGGAAAAGCAGTTCCTGGCAATGGGAGCTGCTGCCTGAGGGGGTTCTGGTTCCTGGAGGCCCTGGCTGTGGACTCCTGGGTCCTTTCCCTCCGCAGGTCCGGGCAGCTCTGACCCTGTCTCCTGCCCCTAGGTGTTCCGCATAGATGCCTACATGGCTCAGAGCCGAGGGGAGCTGCTGCACTCCCTAGAGGGCTTCCTGGACTGCAGCCTAGTGCTGCCTCCCACCGATGCCCCCTCCGAGCAGGCACTGCTCAGTCTGGTGCCTGTGCAGAGGGAGCTACTTCGAAGGCGCTATCAGTCCAGCCCTGCCAAGCCAGACTCCAGCTTCTACAAGGGCCTAGGTACCTGCCCTTCCCAGCTGAGGCTTTCTGAGCCCCCACCGACCCCCAGACACCTCAGCGTAGCCTCTGTCTCCCATCACATGTTCCCCTCTCATCGCTCCCTTTGCCCACATCTTCCAGACTTCTTCGCCGCCCCATTCCCATCAGACAATCTCCCCTACACCCTCCAGTCCCCTTTCCCCTCACCTCCTCCAGCTACTCCCTCTGACCATGCTCTTATCCTCCACCACAGACTTAAATGGGGGCCCAGATGACCCTCTGCAGCAGACAGGCCAGCTCTTCGGGGGCCTGGTGCGTGATATCCGGCGCCGCTACCCCTATTACCTGAGTGACATCACAGATGCATTCAGCCCCCAGGTCCTGGCTGCCGTCATCTTCATCTACTTTGCTGCACTGTCACCCGCCATCACCTTCGGCGGCCTCCTGGGTCAGTGCCAATACCTGTCTCCCTAACTCTTGCCTCTGACCCTCTGGCCTCTGTCTCAGCCCCAACTTCTGACTCTGTCTGACCCTCCAGACCCCTGCATCAGCCTGACCATGACTTGCTCTATGGGCTCCTGGAAATGATCTCCTGACCTTGATCCCACTGTGACCTCTACCCACAGGAGAAAAGACCCGGAACCAGATGGGAGTGTCGGAGCTGCTGATCTCCACTGCAGTGCAGGGCATTCTCTTCGCCCTGCTGGGGGCTCAGCCCCTGCTTGTGGTCGGCTTCTCAGGACCCCTGCTGGTGTTTGAGGAAGCCTTCTTCTCGGTAGTTCTGTCCTTGCCCCACTGACCCTGTCATGTCCCCCGCACCACCTGCCTGATGCATGGTGCCTTGCCCCAAGACCCTTTGACTGACCGGCTTCTTCTGACCACCCTGCAGTTCTGCGAGACCAACGGTCTAGAGTACATCGTGGGCCGCGTGTGGATCGGCTTCTGGCTCATCCTGCTGGTGGTGTTGGTGGTGGCCTTCGAGGGTAGCTTCCTGGTCCGCTTCATCTCCCGCTATACCCAGGAGATCTTCTCCTTCCTCATTTCCCTCATCTTCATCTATGAGACTTTCTCCAAGCTGATCAAGGTGGGGGCCTATGGGGATGTTAATGCACACGGGAGGTTGTGTATAAGACTGAGACAGTGGCCGGGTGCGAGGGCTCAGGCCTGTAATCTCAGAACTTTGGGAGGCCGAGGCAGGTGGATCACCCGAGATCAGGAGTTCAAGACCAGCCTGACCAACATTGTGAAACTCCATCTCTATTAAAAATACAAAAATCAGCCAGATGTGGTGGCATGCATCTGTAATCCCAGCTACTCAGGAGGCTGAGGCAGGAGAACTGCTTGAACCCGGGAGGTGGAGGTTGCAGTGAGCCGAGATTGTGCCACTACACTCCAGCCTGGGCAACAGAGCAAGAATCCGTCTCAAAAAAAAAAAAAAAAGACTGAGCCATTGTGTCCTCGCACATGTGTCTGTGCAGCATTTGTGTGTCTTTGCTTTCACCTGTGTACATAACCATGTGACTGTGCACATGACTGTGACAACATATGTGTCTGTGTCAACATATGTGTCTATGTCTGTGTAGTCACACATCTGCACACAGGACTGTGCAGCTGTGTTGACTGTGACCACATATGTGTTGGCACCTGCTGCCTGTGGCCAGCACTCTTGCTGAGGCATGAGAGGGTGCCTCTGTGTGCACATGTCCAGTTCATGACCACACATGACGTGAGCAATGGGTAGGTATGGGCATGACACTGAGCATGTGAAAGTACATGCACAGTGAGAGCTGGGGGGACTCTGGAGCCTCTGAAGTCCCCCACTCCCTCCCCTGTGCTTGTCCTCAAGAGCTGCAGGGCTTGTGGATGGAGTGCCCAGCCACCTTGGCTTGGCTCCCATCATCTTAAGCTCTGCTTGCCTTTGTACCTGCATTTTATATGGGAGAAGGGTGAGCCCTATGTGTTGTCCCCTGATTCTGTTGGATGGAGGGTCTTTCTGTGTCCAGGTCTTTTAACCCCTTGTTAGAAACTTCCCTGACCCTTGTTTCCTGACCTCCAGCCTTCTCATGTCTCCCAGGTCCTGGGTGTACATGTGTGCTCGCACACACACCCATTGCCTTCCATGGCCCTCCCTGCCTAAACCTAGGCTGTCTTCATTCCTGAAAACCAAGCTGTAGAATCCCATTTATCCTCTGTTTCCATGTCAATTGAGGAAGAAGATAGATGGATGGATGGATGAATAGATGGATAATGGATGGACGGATGGATGGATGGATGGATGGTTGGATGGATGGATGATTGATGAATGAGTGGGTGGATGATGGACGGATGAATGGATGGATAAATGGGTTGATAGATGATAGGTAGGTGGATGGATGGGTAGATGGATAATGAATGGATGGATGAATAATCAATGGATGATCAATGGATAATGGATAGATGAATGATGGATGGGTGGATAAATGGATGGATGATGAATTAATAGATGACTGGATGAATGGATAGTAGTGCTGGGTAGAGTTAGCTGGTGGTATTTTCCAGCCCAAGCCAAAGCTGGGAGAGAACAGAATGCCTTGGTTTTCTGCTGCAGATCTTCCAGGACCACCCACTACAGAAGACTTATAACTACAACGTGTTGATGGTGCCCAAACCTCAGGGCCCCCTGCCCAACACAGCCCTCCTCTCCCTTGTGCTCATGGCCGGTACCTTCTTCTTTGCCATGATGCTGCGCAAGTTCAAGAACAGCTCCTATTTCCCTGGCAAGGTCAGCATACCCTCCTCGCCTGTCCTTGCCAACACTGCCCTATCCCAGCCCAAAGCCCCCCCGCTCCAAATTCCTCAGTGCCCTTAGCTTCCCTTCTTTTTCAGATTCCCATTCCCAATTCCAACCTCCCCTGGCCCTATCCTTACCTAGGGTTTCACTCTATGGGCAAGCCCCTCCCACTTTCATGGCATGCCCAGCCTGAGAACTGCTGGGGGAAGAAGAAAGGAGGCAGACATAGCTGAGGTGCAGGACAGGGCATTAGATGCTGATGGATCCCCTGGAAGAGCAGGGCCCCGTGGGTGAATATAGGGCAGGAGGAAGGCAGGAGGTGGGGAGTGACTGGGCACTGACCACTGGTCCTTTCACCTGCCCCCAGCTGCGTCGGGTCATCGGGGACTTCGGGGTCCCCATCTCCATCCTGATCATGGTCCTGGTGGATTTCTTCATTCAGGATACCTACACCCAGGTGACCCCTCCTCCCAGCCCTCAGACCATGATACCCCCCAGGTCCTCATTTCCACCCCCCAGCATGCCCCTTCCCTAGAATAGCTTTCCCCAACCTGAAGCCAGCTGGGACTACCTCTACCCCATCCCTGCCTCCTCTGGGAGTCCCATGTGCTTCTCACAGCCCCAGAGGACCCCTGTGGCCAAAGCAAGGTGCTGGGCCAGGTTGCCACCTTCATTCCTTAACCCAGAGCAGTAGGAAGAAGTATTCTTTGGAGCCAGGCAGATCTAGGCATGAATCCCAGCTCTGCCATCAAATAGCTGTGTGATGTGGGGCAAGCTACATAACCTCTCTGATTCTCTTTCCTCATCTTTAAAGTGGGGAACGAGCAGATGGATGTAAAGGGATTAGTGTAATGATTAGGTACAGAGCAAGTGCTCAATATAAGTAAGTTCCCAAGTGCCTCCAACCTAACTGCCCGACCCCTAGGACCCTGGCTCCTCCTGCTCCCACCCTTCCCCATCCTCCTGCCCTTGGCATTCTTACCTGCTACCCCCTCCCACAGAAACTCTCGGTGCCTGATGGCTTCAAGGTGTCCAACTCCTCAGCCCGGGGCTGGGTCATCCACCCACTGGGCTTGCGTTCCGAGTTTCCCATCTGGATGATGTTTGCCTCCGCCCTGCCTGCTCTGCTGGTCTTCATCCTCATATTCCTGGAGTCTCAGATCACCACGTGAGAGACAGGGTGGGGGCTGGGCCTGGGAGGGTGGGAGGCAGGGACCTTTCCCTGGCATTCTCCCAGGCAGGCAAGAGACCCAGGACTGCAAGCTAGTCCCTGCGGGTGTGTGGCCCTCCCGACTAGCAGGAATAGTGAAAAGCCAGGGGCAGTTCCAGGTTTTGTGGGACCAGAAGTTGTATAATTTGGAGAGCTCTTTTTAAGAAAAAAAAAACGTGGCCGGGCGCGGTGGCTCACGCCCGTAATCCCAACAGTTTGAGAGGCCGAGGCGGGCAGATCACCTGAGGTCAGGAGTTCGAGACCAGCTTGGCTAACATGGTGAAGCCCTGTTTCTACTAAAAATACAAAAAATTAGGCGGGCATGGTGGCACGAGCCTGTAATCTCAGCTACTTGGGAGGCTGAGGCAGGAGAATCGCTTGAACCCGGGAGGCGGAGGTTGCAGTGAGCCGAGATCTCGCCATTGCACTCCAACTTGGGCAACGAGAGTGAAACTCCATCTCAAAAAAAAAAAAAAAAAAAAAGCGCCAGGTGAGGTGGCTCACATCTGTAATCCTAGCACTTTGGGAAGCCAAGACGGGGGGATCACGAGGTCAGTAGTTTGAGACCAGCCTGACTAATATGGTGAAACCCCGTTTCTACTAAAAATACAAAAATTAACCGAGTGTGGTGGCATGTGCCCGTAGTCCCAGCTACTTGGGAGGCTGAAGCAGGAAAATCACTTGAACCCGGGAGGCAGAGGTTGCAGTGAGCCAAAATCGCACCACTGCACTCCAGCCTGGGCGACAGAGCAAGACTCTAGGAAAAAAAAGAAAAAGAAAAAAAAATGCAAAATGACAACTATAAAATTAGGTGCTGGATCTTGGAGGGGCCTGTACAAGCAAAGCTCCCTGAAGCTGAAGCTTCGTTGCCTGCGAATCAGCCTTGAATGTTGTGAAGACATTTCTGCTCTTAAGAGTTTGGATTCTCAAGATGGGGCGGGAGGGAGGGGAGCAAGGAACTCAAAGAGCGAGGGGCACAGAAGACAAAACTGAGCTACAAGGACACCAAGTATGGAGAAGGAAGGAGGGGGTGGAGGAGGCAGGGGAGAACCCTGCTTACCCCTCACCTTCCCCTACCGTAGGCTGATTGTCAGCAAACCTGAGCGCAAGATGGTCAAGGGCTCCGGCTTCCACCTGGACCTGCTGCTGGTAGTAGGCATGGGTGGGGTGGCCGCCCTCTTTGGGATGCCCTGGCTCAGTGCCACCACCGTGCGTTCCGTCACCCATGCCAACGCCCTCACTGTCATGGGCAAAGCCAGCACCCCAGGGGCTGCAGCCCAGATCCAGGAGGTCAAAGAGCAGCGGATCAGTGGACTCCTGGTCGCTGTGCTTGTGGGTGAGTGAAAGCTGGGTCGCGTCTTCACCATCCTCCTGCCCCTCACCCCCGGCCCCTTCCCCTTCCCCTTTCTGTTCGGACCCAGCACCTCCTCCAGCCTCCCCCATCCTGCACCACTTCCCCACATCTCCCCAGCATCCCCTACTCACACGAGGGGATCCTGGAGGAAAGGCCAAGGCACTGGGCTGGGCGTCTGAGCAGGGAGGAAGGGGGCTCCACTCCGAGGCCTTCTCCAGACCAGACCCCACCTTCTGACTTACCCAACAGAAGTCCAGTGAACTGTGGGTTCTAGCCCTGCCCTGCTGCTAACCCAGTATCCCTCCTTGTCTCTGGGTCTCAGTTTCCCTGTCTGCACAGTTGGAGGGTTCAACAGATGTCCCCCAGTTCTCTTCCAGCTCAGCTGCTCCATGACTGATACAAGGGGCGGTGCTCTAGCCATAGTCCAGGGATGTGGGGGAGAAGAAAGAAGGGTCACTGGGGTTGATTTCAGTTCTGGAGCAGCCAAGAGTCGAGCTGGGTTCGGTGTGGGCAGTGCCATGGTTGCAGATGGAGAGGTCAGGGAAAATTCTTAAAGGAGGCAGTTGATGGCATTCTGGGCTGGGGTGAGGAGAAAGGTGTGTGTGTTTGACCTCTGTGACCCTCATTAGGTTAAGGGAGTGGGCTTAAGTCAGGCAGGCAGGGCTTTGACTCCTTGCCAGCTGTGTGGCCTTAGGCAGGTTGTTTACCTCTCTGAGCCTGTTTCCTCATCTGTAAAATTGGGGTAATACCTATAAAAAGGACCGATAGAGGCCGGGGGTTGTGGCTCACGCCTGTAATCCCAGCACTTTGGGAGACTGAGGCAGGTGGGTCACCCTGTCCAACATGGTGAAACCACGTCTCTACTAAAATTACAAAATCAGCTGGGCGTGGTGTCGCACGCCTATAATCCCAGCTACTTGGGAGGCTGAGGCAGGAGAATTGCTTGAACCCAGGAGGCGGAGGTTGAAGTGAGCTGAGATTGCACCACTGCACTCCAGCCTGGGCAACAGAGTGAGACTCCGCCTCAAAAAAAAAAAAAAAAAAAAAAAAAAGACCCATAGGAATAGCTCCAGGCCAGGCGTGGGATCTCAACACTTTGGGAGGCCAAGGCAGGAGAATCACTTGAGCCCAGGAGTTCAAGACTAGCCTGGGCAACATAGTGAGACCTTGTCTCTACTAAAAATTAAAAAAAAAAAAAATGATCCAGGTGTGGTTGTATGTGCCTGTAGTTCCAGCAACTAGGGACACTGAAGCGGGAGGATCACTTGGGATCAGGAGGTTAAGTCTGTTGTGAGCCGAGATCACACTACTGCACTCTGGCTTGGGTGACAGAGCGAGATCCTGTCTCAAAAAAAAAAACAAAAAAAAAAAAAAAAAAAGAAAAGAAAAGGAAAAAAGAAATGGCTCCATATGGTGCCTGTGTTTTATTCCCAGCCCCAGATAGGGGCCTGACCCCCCACTGGTGCCAGGCCTCGGGCAACCTGGGCTGAGAGTGTGCGGCTCCCCCACAGGCCTGTCCATCCTCATGGAGCCCATCCTGTCCCGCATCCCCCTGGCTGTACTGTTTGGCATCTTCCTCTACATGGGGGTCACGTCGCTCAGCGGCATCCAGCTCTTTGACCGCATCTTGCTTCTGTTCAAGCCACCCAAGTATCACCCAGATGTGCCCTACGTCAAGCGGGTACAGGACCCTTTTCTGGCTGCCCAGCCTGGGGTGGTAGAGGGTGCTGGGGTGTGATAGGCACTGACCCCAGCCTCCGCCTGCAGGTGAAGACCTGGCGCATGCACTTATTCACGGGCATCCAGATCATCTGCCTGGCAGTGCTGTGGGTGGTGAAGTCCACGCCGGCCTCCCTGGCCCTGCCCTTCGTCCTCATCCTCACTGTGCCGCTGCGGCGCGTCCTGCTGCCGCTCATCTTCAGGAACGTGGAGCTTCAGTGTGTGAGTGGCTGCCTGGGCCTGGGGCACAAGAGCTGGGAGCATGCGAGGGGCGCGTCTCAGAACTAGGGCAGGCAGGACAGAGTCATGGGTAAAGTCTGGGGCTAGGGCTGGTGTCCAGGTTCTGGCCTGCTGTGTCCTAGCATATGATCTGGAGCACGGGGCCTTGTTTCTCTGTGTCTTCATTTTGCTCACCTGTAAAGGGGGAAATGATGGCACGACTGGGGAGAGCGTCAAGAGGCAGACAGGGTGTGCTGTGAGTGAGCTGGACCCCTAAGCAGCAAGTCCTGCCGTCTTCCGAGTCATTTGGGACAGAGTCACTCCTCTAATAGGATTCTTCCACAGGGTGACTCAGGTCACTGTGGGGCCGCCTTGGTGAAAAGGTCCCCTGCTCACCCTCTGCAGGCCCTCCCCTGCCAGGGTCCACATCCCCGGGGTTGCCTCTCACTTTGACAACGACTCATTTAGGCCAGTCCTAGCTGCTGGGGAGATAAAACAGGACTGGTCCAAGGTTCAAGACAGCCAGACCCTCTCCTAACTCCAGAGGTGCCTTTCGTGCCCGGGGAGGGCTCTTCTGGCCCCAGGGTCTCTCACCCTGTCTCTCTCCTGTCCCTCCCCTCCAGCTGGATGCTGATGATGCCAAGGCAACCTTTGATGAGGAGGAAGGTCGGGATGAATACGACGAAGTGGCCATGCCTGTGTGAGGGGCGGGCCCAGGCCCTAGACCCTCCCCCACCATTCCACATCCCCACCTTCCAAGGAAAAGCAGAAGTTCATGGGCACCTCATGGACTCCAGGATCCTCCTGGAGCAGCAGCTGAGGCCCCAGGGCTGTGGGTGGGGAAGGAAGGCGTGTCCAGGAGACCTTCCACAAAGGGTAGCCTGGCTTTTCTGGCTGGGGATGGCCGATGGGGCCCACATTAGGGGGTTTGTTGCACAGTCCCTCCTGTTGCCACACTTTCACTGGGGATCCCGTGCTGGAAGACTTAGATCTGAGCCCTCCCTCTTCCCAGCACAGGCAGGGGTAGAAGCAAAGGCAGGAGGTGGGTGAGCGGGTGGGGTGCTTGCTGTGTGACCTTGGGCAAGTCCCTTGACCTTTCCAGCCTATATTTCCTCTTCTGTAAAATGGGTATATTGATGATAATACCCACATTACAGGATGGTTACTGAGGACCAAAGATACATGTAAAATAGGGCTTTGTAAACTCCACAGGGACTGTTCTATAGCAGTCATCATTTGTCTTTGAACGTACCCAAGGTCACATAGCTGGGATTTGAACTGAGCCGTGCAGCTGGGATTTGAACCAGGCCTTCTGATTTCAAGGTCCGAGCTCTGTCCTCTGTCAGTCATGCGTCCACTTTCCCTTCCCCTGTGACTCCTCCCTTCCCCACTCTGCTCCCAGCCCCTACCTTGAGACCCTCTTCTCTGGGCCCAGAGAGAGGCGTCCTGGTGAGGACAAGGTACAGGCAAGGATGATCCAGGGATTGGGCCTGGGACTCAGGCCTCCTAAGTGTTTGGTTCCTCCCTCCAAACACTCATTAGTTCACTCATTCATTCATTCCACAAACATTTACTGAGGGCCCCGGAATCAGTGGACTCCGAGGGGACTGAGACAAGCCCTGCCCTGGGGTGGGGGTGGGGGGCAAGGTACAGTTGATTCTACATTTGGATAGGGAGTGGGGGAGGGTGGGAAGGTAGGGGCGGGAGAGTGAGGGGGTTTGTAATTTATTAATTGCGTATTTTCTAAGAGTTTTCAACATAGTTTGGCTTCACACACAACTTCAGGCCCCTCATTTGAGAGCCATTATCCTCAACTCCATCTAAACTGAATCTTGGGGAGAACCCAGATCTGACCAATTGGGGTAGGAGACAGCAGGCTCTCCAAGAACATGGGCAAATTTATTTTTTTATAAAACAAAAAGATAAAAAGAGTTGAAAGACGTGAAAGTGGTGAGAGATGGAGGAAACAGAATCAGGAAGTGGTAGAAAAGAGAGGAGGTGGCTGGGCGCAGTGGCTCACGTTTGTAATCCCAGCACTTTGGGAGGCCAAGTTGGGCGGATCATTTGAGGTCAGGAGTTTGAGACCAGCCTGGCCAACATGGTGAAACCCCGTTACTACTAAAAATACAAAAATTAGCTGGGTGTCTCGTGGCAGGCACCTGTAATCCCAGCTACTTAGAAGGCTGAGGCAAGAGAATCACCTGAACCCAGGAGGTGGAGGTTGCAGTGAGCCAAGATTGCACCACTGCACTCCAGCCTGGGCAACAGAGCGAGACCCTGTCTCAAAAAAAAAAAAAAAAAAAAAAAAAAAACGGAAGGAAACATCAGCCTTGGGGGCCACAGACTCAACATGTGTGTGTGGTGGGGTTCCAGCCCAACATAGAGTAACATTATTTGTACCTCCCAGGCTAGCTCAGTCCATGGGAGGCTCTCCTGTCCCTGAAAGCTGACACCCACCTTTCACCACTTCGCCCATGCTACAGTTCAGTTTCCTCGTCTGTAAAATGGGGATGATAATGGTACCTACCTTGCAGTGTTGTTATAAGGATTAAAGGAGACAGTGCAAGAAAAGGCCTTGGTTGGTGAAGAGCCCAACCTCGGAGGGGAGCTGCTGGGATCCTCCTTATCTTGACTGGGATGTCCCTGTCTCCCCCTCCCCTTGCTCCTTGAACATGGCCAAGGAAAGTGAAAAACAAAAATTATTCACTCTGCTAGCACCCTTCCCCTTGATGCCTGGGAATAGGTTTTGCCAATAAACGTATCTGTGTTGGAGTGGCTGCCTTGCCTGAATTCCCGTTCCCAGAGTCGGGGGTCCCGGGGGTCTTGGCTGAACTAGGTGGGCATGGTGTGTGTGGCACGGGCCTGGCACAGGGCTGCATCTATGCAGCAAGGGGAGCCAGGCTGAGGTGTGACCCTGAGCCCTAGGGTGGGAGGCCAGCACCCAGAGAGTGGGTAGGGAGCAAGAGATGAGATTATGCTCTGAGACTCCTTCCTCTCCTGAATAAGCAAGACCTGTGGGGGTGGGAGGAGGGACTGTAAGGGGACCTTGCCCCCTGCTCCTTATACTTGTGAGCCCCCAATTCCCTTTAGATCAGTGGACCCCTTACCGGGAAGCTGGACAGCACCTTTGACAGAGATGACCAGAGAAGAAAACAGAGGCCCAGAGAGGGCACATGGCCACACAGGCACAGCGTCTCCTGGCCAGCTTTCTGCTTACCCTCATCCTGGTCCCCTTTGGAGGCTCTGTCCCCTACCCCCAACCACTTCCAGCAATTCTAGGGTGTTGCTGGGCTAGGTGTCCCCCACCCCGGGAGAGGAGGGTTCCAGGACTGGACATCTGCCCTCCCTAGACTTCCAACGAGAGGTCAGTGCAGGGCTGGGCCGCCTGGCTTCCTGCCCTAGATCTATATTTACTGCCTATCCCCAGCTGACCCCTCCCAGGCTAGCCAGGGCAGCTGCCAAAGGGTCAGAGAGCTAACTCTGCCAGGGGAGAGCCGTCCCAGCGTCCACCTCCCACACACAGCAGCTGCAGATCCCCACAGCCCTGGCCCTGTCCCCAGGGCTTGCCAGACCCTCCATTCCCCACGTCCATGTACCCAGAAGTCAGGCTATGAGACAAGCCTGAAGAGAGCTCAGGCCACCGGCATCCCCAGGCCTCTTCCACAGGCTGGCTGTGCAACCTGGGAAAAGCCAGTCCCCTCTCTGGGTCTCCGTTTTCTACTGGGCTAATTCTTCCTGGTAGATCCTTTCCATCGCCTGGAAAAGGATCCTTTCCATCCTTTTCCAGCTCATCATATCTGGACTTAGGGGAATAAATGCTGCCTCAATTTGGGGGACCACTTCCTGCCCCTGCCAAGGGTTAAGCCCCTCTCCATGTTTTTAATTGCAATTCTGAAACACTACCTGGAGCTTGGGCAGCAGGGGAGGCTGGGACCCTGGCCAGAATCCCTAGGGCATTGCTACACAGTGGGGCTCTGGGACCAGCAGCAGTGCCATTTCTAGGGAGCTTGCCAGTAATCTAGGAGCTCAGGCCCTGCCCCAGAGTTGAGAAATAAGAATCTGCATTTTAACCAGATCCCCAGGTGATGTCCAGCACGGGAAGCTGGGCCTTAAGAACAGAGAGCCAGGGAGCAGAGCGAGGGTGTGCAGACTTCAGGTTTCTGCTCATCCATCCCACTCCTCCCACCCTTAGAGAAGATTCGGAGGCCTTCTTGAGGGAGTAGAGGGGGCCTGGGGTAGGGGCGGGGTATCAGGGCAAAGAGAGAGTGGCTGGACCACAGCCTGCCTAATTCCCCTTGTTGCACCTCAGACCCCAAACAGCTTGGGCCAGGAAGGCATTAGGGAAATGTGGGGGACACAGGAATCCCCCCAGACTGACTTCCTGCCTGGCCGGAGGCCTCACACTACCCCAACTTCCTGTACCTCACATGATCCCCCATCCCCCAACACACAGACACACAGACACACACACACACACACACACACACACACACACACAGTCTCTGGGTTTTTTGGGGAGTTTTCTTTTTTTTTTTTTTTTTTTTGAGACGGTGTTTCACTCTTGTGGCCCAGGCTGGAGTGCAGCGGCACGATCTCAGCTCACTGCAACCTCCACCTCCTGGGTTCAAGAGATTCTCCTGCCTCAGCCTCCCGAGTAGCTGGGATTACAGGCTCAAGCCACCACCGTGGTTAATTTTTGTACTTTTATTAGAGACGGGGTTTCACCATGTTGGCCAGGCTGGTCCGGAACTCCTGACCTCACGTGATCCATCCGCCTGGGCCTCCCACGGTGCTGGGATTACAGGCGTGAGGCACCGCACCTGGCCAGTCTCTGGGTTTTAACTCCTGCTTGTCCATTCAACTCTTTTGTGAAAACCATGTCAACGAGAATGAACTACTGTAATGAGGTCAACATTTGTGTGTGAACACAAAGGAACCCCACCCTGATAAGGAAGTAATTCAACAGACTCAAAAAGCTCTGGGCCTGAAGATAATTTAGAGGACTATCTATGTGAGCAGAAAGCTAGAAAGAGCCCAAATACTCAGAAATAGGACAGCAGTTAGTAAATTACAGTAAATTACCCTCCATCAATAGAATGGACCACTAGGCAGACCTTAATAATTATGAGGAAGCTATTGGATCAACTTAATGGCATCACATGACCCTGGGCCTTTGAGGCCAAGGTGTTTGGAATACCAGCTTTGTGATTTGTTTTTTCATTTTGTTTTGTATAGATGAGGTCTCATTATGTTGCCTAGGCTGGTTTTGAATTCCTGGCCTCAAGCAATCATCCCACCTTGGCCTCCCAAAGTGCCAGCTTTGTGATTTATTAGTAGTAGGAGTTGGCTGAATAGCCTGATCTCTGAGGTTAAAGGCATCTGTAAAATAGAGATAATGATACTCACCTCACAATGTTGTTAAGAGGATAAAATGATATCATATATCCAGAAGTCCCGGCCCAGTGCTGCATTTTCGCAGGCAAAAATTCATAGTGATGTGTTCCTCATGGTGACAGCCACATAGAAACATACAGTAGGGTGCACAGGAGTGAGGGTTCGAGGCTTAGACAGAAAGTTAAAATGCCACCATGGTAGAGTTATAGGAGATATCATTTTATTTTTCTCCTTCTTGTGGACTTTAGGTGCAGAGGGTTAAATTAGTCATCCTCCTGAGGTCAGGGCAGGTTATCATCAACTGTTCTTGTTTCCGTTCCTTCTTTTCTCATTTCTTCTTTTCTTCATCCTTTTTTTTTTTTTTTTTTTGAGACGGAGTCTCGCTCTGCTGCCCAGGCTGGAGTGCAGTGGCACGGTCTCAGCTCACTGCAAGCTCCACTTCCCAGATTCATGCCATTCTCCTGCCTCAGCCTCCTGAGTAGCTGGGACTACAGGCACCCGCACCCACACCCGGCTAATTTTTTGTATTTTTAGTAGAGACGGGGTTTTACCGTGTTAGCCAGATGGTCTTGATCTCCTGACCTCGTGATCTGCCCACCTCGGCCTCCCAAAGTGCTGGGATTACAGGCATGAGCCACCGTGCCCAGCCCTCTTTCTTTTTTTTTTTTTTTTTTTTTTTTGAGACAGAGTCTTGCTCTATCACCCAGGCTGGAGTGCAGTGGCATGATCTTGGCTCACTGCAACCTCTGCCTCCTGGGTTTAAGTGATTCTCCTGCCTCAGCCTCCTGAGAAACTGGGATCACAGGCGCCTGCCACCATGCCGGGCTAATTTTTGCATTTTTTAGTACAGATGGGTTTTCACCATGTTGCCTAGGCTGGTCTCGAACTCCTGACTTACCTCAAGTGATCCTCCTGCCTCGTTCTCCCAAAGTGCCTGGATTACAGGAGTGAGCCACCACACCCGGCCTGCTCCTTCTCTTTTGTCTTCATTCCCTACTCCTATGTTCTTCCCCCTCCACAGCAACCATTCTAACTTGTTTAATTTGTTTCTTTTTATATGAATGGGTTCTTGAAAATATGTGTCACTGTTGTTGTTTTAAATTTTATTATGAAAATTTTTATACACAAAAGTAGAGAATGAATCCCAATATACTCATTTGTCAAATTCAGAAATTATCAGCTGGGCATGGTGGCTAATGTCTGTAATCCCAGCACTGTGGGAGGTTGAGGGGGGAGGATCGCTTGAGCCCAGGAGTTCAAGGCTAAGATCATGCCACTGCATGCCAGCCTGGACAACAGAGCCAAACTTATTCTCTTAAAAAATAATACTAAAATAGGTCGGGCGCGGTGGCTCACACTGTAATCCCAGCACTTTGGGAGGCTGAGGCGGGAGGATCACTTGAGGTCAGGAATTCAAGACCAGCCTGGCCAAACTGGCAAAACCCCGTCTCTACTAAAAAACACAAAAATTAGGCGGGGCACGGTGGCTCACGCCTGTAATCCCAGCACTTTGGGAGGCCGAGGCAGGCGGATCACAAGGTCAAGAGATCAAGACCATCTGGCCAGCATGGTGAAACCCCACCTCTACTAAAAATACAAAAATTAGCTGGGTGTGGTGGCACGTGCCTGTAGTCCCAGCTACTCGGGAGGCTGAGGCAGGAGAATCGCTTGAACCCGGGAGTCAGAGGTTGCAGTGAGCCGAGATCGTGCCATTGCACTCTGGCCTGGGCGACAGAGCAAGACTCTGTCTCAAAAAAAAAAAAAAAAAATTAGTTGGGTGTGGTTGCATGTGCCCGTAATCCCAGCTACTCGGGAGGCTGAGGCAGGAGAATCCCTTGAACCCAGGAGGCAAGTGAGCCAAGATGGCACCACTGCACTCCATCCTGGGCGACAGAGTGAGACTCTGTCAAAAATAATAATAATAATAATAATGATAAAATAAAAACAAAAATTATCAAAATTACGCCTTGAAATCTTGCTTAAATCTTTGCCGAAAATAATACATTTGCTTTATCTTCCTCTTTTTATCCTTTGCTGAAATACTTTAAATCCCATACTTGATGCCATTTCACCCCTATATTGTTTTTTTTTTTTTTTTTTTTTTTTTTTGGAGACAGTCTCGCTCTGTTGCCCAGGCTGGAGTACAGTGGCATGATCTTGGCTCACTGCAAGCTCTGCCTCCCAGGTTCACACCATTCTCCTGCCTCAGCCTCCCGAGTAGCTGGGACTACAGGCGCTCACCACCACGCCCAGCTAATTTTTTGTATTTTTAGTAGAGACAGGGTTTCACCGTGTTAGCCAGGATGGTCTCGATCTCCTGACCTTGTGATCCACCCACCTCGGCCTCCCGAAGGGCTGGATTACAGGCATTAGCCACCGCACCCGGCCTCACCCCTATATTCTTTAGCTATGCATGCCCCCATCATTGAACCTAACCACAATGCTATCACACCCAACAAAATTAGCAGTAATACCTTCATATCATCTCATATCTAATCCATAACCAACATATCTAAATTGTCTCAAAATGTACCTTTACACTTGGTTTGTCACGTGTGTGTATTTCTATACATAATCAGCATTATGTTCTAGATCTTGATCTGTTGGTTCCTCTTTTTTTTTTTCGTTTCTTTTTCTTTTCTTTTTTTTTTTTTTTTTTTTTTTTTTTTTTGAGATGGGATCTCACTCTCACCCAGGCTGGAGTACAGTGGCACAATCACAGCTCATCGCAGCCTTCACCTCCCAGGCTCAAGGGATCCTCCCGCCTCAGCCTCCCTGGTAGCTGGGACCACAGGCACGTGCCACCATGCCCAACTAAAATTTTTTTGTAAAGATAGGGTCTTGCCATGTTGCCCAGGCTGCTCTCCAACTCCTTGGCTCAAGCGATCCTCCCACCTTGGCCTCCCAAAGTGCTGGGGATTACAGGCATGAGCCACCACGCCTGGCCTTTCTTTTTTGACAAAGCCACCAGTTCCCCTCCCATGATAACTCACTAATCCATTAATCCATTAATTCATTAATCCATGAATGGATCAGTCCATTCATGAAGGCAGAGCCTTCATGACCCAATCATCTCTTAAGAGCCCTACCTCTTGGCTGGGGCAATGGCTCATGCCTGTAATCCAGAACTTTGGGAGGCCGAGGTGGGCAGATCACCTGAGGTCGGAAGTTCAAGACCAGCCTGACCGACATGGAGAAACCCCGTATCTACTAAAAATACAAAATTAGGCCAGGCGCAGTGGCTCACGCCTGTAATCCCAGCACTTTGGGAGGCCAAGGCAGGCGGATCACGACGTCAGGAGATTGAGACCATCCTGGCTAACACGGTGAAACCCCGTCTCTACTAAAAATACAAAAAATTAGCGGGGCGTGGTGGTAGGGGGCGTGGTGGCAGGCGCCTGTAGTCCCAGCTACTCGGGAGGCTGAGGCAAGAGAATGGCGTGAACCCAGGAGGCAGAGCTTTCAGTGAGCCGAGATCGTGCCACTGCACTACAGCCTGGGTGACAGAGCGAGACTCTGTCTCAAAACAAACAAACAAACAGACAAACAAAATATATATATATAATTAGCTGGGCGTGGTGGTGCATGCCTGTAATCCCAGTTATTCGGGAGGCTGAGGCAGGAGAATCGCTTGAACCGGGGAGGCGGAGGTTGCGGTGAGCCAAGATAGCGCCACTGCACTCCAGCCTGGGCAACAAGAGCGAAACTCCCTCCCCCACCAAAAAAAAAAAAAAAAAAAAAAAAGCCCTACATCTCTCCGGTCGCGGTGGCTCACGCCTGTAATTCCACCACTTTGGGAGGCCGAGGCGGGCGGATCACGAGGTCAGGAACTCGAGACCAGCCTGGTCAATATGGTGAAACCCCGTCTCTACTAAAAATACAAAAATTAGCTGGGTGTGATGGCGGGCACCTGTAGTCCCAGCTACTCAGGAGGCTGAGGCAGGAGAATCACTTGAACCCGGGAGGCAGAGGTTGCAGTGAGCCAAGATCACACCATTGCACTCCAGCCTGGGCAACAAGAGCAAAACTCCTTCTCAAAAAAAAAAAGATCTCATATATGGAGTCCTGTCTCTGTCTTCTCCATTGTGTTTCTTCAGACTATTTCACGGCTCTTTATTATTAAAGTTTTAGAGAATGCCTTAATATCTGGTAGACCAAGTCCTCCTTGTATTAGGATAGAGTAGATTATCTTGTGGCAATAACCCCAAATCTCAGTGGCTTAATCCATGAATCTTTATCTCCCACTTACACAAGATCCACTGCATTTCTCCGTGGCAGCTTCCTTCATGCGGGGTTCATGAATCCAAGCTGATTATATCTGTGGCGAAACTGAAATATATGACTTCCAGGTCACTTTGGCAGAAGAAGAAAGGGCTGGAGGATTCACACAAGCTCTTAAATGCCTGAGCTGGGCAATGACAAAGTCACTGTGCTTACAGCCCATTGACCAGAACTAGTCATGTGGCCCTGCCTAACTTCAAAGAGGCCCCAAAACGGGAAGAAGCCAGGGATATTCAAAGCAGACTAAAATGTCTCCAACCAAACGCCTCTCTTTTTCATAAAGATAATTTAGCTATAATGAGGGCCTTATTCTTACGCTTATTGTAGTCTTCCAAAAAATTCAATTGGAAATTTAATTGAGATTGCTTGAATGTTTTTAATGTTGTTGGCACATCTTTTTTTTTTTTTTTTTTTAACAGTTTCGCTCTGTCGCCCAGACTGGAGTGCAGAGGTGCGATCTCAGCTCACTGCAACCTCCATTTCCCAGGTTCAAGCAATTCTCATGCTTCAGCCTCCCAAGTAGCTGGGACTACAGGCGACCGCCACCATACCCGGCTAATTTTTGTATTTTTTTTTAGTAGAGACAGGCTTTCACCATGTTGGCCAGGCTGGTCACGAACACCTGACCTCAAGTGATCCACCCACCCTGGCCTCCCAAAGTGCTGGGATTACAGGCATGAGCCACCGTGCCTGGTCTTATTTTAATGAGAAAGACCATCTACCCTAACAAGTCCAAAGGCTGAGGCTGGAATGCTACCTCTTCCTTTATCCTTTATGTCCATGAGGGCTCCCACTACTGGTCTCCCAAGCCCTAGGTTTATATTTATTCTTTTTTTTTGAAAGTATCTCACTCTGTCGCTCTCTTGCCCAGGCCGGAATGCAATGGTGTGATCTCGGCTCATTGCAACCTCTACCTCCCACGCTAAAGGGATCCTCCCACTTCAGCCTCCTGAGTAGCTGGGACTATAGGCACACACCACCACGCCTGGCTAAATTTTGTATTTTTTATAGAGATGGAGTCTCACCATGTTGCCCAGGCAGATCTCAAACTCCTGAGCTCAAGCGATCCTCCTACCTCAGCCTCCCAAAGTTCTGGAACTACAGGAGTGAGCCACCAGGCAGGCCTATATTTATTCTTAAAGTTGTGCAGCACTGTCTATTTTCATTTTTGTTGCTTATGCACGTCTAATCTCTCCCAGCTGAGTGGAAGATCCCAGAAGCAGAGACTTTAGGTTGAGCATTTCTTTCCTCCTCCCACCTACACCCGACCCCCCTGTTCCTAGCAGTTTATGGGAAGACTGCACCCTAAGTCCAATGTTGAGGCCAGGGTGGGGTTGGAAACTTGGGAGAGGTCTTGAAGAGTAAGAACCAGGGATAGGAACCCCACTCCTCTTTGTTGGAGAGAGGCAGAGCCTGGAACTTGGAAACTCTCTGTGGTGCCCTGTGGCCATGCAGGGCATCACATCACATGGTCAGGGGACTGCGCTTGCTAACATGCTAATTCAGGTTTATCTTCTTATAAAGCTATCAGTTCCCCTCTAACCATTAATTATGAATGAATTAATCCATTCATGAGGGCGGCCCTCAAGATCCCTATCATCTCTCGCTCTGTCGCCCAGGCTGGAGTGCAGTGGCGCTATCTCAGCTCACTGCAATCTCCGCCTCCTGGGTTCAAGCAATTCTCCTGCTTCAGCCTCCTGAGTAGCTGGGACTACAGGTGCCCACCACCACGCCCAGCTAATTTTTGTATTTTTAGTAGAGACGGGGTTTCACCATATTGGCCAGGCTGGCCTGGAACTCCTGACCTTGTGATCCGCCTGCCTCGGCCTCCCAAAGTGCTGGGATTATAGCCGTGAGCCACCACACCCGGCTCCTATCATCTCTTTTTATTTATTTATTTATTTATTTATTTATTTATTTTTTATTGATCATTCTTGGGTGTTTCTCGCAGAGGGGGATTTGGCAGGGTCATAGGACAATAGTGGAGGGAAGGTCAGCAGATAAACAAGTGAACAAAGGTCTCTGGTTTTCCTAGGCAGAGTGTGTGTGTCCCTGGGTACTTGAGATTAGGGAGTGGTGATGACTCTTAACGAGCATGCTGCCTTCAAGCATCTGTTTAACAAAGCACATCTTGCACCGCCCTTAATCCATTTAACCCTGAGTGGACACAGCACATGTTTCAGAGAGCACAGGGTTGGGGGTAAGGTCATAGATCAACAGGATCCCAAGGCAGAAGAATTTTTCTTAGTACAGAACAAAATGAAAAGTCTCCCATGTCTACTTCTTTCTACACAGACACAGCAACTATCCGATTTCTCAATCTTTTCCCCACCTTTCCCCCTTTTCTATTCCACAAAACCGCCATTGTCATCATGGCCCGTTCTCAATGAGCTGTTGGGTACACCTCCCAGACGGGGTGGTGGCCGGGCAGAGGGGCTCCTCACTTCCCAGTAGGGGCGGCCGGGCAGAGGCGCCCCTCACCTCCCGGACGGGGCGGCTGGCCGGGCAGGGGGCTGACCCCCCACCTCCCTCCCGGACGAGGCGTCTCGCCTGGCGGGGGGCTGACCCCCCCACCTCCCTCCCAGACGGGGCGGCTGGCCGGGCGGGGGGCTGACCCCCCCACCTCCCTCCCGGACGGGGTGGCTGGCCGGGCGGGGGGCTGACCCCCCCACCTCCCTCCCGGACGGGGCGGCTGGCCAGGCGGGGGGGCTGACCCCCCCCCACCTCCCTCCCGGACGTGGCGGCTGGCCGGGCAGAGGGGCTCCTCACTTCCCAGTAGGGGCGGCCGGGCAGAGGCGCCCCTCACCTCCCAGACAGGGCGGCTGGCTGGGCGGGGGGCTGATCCCCTCACCTCCCTCCCGGACGGGGCGGCTGGCCGGGCAGAGGGGCTCCTCGCTTCCCAGTAGGGGCGGCCGGGCAGAGGCGCCCCTCACCTCCCGGACGGGGCGGCTGGCTGGGCGGGGGGCTGACCCCCCCACCTCCCTCCCGGACGGGGCGGCTGGCCGGGCGGGGGGCTGACCCCCCCACCTCCCTCCCGGACGGGGCGGCTGGCCGGGCGGGGGGCTGACTCCCCCACCTCCCTCCCGGATGGGGCGGCTGGCCGAGCAGAGGGGCTCCTCACTTCCCAGTAGGGGCGGCCGGGCAGAGGCGCCCTCACCTCCCGGACGGGGTGGCTGGCCGGGTGGGGGGCTGACCCCCCACCTCCCTCCCGGACGGGGCGGCTGGCCTGGCGGGGGCTGACCCCCACCTCCCTTCCGGACGGGGTGGCTGCCGGGCGGAGACGCTCCTCACTTCCCAGACGGGGTGGCAGCCGGGCGGAGGAGCTCCTCACTTCTCAGATGGGGCAGTTGCCAGGTGGAGGGTCTCCTCACTTCTCAGACGGGGTGGCCGGGCAGAGACGCTCCTCACCTCCCAGACGGGGTCGCGGCCGGGCCGAGGTGCTCCTCACATCCCAGACGGGGCGGCGGGGCAGAGGCGCTCCCCACATCTCAGAGGATGGGCGGCCGGGCAGAGACGCTCCTCACTTCCTAGATGGGATGGTGGCCGGGAAGAGACTCTCCTCACTTTCCAGACTGGGCAGCCAGGCAGAGGGGCTCCTCACATCCCAGACTATGCGCGGCCAGGCAGAGACGCTCCTCACTTCCCAGACGGGGTAGCGGCCGGGCAGAGGCTGCAATCTCGGCACTTTGGGGGGCCAAGGCAGGCGGCTGGGAGGTGGAGGTTGTAGCCGAGATCACGCCACTGCACTCCAGCCTGGGCACCGTTGAGCACTGAGTTAACGAGACTCCGTCTGCAATCCCGGCACCTCGGGAGGCCGAGGCTGGCGGATCACTCGCGGTTAGGAGCTGGAGACCAGCCCGGCCAACACAGCGAAACCCCGTCTCCACCAAAAAAATACGAAAACCCGTCAGGCGTGGCGGCGCGCGCCTGCGATCGCAGGCACTCGGCAGGCTGAGGCAGGAGAATCAGGCAGGGAGGTTGCAGTGAGCCGAGATGGCAGCAGCACAGTCCAGCTTCGGCTCGGCATGAGAGGGAGACCGTGGAAAGAGAGGGAGAGGGAGAGGAGGGAGAGGGAGAGGGAGAGGGAGAGGGGCTCCTATCATCTCTTAAAGGTCTCACCTTTCTCGTTTTTTTTGTTTTTTTTTTTGAGATGGAGTTTGGCTCTTGTCACCCAGGCTGGAGTGCAACAGCATGGTGGCAGGGTCTCGGCTCACCGCAACCTCCACCTTCCGGGTTCAAGCGATTCTCCTACCTCAGCCTCCCAAGTAGCTGGGAATACAGGCGCCCGCCACCATGCCAGTTTAATTCTCGTATTTTTAGTAGAGATACAGTTTCACCATGTTGGCCAGGCTGGCAAACTCCTGACCTCAGGTGATCTGCCCGCCTGGACCTCCCAAAGTGCTGGGATTACAGGCATGAGCCACTGTGCCTGGCCAGCCTCACCTTTCTCTTTTGCTCTCAGTCTTCTAGGCCCCTTCCCTCTTTGGGCCCTATCAAGTTGTTGAGAGTTGTTGGGTGGGGGATGGTGTCACTCCGGGACTGGGTAATAAACCCTTTTCTCCTCTGATCACTGCTAACAAGGTGTGTCATATTTGAGAGGTTTGTTTCTGTCTCTTTGTATATGAGGGGTCTGGGTTCTCAGTTTTGCTGACCATATGGAACAGTTCTAGGGCTGTGTGACAGGATGTGACCCAGGGCTGGCAGGCTGCAGGGACATGAGCTGTGGAAATTGAGAGGGCAGAGAGCAGAATGGGCTGAAGAAGTAGCTTTCAGTATTTATTGAGCACATACTATGTGCTAGGCACAGTTCCAGGTGCTTTCCGTGTTCTTACTCTTTTCCTCCTCACAATAACCCTGTGAGGTCGGCTTTAGCCCCATCTTACTGATAAGGAAACTGAAGCACAGAGAAGATAAGGAACTCACCCTAGCTCATACGGCTTCTAAGAGGCAGGGTAGGATTCAGATGCACGGCTGTTTGACCAAGAGCCTGGTGTCCTTCTACACCTCTATGCCATCAAGCTTATGAAGTCCAGAGACAGAATGCTTGTGGAGAAGAGGAACTAGACTTTGGACACTGGATAGAATTCAAGTTGGGGGCATGCACGGTGGCTCACATCTGTAATCCCAGCACTTTGGGAGGCTGAGGTGGGCGGATCACCTGAGGTCAGGAGTTTGAGACCAGTCTGGCCAACATGGTGAAACCCTGTCTCTACTAAATATACAAAAAATAGCCGGGTGTGGGGGCGTGCACCTGTAATCCCAGCTACTTGGGAGGCTGAGGCAGGACAATTGCTTGAACCCGGGAGGTGGAGGTTGCAGTGAGCCGAGATGAGATGGTGCCAGTGCGCTCCAGCCTGGGCGACAAGAGCAAAACTCCGTCTCAAAAAGAAAGGAATTCAATTTGTTCTCAAGGGTCAGGGAGAATGGAGGGTGGGGTACCTTCCAGGTAGGTAGGGGAGTGGTTTGGCCAAGGGCAGGGAGGTGGGAATGGTGTATCGACAGCACAGGGAAGTCTTGACTGCAGAGGTGAGTCCTTCTAGAAGAGGTTCATATAAGATGGAAAAAGCAAGGTCAAGTTTGAAGAACCCTAACTGCCCAGAAGGGTTTGGACTTGATTCAGGAGGCATTAGGGAGTCTTGCAGGTTCTTGGGCTGGGAAGTGACATGATTAAAGTGATTCACCTGGAAGTGAATTCATACAGGAGGAATTCGCTGTAAGGAGGCAAACTGGGAATCTGTGCATGTCAGTGAGTCAGTAGCAGAGGCGGGCTGACATAGCCCATGCTATCATAGGACCTGCAGTCAGCATGGGGCCCGACGTTCAGCAAGAGTGAGCACTGGCTGGCCATGGTGCTCACGCCTGTAATCCCAGCACCTTGGGAGGGGCTGAGGTGGGCAGATGCCTTGAGCCCAGGAGTTTGAGACCAGCCTGGGCAATGTGGCAAAACCCTGTCTCAAAAAAAAAAAAAAATTGTGGCCAGGCGTGGTGGCAAGCGCCTATAGTCTCAGTATTCCAGAGGCTGCAGTGGGAGGATCACTTGAGCCCAGGAGGTCAAGGCTTCAGTGAGCCGTGATCGCGCCACTGCACTCCAGCCTGGGTGACAGAGTGAGACCTTGTCTCAAAAACAAAACAAAAGAAAACACTAGTATTGTGCAGGGAGTGGCAGGAGCAGAGGGAGCTGGAGTAAGGCAGGGCTTCTTGGAGGGAGAGACATTTGATCTGACTCCTGAGGGACAAGCAGTAACTGTCCCAGTGATGAGAGAGGTGGAATATCTTGAAGGAATAGAGTCTATGAAATGGAATATATCTGAGAAGTAGCCTGAAGAGAAATGGGTGAAATTTGCTCAGCAAAGTGAAGTGACATCATGGAAAGCCTGCTGGGTTGGCAGACCACATGGTGACCTCAGAAGGTTTTCTTTCCCATGTACCTGGGCCCAGAGCCAGCTGACAGGAGGTAAGGAAGGAAGGGCTGGGTGAGGAAGCAGAAGCAGGAGGTGTGGGTTATGGCCTGAGGGCCCAGCAGGAGTGCTCAGCTGACTTTTTCCCAAGATGGACCAGAAAATGCTTTTCAGGCTGGGGGACACATGCACACTCACACACATCAAATCATCTCTCTACTTCCATTAAAACATATCTTTGTATTTTCAGATTTCAAAAATAATACATGTATAAAACACTTAAATTACAGAATGATTTAACATACAGAATAAAAATCTCCAGTAATTTGGCCAAGTGTGGTGGCGCATGCCTGTAATCCCAGCAGTTTGGGAGGCCGAGGCAGGAGGATCACTTGAGGTCAGGAGTTCAAGACCAGCCTGGGCAACATGGTGAGACTTTGTGTCTACTAAAAATTTAAAAATTAGCCAGGTGTGGTGGTGTTCACCTGTAGTCCCAGCTACTCGAGAGGCTAAGGTGGGAGGATCACTTGAGCCCAGGACTTTGAGGCTGCAGTGAGCTATGATGGTACCACTGCTCTCCAGCAGAGTAAGACAGAGTGGGAGGCTGTTTCTAAAAACACAAAACAAAAAACAAAAAAACCTCCAGTAATGACTGTTAATAATTTAGAGTATATTCCTCCAGATTTATTATATGTGAACACTAATTTACATATATATTTTTCCTTTTTTTTTTTTTTTTTTGAGACAGGGTCTCGCTCTGTCTCCCAGGCTGGAGTGCAGTGGCACGATCTTGGCTCACTGCAACCTCCACCTCCTGGGCTCAAGTGATTTTCCCACCTCAGCCTCCCTAGTAGCTGGGACTACAGGCATGTTTCAGTACATCCAGCTAATTTTTTGTATTTTTGGTAGAGGTAGGGTTTCATCATGTTGCCCAGGCTGGTCTCGAACTCTTGGACTCAAGTGATTTCACCCATCTCAGGCTCCCAAAGTGCTGGGATTACAGGCGTGAGCCACTGCGCCAAGCCTACCTTACATATATTTTAAAATAGAGCATGTCTATATATGTGTGTGCATTTTATTTTTTTTAAATTTTAGACAGCGTCCCGCTCTGTCGCCTAGGCTGGAGTACAGTGGCTCAATCATGGCTCACTGCAGCCTCAACCCCCCAGGCTCCAGTAATCCTCCTACCTCAGCCTCTGGAGTAGCTAGGACGACAGGCACCCACCACCACACCCAGCCAATTAAAAAATAAAATTTTGTAGAGACAAGGTCTTCCTATGTTGCGTAGGCTGGTCTCAAACTCCTGGGCCCAAGCGATCCTCCCACCTCGACCTCCCAGAGTGCTGGGATTATAGGCATGAGTCATTCCATCTGGCCCTTATATAATTTTTTAAACAAAACTTCAAAATACATGAAGTTAAAACTAATGGAACTGAAAGGAGAAACAGATAAATCTACCATTATGGCAGGAACTACCACTACTCTCTCAATAATTGATAGAACTAGTGGACAGAAAATCATGAAGGATATAGAACACCTAAATAGCACCAGCAACCAACTTGACCTAATTTATCTTTAGGGTACACTCCACCCAACTACAGCAGAATACATATTCTTTTCAAATGCCCATGGATCATTCACCTTAAAATAGACAACATTCTGGGCCACAAACACAAACCTTAACAAATTTAAAGGAATGGAAATCACAGAAAACATAGCCTATGTTCATAACATTATTAAATTATAAATCAATAACAGAAAGACATCTAGCAAATCCCTAAATATTTGTTTCTGTTTGTTTTGAGATAGAGTCTCTCTCTGTCGCCCAGGCTGGAGTACAGTGGCGCGATCTCGGCTCACTGCAACCTCCGCCTCCCGGGTTCAAGCAATTCTCCTGCCTCAGCCTCCCAAGTAGCTGGGATTACAGGTGTGTGCCACTATGACCAGCTAATTTTTGTATTTTTAATAGAGACAACGGGGTTTTACCATGTTGGCCAGGCTGCTCTCAAACTCCTGACCTCAAATGATCTGCTCGCCTTGGCCTCCCAAAGTGTTGGGATTACAGGCATGAGCCACAGCGCCAGGCCACAAATCCCTAAGTATTTGGAAAGTAAAACAATGCACTTCTAAATAACCCATAGACCAAAGCTAAAGTCATAAGTGAAATTGAGAAATATTTTGAACTAAAGGAGGATGAAAACATATCAAAATTTGTGAGATGCAATGAAGTAGTGCTTAGGGGGAAACAGAGCATTAAATACCTAGATTAAAAAATAAGAGGCCAGGCGAGCAGGCTCACGCCTGTAATCTCAGCACTTTGGGAGGCTAAGGCAGGCGGATCATTTGAGGTCAACAGAGTGAGACTCCATCTCAAAAAAAAAAAAAAAAAAAGAAAGAAAGAAAGAAAGAAAGAAAAAGAAAATAAGAAATATCTCAAATCAATAACCTAAACTCCTGCTATAAGAAACTAGAAAAAATGAGCAAATTAAACCCAAAGCAGACAAAAGGAAGGAAATAATAAAGATAGAATAGAAATCAATGAAATTGGCCAGGCTTGGTGGCTCAGGTCTGTAATCCCAGCACTTTGGGAGGCCAAGACAGGTGGGTCACTTGAGGTCAGGAGTTCGAGACCAGCCCGGCCAACATGGTGAAACCCCATCTCTAATAAAAATACAAAAATTAGCCGGGCATGGTGGTGCACACCTATCGTCCTGGCTACTCGGGAGGCTGAGATGGCACAGCCGCTTGAACCTGAGAGACAGAGTTTGCAGTGAGCCGAGATAGCACCACTGCACTCCAGCCTGGGTAACTGAGTGAGTCACTCAAAAAAAAAAAAAAAAATCAATGAAATTAAGAACAAACAGTAGAGGAAATCAATGAAACGAAAAGCTAGTTCTCTGAAAAAAAATGAGTAAAATTTATAAACCTTTGGTCAGACTGACCAAGAAAAACAGAGAAGAGACACAAATTATAAATAACAGAAATGGAAGACATCACTACAGACCCTAAAAACATTAAAAGAATAACAAAGGAATACTACAAACATAAATACCCATACATTTGACAACTTAAACGAAATGGTAAAATTCCTATTGGCAGGGCGCGGTGGCTCACTCCTGTAATCCCAGCACTTTGGGAGGCTGAGGCAGGCGGATCGCTTGAGGCCAGGAGTTTGAGACCAGCCTGGCCAACATGGTGAGACCCTGTTTCTACTAAAACTACAAAAATTAGCTGGCCGTGGTGGTGCGCCCAGCTACTTGGGAGGCTGAGGCAGGAGAATTGCTTGAGCCTGGGAGGCAGAGGTTGCAATGAGCTGAGATCGCGCTACTACACTCCAGCCTGGGCAACAAGAGCAAAACTCCACCTCAAAAAATAATAATAATAATTAATTAAATAAATTTAAAAGTAAAATAAAGTTCCTATACGTCAGGATAAAAAAAATCCTATCATCTGTGCTGTGTGGGAATTTTTTTTCTTTTTTCTTTTCTTTTGAGACAGGGTCTCACTCTGTCATCCACGCTGGAGTGCAGTGGAGCAATCATGGCTCACTGCAGCCTCAACCTCCTGGGTTCCAGTGATCCTCCTGCCTCAGCCTCCTGAGTAGCTGGGATCACAGGCATGAGGGCACTATACCCGGCTAATTTTTGTATTTTTTTGTAGAGAGAGGGTCTTGCTATGTTGCCCAGACTGGTCTCAAACTCCTGGGCTCAAGCAATCCCGTTGCTTTGGCCTTCCAAAGTGCTGGGATTATAGGCATGCGCTACCACACCCAACCCATATATAGTTTTTTAAACAGAGTGAAAGACACAAACAGCCAAATTCACTCAAAACGAAATAGAGGATTTCAACTGGGCAAGGTGGCTCACGCCTATAATCCCAACACTTTGGAGTTGGGATTATAAGCCCAGGGGTTCAAGATCAGCCTGGGCAACATAGCAAGACTTCATCTCTTAAAAAAAAAAAAAAAAAAAACAGGAAGAAGAGTTTCCAGTCTAACATGTAAAGAGCTTGGAAATCACCTCTACATTCAAACAAGTAAAAAGCTGAACAAACTGAAAAATCAACCCTTCTTAGATCCATCAGAGAAGTGGGGTCACACAGCAAATTGCTATGCCCTAAATTGGTGAGACAGTCAGATAAAATCACAATTTCTTTTTTTCTTCGACAGGCTCTTGCTCTGTCTGGCGTACAGTGGCAAAATGATAGCTCACTGCAGCCTCAAATACCTGGGCTCAAGCGATTCTTCCATCTCAGCCTCTCTAATAGTTGGGACTACAAGCACGAGCCACCACACCCAGCTAATTTTTCAATTTTTGGTAGAGATGGGGTCTCCCTATGTTGTCCAGGCTGGTCTTGAACTACTGGGCTCAAGCAATACTCCTGCCTCAGCCTCCCAAAGTGCTGGGATTACAGGCATAAGCCACCACGCCCAGCCTGAGAATCACAGTTGATGGGAGCAGAAACTCACAAGCAGTAACCTCCACAGGAACCAGTGCCAGGGTAGAAAAACCTGAAGTGTAATTGACAAATTGCTGTAGGCTCAATGTGAGCAACTCAGAAAGTTAAAAACTGCAGGGGGAGAGGGTCAGGGGTTAGTGAGGCGGGAAGTGAGCGTAATAAAGTTTCTCTAGGGAGGCAGAGCCAGGGGAGAAAGTTGGAGTGGTGACCTAAGCAGGCAGTGGTGTGATCTGGAATCAAATCGGCCTGTGGTGCGGTGCGGAGACTCCATGAGGCCCTGCTTTGCTCTTCCTCTTGGCCCTGCTCTATGTCCGCTGGGACCACTTCCTTCCTGTCCTCACTTTGCTAGCTCCAATCCACAGCTGTTGTAGCAGAGGATGCTAATGGCCCAGGCTCACTTCCATGGGCTATATGGAGGTCCTGCAATCAATGCGTGCCCTCGACTTCAACACCCAACTCAGGTCACGCAGGGAGGCAGGCCATCAGTCTGGTGTGTGATGCTGTGCTGGGTGTGAAGGGGGTGACAAGGAAGAGAAAGCCCTGTAGCTGCCTGCTCAGCTCTATCCTGGGAAGGAGTAACCTGAAATTTGCTGGAATGCCAATCACTCTCACCGTCTCCACCAGCAGCCTCAACCTCATGGCCGCAGACTGCAAACAGGACACAGCTGAGGATGTTGCCTACGTTGCCAAAGACCCTGTGAATCAGAGAGCCTGCCACATTCTGGAGTGTCCCAAAGGCCCTCCCAGGATGTCATTAGCACCATTGGCCAGGCCTTCGAGTTGTGCTTCAAACAATACCTCACGAACCCACCCCAACTGCTCACCCCCAAGACAGGATGGCTGGCTTTGATGGATCAGCTTGGGATGAGGAGGAGGAAGAGCCACCTGACCATTAGTACTATAATGACGTCCCTGGGAAGGAACCTTCTCTTGGGGAGTTGGTAGACATGAGGCTTCGGGAAGGAGCCACTTCAGAGGCTGCTTGACCCACTCCACCCAGTGTCTGGACCCCCAGCCACTTGGGAGCTACACTGCCTGTGGGATAGCCTGCTGGGGGAGATCCAGAAGTCCGCAAACAGATGCCACCTCCACCACCCTGTCCAGCAGGCAGAGAGCTCTTCAATGATCCCTATATCAACGTCCAGAACCTAGACAAGGCCCGGCAAGCAGAAGGTGGTGCTAGGCCCCCCCATCCTGCCATCAATCGCAGTGCACCCTGGGACCTCTTTGACATGAAGCCCTTTAAAGATGCTCTTTGGGTGCCTCCCCCTCCCCAGTGGTTTCCATGGCTGAGCAGCTCCAAGGGGAGCCCTGGTTCCACGGGAAGCTGAGCCAGCGAGAGGCTGAGGCATTGCTGCAGCTCCATGGCGACTTCCTGGTGCGGGAGAGCATGACCAAGGCCAGTATGTGCTTACTGGCTTGCAGAGTGGGCTGCCTAAGCACCTGCTATTGGTGGACCCTGAAGGACTGGTTTGGACAAAGGATCACTGCTTTGAGAGTGTCAATCCCAGCACTTTGGGAGACCAAGCCAGGCAGATCACAAGGTCAGGAGATCGAGACCATCCTGGCTAATACGGTGAAACCCGGTCTCTACTAAAAATACAAAAAATTAGCTGGGCGTGGTGGCAGGCGCCCGTAGTCCCTACTCAGGAGGCTGAGGCAGGAGAATAGTGTGAACCCAGGAGGCGGAGCTTGCAGTGAGCCGAGATCACGCCACTGTACTCCAGCCTGGGCAACAGAGCGAGACTCCGTCTCAAAAAAAAAAAGAGAGTGTCAGTCACCTCATCAGCTACCACATGGACAATCACTGGCCTATCATCTCTGTGGGCAGTGAACTGTATCTACAGCAACCTGTGAAGTGGAAACTGTGATCTGCCCCAGCGCCCTCTTCCAGAAGATTCCACCCTATTCCCTAACTCTCGGGACCTCATTTGGGAGTGTTCTGTGGGTTTGGCCTTGTGTCAGAGCTGAGGGTAGTGTGGACACTGGGTTTAGTATCCAGCTAAGTGAGAGAGTTTGAGTCAGAAGCCTGGGGGAGAATCTTGCTTCTCCCCAAACATTAATCACCCGAAGTATTAATGGACAGAGTGGCCCCTTACCTACGCCTTTCCTGTGCCAACCCGATGTCCCTTCCCCAAGAAGGTGAGTGCTTGTCATGGAAAATGTCCTGTGGTGATAGGCCCAGTGGAGCAGTCACCCTTCTGGGCAAGGGGGAACAAATCACACCTCTGAGCTTCAGGGTACCCCAGACACCTCTCCACAACCCCCACCCCATGTTTAAACTTTGTGCCTTTGACCACCTCCTAGGTCTGAAGATATTTTATGCAAAGAGTTCGTGCCAGATGTGGTGGCTCACACCTGTAATCCCAGCACTTTGGGAGGCCGAGGCGGATGGATCACTTGAGGTCAGGAGTTCAAGACCAGTCTGGCCAACATGGCGAAAACCCGTCTCTACTAAAAGTACAAAATTAGCTGGGTGTAGTGGCATGCACCTATAATCCTAGTTACTAAGGAGGCTGAGGCAGGAGAATCGCTTGAACCCGGGAGGTGGAGGTTGCAGTGAGCCAAGATTGTACCACTACACTCCCGCCTGGACGACAGAGTGAGATTCCATCTCAAAAAAAAAAAAAAAAAGAGTTCATGGGTCCCTGAATTCAATGACAGTGATGCCGACACCTTCTTGGCTTCTGAGACCCTGTTTTCTCCTTGCTCAGCACCCTCTCTGGTTTGGGTTGGGAGAATAGAGACAAGAATGGCATATATCCCCTCTCCCTGGGGATATGCAACCCTTAGAGATTGTCCCAGAGCCCCCCTCCCAGCCAGGGGGAAGATGGACCTGTCCCTTGCTCAGTGCCTCCTGGCCAGAGCCCCTCAATCCATTTCATAAACCCTGCCCTCCCATGATGCATGCCTATTGTACTCTATAGCCAAAATGTAGCCCTTCCTCCTGGAGCCTCTGCCCTGCCTCCCTTTCTGGGAGAGGAGGGGTGGGGGGTGACTGAATTTGGGCTTCGTGTACAGTAAACTCTCCCAGGTGGATTTTGTGGAGGTGGGAAAAGGGGCATTGAGACTCTAAAGCAGTAGACCATCCCTGAATACTATCTGCAGAGTTGGAACTGCATTCTTTTAAAATTTTATATGCATATATTTTAGGGATATAGACTTACTTTCCTAATTTTGTTTTCCATGGCTTATTCTTGAGCACAAAATGATAATCAATTATTAAATTTATACATCACCTTTTTGAATTTTCCAAGACCTTTTGCAGCTCTTGGCATTTTCGTTGCCCAGGCCTGTGAGGTAACTGGGATCAGCAGCATTATTATTTATACCAGAGACCTGAGGCAGATGAAACTGATTTCCACCTAGGACTAGAAAAACTTGGGCCTCTTACCACGAGACTGGGAGGCAGAAGTTTGCCCAAATGCATGTTAGTTTCACAAAGGGGAAATGCAAAACCTGCAGTTCCTGAGTACCTTTTACAGGCGCAGCCCTGCCTAGGCCCGGAGTGGACACACGACAGCAAGCCGGGCTTTCTCTTTAGGCCTTGTGGATAAGAGAGAGTGGGCTGTTTCCATCCTGGCCTCCTTTTGTCGTTGTTGGGATGTTTCCCCGGGTCTCACTTGTAGCAAAAGGAAAACTCTTCATTAAAGTCCGTATTTCTTCTAAACATAAAAAATAAATAAATAAAAAATAAAAATTGCAGGTGGACTAGGTCAGATGGGGCCCTATATTTTTGTGAGTTTTACCTCTAAGAGCTCTACTCAATTGCCCTTTCCTTCATATCCTGCCATCCCCTCACACCATGTACCCCAAATCACCACACTCTATTGTTTTCTTTTTTTTTTTTTTTTTTGAGAAGAGTCTTGCTCTGTCACCCAGGCTAGAGTACAGTGGTGGGATCTCCGCTCACTGCAAGCTCCGCCTCCCAGGTTCAAGTGATTCTCTTGCCTCAGCCTGCCGAGTAACTGAGATTACAGGTGCTTGCCACCACGCCAGGCTAATTTTTGTATTTTTAGTACAGATAGGGTTTCACCATGTTGGCCAGGCTGATCTCGAACTCCTGATCTCAGGTGATCCACCCACCTCGGCCTCCCAAAGTGCTGGGATTACAGGCGTGAACCACCGCGCCAGCCTAGGAAATGTTCTATATCTCTAGTATCCAATAATGTAGCCACTAGACACATAGGGCCATGGATATATGGTAAATGTGACTGAGGAACTGAATTTTCCATTTTATTTAATTTTAATTAATTTGAACTTATGGCCAGGTGCGGTGGCTCACACCTGTAATCCTAGCAGTTTGGGAGATGGAGGCAGCATTTTGGGAGGCCAAGGTAGGTAGATCATTTGAGGTCAGGAGTTCAAGACCAGCCTGGGCAACATGGTGAAACCCAGTCTCTACTAAAAATACAAAAAGGTGGCCAGGAGTAGTGGTGCAGGCCTGTAGTCCCAGCTACTTGGGAGGCTGAGGCACGAGAAGCGCTTGAGCCTGGGAGGCAGAGGTTGCAGTGAGCCGAGTTCACACCACTGTACTCCAGCTTGGGTGACAGAGCAAGACTCTGTCTCAAGAAAAAAACAAGACTGGGCACAGTGGCTCAAGCCTGTAATCCCAGCACTTTGAGAGGCTGAGGTGGGCGGATCACCTGAGGTCGGGAGTTCGAGACCAGCCTGACCAACATGGAGAAACCCCGTCTCTACTAAAAATACAAAATTAGCCAAGTGTGGTGGCTCATGCCTGTAATCCCAGCTACTCGGGAGGCTGAGGCGGAAATCACTTGAACCCGGGAGGCAGAGGTTGCAGTGAGCCGAGATCGTGCCATTACACTCCAGCCTGGGCAACAAGAGTGAAACTCCGTCTCAAAAAAACAAAACAAAAAACAAAAAAAAAAACAGGAGTTCAAGAGTTCAAGACCAGCTAGGGCAACATAGCAAGACTTCACCTTAAAATAAATAAATAAATGTAGAATGGATAAATTGTGGTATATTTATACAATGGAAATACTACAAGAACAGGTAAAACTTGTCTATGGTGATAGAGCTCAGAACCTCAGAACATTGATGATACTTGGAGGGGAATACTGAGTAAACCTGCTAAATGCGCCAGGTGCGGTGGTTCACGCCTGTAATCCCAGCACTTTGGGAGACTGAGGCAGGTGGATCACGAGGTCAGGAGATCGAGACCATCCTGGCTAACACGGTGAAACCCCGTCTCTACTAAAAATTAAAATTAAAAAAAAAATTAGCCGGGCATGGTGGCGGGCACCTGTAGTCCCAGCTACTCAGGAGGCTGAGGCAGGAGAATGACACGAACCCGGGAGGCAGAGCTGGCAGTGAGCCAAGACCGTGTCACTGCACTCCAGCCTAGGTGACAGAGTGAGACTCCACCTCAAAAAAAAAAAAAAAAAAAAAAAACTTGCTAAATGCTAGAAATATTTGATATTTTGATCTGGGTGCTGGTTACATGGTATACACATATGTAATATGATACTAAATATACATACCTAAAAGTTCATCAAGCTGTATACTTATGCTGGGTTGGGTGGCTCCTGCCTGTAATCAGCACTTTAGGAGGCTGACGCAGGCAGATCACCTGAGGTGAGGAGTTCGCGACCAGCCTGGCCAACATGGCGAAACCCCGTCTTTATTGAAAATACAAAAATTAGCTGGGCATTGTCGTGGGCGCTTGTAATCCCAGCTACTCAGGAGGCTGAGGCAGGAGAATCGCCTGAAACCTGGAGGCGGAGGTTGCAGTGAGCTGAAATCGTGCCACTGCACTCCAGCCTGGGCAACAGAGCTAGACTCAATCTCAAAAAATAAATAAATAAAAATACAAAAAAATTAGCTGGTCGTGGTGGCGCATGCCTGTAATCCCAGCTACTCGGGAGGCTGAGGCAGAATTGCTTGAACCAGGGAGGTGGAGGTTGCAGTGAGCCAAGATCGTGCCATTGCACTCCAGTCTGGGTGACAAGAGCAAAGCTCCGTCTCAAAAAAAAAAGTTGTATACTTAAAGTATGTGTACTTTACTATCTCTGACTTACACAGCAATAAAAAAATAACAAGGGACAGGCCGGGCGCAGTGGCTCACGCCTGTAATCTCAGCACTTTGGGAGGCCAAGGTGGGCGGATCACCTGAGGTTGGGAGTTCGAGACCAGCCTGACCAACGTGGAGAAACCCCATCTCTACTAAAATTACAAAATTAGCTGGGCGTGGTGGTGCATGCCTGTAATCCCAGCTACTTGGGAGGCTGAGGCAGGAGAATCGCTTGAACCCAGGAGGTGGAGGTTGCGGTGAGCCAAGATCGCGCCATTGCACTCCAGCCTGGTCAATAAGAGTGAAACTCCGTCCCAAGGAAAAAAAAAAAAAAAGTAACAAGGGACAATAACATTCTTGGCCCAAAAACGTGTGTCTTTATACCATCTTAAATAAAAATTTAAAAACAGAACATTTCCAATATGCATTAAAATACATAAATCTGAAAATATTGGTATACCATCTAAAATTACTCCCTGTAGACTGGTAATTTAAGTACCACACTTTGGTTAACGCATTCCAGGCACTCTGGGGGTTTTATATAAGCTGGTGCTTGGATGCTGGCAACCTGGGGAAATACTGAGGCCAAGTGGAAATTGTGTAGCTAGGATCCCGCTTTGTCACCAGCCTGGGCTGGGGTTATTGAATGCCAGCGCTCTGCTTCAAGGCACATGCCAGAAGGCTGGAGGGTGAGGAGGGAGATGAACTGGGAAATGGGGCAAAGAAAAAGGGCCAAGGGCAGATTCCTCATACTCTGGCCGTTAGCCCAAGTCTTGGACTCCTGACCTCACCACAGACGAAATAGATGTAAAACAAGCCAATTCGTTTCCAAGTGGGAAGGGTGCCAGCCATAGTTTTTGCTGCCCAAGGAATCAATAAATACTCATTCTTATGATTCATGTTCATCCTGTTTTATTCCAAAGCACTTTACCGAAAAGCCCCTTGGCCCAGCCAAAAAGTTCAGGGCCAGGAGCCAGGACACCTGGACTCCAGATCTGCATGTGGAAGATTTGGAACGTTATTGGTGGGGGGGGGTCTCAAGTTCTCTGTAATGTGGCAAGTGCCATCTGTGGAGGACTTTACAATTTTACATACATCATCTCATTTGGCCTTCTGATCCCTGGTGAGAGAAGCAAATTAAACAGGATTGCTATTCTAACTTTACAGATACGAAACTGGGACCAGGGAAGGTTAATAAGGCACTCAGATTCACACACTATTAAGAAGGTGGGGAAGTTGGGACTTTTGATTCCAAACCCTTTGCTCTTTCCTAGTCAAAACAATAAAGTCAGTTCTATGCCTCACTTTTCCTTTTTTTTTTTTTTTTTTTGACATATTATAATAGGGGGTGTGTGTGTTTGTAGAGGCAGCATCTTGCTATGTTGTCTAAGCTGATCTCGAACTCCTGGGCTTAATCACTTAAGACCTCCTGTCTTGGTCTCCCAAAGTGCTGGGATTACAGGTGTGAGCCAGTGCGCCTAGCCCACCATGCCTCACTTTTAGCGCAGTGTGATCCTACACAAATTGCCCTGTGTATATTCCAAGGGACGATCTGGGTTTGTAGGGCCAGAAACACGTGCAGTTCTGGGGTAGCGGGGAGGTGGTCGGTGGCTCTTTTAACAAAAAAATACCAAATGATGAAAACAAAATTAAGTTCAGGGCCTTGGGCAGGTCCTGCAAGTTAGGGGCCTAGAAGCTGAAATTTCATTAACATCTACTAGTGGTAAATCCGCTTCTCCTACATGCCAGTGCCCTCTGGGAAAAAAAAAAAAAAAAAACAGGACACACCAGATCTTGACAGGGCTTCCTCCCTGTTGGTGAAACCTGATAGAAGTGGGATGTGGAAGTCCTGGGAAAGCAATCTCATTTCTCCCAGGAGACAAGAGGAATTACAGCAGCAGCGAGGCAGGCCGAGTGAAGGAGAAGGCTGCGTGCCAGGGGAGAGTCGAAAGGGGCTGGGTGACCCAGCTGGCCGAGATGCGGGCAGTAGAGCGTCGGTGTGGGAGACTGGCAGCCTGAGAGCCAGGAGCAATGGCGCTGCCCCAGGAGCGGTGGCTGGAGGCTGGGCCCGTTGGAAGCAGGCTTCCTTCAGATGGTCTTCTGGCTCCCTGCGTCCTGTCCTGATAACCTTTCCTCTGAAAAGGGGAGGCAAAGACAGTCAACCACGGCCGTGGCAGTGGGAGAGTGGGTGGTGGACCCTGTCCAGGCCTTTCATCCCCGGCCTGCAGGACAGTGAACCAAGGGACGTCTTGTCGGAGGCTGCCCCGCTGCCACCCGGGGCAGCGAGAACCGGGTGCTGGGCTCCCCTCGCGGCTGCCCGCCGCCGCCGGGGGGCAGCGCCTGCGGCCTGCTTTCCTAGGGATGGCCGAGGCTTTTTGACAAGCTGATTGCGTGGCGGGGATTGGCTGGTCCGGGTGTGACGCCGGTAACAACAAAGGTGGAGTTGGAAGAAATTAGATTAAAGGAGAGGAAAAAAATTAAAGGGGGAGCTGGCATAGGACAGGAGGTAGAGACCGAGGGAGAGATGCGCCAAGCGGTGTCTCCCGGTTCCAACTCCCCCCACACCCGCCTCGACCCTAGAAGATCCCTCGCGCAAACCCACTGGGATTTTGCTCTTTCCCCTACCCCGGCCCAGTGACCGACGCCGGGGTAGCTGCTGCTTCTTGAAAAATCCCCGCAACTCCCACCCCGACACCCGTCACTACGACCCAGGGGGAGAACTTTTTGCTCGGACTCCTCGGATCCTAAACCCAGCGAAACGGGACATTGAGAAGCTTGTCCTAAAACCCGGAAGGCCCTTGCGGAGCATGGAGATCGGATAAGGCGGGGTGCTCCCCCGGTTTTCCGATGTGTTGCAAATCTAAGAGCTTCTTTCTCGCTTTTTTTTTCCCTGTAACTACCCCCCCCCCCTTTTGCTTCAGGGTTGCAAAAGCAAAGAGCAATTAAAAAAAAAAAACCGCGCACACACTCAGACACACACCAGTGGCGACAGGGGAGAGTTGGAAAGACGCAGGAGAGAAGCAGGAGGCAGGAGGCAGCGGGGATGGAGCAATGGGAGCGGGAAGCAGGCAGGTTTCCTTGCAAATCCCCCTCCGGCCTCACGCCGTCTCGCCGGCCCCGGCAGGGGAGCGAGGACCCCGGCGAACAGATGGAGGAGTGGAGCTCGCTCTAGGCAGCTGGGCTTGGCCGGAGAATGGAGGAGCCACCAAGCGACCGGCTGATTGGAAGAGAAACGCAGAGCGATGGAGGCGGGGTAGGAGGACGATTTCTCTGCGGGGACTGGCGGCGGCGTACACGCCCGGGTCGGGCGCTGCAGAGCTTGGCTGGCTTTCAACCCGCGCTCGCCGGCTCCAGCCCCGCGCGCCCCCACCCCTAGCCCTCCCGGCGGCTCCGCAGGTGAGTGCGAGCTGGGGGCAGAAATATCCAAAAGTCTCAACATGCCCGCCCTGCAAAAAGAAAAAAAAAAGACGAAAACCATTTTTCTTTAAAAAAAAAAAATTTTTTTTGTGCAACCCCTAGAGCAGTGGGAGGGAAGGGGTGAGGCTGAGCCGCCCGGAGGAGGCGGAGGGGCCAGGCGAGGCCGGGGTGGCCCGGGAGGCGGCGGCGCCGAGGCGGCTCTGACGGGCAAGCGCTCGGAGCGGCGCTGCGCTGCGCCGAGGCGGGCGGGCGGGCGGGCGGAGCGGGGCGGGCGGAGCGCGGCGCGTGGGGCTCGCCATTAGCCGTCGCTCCGCTTCGCCATCTCGGGCTTTGTCTGGCGACTCGCTGCCCCGGCGTCGGCTGCAGCGGAGCTGCGGCTCGACTGTTCGGCCCGCCGTGCTCCCAGGTGCCCCCGGCCTGCGCTCCCATCCACACGCTCGGTAAGTGAGCCCGGGAGCCGCGGATTTCGGGGGAGAGGGGTTGCTACGAGTGGCGGCGGCGCCGATCTTCATGCGCCCGGGCAGGCCTGGAGAACCATGCCGGGCTGGATTGAACCGGCTCCCACAGCGGCCCCTCCGCCGGAGCCCGTCGTTCCCTTGCCGTTTCCGGGGTGTAAAGAGCAACGGGGATTTTTTTTTTTTAATGCAGAGGTTTTAGTTTTCGGGTTTTTTTTTAAGTTTCGTATGTGCCGTTCGGCAAGGAGAGGACCGCGAGGTAGGCACCGAAGCTGGACGCCGCGATCGGCGTGCGTGCGCCCCAAACCAGCGGCCACGCTCCGGGGGATGAGGGTGGGCGCGGACCGCTCGCTCCGGGAGGCGGGAGAGAGCTGGCCTGGAAGCCCTAGTCTGAGCTGGGAGAACTTGGGGGAGAGCTCCGGAGCAGGGCTGTGGGCGCCCCCCGAGCCTCCCCGGACGCCGGGGGCACCTCCGGGCACCCTCTCCGCGGCCGCACCTCGGCCCTCCCTCGCCGGCGAAGCCTGCTAGTTCCCCCGCGGGTCTGGCGAGGTCGCTCTCGGCGCCCGCCCGCCCGCCTAGGCTCCGAGCCCCGCCGCCATCCGGGCGGCTGCGTGTCTCCCTGCCCCGGCCCCCCCCCCCTTCCCCGGCGGCGGCAGCAGCAGCAGCAGCAGCCGCCGCCGCCGCCAGCACCACCACCACCACCCCCCTCCCCTCCTTCCTTCCCTCCGCCTCGGCCGCCCGGGTCCCCCCAGCTCCCGCCCCTCCTCCCAGCTGCCCCCCGCGGAGCCCGCCCGGGCAGGCTGTGGGAGGGAGCGGAGCCGGCGAGGCGGGCGGGCTGGCGCTCGCTCCCCGGGGGTCGGTGTGCGCTCTACGGGGAAGGACGCGCTCGCTGCCCCGCTTCTCCCGCCCCCCCTCCCGCTCCTCCTCCTCCCTTCTCCCTCCTCCTCCCCGCTCCGGCGGCTGAGGCTGCGGCGGCGGCGGGGGGTGTGCGAGCTGAGGCCGGGGCCGGCGGCGGGCGGGCTGCCTGCAGGCGGAGGGCGCTGTGCTTTGTGCTTTTCGCCGCGAGGAGCAGCAGGCAGCAGCCACAGCCGCCGCCGCCGCCGCCGCCGCCACAGCAGCAGCAGCCGCCGCCCCAGCGCCGCCGCCTCGCCCGGAGGAGGAGCCGCTGCCGCCGCGGGAGGGAGCTGCGGCTGTGCCCGGCCGAGCGGGGGAGGGCGCCGCCACTCAGAGCCAGGGAGGGAGCCGCTGGAGCGGGAAGCCCGGAGGCCGCGCTGCGCCGGGTAACCGAGGCGGCTGAGGACGCGCGCTGGGGTCGGGGCCGGACGGCGGGAGCGAACCGCGGGGTGCGGTGGGCGCCCAGCGGGGACCCGAAGCGACCACCGAGCAGGCGACCGGGCGCGAGCAGACCAGGGCACTTGGGAGGACGCCGAGAGCCGGGGGAGGGGAAGGCAGGAAGCGAGGCCTGAGCCGAGCCCCGGCCGCTGGCGGAGGAGCCCGCGCTTCTCGGAGCCGGCAGGCGCAGTTCTCCCCGGCCGCCGGAGGGGGCGGCGGGGCCGGTGAGCGCTGCGCCCCCGCCTCCCGGCCGCCGTCCTCCCGCCCTCTCCTTGGCTCGGCTCCCCGGAGGCCGGGGCGGGGGCGCCGGCGGGGCTGGGCCGCAGGCTCGGGGGAGGAGGCGGCGGTTCCCGCCGCGGTCGCGCCTCTGTGCCGGGCTCCTCCGTGCGCGTCGGGGTGGCTGGGCGGTGGCGGCGCCTCTGGCCGGGGTGGGTGGCTCGGGGGCGGGGGGCAGGCTAGGCCGCTTCTCTCCGGCTGCTTGCCCGCCTGTGCGGGCGGGGACGGCGAAGGGAGCCCGGGAGGGGGGAGCGGCGGGAATCCGGATCCGGTCCCCGGGGGCGGTGCGGCCGCTCCGCTCCGGGGCTGGCGGCGGCTGCGCTGCGTCCGGGTCCCCGCCGGGTTGCGGAGGCGGGGGGAACCGGCCGGGGGGAGGCGGGAGGAGGAGACTGGGGCGCGTGCCCGCTTCCGTGGCCGCGCGCGCCCTTTACCCGCCCTTCCTCTTCCCCCGCCCTCCAGCCTGGGGCCTCCCCGGGGCGGGCGCTCCGAGGAGGAGGAGATTTTTTCTTTTTTTTTTTTTTTGGCTGGGGTTGGGAAGCGGGGCGGAGGGCGGGCGCTCGCTGCACGCGGGAGCTAGGAGCAGGCCCTCGCGTGGCCAGGGGAGGGCGCGCGCCGCGGAGCCGGGCTGCAGGGGCTGGGGGAGGGGGTCACGAGGAAGAGGAGGGGCGCACTCCCATTCCCATAGACCCCTTAAGTCTAATAAGGTCATGGCTGAGTCTCTCAGAGTGTGGACCTGCCCCCTTCTACTCTGGGCGGTTAGAAAGTCGTTAGTCGTTCACCTCTCAGCCTTCCTGAGTGGGAACTGGTATGTCTTCCAAAGGGTGAGGTGGCTTTGACCCCGGGTTGCCCGGCCAGCACGACCGAGGAGGTGGCTGGACAGCTGGAGGATGAACGGAGAAGCCGACTGCCCCACAGACCTGGAAATGGCCGCCCCCAAAGGCCAAGGTAGGGGCATCCACCCCCGGCCCTCTGAAACTTAAACCCTCTTTCCCTCGTGGCTGCGGGGCTCACTCCCTTCTTCAAGGGCTTTTTCAGTCTGCATACACTGAACTGGGGGAGAAAGTGCCTTGAGTATTTATGAATCAAGCATCTCCCACACTTGGGGTTTGGCTGAATCCAAATTATTTGGCCTGGAGTGGCTCACCTCCCCTCTCTCCCTGTCCCTCACCCTCTGTGTTAGAGGAGGCCTGCCTTCTGGGGTTCCCATTCAGCCTGAAGTGTGTCCCAGCCCAGTGTCCTGGAATGGGAGGAAGGATGAGTGTAGAGGAAGGGTCAGGAAGGGGTTGGGGAAGGCTTCTCAGGCTTTTTAGGAAGACCATGAGGCTTTTGTAGAGGCAGGTGGAGAAAAGGGCTGTTTTGGTGGTTTTAGGCCCCAAGCCATGGGATATATGTACTCAACTAGATCTCTGCCTCATTCAGCAGTGATCCAGTCTAGATGGGGATAGAGAGTAGGATGAAGCTGGACAGCTGGCCATGCTTGTGGGACATTGAGGGGAGAGGGGATTATGGGTCCACGTGGCCCATTCTGCAGAATCTCTGGCCCAGGTTACCAGATGCAAATGAAAATGGAGAGCCCTTTTGACTTCTGGCCTTGGGTGGCTATTCTCCCAGCCCATCCACAGTGGCCTAGAGCTCTCTGGGGCTGCATTTCAGTGGCTGAAAAATAACTGTTCCAGACCTGTTCTTGCTTCCCTGGGTAGTTGGGCTGACAAGACAGCTTGTAATTCTGGGGGTTCTCCCTGGAGCAGGGCCCTGAGAGTTTCTGTGCACCTGCCTACCTTGCCTCAGAGCTGCCCTGTATCCTGCTTCTGCTTCTGTTTCCTTTTTCTTATTTGCCAGAAATTCTCCCTTGATCTGCTTTAAGGGGCTAGGGGGTGGTGGGTGTCTCTAACATTGGTTTCCAGCTGTGCAGGAGAGACATCTGCATGGATTTTCCTTACTGTCCACACCCCATTCTCAGTCGTTGCACATTTAGAATATCCACTCAGAACTTGAACTTGGCAGCACATTTAGATATATTGCTTCCCTGCTTCCCTCCTTCTCTGACAAGCTACCTCGTTTCCCACAAAGCCCTGAATCACTGTACCTTCATTTCCACCCCTCTTCCCCTTACAGCAAATAGCTGCCCGTTGCAGCTTGGCACAGTATAAATGATAATAGCCTTGAAGCAAGCCAGACTTGAGTTCGAGCCTGGCTTTCTAGGTATAGCATGGTCTGGACTGGAGTCCCTGCCCTGATCCAATATGGCCACAGTTTCCTTAGGGCTGAGCCATATCTTGTCTGTGCCTTCAGATGGGAAGCAACCAGGGGCTGGGATGCCCTAGGGAGGAAGAGTTGAGCACTCAAGAACTGGGGAACAGATCGGGGGGATAGCATGAGCCAGGCATGATGGCCTCTGTTACTCTTTACCAGACCGTTGGTCCCAGGAAGACATGCTGACTTTGCTGGAATGCATGAAGAACAACCTTCCATCCAATGACAGCTCCAAGTTCAAAACCACCGAATCACACATGGACTGGGAAAAAGTAGCATTTAAAGACTTTTCTGGAGACATGTGCAAGCTCAAATGGGTGGAGATTTCTAATGAGGTAACTGATCCCCCTTTTCTGACATACACACATACCCCCCACTCAGCGTGGTGGGGGAAGTGAAACAGGCTGTAAACAGGAAGGAAAGAGACCAGGAGAGGCATTCATGTGGTCTCCCGTTAGCTCTCTACCTGCCCCTTTGCATTTTGGGAGGTGGCACGGTTGACAGCACTGGCTTAAAGTTATGCCACTTTCTATCTGAGTGGTCTTGAGCCAAACAGCCTGAGCTGTGCTGAGATTGACGGAGGTGCTAGCATGCTGAGATTGACGGAGGTGTTAGCATGGACAACCAGGTTGAGGTCAGTTAGTCCCCTTGTTGCTGGCCTTTGGTGTGTACTGACTGCCTGGGCCTCTGCGGTAGGCATGGGCCAGTGCCTGGGTGTCATGCTGCCTGCTTCATTTGGCTGTTGGCCTCTGCTCTTCTTTGGTAAATTTAGTCTAGTAAAGAGTAGAAGAGACCCGTTATAAGATGGGGGTATACTACTGTGTGGCATTTTCCTTTTCCCAACTTCCCCTTCCTCCCACCCCTCTTCCTCCAGGTGAGGAAGTTCCGTACATTGACAGAATTGATCCTCGATGCTCAGGAACATGTTAAAAATCCTTACAAAGGCAAAAAACTCAAGGTGAGTTACTAGGAGGAGGAGCATGAGGGGTATGGGAGGAAAGGTCCAAAGAAGGGATGTATTTGACCTCCATTGTGTCCTTGTCCCTTCTTCCAGAAACACCCAGACTTCCCAAAGAAGCCCCTGACCCCTTATTTCCGCTTCTTCATGGAGAAGCGGGCCAAGTATGCGAAACTCCACCCTGAGATGAGCAACCTGGACCTAACCAAGATTCTGTCCAAGAAATACAAGGAGCTTCCGGAGAAGAAGAAGGTGGGGGGAGGAGAGTTAAGGTGGGAGGAGGGGAGAGGCTGGGAGCAGCTGGTGTGGTGTGGGTCAGTTGGAGGTAGGCCTTGGAGAAACCTGGCATCAGGGATGAGGGTGAGTCAGCACAGCAGAATAGGTCCTGGGCAGCCACACCTGATTGCCCCTTCCTCGGCCCACACATGGTCAGGCACAGGCACCATCACAGATGTAAACCAGACAGCAGGTGCTCAGACCAACCTTTCCCCCTACAGAAAACCCACAGCATTCTGTTTCAAGCTCTCTCTCCCCCATACACCCATCCTCACTGTTAGGCTCCGCAGCACTTCTTCACCCTCTATGACGTTTCCCGTCATGGTCTCATTTGATACTTGCAATGTCTTTATAAAGGTAACCCTAGGAAAAGGTTATCCCAGTTTTGTGGGCAAGGAACTGAGGTGCAGGAGGGTTAAGTGTCCCGGGTGACACAACTATTGATGCTAGAGCAGGATTTAGTGCCCCAGAGTCCCAGTCCAGTGCTGTTACTGCCACGTCCACCTGTGAAGTGCACTTCTCCACGCACACGTGTTCACTCAAGGACACACATTGTCCCTCCTGGCCTCATACTGTTCCTTGCAGAGGTCGGGCACTGTCCCAGACCATCAAAGCATTAACTCTGGGTGGAGGGTTGCCTAAGCCTCCCAGGCAGGGCTCAGTCACAGAGCTCAGGAGGTCCCTCCCAGAGATAGGCAGCAAAACATTGGAGGAGCCTGCAGATGGGACACGAGGAAGATGGGATGGGGACAGAGGACACAAAGAAGAGACACGGGACAAGGAGACAGAGCCAGGGATAGATGGGGAAGGGCAGCAGGAAAGACAAGAAGCACATCTGCTTGGAGAGGAAACAAAGTCATACACAGCCAGTTCTCAAAAGGGGGCACTGGCCGCTGCCATGCTATGAGTAGCCCTTTTTCCTGGTTGGCATACCCTGGCTGCAGACTCACATGCCCTTGGTGCTGTACCCAAAAAAGCCAGCTGTCTGCAACCACTGCCCAAGCAGAGAGGGGTATGGATTGCTGGAACTGTTGACCCCTTTGATGAGGATGTTGGACAGTTGACTGCACACACCCAAACACTCTCATGGGATGGGAGGGAGAGGCCAAGCTCTAGAGTCAGAGCCAGGGAAGGCCAGAAGAAACTGGTAGAGTGGACAAGGTGCTGTCCTGGGGGACACAAGACTTGGGCCTGTTCTCCTGGCTCTGCCACTGAACCGCTGTGTATGGGGCCTTTGGTAAGTCATTTCACTTCTGTGGGCCTGGTCTTTATGTGAGGTGAGCCAGGTCTGTGTGGTCCCCTTCAGGTCTAAAACTGTTTTGTCTGAGGAGGACTGAGATGGGGGAAGAGGAGGCTGAGCTCTGCTTCTGGTTTTCTGTGGGAACTGTGGGAAAGGAGCACTGCCTTTCTATGCCTGGTGCTTCTATAAGAGGCAGGGGTTGGGCTCAGTTGCCATGAGCTCCTGGCACCTGCCAGTGCCACTCTTGTGAGCCCGCGAGGATGAAAGAAGAGATGGACATTGTGTGGGAGCCAAGAGAGAAGGTCGATGAGGAAGAGAAAGAGACACATTGGAAAGGAGGAACAAGAAGGAGACTATGGAGAAGTGGGGAAAGATGCAGGGAGGGAGTGAGGTGAGAGTGGGGAGGCTAAAAAGGGGGTGATGAAGGGAAGGGAAGCCAAGTGGTGGGAAAGAATGAGTGGGCTGAGGGAGGGAGGGCTGGAGGGGCCAGACAGCCAGGATCCTGGAGAAAGAGAAGAAGGTGATGGTGTGAGAACTGGGCAGGAAGATGCAGGGTAGCTGGCTGAGACTTGTATTGGAAGAACTCGCTCTGGGTTCCCCTCCACACAATCTCCCCTCATGCCTTGGAAACAGGACTCAGCCCAGCCCTGGCCATAGATGTAGAGGCTACGTACAAGGGGACAGACTAATGTCAGCTGCCACAGACAGTGAGAAGAGGGAGTGACAGGAGCAAGGCCTGCACCCGACGCCACTGTGAGAGTTCTATGGTGTTGGAGAAACGAGTGGGGGAGGCTCAGCGCTGCCACTGCGCACTGTGTGACCGTGGGTAATGCCATGGCCCCCTTCTGGGACTCTTGCTCAGAAGGAGAGAATAGGATGTAGGATTCAGTGTCTGGGCGACCCCTGCAGCTCCCACCATCTGTGGTAGAAGCCAGCAGGTCTGCTCTGTGGTGAGTCCCGCCAGGAGGCGGGCAGGGCGCCAGCCTCCACTCCCTGCATCACAGCGTGGGAGGCAGAAGAGCCAGCGAGGAGGGGTCTGGGTGGCCTTCATAGCTCAGGGTGAGATACCCTTGGGTCCTGAGTGACCCCATCCCCTCCTCCCCCCAGATGAAATATATTCAGGACTTCCAGAGAGAGAAACAGGAGTTCGAGCGAAACCTGGCCCGATTCAGGTAAGGCAGTGGAGCCCAGAGGAGGGCCACGGGGCACTGGGGGCAGCAGAATAGGCTAACCCTGGCCAGAGCCTTGAGTTTGCCATCTCTGAGGCATGGAAGAGGATGGGTCACATGTGAGCCCTAGTGTGTCATGCTCAGGGACAGAGACAGGCAGGCAGCCACCGTCCCACTGAGCCCCAGCTGAAAGGCCCAGGAGGCTTGGTGGGTGGGGCAGCTAGCTTGAGTCTGCCCTGGCAGCGTCCCCTGCTGATCCTTGCTCCCCGTGTCCTGGCTAGGGAGGATCACCCCGACCTAATCCAGAATGCCAAGAAATCGGACATCCCAGAGAAGCCCAAAACCCCCCAGCAGCTGTGGTACACCCACGAGAAGAAGGTGTATCTCAAAGTGCGGCCAGATGTGAGTGTCCGGCCAAGGGTTGGGGGTGGAGGATGCACGGCGGTGGCCAGGGGGGAGCCGCGCCAGGTCGGCCGGGCACGGTGCAGGGGAGCAGGAGAGGAGGCCCCTCCCCAGGGGTGGGCTGCATGGACAGGGCCCGGGCCAGCTGGCGTGCAAGCGTGTGCGTGTGTGCGTGCGTGTATGAGCCAGTCCCCTTGCACCCAGGCGGGATCCCCGCCTCTCCGCCTTCCCCTCCTGGCCTGTGGGGGACACTGATGTGACCTCCCATGGCCTGAGGGGGCGGGGGCCTCTGTGCCCCCTTCCCCCTTCCCCCCTCCCCCTGCCCCTGGCTGCCTGTGCGTGTCTGACGGCTTTTGGTTTGCAGGCCACTACGAAGGAGGTGAAGGACTCCCTGGGGAAGCAGTGGTCTCAGCTCTCGGACAAAAAGAGGCTGAAATGGATTCATAAGGCCCTGGAGCAGCGGAAGGAGTACGAGGTTAGGCTTCCGCTGCGCTCCTCCCCGTCCGGCTCTTCACGAGCCTCTGCCCTCCGACTCCGTGGCCACCGCACTCTGCGGGAGGTGTCACTCCCCATCCCTCTGTTGAGGGAGGGGCCTTCTGGGCCCCTCACCTCTGCCCCTACCTTCCCCACCCCCCACCCCCATGAGATCTCAGGCTAGGGCAGGGCAGGGCACCACGTCTCGTGTGACACCACTGACGCGCAGCCACCCCCAGCTTTGCTCCCTGCCTGCCCTCCCCAGCGGCTCTCCCCCTGCCCCTGCCCTAGCTAACTCCACACCCCATTGCCCTCCGTCCCCCCACCTGGCTCTGCAGGAGATCATGAGAGACTATATCCAGAAGCACCCAGAGCTGAACATCAGTGAGGAGGGTATCACCAAGTCCACCCTCACCAAGGCCGAACGCCAGCTCAAGGACAAGTTTGACGGGCGACCCACCAAGCCACCTCCGTGAGCGCTGCCCTGGGATGGGTGGGCGAGTGGGCAGCTGGGAAGTTGGGCTGGGCTCTGCAGGTGAGAAGGCCTGCTGCCCTGCTCGCTTACGGGCTGCACCTCTCTCCCCGCGGCTCTGATAGGAACAGCTACTCGCTGTACTGCGCAGAGCTCATGGCCAACATGAAGGACGTGCCCAGCACAGAGCGCATGGTGCTGTGCAGCCAGCAGTGGAAGCTGCTGTCCCAGAAGGAGAAGGACGCCTATCACAAGAAGTGTGATCAGGTGAGCTGTGGCAGGGGCCACCCTGCCTTGGGGTTTTGAAGCATGAGGTCTGATCCCATCTTGGGCCAGTCAGTCCCTGGTGGCGTGTGCCTTGGGTACCTGCCTCCAATACAGTGTGGGGCTGGGCTGGGCTTAGCAACTGAGCCCGTCCAGGCAGGGAGTCCAGCCCACACCCAGGCTCTGGAGGCCCGCTGAAGGTCACTGTCCTCCGAGTACTGCAGGGTCTGTGGTGACACTGTCTCCAGACTGATCCTGACTCCACTCACTTTCCCAGAAAAAGAAAGATTACGAGGTGGAGCTGCTCCGTTTCCTCGAGGTGAGTGTTCCTCCGGTGGGGCAGTGGGCAGAGAAGACTGGGACTTGGCAGGCAGAGCCCTGGTGAGCCCCTGGAGATAGGGCACCATGCAGTCTGGGTGCCAGGCATGCAGCCCCGTGCTCCTCTTTCCTGTCCAGAGCCTGCCTGAGGAGGAGCAGCAGCGGGTCTTGGGGGAAGAGAAGATGCTGAACATCAACAAGAAGCAGGCCACCAGCCCCGCCTCCAAGAAGCCAGCCCAGGAAGGGGGCAAGGTGGGCAGAGGGTGCGGCCGCGCAGGCGGGGGTGGGCAAGACTGGGCTCCCTGGCAGCACCCACGGACCCCGACCCTCTGCACCTGGACAGGGCGGCTCCGAGAAGCCCAAGCGGCCCGTGTCGGCCATGTTCATCTTCTCGGAGGAGAAACGGCGGCAGCTGCAGGAGGAGCGGCCTGAGCTCTCCGAGAGCGAGCTGACCCGCCTGCTGGCCCGAATGTGGAACGACCTGTCTGAGAAGAAGAAGGTCAGGCTGCCTGGCGGAGCGCTGTGCCCCCAGGGGGGCTGCCAGGGCCCCCTCTTCCCCTTGGCGGGCCGTGCCACCTCGCCCCTGGCCGCCTGAGCCACGCGGTGCCTGGGCTGGGACGTGGGGCCGGCGCCCAGCAGCCGGAAGGCGGGAAGCTGTCAGCTGAGCGCCGCAGACCAGGCGGGGGCGAGCCCCAGGCGGGAGACATCTGCACCAGCCCATGCTTCTGCCCGCCGGCGGGAGCGCCTGGGCTGCTGCGCGGGGAGCGCGCGCCCCCTGGGGGTGGGTGGAAGGCTGACGCCCGGGCCATCCCCGCAGGCCAAGTACAAGGCCCGAGAGGCGGCGCTCAAGGCTCAGTCGGAGAGGAAGCCCGGCGGGGAGCGCGAGGAACGGGGCAAGCTGCCCGAGTCCCCCAAAAGAGCTGAGGAGATCTGGCAACAGAGCGTTATCGGCGACTACCTGGCCCGCTTCAAGGTGACAGGGGTGGGAAAGGGTAGTACTGCAGCCTCTAGCCCCGGGTGACCCCTCCCACGGCTGATACCCTTATTGGTCCCCAGAATGACCGGGTGAAGGCCTTGAAAGCCATGGAAATGACCTGGAATAACATGGAAAAGAAGGAGAAACTGATGTGGATTAAGAAGGCAGCCGAAGACCAAAAGCGATATGAGGTAGGAATGGGGCTGGGGCCACCCCATTCATTGAAAGCTCGGGAACTCCCCTTTGGTTGGGCAGCTCTGAGCAAGAAGTCCCAGCCTTGGTCTGTGACTCTCAGCAAGTCTCAGCTTCCTTCTCTGAACCTCTGTCTCTCATCAGTAAGGTGGGGGTGACATTGCTAACCTCCAGGCTGACTCGGAGGATGCGAGCAGTTGTGAAAGCACTTGTAAACTGTGGTGCCTGCCTCAGACGTGAGCTGTTAGGAAGTTGCTCACTAGCTACCTGTTTCTCCTCCTCCCTGGCACAGAAAAAGACAGCCAGCTAAGGTGCTGATGGCATGAGGCAGAAGGCAGCAGTATTTTGGGGGTGGGACTGGGGGGTGAGCGTGACCTTTCTCCCTCCAGAGAGAGCTGAGTGAGATGCGGGCACCTCCAGCTGCTACAAATTCTTCCAAGAAGATGAAATTCCAGGGAGAACCCAAGAAGCCTCCCATGTGAGCCTGGGGGTTGGAGTCTGCCCTGGAGGTCGGGGAGGGTCAGGGCTGGATGGCTGCTTTGTTGGGGTCCTGACCCTCCTTCTACCAACCCACCTCCCAGGAACGGTTACCAGAAGTTCTCCCAGGAGCTGCTGTCCAATGGGGAGCTGAACCACCTGCCGCTGAAGGAGCGCATGGTGGAGATCGGCAGTCGCTGGCAGCGCATCTCCCAGAGCCAGAAGGAGCACTACAAAAAGCTGGCCGAGGAGCAGCAAAAGCAGTACAAGGTGCACCTGGACCTCTGGGTTAAGGTGAGAGGGCAAGGGACCCTTGGAAGGAACAGAGAGGCATCAGACTAAGCCAGCACCATCCTAGCCTGGCCCATCCACCCACTTGTGCTGGCTGGTCTCATTCATGATTTCATTCCATGCCCTCGCAATCCTTCAGGATAACGGTCACTATCACCCTTTTATTTTTATTTTTTTTTTTATTTTTTGAGACAGTCTTGCTCTCCTGCCCAGGCTGGAGTACAGTGGTGTAGTCTCGGCTCACTGCAACCTCCACCTCCCAGGTTCAAGCGATTCTCCTTCCACAGCCTCCAGAGTAGCTGGGGCTACAGACATGTACCACCACACCTGGCTAATTTTTGTATTTTTAGTAGAGATGGGCAGGCTGGTCTCGAACTCCTGACCTCATGTGATCCGCCCACCTCGGCCTCCCAAAGCACTGGGACTACAGGCTTGAGCCACCGTCCGCAGCCACTATCACCCTTTTAAAAATAAGGAAACCAAGGCTCAGAGAGGTTAAGTAACTTGCCCAAGGTCACACAGTAAGTAGAAGAATCCAAATCAGACTGCCTTTTCCTCCCCCATCTGGGACCACGGGACCTCTCCTAGACTCCTGGCCTTTGTGCTTCCCCTCTGTGCTTTGGTTGAGTAGTCAGATCTGTAAAGTGGAGAGAATCACCTGTGTCCTTCCCACTCACCAAGGCAGGTTGGCCAAGGACCCAGGAAGACTGTGGGGATTTGCTGTTTCAGGAGTTTGGTGAGCCCCACTGCCTCATCGATGGCTCAAGGGTTTGGTGTTGGGGTGTGGTTGATGATGCCAGGCTGACTCATCACGGGGGCACTTCTTTGGAGTGAGGAAGACTCTGATAGGAGCTTCCATTTGCGAAAAGCAACAGGGAAAATGTGAAAACCAATAGTCTTAGTGGTTTAGAGAAGGACTCTGGGTATCAGAAGCAGAAATACTAGGGTTTGGGCCAGCGCAGTGGCTCACGCCTGTAATCCTAGCACTTTGGGAGCCCAAGGTATGAAGGATCACTTGAGGCCAGGAGTTCAAGACCATCCTGGGCAACATAGTGAGATTGCTGTCTCTACAAAAAATTATAAGGTAGCATGGTGTGGTGGCACATGCCTGTAGTCCCAGCTACTCTGGAGGCTGAGTTGGAAGGATCACTTGAGCCTGGGAAGGTCAAGGCTGCAGTGAGCTGAGATTGTGCCACTGCACTCCAGCCTGGGTGACAGAGCAAGACCCTGTTTCAAAAAAAAAAAAAAAAAAAAAAAAAAAATTAGAGCTGTGTTCTCAGATCCCAGGGGCTCTCTGCAGAGACCCAAAATCTAGGGAGCCTGGGAGGGGTAAGATGGGGTGATGATATATAAATGCTCAGCCCACTGCCTAGCACTGGGCCAGCATGCTCAGTCAGCAGTAGTTGGCTATGTTCCAACCCTTGCCGCTTCTGTCTCCCCCAGAGCCTGTCTCCCCAGGACCGTGCAGCATATAAAGAGTACATCTCCAATGTGAGTCTGGGAGCAGAGCAGCAGTGGGGTAGGGGTGGGGGAATTCAGGGGTGTCGAACTCATGGCTGCCACCTTTGTGTCCCCATCCTGCAGAAACGTAAGAGCATGACCAAGCTGCGAGGCCCAAACCCCAAATCCAGCCGGACTACTCTGCAGTCCAAGTCGGTAAGGAGCCCCTCCCAGATGCAGGGGCGTGGGGCGGGGGGCACTGCCTGGAATGGTTGGGCAGAGACCAGAGACCACTGATGTGCCTCCATCCCTCCAAGGAGTCCGAGGAGGATGATGAAGAGGATGAGGATGACGAGGACGAGGATGAAGAAGAGGAAGATGATGAGAATGGGGACTCCTCTGAAGATGGCGGCGACTCCTCTGAGTCCAGCAGCGAGGACGAGAGCGAGGATGGGGATGAGGTGGGGCAGACAGGGCACAGTGGGAGGGGAGGGGAGTCCTGCCAGGAGGGCCACCTGGTGACTCCACATCCTTTCTCACCCCCCAGAATGAAGAGGATGACGAGGACGAAGACGACGACGAGGATGACGATGAGGATGAAGATAATGAGTCCGAGGGCAGCAGCTCCAGCTCCTCCTCCTCAGGGGACTCCTCAGACTCTGACTCCAACTGAGGCTCAGCCCCACCCCAGGGCAGCCAGGGAGAGCCCAGGAGCTCCCCTCCCCAACTGACCACCTTTGTTTCTCCCCCATGTTCTGTCCCTTGCCCCCCTGGCCTCCCCCACTTTCTTTCTTTCTTTAAAAAAAAAAAAAAATACGGTGGGGGTAGGGGGCTGGAGGAGCCCAGGCCAGGACTCTGCAGCCTCAGAGACATCAGCCCTTGGGGGTCCTCCTCCAGGGACAGCAACTATCAGACTAAGCCAGCACCGGACCAGCCTGGCCCACCCCACCCACTTCTGCACTTGCGGTTCCGGCATGGACAATGGACCGGAGAGTGGGGGTGGGGGGTCCCAAAGAGTTTGATGAGGCCCTCCACACCTGCGGCCCAATCCAAGGTGGGGTGGAAGCTTGGGGAAGACCCATTCCTTCCCAGAGGGGCCTGCCACCTGGACCCCTGCATTGGAACTGGAGGCAGGGAACATGGGGAGGAGGAGGGTCGGTGCCTTCAAGAAAACAGGCACTGCCCTGGTGGCCCTCTCCCCTGCCCCCTGCAGGAAGGAGCTGCCTGGACCCGTTCATGGGGGAGGGGGCAGAAGTGTTTTTTATATATGTGTATATATTTTTTTTTAAGCTCTGAGCTGTCAACGAGACGTTTCCTACCGATCTCGGCTGCCGTCTCTGTTGTCATTTCTGGGAGAGGGAGGGTTTAGGGGTAGATTTGGAACCTTTTAAAAATGGTCTTGATGTATGTGGAAGAGAGTATGTGTATGTGTGTTCCTGTACATAGCATGGGTGCAGCTGTGGATGTGTGCAAAAGAGTGTGAGTGTGTGTGTGTGTGTGTAAAGGGGTCTGTCCTAGAGCCCACATCAGTTTGTTGTGAATCTGGAAAAAGGGTCGGTGAGGGCCGGGAGATGTTGACCCTGGTGGGAGCAGGCTGAGGCTGCCCCGTTCTCCACATCCTCTGTTTTGCCCAGTCTCTGATTCCATTAGGGGGAGTGTGCTGAAGCCATTCTCGGATGCTTCCCAGACCAGGCTCCCTCTGCCAGAGTCACATGCATCCGAGCTGCTGGTCTCCATTGTCCAGCAGGAAGGCGGAAAGGCAGGCAAGATGGTGTGAAGCTTAAAGCTTGTATTTGATGGAAAAGGTCTCCCCTGTTCATCTGAGAGGCCAAGCCTGGCCACCCCAGGCTCAGAACCTGGGCTTCAAGAAATGTGCTGGGAGCTCCTAACTTACACATCCCTCCAGCCTTCCTTGAATCCTCCCACCACCCCCTATTTCCTTTAATTTCTCAGGTCTGCTCCCTCCTCCCCCAACCCCACAGCTGGGCAAGAAGTCTGCAAAAGCTGCATCTGCAGCTGTCTCTAACTCTTCCCAGCCATCTCCCGTATTTTTTGGTACCTTGATTCCTTGACTCTTAATAAGCCAAGCCACCTTATCTCTGTAGTTCTTATTTTTTTGTTGACTAAATTTGGGGGGTTCTTTTTTATGGTCATGTCACTGACCTATTAAATTGGGGCTTGGTGCTTTTCCACCTTCCCCCTCTGAATGAAAGCCAAGGAATGGGGGAAGAGCGGGAACTCTGCCGCGGAGGTGGAGCAAGAACGGTGAAGGGCCCTGGTCCCAGAGAGGCTGGTGGGTCCCTCTCCCAAAGGAAGGCAGACAGTCTCTGCTTTGCCTTGGACCTTGGTGCTGGGGGTGGGGAGGCCTGGGGGGGACACTCCCCACTCCCATTCCCCTTCCTTTGTCCTAATCCTGGAATTAAGTACAGGGGTTTATAGGTTCTATTTCTTCCCAAGAGCCCTGCAAAGAACCCCAGTTTCCTATTTGGATGCCCCTACACTGTTGTGTTTCAGTGGAATGTATTTTCATTTAAAAACAACTTTGAATGGGGCACTTTTTCTTTCCTGTTTTAAAAATTGAAAAATTCTTACAGTACAAACAGGACTGTCAGGGTGGGGGTGTTGGTGCTGTAAGAGGTCACTCTTGAGTGCATTTTGGCACTGGGATGGGATGGCTGGGGTGGGAAGACCCCCATCCCCACCCCCAACTTCTTTTCTAATATTTAAGGAGTGTTTTGTAGGATTCAACAACCACCACAACTTGAATTTGTATCATGGGAGGTGGGAGGGAGTGGCTTAGAGGTGTCTGCCTATGCTTAAAGCCAACTGTGGAAGTTTTGTTTTCCCTTTTTTGTATAATAAAGTGAAAAACAAAGGTTTGACTGCTGTCTGGTCACTGGAATCAATGAAGGTTCACAGGGGTGACCCAACAGGTTTGATCTATAAAAATGCTTGAAGCCAATTTGCCTTTTCTTCCTAGAACTATCTTCCTCTTCCCTAAAGATTCCATAGGCAACCTACCTTCACATTGTTCTGTGCTACTGTTCTTGCCCTTTTCTCAATTCCATTTGTTCACCTTGGGTTGTGAGACCACTAAAGATTCTGAGAAGTTGGAGAACAAATGCATTTTCACCCAAAGTACATGGTCTTGGGGAATTGGAGGTGATGAGCTACTAGGGTCAAGGGTTCGCCCTGGGCATGCAAGCCTTCCTAGTGTAGGGCTTATCGTGGGGAGTTGAGGGAGCACGCTCTCACTTTGAGCCTTCAGCTCCATCCCAGGTTAAAGGTTAAGGGTTAAGGATGACTTTCCTAGGACCATCTAGGCCTCTGATGGGAAGCAGGCTGGGCTGGGCTGAGATGACTCACTCTCTGAGATTAAGGGAAGACACCCTTTCCTGCGCAGGCCTTGGCTGGGTTCCTGGAACCTCAAAGGGCTGCAGACCCAGGTCCTGTCGGAGAACTCTCTCCCAGCCCTTGCCCCTATCCTATAGTGGCCAAACTGCTAAAAAGCTTGTTGTGCCTCTTGGCCTCCCACTTACCACCATCCTTTGAGGTTCCTTGCTAAGGTCACCAACATGTTCATTACATCTGGTGAACACTTGTCTTGTCTTTTGCCTTCTTGGTCTACTCTGTTGGTGTCAGCTCTTCCTCATTTTATCCCAGGTGTTCATGTCTCTCCCTTCAACCTCCCATTATCACGCATATGCAACCATTCCGAAAGGTGGTGCCGACAGAGACTGCTCTTCCAAGCTGCAGACCTGTGTAGACACCCTTGCATCCCCTGGGATATCTTGCAGACATCTCATACCTCAAGACCCGAAATGATTACCAAACACTTAGTCGTTCAACCTAGAAAGCAGAGTATTGGCCTTGACTCCTCTCTCCCTTTCACCTCGAGGTTCAATCACCTAGACCTCTCCATTCCACTTCCTAAAGCTGTCTCAAATCTGTCGACCCCTCCCACAGGGTGGCTCCCACAGCTGCCACTCCCATCCTATTTCAGGCCACCATCATTGCTCAACTTCTGCAAAGACCTCCTAAAGCTGGTCTTCCTGCTTCCACTCTCGCCCCCTACAGCCCATTCTTCACATGGCAGCCAAAATTATCTCAGAAATAAATCTGATTATTTCTGTACTGAAAATTTACCATGTCTTACCATGGCCCTACAAGGCTTGGCCCCCGCATTCCTTCTCTTATCTTCTCTCACCCTGCTCTTCCTAACCACTTACAACGATCCAACCAAGTGATCTCTTCTGTTCCTCAAACATGCCTACCTGCGGGGTCTTGGCACCTGTTCTCTCTGCCTAGAATGGCTATTCCTCCAACTCTACACATACCTGATTTTTTTTTTTCATTCTTTAAGCCTCAACTCACATGTCCTCTCACAGAGAAGCCTTTCCCAACCACCTGCTCTAGAGAGGCCTCCTCCATCTTCTTGTTTATGTATTTGTTTATTATCTATCTCCCCAAGTAGAAGACACCTTATCTGCTTGTTCATTACAGTAATCTCAGCACCTGAAACTGCCTGATATACATTTGACAATCAAGAAAGATTTGCTGAGTGGGTGAATAGGTCTGGCCCACAAGGCCCTTGGGGATCTGCTGCCCCCGTTAGCCCTCCCCCGACTCTAGCCACACTGACCATTCATGTCTCGAACATAACATGCTCTCTCCTAGGGCCTATACACATGGTGTTCTCTCTGCCTAGTTAATTCTGGTCTCCACTTAAAAGACCACTTCCTTCCCTGAACTCCTGAGAAAAAAGGTCTCCACACTATACGTTTCTTCAGCAGCCTGAATGCCTTCACACTCAGGCCTTATTTCCTTCACATCAGGCCTTGCTAGGCTGTAAGCTGCGCTAGGACAAGGTTTGTGTGTCTCTCTTGCTTGTTGCTGTAACCCCAGGGCCTCACCCAGAGTCAGGACCAGCTCAGGCCTTAGTGTTTATGAACTGGTGCTAACTGTGGAGACTGGGCACGTGCCCAAAGAGGTCACCACCACAGAGCAGCCCAGGCCAAGCACAGAATGAATAGTACAGTCTAGTTGTAAAGAAGTTTGGTATGAGGATGGCCATGGGTGGGGATATGAGGAAGGATTTAGGTAAACAGGGAGAAGCCAGGAGGATTTTCTGGCCATGGCGCAAATTCCTTAGGGCAGAATGTACTGGGCATATTTAGGTAAGAAACAGATCAGCATCACTGGAGTGAAGAATTCCTGAAAAGGAGGCGGGAGATAAGAGAAAACAAAGGTTGAGGCGATGTTGTTGAAGTTCCTGAAGACCTAGCTTACTTCTCTGTGCCAGACCTGAGTTCAACCACCTTTTGGGTCTCCATCAGCTGATCCCACAGTAACCTCAATATATCCCAGACTGAAGTCATCCTGTGTCCTCCCATGTCCTCCCCTGAGTTCCCCATCCTAGTAAAGGTGTTTTCAAGACCTCCCTCTCCTTTCCTCCACACACCTCAATCAGTAACAAAAACCTACTGCTTTTGCCAGGCCCAGTGGTTTATGCCTGTAATCCCAGCATTTGGGAGGCTGAGGCAGGCGGATCTCCTGAGGTCAGAAGTTCGAGACCAGCCTGGCCAACATGGTGCAACCCTGTCTGTACTAAAAATACAAAACTAAAATTAGCCGAGCGTGGTGGCGTGCGCCAGTAATCCCAGCTATTCAGGAGGCTGAGGCATGAGAATCACTTGAACCCGGGACGCAGAAGTTGCCGTGAGCTGAGATTGCACCTGAGTGACAGAGCAAAATGCTGTCTAAAAAAACAAAACAAAACAAAACAAAAAACCTACTGCTTCTAAATTATTCTCCAGACCATACTCCAGCATGATCCACTAAAAATATAAGTCTGGTGAATGATTCCCCTTGAGGACTCCTCACAGCTTACAGGCTAAAGCCCACAAACTTTTCAACACCTACTTTGCTTTGTCCTGTATTATCCAGCCTGCTCACCTCCTGCTGCTCTGCCACCCACTCCTCTGTTCCAGCTTGATCCATGCTTCTGAAGCTTCCAGTTGGGGATGTCCAATGCCTTCTTGGCCTACCTTCACCTGGTTCATCTCCCTCTATAAGAAGTTTTTCTTTTTCTTCTTTTTTGTTTTGTTTTGAGACGGAGTCTCGCTCAGTTGCCCAGGCTGGAGTGCAGTGGCGCAATCTCAGCTCACTGCAACCTCCGCCTCCCGGGTTCAAGCGATTCTCCTGCCCAAGCCTCCCGAGTAGCTGGATTACTACTATTGCCTAAGCCTCCCGAGTAGCTCCTGGGATTACAGGAGCCCGCCACCACGCCCAGCTAATTTTTGCATTTTTGCAGGCTGGTCTCGAACTCCTGGCCTCCCAAAGTGCTGGGATTACAGGCCTGGGCCACCGCACCCTGCCCAAGAAGCCTTTCTTGACCAACTCTCTTACATCATTTGATGTCTCCTTTTGTCTACCTCTGTTTTCTCTCTGTTGTTTTCCTCACACTGTTTTGCAATTATTATCCTACCTATCTATCCACAAGACAGTGAACTTCTTGAAGAAGCACAACTGTCTTATATCATCTTTTATCCCAGCACCTGGAGCACCGTGAGAATAACAGCTAAGATTTACCAAGCACTTACACAGAGCTAAGAGTTTCACATGCACTGACTTGTTAATCACTACAGCAACGCAAGGAGATAGGACTATCATTATGCCCACTGACAACAGAGGAAACTGAGGCACAGGAAACTCATTTGCTAGGCCCAACGATTTAAATTCAAATCAGACGCCTGATCTGAACTACTCTGGAATATCGCCTCAATAAATGTTTGCTGTTTCTCGGGAGAAATCGGTGAGAAAAAAATAAGTATTTGCTGAAAACTAAAAACCAAAGATGGCTCCAAGTATGTGATTACAGACTATCCTCCTTTTTAATCTTATCTCTTGAGGGGAGAGGGCTGTCACACAACCGTTCCAGGACACCACACACAGAGTAACCGAGATGAAAGCGCCAATCCAGCCATCCACCGCGGCTGGGAAAAGGCCTGTCCCTTCCTAAGGTAAAGAGGGACTGAGAGCGTGAGCACAGGGACACGCTGCACCCAGGGGAACAGCACTGGGTCGGGGGAAGGATCTGGCCAGTGACAAGGAGGCTGTCTGGAGGGGTGGGGGTCCAGCGTGGGTTCCGGAAGCAGGAAAGGCGAGCAGGTGTGGGATCTAAATTAGGACGAGGGGCGGGGAGGGCGCTCCGCGCAGAAGGGCGCAGCTCGGCCTCCGACCTCAGCAGCGGACCCTCATCTCGGCCGCTTGTTGGTCCGCAAGCCTGGAGTGGGCTGAGACCCGCCCAGAAACCGGGAGAACTGAGGCGCGGGCGAGCCCCTTAGGCTCCACAGGCTTTCCGCCCCGAGGTCCTAACTGCGCCCCACTTCAAGTCTGGCCTCTTCACAGAAGTGGCTGCACGCCTCGGGGTAAAGGGGGGAGCGGAGGGTGGCGGGGGAGAGAGCGGGGAGCCCCGAGGGAAGGGCGGGGGAGCCTGGGCCGGAAGGCGTCCCAGGCTCGGCTGGCAGCCGGCGCTCTCTTTCGACGCCACCCGCTGCCCCCGCCCCCGAGCCGGCCGGGACGGCAAAACGTCTCCGCCCCCAGCGCACCGCGCACCTCACCTTGAACGCCGCCCCACCCACCCCCATCTTATTGGTCCTCCCGGGCCGAGGCCTCCCTGCGATTGGTCGGGGAGGTCCGCGAAGGCCCCGCCCATCTCTCCGCCCCCGTCCCCGTCCGCCGGTACTTTGGACGGCGGCGTGGCGCCCCTCCTCCCCTCCCGGTCCCCGCCCCCTGGAGCAAATGCTGCCGAGCTGCGGCCGCGGGGCAGATGCACGCGCTCGGGCCCTTCTAGCAGGCGCGAGCAGTCGCTGGGCGCGCGAAAGCGAAAGAAGGAAGAGGAAGGGAGGGGGAGGGCGGGGTGTTGGGGAGGGGCGGGAGGAGGAAGAGGAGGAGGTTGGAGCGCGCTCGCGCTTGGCCTCGCGCCCGCGCAGAGGGAGGGGGAGAGGGGCGCGCGCGCGCACGCTCGCGTTCACGCTCGCTCCATCCATCCATCCTCCGGTCGCGGCACACGCGCGCGCGCTCCGGGCTCGCGCCGCACCCCCCGCCCGGGAGAGGCGGGCTGGAGTGGGGGGCGGGGGGAGGGGCGCGCGGACGGCGCGCGGACTGCGCGCGGGCGGGGTGAGGTGAGGAGGAGGAGGCGGCGACGGGACAAGAAGGGAGGGGAAGGGGCCATGGCCGCCCGGTGAGGCGGCCAGGCGGGGGGGCGGCCCGACCCCCCGGCCCCGGGCCCTGGGCCCCGGGGAGAGGCGAGGACGGACCGACGGACATGGGGCTCCGGAGCAGCCGCCGCCGTCGCCGCCGCCGGAGGACGCGGCCCTGAGAGGCTGCCGGGCCCCGGCGCGGCCCCCCGGGCGGGGTGAGTACGGGACGGAGACGGGGACGGGGACGGGGGAGGGGCCTGTGGGGGGCGGGGGGCGGGGCCCAAGGCGGGGCTTGGGCCCCCTCCCCCCAGGTCTGGGTCAGCGCCCCTTCCCCTCCCCCCGGGCCGACGCGGAAACGCCCGGCTTCCCCCAGCTTCCCGGCCGGGCCGGGGCCCCTGGCTCTCCCCCGTCTGGGTCCCCCTTGGGCGGGGCAGGGCCGGCCGGGGAGGGGGCGCGGGGCCTTTGTTAGGGAGCCAGGCCCCAGCCCCCGGGACAATAGAGACACCCTCCCGGACTCCTCTCCCCGGCCGGCCGGGGCTGCTGGCGGGCGGGGAAGGAGAGGGGCTGGGACGCGTCCCACTCTCTGGGGGTCGGTCTGTCCCGGCCCGGCGCCGGCCCCGGCGGCTCGGCTGTCCTCCCCCCAGTCGGTATGATGCAGCAGCAGTGCCGCAGGGACGGGGGAAGAGCCGAGGCCCGGCCTCCTACCCTTCCCAGTGCCCCCGGCTCATTCGTCAGTCCCCACCCCACTCTAGGCCGGCAGCTCCTGAAACTCGTACCCACCGTTCCGAGGGGCCCTGGGTTGTGGGTTCTGTGTCTGAATCCTTGGGTGGGGGTTCCTGGACTTTGGGGCTCTTGGAGAGACTTCCGGGCTGGTCCTGAGGGAGGGCGGGTGGTTATTTAAAGGAAGAACAGGTAAGGGGAGTGCCCGCTCCTGGCGTGCCACCCTACCAGGCTCTTCCCCCCCACCCCCCGCCGTTCCTGCTCATGGTGGCTAGAAATGTCCCTTAGCTCTAGGCTCCTGTGGGCTCTGCTCCCCTCGTGGAGTGGCAGGCTGATTTCAAGGGAAGACAGAGTGGGGTGAAGGTTGTAGGGTCCTAGGGCCATTTCTACTTCTGGTAGCAGTACCCCCCCAAGTGGACATCCTGGCTGAAAGCAGAGGTGACTCTGAGGAGAGTCTTTAGGGAAGGCGGGGGGTGTATTTAGGAGTCTGTGCAGTTCTTTGCCACACCCTGTGGGTTTGCTTTGAGGCCTTGGAGTTCCTTCTCCTCCCCCTGCTGCATTGCACCATGGGTATCAAAGAGGGGTTTGAGTTTTGGGGACCTAGGGTGAGCTGCTGCCTCCTATAGACCCAGACTCTGATTGGCAGTGGAGTCCAGGGCCTGAGCTCAGGCCTGGGAAAGACTAGGCCCCCTTTAGGTTTCAGGCCTTGAAGGACCATCCAGACTTAGGGAGCCTGGGCCTTGGGGAGGGAGAGACCCTGATGCCAGGACTGAGCTTTGGGCAGCGAGGTGGGGAGGGAAGGTGGCCGCATTCAGAGGTGCCTTGGACTCACAACAACACCCCCACCCCCGTGTGTGCAGCCGTGTTGCCGCCCGCTGTGCTATGAGCAGTCAGAGCGCCGTCTCCACAAGAGTTTACAAATGAAAATGGAGGAAATGTCTTTGTCTGGCCTGGATAACAGCAAACTAGAGGTGAGGGCTCCCCCACGTGTGCCTCCAGTTCTTTCTCTTGATGTCTCTACGTCGCTGTATCTGGCATCCACACCAAAGAGGAATTTGGGTAGTCAGCCTTGTTCCTTAAAGGGAATAGCCAGCTGAAAAAGCCAAGGATCCAGGAAGAAGAAAGAACACGAAGTCAAGATGGGGAAAATGGCAAAGAAAGCATGATTTTTGGCTGGGGCCAGTTGGCAGCAGATTTGGTTGGTGAGAGTCCAGGGGGCTGTGACTCTTGTGACCGTAGATGTTCTCCCCTGGGGCCCAGGCCATCGCTCAGGAGATATACGCGGACCTGGTCGAGGATTCTTGTTTGGGATTCTGCTTTGAGGTACACCGGGCTGTCAAGTGTGGCTACTTCTTCTTGGACGACACGGACCCTGATAGCATGAAGGATTTTGGTGAGCTTCAGGGTGAAGGAGCAGCAGTCCAGCCCTTCCCTGGGACTGCCTGGAGTTTCCTTCTCTGGAAACTGTGCTAGATGTAGCACCTGGAGCTCCTGTGAGCCGGGGGAGGGATTGAAGAGGCCGTGGGACCCCAGGTGGGAACAAGAGGAGAGGGTCCTGCCCACCCTGATCGCCAGCCTCTCCTGTCCCCAGAGATCGTGGACCAGCCGGGCTTGGACATCTTTGGACAGGTTTTCAACCAGTGGAAGAGCAAGGAGTGTGTTTGCCCCAATTGCAGTCGCAGCATTGCCGCCTCCCGCTTTGCTCCCCATCTGGAGAAGTGCCTGGGAATGGGTCGGAACAGCAGCCGAATCGCCAACCGCCGGTGAGGGAACCAGAGCTGCCCGTTCTCTGCAGCCTGTGCCATGGTGTAGTCCCCCGGGGGCATTGGGAAGGTACAGAGGGTGGGTTTTACTTGGCCCCAGATGCTCCACCTGCTTCTGAAGTTGGGGGCAGAGCGGGGTGACCACCTTGACCCCTTTCTCTTCCTTCCCCTTGGCCCCTTTCTCTTCCCTCCCCTTGGCAGGATTGCCAATAGCAACAATATGAATAAGTCTGAGAGTGACCAAGAAGATAATGATGACATCAATGACAACGACTGGTCCTATGGCTCGGAGAAGAAAGGTGCTTGGGGATCTGGGGAAACCCGGGGGGCATTGGGATGAGGTGGGAAGCAGGAATTGGGTATACAGTGGTCACAAATTGTTGCCTTGAATGATGAAGAGAGAGTGTAGTTACGCGATTTCCTTTTCCTTTTTTTTTTTTTTTTTTTTTTGAGATGGATTCTCGCTCTGTGGCCCAGGCTGGGGTGCAGTGGTGAGATCTCGGCTCACTGCAACCTCCGTCTCCCGGGTTCAAGCGATTCTCCTGTGTCAGCCTCCTGAGTAGCTGGGATTACAGTCGCGTGCTACCATGCCCAGCTAATTTTTGTATTTTTAGTAGAGATGGGGTTTCACCATATTGGCCAGGATGGTCTCGATCTTCTGACCTCGTGATCTGCCCGCCTGGGCCTCCCAAAGTGCTGGGATTACAGGCATGAGCCACCGTGCCCAGCCTGTTGTATGGTTTTCTTGAGATGCTTTTAGATTGAGAACTTAACGGAAACCCTGCTCTTTATGCTTTTGTTTCCCACAGCCAAGAAGAGAAAGTCAGACAAGGTGAGAGCCGGGCCAGGCATTGGGGAAATAATGGGTAAAGGACAGATACCCTCCCCTTTGGGCAGGGAGTCCTCGAGTGTCATGACTCAAGGCTGAGGTCATTGGGGGCTTGAGGGTGTCTTTGGTGGGTCCGGGGCGGGGGAGTGTGGGTGGGGAAGGGGGGTGGGGGAGGGCACATGGGTAGACAGGCCTCCTACTGGGGAGGAAGAGTAGGAATTTGAGGATGCTGCTTTGTCAAATCTTTTTTCCTTCCCTGGGTTCTCGGCTCCCCCTTTTCGTTACCCTTTCCCCAAAGCTATGGTATCTCCCATTCCAGAACCCCAATTCCCCTCGAAGATCCAAGTCATTAAAACACAAAAATGGTAAGTGGAGCCGGAGCAATGGGAATGCTTCTAGCTGTGTCTTCTGGGACTCATTGCCGGGGGGTGGAGGTGGGGCCCGGGGATAGGGGAATTGAGGGAGGGCCTGTGATCCTTCTGTCACCCCCACTTCCTCTCTGGTTATTTTCAGGGTTCTCTGTCTGTACCTCTGCATCAAACACCCTTCCCCTTCTTTTTTCTTCTTCAGGGGAACTTAGCAATTCGGATCCTTTTAAGGTGAGTATGGGCCGCCCCTCATGCTTGCTCTCATTGTCCTGGTTGTGAGGTGGTGGGGATTTGGACAAGTAGGGATCAGAATGCTGACAGCCAGAGGCACTGATGAGCTATTTGGATCTTACATATTTATGTTCTTTCTGAGTCCCACCCCTTATCCATTGGCAGATGGGATGAGAGAAATCACTTGGAAAACGGCAGGGTCGTTCTAAAGCCTCACTTAGAAAGGGACCAGAGGGACTGATTCTCACTTCCACCCCTGTCCTTCTCTTTTCTCTGCCCCATCTCTAACCTGTACCTCTGGTTGTCCTGCAGTATAACAATTCAACTGGGATCAGCTATGAGACCCTGGGGCCGGAGGAGCTTCGCAGCCTGCTAACCACGGTGAGGGAGGACCAGCAAGAGAGAAGGTCCCTGGGAGTGGGCTGGAGCCATAGGCAGTGGTCAAGGCCTGGGAGGAAGCTGGTGACCTAGCAGTCAGGGCCGTATCGTTCTCTCTGTCTGGAATTAGGTTTCCCGGCCCATAGTGTCCTGGGACCATCTGCTCTGGACACCTTTGGGCCATCTCTGCTTGTGCTATCTAGCATTTATACAGAAAGAAACATCTAACATCTAGAGTAGGTTCCTTCCATCCCTCCTTTCAGCTTATATTCCTCTTCCAGCAATGTGGGGTGATTTCTGAACACACCAAGAAGATGTGCACAAGGTGAGCACAGAACCTAGAAAGGGGGCCAGGCGCTTCCTGCACACTCACCATGGGCATGGGTTGGGAGTACCCCTGGACTTGAGCAATGGGGCTCCTGCCCTTCCCCTTCCCTCCTCTAATGATGAGGCCTTTGGCCACAATCTGGGGATGAATCTGCATTCACCCCTTCCCTGTCTGTGCCTGTGGCTCCTGCCTTGCCGAGGGGAGGGGCTTTACCTGAGTTCCTCAGAACCCTCCCTGCCTTGCCTCACCACCAGGTCCCTGCGCTGCCCACAGCACACAGATGAGCAGAGGCGAACCGTACGGATTTATTTTCTCGGGCCCTCGGCGTAAGTGGCCCTACAGGAAGGGTGGGGGGTTGTGACCAGTTAGGGCGATGATCACTATCTCTAAAGCCCTTCTTTGGCTCATCCCCTTTCCAGTGTCCTTCCAGAGGTCGAGAGCTCCCTGGATAATGACAGCTTTGACATGACTGACAGCCAGGCCCTGATCAGCCGGCTTCAGTGGGACGGCTCCTCTGACCTCTCACCCTCTGATTCAGGCTCCTCCAAGACGAGTGAAAATCAGGGATGGGGTCTAGGTACGTGATGCAGTTGGGCCCTAGGGGCTCTGTGCCCAAAGCCATGGGGGTGCCACCTCTCCTGCCATAACCATACTCTCATCCCTTGTGTCTCTTTCTCTACAGGTACCAACAGCTCTGAGTCACGGAAAACCAAGAAAAAGAAATCCCATCTGAGCCTGGTAGGGACTGCCTCCGGCCTAGGTTCCAACAAGAAGAAGAAGCCAAAGCCACCGGCACCCCCGACGCCCAGCATCTATGATGACATCAACTGACTTGGGTGCAAGGGATAGCCTTTGGCTGAGCAGAGCCCTCTCTCCTGACCCCCACCCAGGTGGCATAGCCTGGCAAATGGACGGCTGCTGGGGGTTGGGGCTTGGGAAGCTTGGTGGGCCAGGCAGGCAGAGGATCCGATTATGCGCCCCTGGGGGGTGTCAAAGTCCTCTGCAATGGAGCACGACTCCTCGGCGTGCAGGACTCAGACCTGGACATATTATGCCTTGGACATAAGTTTGGTGGGGAGGCGGTTTTCCTATTTATTCTGTGAGTTACTGGATGTCCAGCTAGGCCAGGGGCCTGACCTGGGCACTGTGCCAGGGCACTGCCTGCCCCCCACCCCAGGAACTGGACTAAGCCCTGCTGAGGGGCAATGTGGCGACCCGGGAGGCTGTGGGTTGGAAGCTGAGCCTGGAGGGGGCCTGCCTCGGCCGCCCTCAGCAATGTGAATGGGTCCGGTGCTTGGAGCTGAGGGGCAAGGCTGGGCATGTCCTGTCTGTGTGCAGAATCTTATCAAATGCCCCCAGTCCCAGGGGTAGGCAGGCACAGAGTGCTGTCTGCTGAGGTGGGCGTCCAGAACTGCCGCCACCTTCCCTGCCCCTCACAGGGGCAGCCCTTTCCCCTCAGTCCCCATGGGCCTCCTTGGCAGCAGGAGCTGTCCTTTTGTTGGGTGCCAGGAAAGGGCCTCCAGCCTCTACAGCTTCAAGGAATGGGAAAGGGAGGGTAGGAAGAGGGAGAAGTGTCAGAATTCCTCCCCCTGCCTCTCCTCCCTGACCCAGGGCTGGTGAGGAGTGGGGCCCCAAGGTGAGAGGGAACGGTGCTGCTTTATTTGAAATGTTTTCTTACCTCATTCCCTGCCCCAGGAAGGGACCCAGCCTCACCCTCCTGGGGTGGCCCCGTGTTCCTCCTGCCCACCCTGCCCCACTGCCCTACCGGGGCAGCCCAGGTTCCCAACTGCTGCTTCCACCCCCTTCACCTTGACTGGCTTCAGTTCCTCTCAGCGCTCCTGCCTCCAAAGCGTGCCCTGTTTCCCTTCCTTAGCGCTTTTAAGTTATTTATTCTGTACTTGTGGTTTGGGGCTCTGAGGAAAATCCTAATCTTGTGCCTCTCCCCCTTTGCTAGGAGTTGGGTGGGAAGAGAGGGTGGCCTCTGTGCCCCAGGTTGTCAGTGGAGGGGAAGGGGTGTCACTGCCCCTCTGTGGGACTGTCATGCCAGTGTGCCCACCTGCCTGGTCTACATCCTAAAGAGATGTACCGTCCCCCCTCCATGCGGGCACCACCACTCCCAGGAGCCAAGCTGGAGGACCGCGACCTGGGCTGGGAGCAGAGCTGACTGACATGGGTGGAGGTGACCCTGAGCCAAGTTCTCTGGCACTTGCTGGACATGTCCCCTACCCTCTTCCCAAGAGGAGCCATCCCACATTTGGGTAGTTAGTACCCAGGACTGGTTGGACTGATCGGGTTAGGGACCCTAGAGGGTTAAGGGAACAACAGAGATGGGGCTGCAATGCCCTGTCTGGAACTCCGCTCTCCCGCTGGGGTGGTTCTGATTGTGGCTCATGCCTGGTTGCAAATTGGTTTTTAACCCACAAATTGTGATTATTTTTTAAAAAGCCAAACAGATTTTGGCAGGAGTTAGAATAAATCCCGGGGCCTGGGCTTCTCTATTCTTGGCCCTCCGTAGTCTCCCTCCGAGAGGAGGCCAGAGGGAGAGGAGGATCTCAGCAGGCCTCTAGCCGCTTCCAGATGCAGTCTGGGGAGTGGGCTGAAGGTGAAGGGAGGAAGGCTGTGGGCCACTCTCCCTTCTGAGAGGCAGCTGCAGCTCAGGCCCTAATACACTCTTTGCCCTGTGGCCTCTCCCTTTTCCCCCCTTCTGGTTGGAGGAGGGAGAAGTGGGAAGTAGCTTGGGAACTGGTTTGTCCACATAAACTTCCCCATTGTTCCTTGGCCCGCCCTCAGGGCAGAGCCCCCTGCCCAGGCTGGGTAAGAGATGGGCTTGGTCCAGCAGGGACCCTGAGGGAACAAACCCTTTTCCTTCTGGGGAGAGAGTGCCCCCCCTACCATGTAGTTGAACAGGGGCTAGGAGCTCCCCACTCCCCTCCCTCTAACAGCAGGCTGTGTGGGTTTCAATTCCCATCCTTCCCACCCCGGCTAGGTGTCGTCCACCCTGTATCCTGTGTCTGAGTGTGTGTGGGGGGGTTCTGTACTAATTTCCATGGCCGGTGGCTTTTCCTTCCATGCATCACTCCCCCCCGCATGCCCAGGGGCCACCCGCCTGGCATTACCGCATGCTGGGGTCATTGGGGGAGGGGGGTGGGGCTCACGCTGTCCTGTGGTCTTGAGATTTTTATTTTTGCATATGTAATCCATTCTGTACAGGTAGCTAACTTTGTAAACGCTGTGTATTCCCTCTGCCCCCATGGCTGCTGGTGTAAATAAACTGCATCTCCCGTTGGTAGCCCCGGCCTACCTACTCTCATTACCATTTTCCTGGGGGCAGCGCAAAGCCATTCTCTGTCACAGAAAGAGGCTGCAGGACCACAAAATGGAACTTTATTCAGTCACAGACACTGACCCTCCAATAGCCCCAGAAGCAAGAGCCTAGGGCCCAGCAATCCATACCCAGTCCTTGGAGTTGGGCAGGGTAGGACGCTGGCCAAGGGCCAGTGCTGTCTCTTGCTTACAGCCTGAGGACTACGGGAGCAGCAGCTGTGGCCTGGCCGCTCCCAATGCTGGGGGCTTGGCTTGGTGCCCCATCCCCTTCCTGACTGAGCTCTATGAAGGACTCTTAAAAAAATAAAATAAAATGCAAGCAAAGTGCTTTGAAAGAAGGGAGGACACCCTATTCCTGCTAAGGGGTAGAGGAAGAAGGTGAAGGCGGCTAGGTGCCCATAAGAGAAGGCTGGCACAATCTTCATTCCCGCCAGTGTGATTTCAGTCTCAAAAGATGAGTATTTGGCTGAGAAATGGAAGGATACTCCAGGCTCCCTACGGAGTTGTGCTGGGGCCATGCTGAGCTGCCCTTGCAGGCAGCCCTGGGTGCTGGGGGCAGACATGCAGGACACTGGGAAGAGTCAGAACCACAGGTGGGAGGGAATCTCAGAGCCCAGGCTCCCCACTGAGCTTGGCCAGCAGCTTTGAACTCCTTCAGAGGACCCTAAAAGTGAAGGAAGATGACATCCTCATTTCTACCTGAGTTGTGCTCGCACGGGAGGGACATCTGTACTCCTGTGGATGAGAAGGGGAGGCCGCATACTTGCCTCCTGTGTCCTATGGAGGAGATTTCCATCACATCCTTTCCACCCCTCCCTCCCCGGCCCTTGGGCCCAGCTCTGGCCAGGAAAAGTGGGGAGGCCGTAAAGGAGAAAGACCATGCCTTTCATTTTCTTCCTATGTCCTTATCGTCCATACATCCCAAATACTAGGAAGCTGAAGAAGACGGTGACTCCCACCAGGGAGACAGTGGCAGGTGCTGTGAAGAATTGGCGGTAATTGATTCGGAAGTACCAGACCACACCCAACAGCACCACAAAGACAGGCACCATGAGGCTGCCCACATTGACACCAAGGCTGGGTGGCTCAGTGGCCGAGGGGGCCAAGGAGGCTGAGGGGCCTGGAACAGCTGACCCTGGGGGTGAGCGGTGGCAGTGAATCACACAGTTGTCGGTAATGTTCAGAGAACGCAGTGTGCGGGCTGGGTCTTGTAGCAGGCGGCCCTGGTAGATCAGTTTCATCTGGCTTTCTTGTCCAGGGAAGTATTTGCTGTAAGGATGAAAGACATGGAAGAAAAGATAGAGGGTGAGGAATGAGAAGGCAAACAGGCCTGGACCAACAAAGCAGGGGAGTGGGGAAAAACTGGAGGGTGGATTTTTTTTTCCCTCATCTTTATCCTTTTTTTTTTTTTTTTTTTTTTGAGACGGAGTCTCACTCTGTTGCCAGGCTGGAGTGCAGTGGCGCGATCTCGGCTCACTGCAACCTCTGCCTCCCGGGTTCAAGCAATTCTCCTGCCTCACCCTCCCGAGTAGCTGGGACTACAGGAGTGCGCCACCATGCCCAGCTAATTTTTGTATTTTTTTTTTTAGTAGAGACAGGGTTTCACCATGCTGGCCAGGATGGTCTTGATATCTTGACCTTGTGATCTGCCCGCCTTGGCCTCCCAAAGTGCTGGGATTACAGGCGTGAGCCACCGCGACAGGCCCCCCTCATCTTTATCCTTAACTAATGAGGGGTGTATTTGTTTGTTTTGTTTTTTTAGATGGAGTCTCACTCTGTCGCCCAGGCTGGAGTGCAGTGGCGCAATCTCGGCTCACTGCAACCTCCACCTCCTGGGTTCAAGCGATTCTCCTGCCTCAGCCTCCTGAGTAGCTGGGATTGCAGGCGTGCGCCACCACGCCCGGCTGATTTTTGTATGTTTAGTAGAGATGGGGTTTCACCATGTTGGTCAGGCTGGTCTCGAACTCCTAACCTCGTGATGCACCCGCCTCGGCCTCCCAAAGTCCCGGGAGCCACTGCACCCGGCCTGAAGGGTGTATTTCTAAGAAAGTATCTACCTGCCCTTGGTAGGGGCTGGATCTTACACTTTGCTGCAGCTCCCATGTCTGCACCAGCCTCCTTAGAGGCAACCAAGGGCTGGGGGATGAGCACAAGCAGCTTCCCACTTCCCAGGCCACTCACCTCTTCAGGGCACCCACGGTATCCTCTGGCCTAGCCACAGCCAGCTCCTCGGTATCATTGAGGAATTTGAGCCGCACAGTGATGAGGCCAGGGCTGGGAGGGAGGCAGGTGCTATCCTCAGATCTCAGGGGGGCCTCTGGACTGCTGCTGCCTGCACCTGCTTGTCTTTTGGGCAGGCCTTGGATGTCAAGGAGATGCTCAAGGCTGGGCTCAACACCACCCCCAGCTCCAGCCTCCCCAGTGGAGTCTCCCCGACCTTCACCCGCCTCTTCAGCCTTCTCATCATTACCCTCTGATGGATGGGGGAGTTCAGTTGGCTCGGGGTTGCCTTGGCCTGCCACCAGGTGGTCCACATGCCCCAGGTGGAGGACGGATGTGTCGCCTGCTGACACAATAGCGCCCAGGAGCTGGTTGCTACCGCTGTCTGCTACGTAGGTAGAGAGCCAAGCTAGGACCAAGGCTAGAATCAGCACCACCACACCTGCCACCACCATCACCTCATTACCCACACCCTCAATGAGGGTGACATCAGAGAGCTCCATGGCCTGGCTGCTGGCAGGGTCCACGCTGCAGGAACAAAGGGGGACAGCATCAGCAGAGCCTGAGGGGTTGCAACCAGGTCTCTAGTTTGTTTAGGTTCTAACTGACCCAGCCCTGAAAAAAAAAAAAAAGGAGTTCAGTGTTGTGTAGAAGGGGGCACAAACCTTCCTAATTCCGGCACCCCAACCTAAACCTAAAGACCTACCCTACCCTTTGCCTCTATTGTGAAACTCTTGCTTTCACGTTCTGTGACCTTCCTCTCTCAAACTCCAACTTCCCAATGAGTGTGGATCAGCAGGAAAAGCCCACAGCCTTGCTGCTGCTGCTACTGTTGTTGCTTTTTTGGTGAATGAGGAAAAATCTTTGCTGAGGCCTGAGTTTCTCTAGGATTTCTATCGCTTGGTCAAGCAAATATGCCTCCTAAGCAGCCTCCAAAGTGGCTTCAGAGAGACCCAAAAGCCTGGAATATTTTACTGTGGGGCCCCCCTGGAAGCACTGTTTAGCCATCCCTGCCAGATTGTCTCATTTGAGCCTATTTCATTCCTGGTCACAGATCCAGGCTGCCAGATGTCAAGAGCCAAAGAAAACTGACCTACCATCAAAAGCAGAGTCAGACAAATCTAAAACGATAACTCTGTAGGGACCGCGGGCAGATACTATGCAGCAGACATTATGTGCCGCCTCTGAAACTTCTGGCAAGCCCTGGGGAGCAACTTGGGACAGACACCAGAAGCACCACCTTCCTGGGTCACCATGGGCCCACTCCTGCAATGACCACTCCCCAAGTGGAGTGATTTGAAAAAGATTCCATAACAGCTCTCACAATCCATATCTCAGTCTCTCTTCTTTCACTGTGAAGGTTCTGCTGCTGCAGTTTCTTAGAAAGGCAGGAAGGGTCCCTGCTTGCTCCTTGGAGTACCTACTATTTCCCTTGGAGAATCTGCTGCTTTCACAGCTGTCCCTGGGCAAATCCAGTCTGGTGATTACCATTATCAGACTATTCTCACAGCACCTATAAAACTTCATTATACTTATGTACCTGTCCATCTTTCTATTAGACTCCTGGTAGACAAGGATCGTATGTATTTCTCTTGGTACTGAAGTGTCCAATATAATGCCCCAGTAGTTGCTCAAAGAATTATCTGTGGAACACATCAACATCCTTATTTAATATACCGGCCCTGGAGTTAGAAAAACAACTAATTATAACCCCAGTCTTGCGTCTTACTAGCTATAACACCTCAGACAACTTTCTCAGAGCCTCAGCTTTCTCATCAGTAAAATGGGGTTAAAAACAGTACCTACCTCATGAGGTTGTTTTGAAGATGACGTGAAATCATCGAAGCAAAATACTTGGCACAGTGCCTGGCACACTGCAAATTGCAATTGCTTAATAACGGTAGTAATTATTTATCACAACCACAACTAACCCCTGATGGTAAGAAGGTTAATGTTATTAACCATGATTTACAGGAAAAGAAACTGCGGCAAAGAAAGACGAAAACGATTGGCACAGACACAGGGAACTCTCGTGGGGAGGGGCCCGGCAGGACCCCAGGTGTCCGGCCTCAGGGGTCTTTGCTCTGTCCCTCAGCCTGTGATCTACCCTGTCCGTACCGTGACCGCACGGTGAGGAGGGGTCCCGCACCCTTTTTCTGAGGCGAAGGTTCCGCTTTTGGATGGTCCTATTCCCTCGGCGTTGGACTGGGGTCCATGGGCCCACCCGAACCGAAGGGCTGCCTGGCCCCAGCCTCCGTGATAAGACCAGTTGTCCCGGCCAGTGAGGAGTAGGGTCGGCTAAGGGGGTCACAAACCGTCCACACCCCTCAAACTTCGGGGCGGGGCTGGGGAACTGGGGGCGGGGCTTCAGGACGCGAGGAGTCATGGGAAATTAAAGGGGGATTGGACCGGCACTGTGCCTGGATGGGGAAGTCCTCACCTGAAAAGACCAGACTAAATGTTTTGACCTCGCCAGGACGGCCCCTGGACTCGTCTTTCCGTAGGGGTCGGGAAAAGGGCTGGCAATCTGCGATTCTGTTCAGGGTCCGGTCTCTTCCGGCTTCTCCCGGAAGCTGTTATACCAGGGACAGGAAGTCCCGCCTCCGCGCCTTGCACTGATGACGCGAAGCTGCGTAAGACGGGCTGACGTAAAAGGTATTCTTTAAATAAAAGGGACAGGTTTCTCAGCGGAAGGAGGGGTGGAGTCATTGTTGGCGGGATTGCGGCCCTCCCAGAGCGGGGCCACGCCTGGTGGGCGGGGCCTTAGGCAATCCAGGGTGAGAGGCGGGGCCAGGGGGGAGGAGTTAGCGCGGAGGTACTTGGGAAAGGGGCGTGGCTTCGCGACTGCGGAAGGTTGCCCGGGCTGGCGCCGCTGGGCAGAGCCGGTGCGACGTTTCCCTTTCCAGCTTTGTTCTTCCGGCCCTGCTGTCTGCCTCCCCGGCTGATTGGATTCGTTACTGCTTTGCAACGCGCACCTAACTCCAGGTTAGCGGGGATTAGTAAGAACTCAGCTCTGGGCCAGTCGGGAAGACAGATAAGGAGACCAGTTAGTCAGCATCCAGTGCTTGAAGAGTGCGGCCCCAGGTAGTGTGGGACCCGGAGAAAGAAGGCGGGAAAGCATTTCAAAGAAGGCACAGATTCGGCGCAGGCTTAGGACACAAAAAGGGGGAAAAGTCCAGCTTTCAAGAACTTATCCAGATTTTTGCAGTTAAAATTTTTTCTTTTTTGAGACGGGAGTTCCGCTCTTGTTGCCCAGGCTGGAGTGCAATGGCGCGATCTCGGCTCACTGCAACCTCCGCCCCCCCGGGTTCAAGCGATTCTTTTGCCTCAGCCTGCCGAGTAGCTGGGATTACAGGCATGCGCCACCACGCCCCGCTAATTTTGTATTTTAGTAGAGACAGGGTTTCTCCATGTTGGTCAGGCTGGTCTCGAACTCCCGACCTCAGGTGATCCGCCCCCGTCTCGGCCTCCCAAAGTGCTGGCATTACAGGCGTGAGCTACCGCGCTCGGCCGCAATTAAAATTTTTTCTAAAAACTTACTGTGGCCGGGGGGAGTGGCTTACTCTTGTAATCCCACCGCTTTGGGAGGCAGAGGTGGGAGGATCGCTTGAGCTCAGGAGTTCGAGGCTGCAGTGAGCTATGATCTGAGCCACTGCATTGCACCCGACAGGGAGGCCTTGTCTCCAAAAAAAAAAAAAAAAGCGCTGGAGTTTGGGGTTTTGGAGAACTACTGATTAAAGGATAAATAATCCAGACAGGGGCAAACATAAGCAAAAAGCTCGGTGGCTTCTACCAACTGAACACTGGCAGAAGTAGCACTTAGATCAAGAAATAGATAATTAGGACTGGCGCGGTGGCTCACGCCTGTAATCCCAACACGTTAGGAGGCTAAGGCAGGCGGATCACAAGGTCAGGAGTTCAAGACCAGCCTGGGTAACATGGTGAAATCCCGTCTCTACTAAAAATACAAAAATTAGCCGGGCGTGGTGGCGCACGCCTGTAATCCTGGCTACTCAGAAGGCTGAGGCAGGAGAATGGCTTGAACCTGGGAGGCGGAGGTTGCAGTGAGCTGAGATGGAGCCACTGCACGCCAGCTGGGGTGACAGAGCGAGACTCTGTCTCAGGAAAAAAAAAAAAAAGAAAGAATTACCCCAGAATCTCCCCCTTCATGTCTTCTTCTAGCCATTAACCTCCAAAGAGTAATCACTATTCTGACGTCTGTCACCATACATTAGTTTTTCCTGTTTTTGTACTTGCTATAAATGGAATCCAACTGTGTATCCTCTTCGGTGTCTAGCTTCTTTTTTGTAAGTCCTTTCATTGTGGTAAAATAAACATAGCTAGGCACAGTGGCATGCACCTGTAGTCCCAGCTACTCTGAAGGCTGACTCAGCAGTGTCACTTGAGCCCAGGAGTTAAAGGCCAGCCTGGGCAACACAGGGAGACCTCTATCTCTAAAGATAAATATATACATATACGTAACATAAAACTTAAAACCATTTTAACTATTTTTAAGTTTGCAATTCAGTGGCATTAAGTACATTCACAAAGCCGGGCACAGTGGCTCATACTTGTAATCCCAGCACTTTGGGAGGCTGAGGCAGGAGGATCCCTTGAGCCAGGAGTTCAAGACCAGCCTGGGCAATATGGTGAGACCCCCATCTCTAAAAAAAAATTAATTAGCTGGGCATGGTGGCGTGTGCCTGTGGTCCCAGCTACTCAGGAGGCTGAAGTGGGATGATTGACCCTAGGAGGTTAAGGCTGCAGTGAGCCATGAGCCAGCTACTCAGGAGGCTGAGGTGGGATGATTGCTTGACCCTAGGGTCAAGATTGCAGAGAGCTGTGATCGCGCCACTATGCTCCAACCTGGGAGACAGAGTGAGACTCCGTCTCAAAATAAAAAAAAATGTAAAGGAAAATAATTGTCTTCAGCTGAGCATGGTGGCTCTAGAGTGTAATTGCAGCACTTGGGGAGGCTAAGGTGGGAGGATCACTTGAGTCCAGGAGTTTGAAACCAGCATGGGCAACATTGCGAGACCCTGTCGCTACAAAAAATTTAAAAATTAGCCAGGCCTGGCGGTGTGTGCCTGTAGTCCCAGCTACTTGGGAGGCTGAGGTGGGAGAATCATTGGAGCCTAGGAGGTCAAGGCTACAGTGAGCTGTGATTGCGTCACTGCACTCCAGCCTGGCATACAGAAAGACCCCGTTTCAATCAATCAATAAAAACCACTCTGGGAGATCTTCCCAAGGCAGTACACATGCTGGTCACTTGGAATCCCTCCCTAGTTCTTTCCTGCCATGGGTAATATGGATTTGTCTAACCACTCCAACATGAGTTGTTGCAAGCAACGCTGAGAGGAATATTCCTGTATGTAGCCTGCCTTTTGTGTAACTGGGAACAGTGTTTAAGGAAGTGGCCAAATTGCCCCCAAAGAGGCGATTTGTCCACCAACAGGATTTGCACACCTGGCCTTGTATCCTGATTTTTTTTTTTTTTTTTTTGGAGACGAGTTTTGCTGTCACCCAGGCTGGAGTGCAGTGGGAGATCTCAGCTCACTGCAACTTCCGCCTCCCAGGTTCAAGTGATTCTCCTGCCTCAACCTACTGAATAGCTGGGAGTATATGTGTGTGCCACCACACCTGGCTAATTTTTGTATTTTTAGTAGGGAAGGGTTTCACCATGTTGGCCAGGCTGGTCTCGAACTCCTGGCCTCAGGTGATCTGCCTGCCTCGGCCTCCGAAAGTGCTGGGATTATAGGCGTGAGCTATCGCGCCTGGCCTACTTTTTGTATTTTTAGTAGAGAAAGGGTTTCACAATGTCAGCCAGGCTGGTCTTGAACTCCTGACCTCAGGCGATCCACCCGCCTCGGCCTCCCCAAGTGCTGGGATTACAGGCGTAAGCCACTGCACCCAGGTATTTTTCTTTTTTAACGGTATCTTTTGTAGTTGTAAATATATCAGAAAAGGCTGAGCTGGCTGTGGTCGGCGTGCTGTAAAGGGGTAGAAAGTTCAGCATTGCCCCTGAGAGTGAGGCTCCCAGCCTCCCTCTCTAGGGAGGAGTTCTTTTTCTTCTGTCAGGCCTTTTGGCTCTGTAAAACTAAAGCACAAATTTTCATCCAGAAAGGGGGTGTTGCATTCTGCATAACAAGGTGAAAAAACTGTCTTTGTGTTGATGAAATGGAATCCCAAAGATATAACTCTCCTGGAGGAGGGAAAGTTGGGCAGCTGCAGCAGGAGGCAGACCCCAGGACTTTGGATCCCTGTCTCCACTGTATAACTCCAACTGGTATTGGGACTGGAGACCCTAGGATCCCTCAGCAAAAAGACTGCTGACTCAGGAGAAGACTGCTGGGAGCTCCTCCCCAGTTCCCTCCTGTGATAGGTACTATAGGTTCTGGGTCTATGAGAGGCTTTGTGTTTCTGTTATTTTTATTCATTTTTTTATTTTTTTTTGAGACGGGGTCTCACTCTGTCGCCCAGGCTGGAGTGCAGTGGCACAATCTCAGCTTGCTGTGACCTCAGCTCTCTGCGACCTCTGCTTGCTGGACTCAAGCGATCCTCCCACCACCTCAGCCTCCTGAGTAGCTGGAACCATCATATGCACCAGCACGCCTGGCTAAGTATTTTGTGTTTTCTTTTTTTTTAATTTCTAGAGACAGGATCTTGTTATGTTGCCCAGGCTGGTCTCAAACTCTAGGACTCAAGTGATCTGCCCCCCTTGGCCTCCCAAAGTGCTGGGATTACAGGCATGAGCCACCGTGCCTGGCCTTTTTTTTTCCCCAGCCTCAGCAACATAGTGAGACCCGTTGTGGTGCATGCCTGTAGTACCACCTACTTGGGAGGAGTATTGCTTGAGTGTGGAAGGTTGAGGCTGCTATGAGCAGTGATCGCGCCACCACACTCCAACCTAGGCAACACAGAGAGCCCCTGTCTCAAAAAAAAATTGTTTTAGGGACAGTGTCTCACTCTTGCCCAGACTGGTCTCAAACTCCTGGGGTCCAGTGATCCTCCTGCCTCAGCCTCCCTTGTAGGTGGGACTACACGGCACCTGGCCCTTGTGTTGTTCTTGTAACAGTTGCTCAATGCAGAAAACTTGGAAACCACAGAACAGCACCAGGGGGTGGGGAATGAACATGGAATGATGGGGACCTCTGTCCCATTTAAGTCAAACAACATCCATACTTTGGTTCCATGGACTAATCATTTATTTGCACTCATAAAAACTGGCTTGCTTTGAAAAGCTTCCTCCAAAAGCTGTATTGTGGTACTTTTGACTCTGGGACAAGAGGAAGAAGTTGGGGAATTCGGGCAGTTGGTGGCTGGGCCCTCAGAGACTGTATGTGGTGACCACTGTTTAAGACACCATTCATCACTTGGGGACGGAGGGAGCACATAGATGGACCCCAGGCTCATGGATGTTCCTCCTTCCGCAGTCATTTACTAAAATACCTGTTCAAGGAATATAGTTCCAGTCTCAGCCTAGTTGAGACAACCACAGGCACTTAAATAAGTACCAAGGAAGCCTCTGCAGAGATAGTGCTATTGGAACTGAGTCCTGAGGGCCAGATCAGCCTTGACCAGGCCAAAAAATGTGGAAGAGTATTCCAAGCGGTAGGAATAACACATGCAAACACCTGAAAGCAAAGAGGAGCAGGTCACATCCAGCAACTGGTGACTTGTTTACTAAGGCTGGAGATGAACCTTGGAAGGAAGAAGGGAAGTCAAGAGGCCAGATAATTTGGCAGAGGCTAGAGGCTCTGTTCTACTGAGTTGTTTTCTCGTTTGTTTTGTTTTGTTTTTTGAGACAGAGTTTTGCTCTTGTCACCCAGGCTGGAATGCAATAGCGTGGTCTTGGCTCACTGCAACCTCCGCCTCCCGGGTTCAAGCAATTCTCCTGCCTCAGCCTCCTAAGTAGCTGGGACTACAGGTATGCGCCACCACGCTTGCTTGGCTTTTTTTTTTTTTTTTTTTTTTTTAACCCTGAGTGGACACAGCACATGTTTCAGAGAGCACAGGGTTGGGGGTAAGGTCACAGATCAACAGGATCCCAAGGCAGAGGAATTTTTCTTAGTGCAGAACAAAATGAAAAGTCTCCCATGTCTACTTCTTTCTACACAGACACGGCAACCATCCGATTTCTCAATCTTTTCCCCACCTTTCCCGCCTTTCTATTCCACAAAGCCGCCATTGTCATCCTGGCCCGTTCTCAATGAGCTGTTGGGCACACCTCCCAGACGGGGTGGTGGCCGGGCAGAGGGGCTCCTCACTTCCCAGTAGGGGCGGCCGGGCAGAGGCGCCCCTCACCTCCCGGACGGGGCGGCTGGCCAGGCAGGGGGGCCGACCCCCCCCCACCTCCCTCCCGGACAGGGCGGCTGGCCGGGCGGGGGGCTGACCCCCCACCTCCCTCCCGGACAGGGCGGCTGGCCGGGCGGGGGGCTGACCCCCCCACCTCCCTCCCGGACAGGGCGGCTGGCCGGGCGGGGGGCTGACCCCCCACCTCCCTCCCGGACAGGGCGGCTGGCCGGGCAGAGGGGCTCCTCACTTCCCAGTAGGGGCGGCTGGGCAGAGGCGCCCCTCACCTCCCAGACGGGGCGGCTGGCCGGGCGGAGGGCTGACCCCCCACACCTCCCTCCCGGACGGGGCGGCTGGCCAGGCGGGGGGCTGACCCCCCTACCTCCCTCCCGGACGGGGCGGCTGGCCGGGTGGGGGGGCTGACCCCCCCATCTCCCTCGCGGACGGGGTGGCTGGCCGGGCTGAGGGGCTCCTCACTTCCCAGTAGGGGCGGCCGGGCAGAGGCGCCCCTCACCTCCCGGACGGGGCGGCTGGCCGGGCGGGGGGCTGACCCCCCCACCTCCCTCCCGGACGGCACGGCTGGCCAGGCGGGGGGCTGACCCCCCCACCTCCCTCCCGGATGGCACGGCTGGCCGGGCGGGGGGGCTGACCCCCCACCTCCCTCCCGGATGGGGCGGCTGGCCGGGCGGGGGGCTGACCCCCCCCCCACCTCCCTCCCGGATGGGGTGGCTGCCCGGCGGAGACGCTCCTCACTTCCCAGATGGGGTGGCTGCCGGGCGGAGAGGCTCCTCACTTCTCAGACGGGGTGGTTGCCAGGCAGAGGGTCTCCTCACTTCTCAGACGGGGCGGCCGTGCAGAGACGCTCCTCACCTCCCAGACGGGGTCTCGGCCGGGCAGAGGCGCTCCTCACATCCCAGATGGGGCGGCGGGGCAGAGGCGCTCCCCACATCTCAGACGATGGGCGGCCGGGCAGAGACGCTCCTCACTTCCTAGATGTGATGGCGGCTGGGAAGAGGCGCTCCTCACTTCCTAGATGGGATGGCGGCCGGGCGGAGACGCTCCTCACTTTCCAGACTGGGCAGCCAGGCAGAGGGGCTCCTCACATCCCAGACGATGGGCGGCCAGGCAGAGACGCTCCTCACTTCCCAGACGGGGTGGCAGCCGGGCAGAGGCTGCAATCTCGGCACTTTGGGAGGCCAAGGCAGGCGGCTGCTCCTTGCCCTCGGGCCCCGCGGGGCCCGTCCGCTCCTCCAGCCGCTGCCTCCCGGGCGGCGCTCGCCGGCGCGGCGGCAAAGACTGAGACAGCTCCGCTGCCCGCTGAACTCCATCCTCCCGGCGGTCGGGCGGCGGCGGCTGCGGTCGGTCGCGGCAGCGGCTCCGCTTCATATCTGCAGCTGGGGCCCGCGGGCGTCAGCGCCGCGACTGTCCCAGTCCGCACTGCCCCGGGCCGCAGCGCAGCCGCGCCAACCACCACCCGCGGCCACCATGGCCAGACGGGCTCCCTAAGCCACCGACCCCAGCCCGCGGTGCCTTCGAGCCTTCTGGGGCCTCCGGCGCCGCGACCTCCTCTGCGCTCCTCACGGAAGACTTTTTTTTTTTTTTTTTTTTAAGACGGAGTCCCGCTCTGTTGCCCAGGCTGGAGTACAGCGGTGCGCGATCTTGGCTCATTGCAACCTCCACCTCCCAGGTTCAAGTGATTCTCCTGCTTCAACCTCCTGAGTAGCTGAGATTACAGGCATCCGCCACTATGCCCGGCTAATTTTTGTATTTTTAGTAGAGACAGGGTTTCACCATGTTGGCCAGGCTGGTCTAGAACTCCTGACCTCGTGATCCGCCCACCTCGGCCTCCCAAAGTGCTGGGATTACAGGCATGAACCACTGCGCCTGGCCTAATTTTTTGTATTTTTAGTAGAGACAGGGTTTTACCATGTTGGTCAGGTTGGTCTCAAACTCCTGACCTCAGGTGATCCTCCCGCCTCAGTCTCCCAAAGTGCTGGGATTACAGGTGTAAGCCACTGCACTCAGCTTGTTTTAAAGAGTTTTGATTTTAGTGTGAGAGGAGCCACTGGAGGGCATGATCAGAGTTTGACTCCCAAAGACCATTCCAGCACCAATTCAGGGCATGGGTCTCAAGATCTCCCTTGGAGTGACAAAGGCAGGGCAGGCAAGCCAGTGCACGCAGAGACAGAGTTTGTCCCTCTTTAGGAGGCTGAACAGGTATAAGGGTGGCAGGAGAGGGAGGTGGTGGGCCACTAGAATCACTGGTTCTTGGCATGGGACCTGGATGGATAGAGGGGCCATCCACTTAAACACAGGAGGAGAAGGGAGGTGAAGGCCGAGTCTGGGAACAGGCCGAGTCTGCAGCCCTTCCTGCTGGAGAGAGGGTCTGAAGCTCAGGTCCGGCTAGAGGTCAGCAGGTGTCTCAAGAAGCCCATGGAGGAGTGAGGTGGACCAGGACAGCACGTGGAGTACAGAAAAGAGGGGCAGGCAACCAGGCGCAGTGGCTCATGCCTGTAATCCCAACACTTTGGGAGGCCAAGGCGGGTGGATCACCTGAGGTCAGTGTGAGACCAGCCTGGCCAACATGGTGAGACCCTGTCTCTACTAAAAATACAAAATCAGCCAGGTGTGGTGACTCATGCCTGTAGTCCCAGCTACTCGGAAGTTTGGGGCACAAGAATCGCTTGAACCTAGGTGGTAGAAGTTGCAGTGAGCCGAGATAGCGCCACTGCACTCCAGCCTGGGCAACAGAGTGAGACTAGGTCTCAAAAAGAAAAGAAAAGAGGGCCAGGAACTGGTCCTCCGCAGTTGGAGGCGGGGACAGGTGGGAGGGGCAGAACACACCATGGGACAGCCTGACATGGGGTTCACTGGATGCACCCCTCCACACGCAGCAGCAGGTAGTCCCTGAGGAGCGGGGGCAGTGGCAGCCGGGTGGCACCCTGCCGGCAGCGGCTTCCCAACCGAGCGCGCACAGCTAGTCGGGCCAGGTGCTGCAGCTGCCTTGGCTGGTTCACCATGCACAGGGCCGAGCTGTAGAAGGCTTCGTGCTCCTAGGCCAGGAGTGAAAGAAGGTCAGATGACCCTTGCCCTACCATCTGGGGGCAACCCAGCGGTGGGGGTCCTGGGATTTTGCAGCATGCACCCACCTGGGTGTTTCATGTGTCTCAAAGGACTCAGATTCAGAACCATAGAGGCCCTGCAGTGATAATGCGGGCTGGGGCTCCACTTCAGGGAAGGGTCTCCACTATGTCTATACCACTCCCACCCCAGAGAGCCTAGCACAGTGCCCACCAAGTTAAGAGATGCCAGATAAATGTCTGTGCTGATGCAAGTGAGGGAGGCAGGAGAGGTGTGTGGAGTTAGGGGTCAGCCTGGGGTACCGGGGGAGGGGGTACCCTGAAACCCAGGGGTGCCACTCTACCCATCCTCTCTACCCAGGGGCCCTCCTGCTGCTCCCTCCATGAGGCTGGTCCTGAAGGAATAGGCCTGTGGCTCGTCCCTCCTCCCCATCTCGGCCCTGAGGCAAACATACCTTCCACAGCTCTGGGAGCACCGCCTCCACCCAGGTCTCACAGGATGGGACACAAGGATAGGCATTAAGCAGGACTTCCAGGGCCCGAGGGAAGTTGGCGCAGTGTTTCAGCATCTAGGGGTCAAAAGAGGGTCTTGGGCACATGCCTCCCCCACCCGAGGGCAGACCCAAGTCTTGCCTCACCCACATGGCCAATCCTAGCCTAATCTGGGGGGCTAAGGTCTGAGTCTCTCTTCCCTTTTTTGTGCCTCTGTCTACCCCACCCTCAAGTATGCTCCAACCTTTTGGCCCCAGTTTTCCTCTGGGGCTCTTCCCTCCCTTGGACTCTCTCTCCCAGAATCCTCTCTCCCCCTCCCAAGCTGGGGACAGCCCCCTGGCCACTGAGGGCAGGCTTTCAGTCTCTTGGACCCTCTGTCTTCCCCAGAAGCGGAGCAGTTCCAGCCGCGGGCTCCCCCACACAGGAGCCTCCTATGTCAGGGCCTCCCAGCGCACCTCAGGGCGCACTGGCTGCGCCCCGTAGTCCAGCAGTGCGGCGAAAAGGACTTCAGGCTCCCAGTTGGGGGAGTCCTGGACGGCCTGCAGCGCACAGTCCATGGGCGTGTGGCCCGCCCCATTGGGGACCTCAGCGCGGGCCCCGTAACGCAGCAGCAGCTCGGCCAGGCCCCCGCAGCCGTTGGCACAAGCGTTGTGCAGCGGCGTGTGGCGCTTGCGCCCGGCCGCCCGGGCATCAGCTCCAGCCTCCAGGAGCCGGCGCGCCGCAGCCTGGTGTCGCCTGCAGCTACCTGGGCCCTCGGCCCCAGCGCACGCCGTGTTCAGCGCAGTCTCGCCCTGGCTGGTGCGCAGGCCCACGTCGGCGCCATGCTCCAGGTACAGAGCCACATGTTGCTCCAGGCCGCGCGCCGCCGCCACGTGCAGGGGCGTCTCCTGGCTCTCGCCTGCTGCCAGGTTCACCGTCGCTCCTGCTTCCAGCAGCAACTTGGCGCACCTGGGGACAAGAGAGCAAGGTCCTGAGGAAAATCCTGAAGGCTTGGGACCCCTTCAGCTTGCTGTGACACTCCCTTGCCTTTCCACCCCTCTCAGCTTGAGGTCCTACCTGGTGTCCTCCATGAGAATCATACAAGCCCCGCTACAGACAACAGAATTGGAAGGTCCTGAGAGCTACCAGAAGCATCTTCAGTTTTCATATGAAAAACTTAAGCCCAGGAGTGATTTGTGCAGCCAAGGACACACAGCAAGTTAGTGGCTGCACCAGAAATAGTACTCACTGCCTCAGACAGTCCCTCCCACAGTCTACTCTGTCTCCACCCCAAGGTCTGGTTCTGAATCATTCAGTTGTCAGTTGTCTCCTTTTTTTTTTTTTTTTTTGGAGACAGGGTCTCTCTCTGTGGCCCAGGCTGAAGTGCAGTGGTGTGATTACAGCTCATGTAGCCTGGACCTCCCAAGCTCAAGCAATCCTCCTGCCTCTGCCTCCCAAGTAGCTGGGACCACAGGTGGGCAGCACCACACCTGGCTAATTTTTTAAATTTTTTTTTATAGAGACAGGGTCTTACCATTTGCCCCAGCTGGTCTCAAACCCCTGGGCTCAAGCAAGCCTCCTGCCTTGGCCTCCCAAAGTGCTGGGATTACAGGTGTGAGCCACCACACCCGGCCTTATCTCCTAACATTTTGATAGCACAAAATTTTGAAAACCCACTTCTGTGTACGTTATGAAGCATAGAAAATTAAACAGTATGCACCAAAAAAAAATAAATACAAGTTATAATATTTTCTTTCTGTCCCCACACTTAAAAGACCACTCTTCTAAACCAGGCCACAATCATTCAAGCAAAGGCAGGCACTTGGGGCCATCCTCCTCCACTTTCCCCTAGGGAAAACAAACAAAACCAAAGGAAAAACAAAAACAAAAACAGGTTTTAAAGAGTGCATGTTTCCCAGTTCCAGGGAAAATTATAGGCCAGAACACTGTTGTGGCAAACATGCATCCTTACATACTGCAGGGTAAACCAAACATGCAACAAACTAAATTAATAATGATGAAACCAAACTAACAGTAACTTATAATTAAAAAGCCAGAACGGCAGCTGCTGGAAACAGGAGCAGATCCACCATCCTCGATGAAACTCTGATAATCAAATACCCTTTCCCAAAATGGCCAAAATCCTTGCTCACATATTCCAGGTAGGTTCTTTGCTCTGTAGCCAAGATGTGAGTAGCAGCCAGTCTTCCATAAGCTACTGAATTATCTCCTTGGTAAATTCTAATTGTGGGGCTAATTTTTGTTTCCAAATACTAATTTTTTTTTTTTTTTTTTTTTTTTTTTTTAGATGGAGTCTCATTCTGTTGCCCAGGCTGGAGTGCAGTGGTGCGATCTCTGCTCACTGCAAGTTCCGCCTCCCGGGTTCCTGCCATTCTCCTGCCTCAGCCTCCCAAGTAGCTGGGACTACAGGCACCCATCACCATGCCCGGCTAATTTTTTTGTATTTTTTTAGTAGAGATGGGGTTTCACCGTGTTAGCCAGGATGGTCTCGATCTCCTGACCTCGTGATCCACCCACCTCGGCCTCCCAAAGTGCTGGGATTACAGGTGTGAGCCACCATGCCCAATCTTTTTTTTTTTTTTTTGAGGCAGAGTCTTGCTCTGTCGCCCAGGCTGGAGTGCAGTAGCTCCATCTTGGCTCACTGCAGTCTCTGCCTCCTGGGTTGAAGCAATTCTTCTGCCTCAGCCTCCTGAGTAGCTGGGACTGCAGGCATGCGCTGCCATGCCTGGCTAATTTTTGTATTTTTAGTAGAGACAGGGTTTCACCATGTTGGCCAGGATGGTCTTGATCTCCTGACCTCGTGATCTGCCTGCCTCAGCCTCCCAAAGTGCTGGGATTACAGGTGTTAGTCACCACGCCCGGCTTCCAAATACTAAATTTAACTAACACTCCAAAGCTCGCTCAGTAGGGTTCCAGTAAGTGGGGATTCTCATCTTACTTAGAAAGATGAAGTCTGTTGGAAGGCACACCACATGCCTGTAAGAACCCAAGAAAGGGCTGGCAAATGTGGACCACTTCTTGGACTTCATCTAGATCTAGTGGGGAGAGGTCCCCAGCTTGTGGGCAGTGGAGAGTCTTCCAGAAGCCCTTGAATCCTTACCTGCCACCCTGTCTGTTGACCTGATTGTGAAAGTGCAAATACCCTCATGCAGGGACTCCAAGAAACTGCCAACCTTAAAAAAAGTGGGAGGGTTGGTGTATTGGTTCATGCCTATAATCCCAACACTTTGGGAGGCTGGGGCAGGAGGATTGCCTGAGCTCAGGAGTCGGAGACCAGCCTGGGCCACATAGAGAGTCTATGTCTCTACTAAAAATAATACTTTTTAAAAAATAGCCAGTTGGGCCGGGCGCGGTGGCTCACGCCTGTAATCCCAGCACTTTGGGAGGCCGAGGCGGGTGGATCACGAGGTCAGGAGATCAAGACCATCCTGGCTAACACAGTGAAACCCCATCTCTACTAAAAATACAGAAAAAAAAAATTAGCCGGGCGTGTTGGCGGGAGCCTGTAGTCCCAGTTACTCGGGAGGCTCAGGCAGGAGAATGGCGGGAACCCGGGAGGCGGAGCTTGCAGTGAGCCGAGATCGGGCCACTACACTCCAGCCTGGGAGACAGAGCAAGACTCCGTCTCAAAAAAAAAAAAAAAAAAAATAGCCAGGTGTGGTAGCACTGGCCTGTGATTCCGGCTACCCTGGAAGCTGAGGCAGGAGGATCACTTGAGCCCAGGAGATCGAGGCTGCAAGTGAGTCATGATTGTGCCACTGCACTCCAGCCTGGGCAACAGAGTGAGACCCTGTCTCCAAAAAAAAAATCTAGCCCTGTGTTTCCTAACATCGGTGTGAGGCACCCCCATACCTCTCTTCCCACTTTTTTTTAAGACAGGGTCCCGCCCTGTTGTCCAGGTTGGAGTACAGTGGCAGCATGATCATAGCTCACTGAAGCCTAGACCTCTTGGGCTCAAATGCTTTTCCTGAGTAGCTGGGACTACAATGCACACCACCATGCCCGGCTAATTTTATTTTTTGTAGAGACAGGGTCTCACTATGTTTCCCAGTCTGGTCTTGAACTTCTGAGCTCAAAAGATCATCCTGCCTCAGCCTCCCGAGTAGCTAGGACTAGAGGCTCATGCCACCATACCCGGCTAGTTTTTATTTTTAGTAGAGACAAAAACCTCACTTACGTTGCCCAAACTATTCTCAAACTCCTGGACTCAAGCAATCCTCCTGCCTCCGCCTCCAAAAGTGTTGGGATTACAGGTGTGAGCCACTGAATCTGGCCCATAGGTCTTTTTTTTTTTGAGATGGAGTCTCAACTGTTGCAGGGGCTAGTGTGTAGTGGCACAATCTCGGTTCACTGCAACCTCTGCATCCCGGGTTCAAGCGATTCTCCTGCCTCAGCCTCCCGAGTAGCTAGGATTACAGGCGCCAGCCACCATGCCCAGCCTGGCTAATTTTTTGTATTTTTAATAGAGACGGGGTTTCACTATGTTGGCCAGGCTGGTCTTGAACTCCTGAACTCGTGATCCACCCGCCTCAGCCTCCCAAAGTGCTGGGATTACAGGCGTGAGCCATGGCGCCCGGCTTTTTTTTTTTTTTTTTTTTTTTTAAGACAGTCTCGCTGGAGTGCAGTGGCAGAATCTCGGCTCACTGCAACCTCTGCCTCCCGGGTTCAAGCGATTCTTGTGCCTCGACCTACTAGTAGCTGGAATTACAGGTGTGAGCCACCACACCTGGCCAGATCTTTCTTAATACCTCAAAACAACTAGGAATTTGGGCTGGGCATGGTGGCTCACGCCTGTAATCCCAGCACTTTGGGAGGCCAAGGTGGGTGGATCACTTGAGGACAGGAGTTCAAGACCAGCCTGGCCAACATGGCAAAACCCCATCTCCACTAGAAATGCAAAACCTAGCCAGGTGTGGTGGCACACACCTGTAATTCCAGCTACTTGGGAGGCTGAGGCATTTGAACCCAGGAGGCAGAGGTTGCAGTGAGCTGAGACCACGCCACTGCACTACAGCCTGGGCAACAGAGCAAGACTTCGTCTCAAAAAACAAAAAAAAACAGCTAGGTTTGGCTACAAAGGATTCACAGGGTATTGGAGACTGCAGTTGGAACAGAGTTTTCCCAAAAAGCAACAGGGCTTCTGCCTCCTGGGCTTAGCAGATGTGACCTTGGACAAGTTACTAAGCCTTTCTGAGCTTCATTTTTCTCATCTGTAGGATGAGGTGTCTCCAGGTTATTGTGAAGATGTGTATATGCGGTGCTTTATGAACCACAAAGCTGCATGTGGTTGTCAGGTTCCCTCTTCTGGCCTTGTGAGCTGGAGACACACACACACATTTCTCCCCAAACTGTCTCAGCCCCCAGGCACCTACTGCAAGGACTCGGGGATCGTGCAGAGGTGCAAAGGAGTCGTGCCCTCCTCAGTCAGCACATTAGCCTTGGCTCCGAAGGTCAGCAGCAGCCGCACACAGTCAAACTGGGCTCGGGCACAGGCCTCATGCAAGGCAGCGCGACCCCCGACACGGGCATCCAGCTCAGCTCCCTGCCGGATCAGGTGTCGAGCACAGTCTGTGTAGCCTCGGGCTGTAGCGATGGCGAGGGGTGCCGTCTGCTTGGTCTTGGGGGTCAGCACCCAGAACCCTAGGGAGAGCAAATAGTTTTGGGAGGTGGTGTATAAGACAGGGCAGGGCAGGGAGTGGGGATGCTGGTTCCAGCTGACAGCTGACACTGGCCTTCCCTCTGCATGGTTTGCTGAGCACAAACACTGCCAGGCTGTACCTGTGGAAGGGGGCTTATTCAAGTCCTGAAGTGGAAGAATAAATTGGAACAGCCTTTTAATACAGCTTATCAATCTGTAACAAAACATAGTATGTGTCATAAAAAAATTAATTGCTGTATAAAACCACAGGGGCCAACTAAGTAGAGTGACTCCCATTAAGGAAATCTCAGCGTCTTTGAATGGCTAATAGTGTCAAAGGCTTGTTCACCTTGGGGCCTGGGGTGGTGGCTCACACCTGTAATCCTAGCACTTTGGGAGGCCAAGGCGGGATGATCACTTGACCTCAGGAGTTCGAGATGAGCCTGGGCAACATAGTGAGACCTTGTCTCTTTTTTTTTTTTTTTTAGGCAGGGTCTCGCTCTGTCCCCCAGGCTGGAATGCAGTGGCGCTATCTTGGCTCACTGCAAGCTCCGCCTCCCGGGTTTAAGTGATTCTTCTGCCTCAGCTGCTGAGTAGCTGGGATTACAGGTGCGCACCACCATGCCCGGCTAATTTTTCTATTTTTAGTAGAGATGGGGTTTTACCATGTTGGTCAGGCTGGTCTCAAACTTCTGACTTCGTGATCCGCCTGCCTTGGCCTCCCAAAGTGCTGGGATTACAGGCGTGAGCCACTGTGCCCGGTCAACTTTTAATTCTTAAAAGACATACAGACTGCTAACCCTGCCTCATCTCTGTTTAGGAGGGAGCTAGGATAGGTGGTGGAAAGGGCTGCTATAGTCTGTGGTCTGCAGGGAAGGAGGGGCCTAGACTCTCCCCCTTCCCCACCCACTCCCCTTCTTTCTCCCTCCTCTTCTGCCCTCTTCTGGTGCCCCCTACCCTGTTCAGCCGACCAGGCCAGCTGGTTGCTCACAGTCTCCACAATCATGTTGGCGGCCTCTTCATCTTGGAACAGGGCTTGGACCTGCTGCAGGTTGCCGGAGAAGAGGGCTTGGTGGACAGCTGGGTCTCGGCAGGAACGGTGAGGCCTAGTGAGTCGGGCCCGGGGACTTGACGGGCACCTGCGGCTCCGGCACTGCTGGGCAGCCGCCCGCCGCCGGTCCTCCCATTCCAGCCACTCCTGCTGCAGGCGGAGAGAGCGCAGCATGGAGGAGGTGAAGGGGAAGGTCTCTCTTGCCATGGATGGGGCCCAGGGGTTTGGGCAGTGGCACCTGGGCAGAGCCAGGTTCCCTCGACCCGACTACCTCCCTTGCTCTGAGGAGCCACCCTGCCCCCGCCACCGTGAGCCAGAGAAAGCAGCAGCTGAGGCTATAAATAGGTCCTTTGCTGCTCTGGTAAACATGGTTTGCTCAGAGTCATGATCCTGGTGCTGAGAAGCTGCTGGCCCAACCCCCAGCCCAGGGTGAGGGCCAGCCCCTGCCCCTGCCGATACCCTTTGGTTGGTCAGCAGGCCCTCAGCTGAGGCCACCCCCGAACCCCAGCATCTGCATCCACCTTCATCTCTAGAGCGAGCATCTTGGGTTGGCAAGGTCCAGGGTGCGCAAAAAGGTCAGTCATGGAGATGGGCAGGGCTGGGAGGAAGACAAGGTGCCTCCAGCCTCTCTGATGTTGGCTGGAGGGCAGGAGCCACCATTGGCCCACGTGGAGGAGAGAGGGCTGACCTCAGCACAGGAGGTAAGGGGAGGTCAAGGCAGAGTTACTGAGAAGGTGAGCAGCTCTTCCCAGCATCTGCAGTAACAGCAATAACTCTGTACATATGCACAGAGTTTCACGGTGTTTAAATCACATTCATATCCACCTTCACCCAGGGGATCATACTTCCCAGCCCACCCAATAATTAGTAAACTTGGTTTGGACAATAAATGAAATTATCACAGTTGAATGCCCCTGAGATGGGTGGTCTTATCTCTGTTTTACAGATGAGGAATTTAAGGCTTAACAAAGTAATCTACTGGCTCAAGGTCACAGTTTGTGAGAGGCAGAGCCAGGACCCCACATAGATGGTGTGCTTTGGGCCAAGAATGGTGGCTCATGCCTGTAATCCTAGCACTTTGGGAGGCCAAGACAGGAGGATTGCTTGAGCCTAGGAGTTTGAGACAATCCTGGGCAACACAGTGAGACCTATATCTTTTTTTTTTTTTTTTTTTTTTTTGAGACAGAGTCTCACCCTGTCTCCCATGCTGGAGTGCAATGGCACGATCTTGGCTCACTGCAACCTCCGCCTCCCGGGCTCAAACGATTCTCTTGCCTCAGCCTCCTGAGTAGCTGGGATTATAGGCACCCGCCACCATGCCCAGCTAAATTTTGTATTTTTAGTAGAGATTTAATTTAGGGTTTCACCATGTTGGCCAGGCTGGTCTCGAACTCCTGACCTCGTGGTCTGCCCGCCTCGGCCTCCCAAAGTGCTAGGATTATAGGCGTGAGCCACCACCCCCTGCCTCTCCATCTCTTAAAAAAAGAAGAAAAAAAAAAAAAGATGGTACACTTTTTGCCTTCAGCTGCTGCAGCCACCTGGCAGCCTCCCCCATTCTCCAAGCAGGACAGACTAGTCTGTAGAAACTGCCTTCAATCATCCTTTTTTTTTTTTTCTCATGGTGTCACCCAGTCTGGAGTGCAGTGGGGTGATCTCGGCTCACTGAAACCTCCGTTTCCTGGGGTTCAAGTGATTCTCCTGCCTTAGCTGCCTGAGTAGCTGGGATTATAGGTGCATGCCACCATGCCCAGCTGATTTTTGTATTTTTATTTATTATTATTTTTTTTTTGAGATGGAGTCTCGCTCTGTCACCCAGGCTGGAGTGCAGTGGCGCGACCTCGGCTCACTGCAAGCTCCGCCTCCCGGGTTCACGCCATTCTCCTGCCTCAGCCTCCCGAGTAGCTGGGACCACAGGCGCCTGCCACCACACCTGGCTAATTTTTTGTATTTTTAGTAGAGACAAGGTTTCGCCGTATTAGCCAAGAATAGGATGGTTTCGATCTCCTGACCTCGTGATCCGCCCGCCTCGGCCTCCCAAAGTGCTGGGATCACAGGCGTGAGCCACCGCGCCCGGCCGATTTTTGTATTTTTAGTAGTCGGTTTCGCCATGTTGGCCAGGCTGGTCTGAAACTCCTGACTTCAGGCGATCTGCCCGCCTCGGCCCCCCAAAGTGTTGGTATTACAGGCGTGAGCCACAGCTCCCAGCACCTTCAATCATCCTTGATTTATTTTTTTAACCCAGCTGCTAAGGGGGCTCACATGGCCGGCCTGAGGAGAGCCAAGGGGTTGAGCTGGAAACTCTGGGAATGGACCTAAGATGTTTAAGCCACAGACCTGTTCACTCTTAGGAGAAAGCAGCTGTGCTTCCAGGAGCCTCTAGGGGGAGGAATGAAGCCGTGAAACCACACAAGCTGGTGTGCCTGCCAAGCTGGGGAAGGGGAGGGCTCAAAAGCTCTGCTCACCCTGAGCTCACTCAGTGCACAGCGGCCTGCAGGCAGGGCTGGTCTGTCCCCTCTGCATCTGGGGCTCCTCCTGGCCCTTCTCCCGCTGCCTGTCCTGCCTCCTGGCCCTGCAGCAGCACCTTGCCCAGTGATCTTTTATTTCTTCCTCTCCCTAGGCCCTTCCCATAAGCAAGTTCTAGCTCCTGTTCTTACATTTTCAGGGACTGTCTCAAGTTCAGCCCCTCGATGTAATGCCTTAAACCTGGATCAACTCAGTCTTTCACCTGGTGTTTCTTCCTCTGGCCATATCCCTTCTGCTCCGCTGCCGGAATGATCTGTCTAAAATGGTTAATTCCCTTGCTTAAAAACTTCTGCTGCCTTCCAATACCTGTCCTTTCATTTTTTTAAAATAGGGCTCCAAATCCTGGCCTCAAGCAGTCCTCCCAAGTCAGCCTCCTGAATTGCTGGGATTACAGGTGTGAGCCACTGCACCTGGCCTGCCCTTTTCAACTAAGCCCCCAATTCCTTGGTTTGGCCCCATGCCACTCACGTAGGGTAGGCATCCTCATCACGCACGGCTCCCCACAACCGTTCCCTGTCAGGCCATTCCCTTAGCTCAGAATTCCCTCAACACCTTCCTGAGGATCTACCCCTAAGGTCACCTGCTCTGAGAGGTCTCTTCAGCAACCCATTGCCTGACTCTTATAGTTCCAGCCACTGCCCAATCTGCACTCCTGAAGGACTCAGGGGCACGCTGTAAAGCACCTATCTATGCTGTTGATGTGGGTCTGCCATGCTGGATGTGGGCTCCAGAGCAGGCCCTGGCAGTCAGAGCACTTGGCTCATGGCAGGCGGGCCTCTTATGTGTAGTGCATTGAACGAAGGTCCCTGTTCTCTGCCAGAGCAAACATCCATCCACCCGCCCGCCCAAGTGGGTGGCAGCAGCCTGGGCTTTTTCCGGCATTGCCCCTACTCTACTGTTCACCTACTCTCTGCCTGGCTCCAGCCTCTTGGTGGCAGTCCAGGGTGGGGGATCCCAGAGGAGGAATTAGATCATACAAAGCAAAGCCTGGAGGTCCTCAGAGAAAGATGCCTCTATAAATGCAGCCTTGATGAACCCTGTTGGCACCCATTTGGTGTGTTAATTGCCACATCAACGGCCTGGCTGGGCACCCACAGCTGGGTTCCCAGGGTTGAGAATCTGGCAAGGCTGGGTGAGACCAAGAGAGGCCAAGGCAGGTGGGTGTCCCCTTCCTCCCTGAGGCACACAAGAGTCATAGCCTAGCCCCTCCCCTGCCTTCTTGCCACACAGACCTGAAGGAGCTAGGTACCCTAACAGCTTAGTCCCAAGATACCACTGTATTCAGTCCCCTTGTCTGTAGAGTTAGCTTCCTGAGGGCAGAGAAAGGAGGCCTTGACTTCAACCTGGAGGGAACAGGGCCAGGTGATCAGATGCCCAGCCTGCCTTCTGGGATCTCAGAGCCTGTGGGGTAGTGAAGCACACAAGAAGCCAGGATGTGAGCGTGGGATTGATCAGGACTGAGCAGGGGGACCGGGGCTCATGGGTGTCAAGAATGGGGAATAGGCCCAGGGCAGAGGGGAGCTTTTATTTTTTTAGAGACGAAATCTCCCTATGTTGCCCAGGCTGGTCTCAATCTTCTAGGCTCAAGTGATTCTCTCACCTCAGCCTCCCAAGTGGCTGGGACTACAGGTGCATGCTGCCACTCCCAGCTGTGGGGGTTTAGGTGCAGGAAGATCCCAGTGTAGATGGGGAGTTAGCAGGGAGTGGAAGGTGGGAGAGAAGGAAATGTATGGTAGGTTCAGGTAGAAAAACCCAATGGGAATGTGAAGGGACCAGGGTGCAGGGGAATTAGCCCCTTCTTGCCCTGGCCTTGTGGCACAAAAGCCTCTAGAACAGGGCCCTGCTGTAATCAGCAGGTAAGTGAACATGGAGTTCTCAAAGCACTTACTCACTTCAGCCTTAAGACTGGGATCCAGTGGGGCACTGTGGCTCACACCTGTAATCCCAGCACTTTGGGAGGCTGAGGTGGGAAGGATCACTTGAGCCCGGGAGTTCAAGACCAGTCTGGAGAACACAGCAAGACTCCATCTCTACAGAAAAATGTTGTTAATTAGCTAGGCGTGGTGGCACGCACCAGTAGTCTGTTACTTGGGAGGCTGAGATGGGAGGACTGCTTAAGCCTAGGAGATCGAGGCTGCAGTGAGCCATGATCACACCACTGCACTGCACTCCAGTTTGGTGACAGAGTGAGACCATGTCTCTAAAACGACGACAACAACAACAACAAAACTGGAATCCATGGGATCAGCCTCTTTGGGAAAAGGAGATTAACGCTTCCCCCCAGAGGAGTGCCAAGCCCATGCCCATGGAAGGCCTCTGTCTCCTAGCTGCTTAGTGCAGGCTGAGGCTAAGGCAGGAGGGGCTGGCTGTCAAACAGGGCTATTTATTATTTTATTTACTTATTCAAGAGATAGCATCTCACCACCTTGCTCAGGCTGGGCTTGAACTCCTGGGCCCAAGGGATCCTCCCACCTCGGCCTCCCAAAGTGCTGGGATTACAGGCATGAGCCTCCACACCTGGCCCAAACCGGGCTCTTTAACCTGCCTCCTCTTGCCCATGAGTTGGGAGAGTTTTCCCAACTCCTCCTTCCAGAAAGGAAAACAAGGTTGGCAACTTGGTATAATTAGACCTTTTACACCCCACCCATGCCTCTTGTCCACCTCTAGTCCGAAAATTGGTACAGAGAAGTCACAGCAATGAAGAGTTGCTTGGCAACAAAATTTTATTTTATTTTACTTTTTGAGATGGAGTCTCGCTCTGTCACCCAGGCTGGAGGCAGTGGCGCGATCTCGGCTCACTGCAAGCTCCGCCTCCGGGGTTCACACCATTCTCCTGCCTCAGCCTCCCAAGTAGCTGGGACTACAGGCGCCCGCCACCATGCCTGGCTAATTTTTTGTATTTTTAATAGAGACAAGGTTTCACTGTGTTAGCCAGGATGGTCTTGATCTCCTGACCTCGTGATCCGCCTGCCTCGGCCTCCCAAAGTGCTGGGACTACAGGTGTGAGCCACCACGCCTGGCCACACTTGGCAACAAAATTAAGTAGTTTGAGATCATATCCCAAAGTATAAAATAAATACCTGTAAGTCCATGCTGATATAAATGGATGAATGAATAAATAAGGGAGAATAGGCAAATCTCCCATGCAGAAGAATTCCAAATAAACTGCCGGGTGCGGTGGCTCACGCCTGTAATCCCAGCACTTTGAGAGGTCGAGGCGGGCGGATCACAAGGTCAGGAGTCCGAGACCATCCTGGCTAACAAGGTGAAACCCCGTCTCTACTAAAAATACAAAAATTAGCTGGACATGGTGGCGGGCGCCTGTAGTCCCAGCTACTCGGGAGGCTGAGGCAGGAGAATTGTGTGAACCCGGGAGGCAGAGCTTTCAGTGAGCCAAGATTGTGCCACTGCACTCCAGCCTGGGCAACAGAGCGAGACTCCATCTCAAAAAGAAAAAAAAAAAACAAAAACCTGTGTAGATATTCTGCCCTTAAGGAGGTAGAACATAATTCCCCAATTCTTAAATGTGGGCTGCACACAGTGACTTCCTTCCAAAGGGTCCAGTACAGAAAGAAGAAAAAAGAGTAACTTTACAATGGAGAAGTCTGGCAAAGTTTACCTCAGTCAGGTGATCAAAGTCAGCATGAACCCTTCATAAGATGTGGCAAGAATGGCACCTGACCTCTGGTCTTCCTCTCCAAAACCCAGAACCTCAGTCTAATCATGAGGAAACATCAGACAAATCCTGATAGAGGGGGATTCTACCATATGCCTACCCGGTACTCCCCAAAACTGTAAGGTCATCAAAAACAGGGAAGGTCTGAGAAACTATCACATCCAAGAGTCAGGATGATTGTGAAATGGGATTCTGAGGGGAAAAGGACATTAGGGGGAAACTGAGTAAATCTGAATAAAGTATGGAGTTTAGTTAATAATGATTCATTGTGACAAATGTACCATACTAAGGTGTTAATAATAGGGGAGACCACACCTGTAATCCCAGCCCTTTGGGAGGCTAAGGTAGGAGGATCACGTAAGTTTGAGACCAGCCTGGGCAACAATAGTGAGACCTTGTCTCTATGAAAAATTAAAAACTTAGGCCGGGCATAGTGGCTCACTCCTGTAATCCCAGCACTTTGGGAGGCCGAGGCGGGCGGATCGCGAGGTCAGGAGATCGAGACCATCCTGGCTAACATGGTGAAACCCCGTCTCTACTAAAAATACAAAAAGTTAGCTGGGCGTGATGGTGGGCGCCTGTAGTCCCAGCTACTCGGGAGGCTGAGGCAGGAGAATGGCGTGAACCCGGGAGGTGGAGCTGGCAGTGAGCCAAGATCGCACCACTGTACTTCAGCCTGGGTGACAGAGCGAGACTCCGTCTCAAAAAAAAAAAAAAAAAAAAAGAAAAGAAAAATGTAAAAATTAGCCAGCCATAGTGGTGCTGCCTGTAGTCCCAGCTACTTGGGAGGTTGAGGCAGGAGGATTGCTTGAGCCCTGAAGGTCGAGGCTGCAGTGAGCTATGACTGGGCCACTGCACTCCAGCCTGAGTGACAGAGAGAGACCCTGTCTCAAAAAAATTGCTGGGCATGGTGGCTCATGCCTGTAATCCCAGCACTTTGGGAGGCTGAGGTGGGGGGATCACCTGAAGTCAGGAGTTTCAGACCAGCCTGGCCAACATGGTAAAACCTCGTCTCTACTAAAAATAAAAAAATTAGGCTGGGCACGGTAGCTCATGTCTGTAATCCCGGCATTTTGGGAGGCCGAGGCGGGTGGATCACCTGAGGTCAGGAGTTCAAGCCCCGCCTGGCCAACATGGTGAAACCCTGTCTCTACAAAAAATACAAAAATTAGCTGGGCGTGGTGGCAGGCGCCTGTAATTCCAACTACTTGGGAGGCTGAGGCAGGAGAATCACTTGAACCCAGGAAGCAGAGGTTGCAGTGAGCCGAGATCACACCATTGCACTGCAGCCTGGGCGACAAGAGTGAAACTGCATGTCAAAAAAAAAAAAAAATGAGCTGGTGTGGTGGCGTGTGCCTGTAATCCCCAGCTTCCGGAGGCTGAGGCAGGAGAATCTTTTTTTTTTTGAGACGGAGTCTTGCTCTGTCGCCCAGCGCCCAGGCTGGAGTACAGTGGCGTGATCTCGGCTCACTGCAACCTCTGCCTCCTGGGTTCAAGCAATTATCCTGCCTCAGCCTCCTGAGTACCTGGGATTACAGGTGCGTGCCACTACGCCCCGCTAATTTTTGTATTTTTAATAGAGACGGGGTTTCACCATGTTGGCCAGGCTGGTCTCGAACTCCTGACCTCATGATCCGCCCACCTCGGCCTCCCAAAGTGCTGGGATTACAGGTGTGAGCCACCGCGCCCAGCCGGCAGGAAAATCTCTTGAACCTGGGAGGTGGAGGTTGCAGTGAGCGGAGATTGCGCCAGCCTGGGCGACAGCGAGACTCCAGCTCAAAAATAAATAAATAAAATAATATTAACTGGGAAACTGGGTGTGGGGTATGTGGGAACTCTCTGTACTATCTTTGCAATAAATAAATCTATAAATTTAGAAGTCTAAGGCCGGGCATGGTGGCTCACGCCTGTAATCCCAGCACTTTGGGAGGCCAAGCGGGGTGGATCATGAGGTCAGGAGATTGAGAATATCCTGGCTAACACGGTGAAACCCCGTCTCTACTAAAAAAAAAAAAAAAAAAAAAAAATCAGCCGGGCGTGGTGGCAGGAGCCTGTAGTCCCAGCTACTTGGGAGGCTGAGGCAGAAGAAAGGCATGAACCCGGGAGACGGAGCTTGCAGTGAGCCGAGATAGCGCCACTGTACTCCAGCCTGGGTGACAGAGCGAGACTCCGTCTCAAAAAAAAAATTTTAGAAGTCTAAAAGTATATAAAAAAGAAAAAAAAAGAGAAAAAGAGTTGCCTGAGCCCTTTTGTGGCCACACAGCACTGGCAGGGCAGTTAGGCAGGAGCAGCAGGGGGTGGAAAAGAAAGGGAGGCAGAAGAAGCAGGAGATGCTTTATTTCAGAACAAGGTACAATAGGCCACACCTCTGTCCTGCACCTGGGAACCTTGGGCATGGATGAGCAGAGCAACCACAGGTCTGAAGAGACAAAGCAGAGGAAGCCTGAGCGTGCTTCTCCCCTGTGTGGAGGGGCAGGCCGCCATTGTTGTGGTGTGGCTCCTTTCATCTCCTCAGCTGTCCAGGGACTAGGGTATGAAGGGACAAGAAAACCAGGCCCAATATCCTCTAAAATTAAGCTGAGGCAGGAGAGGGACACCCAAGGCGAGGGTGACAGGCCTTTCTTGTTGGCTGGAGAGCCAGTCTCCGGCCGGATTCTGGTGCCAACGGCAAAGGAAGGCCCAAAGTGAGGGCAGCGCAGAGATGAGGGGGCTCTCAGGGAAAACACCCAGGGTGGGAGCAACCACAGAAGCCCCCCGGCTGTGTCCACTCTCCAATCATGCTGGCCTTCTTCTCCCCCTTGGATGTGACCAGACACATGCCCAGAGCTGCCTGCTCATGGTGGGTTGTCCTGCGTTGGGGCAGTCTCAACTACTGGTCCCACAGAAGAAGTCTTCAGGAAGCTCACTCAGGAGTCCATCCAGGTCATCTACAGAGAGGGGAATGATGGGTAGCCTTAGTGACAACATCAGCATTCCATGTGACTCAGGTCCAAAGTTTCTGCCCTTCAGGAGGGCCTGGACCTGGCTGTATAGCTGGGCAGGCGGCTCCTCCAGGCAGTGGTACCCATGCCAATGGGCCTGAGGCTGGCCTGACTTCCATCTTCCCTCTGCTCCCCTTGTACCCGTACATGACAAAAGGCGGGGGCGTAATCCCTGGGCCATTCTGACGAGGAAGAGGATTCCCCTGAGCCTCACTGATTCCTCTCCTTCCATCCAGTCATAGTGCCAAACAAGAAGGCTTCAGAGGTCACCTAGTGCAACTCTCATTGGCTGAAGGAGAAAGAGGGCTGGGAAAAGCCATCAGATGTGTTCAGAGTTACACAGTTCCTTAATTGGCTTCTCATCTGACAGTGGAAAATATCACCCCCTTCCTCAAAGTGCCTGTGTAAGACTACAGTTCTCAGATGTGGTACTTATGTCCGAGAACTTGGACACAGCTGACCTCGATAATCCCTAGCAATATTATTTACTAGCAGCAGCTAATACTGACTGAGTGCTTGCTCTGTGCCTCAATAAACATTCATAGGTAGGGCATCTCCAGTTAGCTCCTGTTATCAACCCCACTTTACCTGAAACAAACTTTTTTTTTTTTTTTGAGACAGAGTCTCACTCTGTCGCCCAGGCTGGAGTGCAGTGGCGTGATCTCGGCTCACTGCAAGCTCCGCCTCCTGGGTTCACACCATTCTCCTGCCTCAGCCTCCTGAGTAGCTGGGACTTACAGGCGCCCACCACCACGCCTGGCTAATTTTTTATATTTTTAGTAGAGATGGGGTTTCACCGTGTTAGCCAAGATGGTCTTGATCTCTTGACCTCGTGATCCACCTGCCTTGGCCTCCCAAAGTGCTGGGATTAGAGGCATGAGCCACCATGCCCGGCCCACCAGCCCTAATATTCTATAATCAACTCTCTGTCACTACCAGCAACCTTCTGGTGATGCCTTGGCTTGTCTCACAAAGAAAGAGTGCAGGCTTCCAGGCAATGCAAGATTCCAGGATAAGAGACATATGCTTTTTCACAAGATATAATGGCCTTTGTGGTTTATCCATTGGTATACTGTGAATTAGGTAGTGTGAGAACACCTATCCATAATTGTGGGTGGAAACCTACCCAGGTGCCAGGGCAAGAGACTGAAGGCACAAACTGTTCCAGTATAATAAAGAAAACAGAATAAGAAAAGTTATACTAGAAATAGGATATAGAGATGATTATATATGGATTTTTTTTATTTTTGAGATGGAGTCTTACTCTGTCGCCCAGGCTGGAGTGCAGTGGCACGATCTCGGCTCACTGGAAGCTCCGCCTCCCAGGTTCATGCCATTCTTCTGCCTCAGCCTCCCGAGTAGCTGGACTACAGGCGCCCGCCACCACGCCTGGCTAATTTTTTGTGTATTTTTAGTAGAGACGGGGTTTCACCATGTTAGTCAGGATGGTCTCGATCTCCTGACCTCGTGATCCGCCCACCTTGGCCTCCCAAAGTGCTGGGATTACAGGAGTGAGCCACCGTGCCCAGCTATATATGAATATTACCAATCATTAGTTTTTAATACTAATCTCTGTATTATCATTATAACCGAGAAAAAAAACAGCCAGTACAGAGTCAGGAGCTGAAGGCACATTGTGAGAAGTGAGCAGAAGACAAGAGTGAAAGTCCTCTGTCACGCCCTGATAAGGGCTGCCTGATGACACCTTGGTCTAGCAGTAGCGCCAGTGCCTGGTAAGGCACCCGTTACTTAGCAGACCTCAGTCTTGCGGTAGCGCCAGTGCCTGGGAAGGCAACTGTTACTTAGCAGACTGGGAAAGGGAACTCTCCTTGGGGGAGTTCGAGAACACTGCTCCACCAGCTCTTGTGGGAGGCCTGACATTAGCCAGGCCTGCCCACAATCATCTGGAGGCTTCAACGTCTCCCTGTGATGCTGTGCTTCAGTGGTCACGCTCCTTGTCCACTTTCATGTTCCGCCTGTATACCTGGTTCTTCTTTTAAGTTCTTGGAAGATAGCAGTAGTGAATTAGTGAAAGTATTAAAGTCTTTGATTTCTCTGATAAGTGCACAGAAAAAACGCTGACATATGCTGTCCTCCCTCTCTGCTTCAGCTACCACAAAGGGAAAGGCCCCCATCACGTGGACACGTGACTTGCTTGACTTTATCAATCTTTTGAGATGACTCACACTCCTTACCCTGCCCCCTTGCCTTGTATACAATAAATAGCAGCGCATCCAGGCATTTGGGGCCACTACCGGACTCCACGCATTGGTGGTAGTGGCCCCTTGGGCCCAGCTGTCTTTCCTACTTTCTCTTAGTCTTGTGTCTTATTTTTCTATAATCTCTCGTCTCTGCATACGAAGAGAAAACCCACAAGGCCCAGTAGGGCTGGACCCTACATCTGGCACCCAACTCTTGTCTTCTGGTCACTTCTCACAATGTCCCTTCAGCTCTTGACTCTATATTGGCTGGTTTTTTTCTCAGTTATAATAATAATACAGAAATTAGTACTAAAAACTAATGATTGGTAATATCCATATATAATCATCTCTATATCCTATTTCTAGTATAACTTTTCTTATTCTAACTATTTTCTGTATTATACTGGAACAGTTTGTGCCTTCAGTCTCTTGCCTCGGCACCTGGGTAGGTTTCTGCCCACATATAATCCTGTGAACTTTGGGGCCAGACAGGATTGAATTTTTGGAATTGAAAAGCTAAAGACCAGGCTGGGCACGGTAGGTCATGCCTCTAATCCCAGTACTTTGGGAGGCAGAGACAGAAGGATCGCTTGAGCCCCAAGAGTTCGAGGCCAGCCTGGGCAACATGGCAAAACTGTCTCTACAAAAAATTTAAAAATTGCTGGGCATGGCCGGGCGCGGTGGCTCACGCCTGTAATCCCAGCACTTTGGGAGGCTGAGGCGGGCAGATCGCGAGGTCAGGAGATCGAGACCATCCTGGCTAACACAGTGAAACCCCGTCTCTACTAAAAATACACAAAAAATTAGCTGGGCATGGTGGCGGGCGCCTGTAGTCCCAGCTAATCAGGAGGCTGAGGCAGGAGAATGGCATGAACCCGGGAGGCGGAGCTTGCAGTGAGCTGAGATCGCACCACTGCACTTCACCCTGGGTGACAGAGCGAGACTCCGTCTCAAAAAAAAAAAAAAATTGCTGGGCATAGTGGCACATACCTATAGTCCCAGCTACTCGGGAGGCTGAGGTGGGAGGACTGCTTGAGCCTAGAGGCCGAGGATGCAGTGAGGCGTGTTCATAACACTGCACTCCAGCCTGGGCAACAGAATGAGACCCTGTCGCAAAAATAAAAATTAAAGTAAAAAAAGCTAAAACTAGATCCTGAATGGTGTTAGTTTCACCTGGGTGATGCTGCCTTCTGAGGAAGCAGCTGGCCCAACCACAAGGGGTCTGCATTTGGGCCTCTCTGGTTTGTAGCCTGGTTTTCCCAAAAACCAGTGGACGTCTTGACTCCTCAGCACTCCTCTAAGCTTACTCAGGATGGGAAATCTGCCTCTGTGGTCTGGTCATCAGCCCACAGAGGACTCAGAGTGTGGCACAAAGATAGCGCCTGTCCATCTGGACAGGGGATGGTGATGTTTCCTCCTTGTGGCTGATGGCACATAACCTGAAAATGGGGGAAACCTGTGGATGACACTTTGTTTTACATGGCCCCATCACACTGTTAACGAGTTTGTGGCCTGCAGCCTTGCCAAACAAGACACTGTATCTGATTTCTGTAAGATTATATAAGATCCAAAGATTCATGGAAAGAGGAACAAGATATAGCCAGGAAGATTCTGGTTCAGCTATTCAACAGGAAATAGAACCTCTCTTGCTCCCAGATGGGCTGACTGCTTTACCTGCTTCTGGGAGTTCTTCCTCAGGGGACGCCTCTGCCTCTAGGTTCTGTGCTGTTCTGAAGCCTTCCTCGGGCTTTGCAGCCACATCATGCTGGAAGCTCCCTGAATCCTGGGGACAGAGGATCTGGTTACCAATGCCTGTGTCCCTGAAATCCCTTCAGATGGCACCACCTCTACCCAGACAACCTCAAACGAACAGTGTGGGGCTCAGGAAAGAAACATGATGGGGCCAGGTGTGGTGGCTCACACCTGTAATCCCAGCCCTTTGGGAGGCCGAGGCGGGTGAATCATTTGAGGTCAGGAGTTCGAGACCAGCCTGGCCAACACGGTGAAACCACATCTCTACTAAAAATACAAAAACAGAGCCGGGCATGGTGGCACACGCCTGTAATCCTAGCTACTCGGGAGGCTGAGGCATGAGAATCGCTTGAACCCAGGAGGCAGAGGTTGCAGTGAGCCAATATCGTGCCACTGCACTCCAGCCTGGGGGACAGAGTGAGACCCTTGCTCCAAAAAAAAAAAAAAAAAAAAAAAAAGAAACATGATGGAAGAGTATGGCAGAGGCCAGCCACCCAGGCCCATGCTGAAGGGAGGCAGCTGAAACACCAAACACCCAAAGCAGCAGATAATAAACAAAACAAAAAACAAACCTCTTTTGGCTGATTTGCTTTCCTAGTTCTGTTGGTATCTAATATTTTAGAGATTCTCTATAACTAGAGCAGAGAGTGAAGAGGCCATTCAGAAATACATTGAAGAGTTAGCCTGAGATTTAAAATTAGTTGTTAACAATCCCCAAAGGAATATATAGCTAATATATGGGCAGGTAATTAAAACTGGTAATTAAGGCCAGGCACGGTGGCTGATACCTGTAATCCCAGCACTTTGGGAGGCCAAGGCAGGAGGATCACTTGAGGTCGGGAGTTTGAGACTAGCCTGGCCAATATGGTGAAACCCCATCTCTACTAAAAACACAAAAACTGGGCCTGGCACGCCTAGTTCATGCCTGTAATCCCAATACTTTGGGAGGCTGAGGCAGGTGGATCACAAGGTCAGGAGTTCGAGACCAGCCTGACCAACATGGTGAAATCCCGTCTCTACTAAAAATACAAAAAGTAGCCGAGTGTGGTGGCACACACCTGTAATCCCAGCTACTCAGGAGGCTGAGGCAGGAGAATCACTTGAACCCGGGAGGTGAAGTTGCAGTGAGCTGAGAACATGCCACTGCACTACAGCCTGGGTGACAGAGTGAGACTCCATTTCAAAAAAAAAAAATAAATAAATACCGGTAATTAAATGGTTAACCATGGTTAGTCCTAGGAAATAGGAGTGGGGAAGGGTAGGACCCATTTTTTGCTTATTCTGTGCTATTTTGATTTATTTCAATAAGTATAGATAATTTGAAATTTAAAAGAAAAATAGGCCGAGCACGGTGGCTCATGCCTATAATCCCAGCACTTTGGGAGGCCAAGGCAGGCCAATCACCTGAGGTCAGGAGTTCGGGACCAGCCTGGCCAATATGGCAAAACTCTGTCTCTACTAAAAAATACAAAAAGATTTAGTTGGGCATGGTCCCAGCTGTTCGGGAGGCTGAGGTGGGAGAATCGCTTGAATCTGGAAGGCAGAGGTTGCATTGAGCCAAGGTCACGCCACTGCACTCTGGCCTGGGTGACAGAGCAAAACTGTCTCAAAAAAAAAAGAAAAGAAAAGAAAGAAAAAGAAAGGGTTTAGAAGTGGGGTGATTTTGAGAGAATGTGGAGGGGCTAAGGGGAAAGATGAGGAAAATGGAAGTGGAAAGTTGGAGCTTAGATGAAAACCTCTGTCTAAGATGACTAGAGGTCATCAAGTCAAACGTACTATAGATGAAGCTGTTGCAAGGGAGGCAACAGGACTTGCCCAAGGTCACAGTACACGTTTTCAGTACACAAGATCCTAGGAAGGTGGTGGGGGCAGGGCAAGTCAAGCCCAGGCTCTACACTCTCAACCTGGAGTGGATCTGCCTGGAAGCCCATGCTTACCTCCCATAAATGCCAAATGCTCGTCTCGGTTCCTAAAGAGGATGTCCCCACCAGTGCTCTGTGCAGCTTCCCCCTAATTTAGCAGAGGCAGATGCCAAGAGGGAAGACACAGAGCAGGTGCTGGCTCACCTGACAGGCCATTTGTAGCTCACTGTTCTCCACACTGCCACCTGTAGCAGATCTGACCCTCGGTCATTTACTGCCACCACCCCCTGGTGGGCCCTCCACTTGGTTAGTTCTCAAGTGACTCCTATCCTCTCAGATGTTCAAGCCTGCCATCAGATGCTCAGGGATCACCAAGAAGCCAGCTGCTCCTCTAGGTACTGTTACTGAGCCATCTGCCAGGCGGCTGGATGAGGGATAGGAGATGGTCCTGTCCCCAAAGATACCTTTTCACCTCAGAGCACCTGCCCCCTTCAGACCTCTGCTCCCCAGGGTGGAAGAGAGGAAGAAATCAGAAGATCCAGGCAGAAGGAGGGCCTTACCAGTCTCCCGTTTCTTCCTGCTCCTCTTACCTTGGGGAAGGGCTGAGATGGCTTGAGGAAGCTCCCATCCCCAGAATCCGGGCTGTAAATATGGACCAGGTTGTTGGGTGTCACGTTGAGGTAGTGATTTCGAAGTGAAGGAGAAAACACTCCAATCTGGAGTCAAGGAAAGGGAAGGTCAGTGTCCTGATGGAGCACTGGGAGCTGCCAGATGGACACCTGGCTCCCACCTGCCTTTCACTTGGTGTCCTCTGCCTAGCCTTGGTGCCAGAAGAGAACCATTTGCCACAATCTCCCCTTAACACAACCCTCCATCCCTATCCACCCTGAAGAATGGGGGCCAGCTCAAGGGCCACAGGCCTTCCCTGAGCTCAAGCCAGGGCCTAGCAATGGTTCAGCCACTCCGTGCCTGGTGTTGTAGAGGAAGGCAGCCAAACAGGTAAGGAGACAGACACTGAGGGCTCTATCCGGGGGGCAGTGGTGTGGAGAGCTGCTCCCCATACCTGCTTCAGCAGCAGCACTGAGCCAGGCTTCAGCTCATTCTGGCACGTCTCCAGCAGCAACCTGTGCACCGTCCCCTGCATCTCTCCTGCAAATACCACATGGCCCATCAGTCTCGGGGTCAAGGGCAGCACAGCGACTGGTATGGGCCCTGGCTGGGAAGTGGGCTGCTCACTGCCTCAGTTTTCCTGTCTGCAAAGGGAGAGGGTGATTCCACCTCATTTCCTGGCCTCAATGGAGCCCACTCACCAGACAACCTAGGACCTAATTCCTTACCCGTGGGGTCCTTGAAAACCACACTGGCGTCCATTGTGCTCCGAGTCAGGGACTTGATCATCACCGCCATGTTGGGGACCTTGTTCCTAGGAAGCTGCTTCAGGGCTGCCTGCTTACAAGGAGAGGCATATGCTGAGCCTTCCACGGCCCACTTGTGACTTCCCAGGTCTCCAAGTGTGCCAGGGCAACCGGGGTTAGGAGGGGTCAGAGTATAGTTATAGTGATGATCTTCTTTGTGGAGGACAAGGAGGTACCCCATCTCTCTCTGACAGACCTAGAGCTGGGAGGTCCTTCATTTCTCTCCCCTGCCTCCGTTCTTTTTTATTTTTTGAGAGGGAGTTTCGCTCCCAGGCTGGGTGCAATGGCACAATCTTGGCTCACTGCAACCTCCACCTTCTGGTTTCAAGCGATTCTCCTGCCTCAGGCTCCCAAGTAGCTGGGATTACAGGCGCCCACCACCACGCCCGGCTAATTTTTGTATTTTTAGTAGAGACAGGGTTTCACCATGTTGGCCAGGCTTGTCTTGAACTCCTGACCTCGTGATCCACCCACCTCGGCCTCCCAAAGTGCTGGGATTACAGGCATGAGCCACCGCACCCGGCCTATTTTTTTATTTTTGAGATGGAGTCTCGCTCTGTCGCCCAGGCTGGAGTACCATGGCACGACCTTGGCTCATTGCAACCTCCGCCTCTGGGTTCAAGCGATGCTCCAGCCTCAGCTTCCTGAGTAGCTGGACTTACAGGCGTGTGCCACCAAGCCTGGCTAATTTTTGTATTTTCAATAGAGGGGGTTTCACCATGTTGGCCAGGCTGGTCTCGAACTCCTGACCTCAAGTGATCTGCCCGCCTCAGCCTCCCAAAGTGCTGGGATTACAGGCGTGACCCACCCCGCCTGACCTGTTTGGTTTTTGTTTTTTTCTTGAGTCGGAGTTTCACTCTTATTGCCCAGGCTAGAGTGCAATGGCACATCTTGGCTCACCGCAACTTCTGCCTTCCAGGTTCAAGCAATTCTCCTGCCTCAGCCTCCTGAGTAGCTAGAATTACAGGCATGTGCCAACACGTCCGGCTAATTTTGTATTTTTAGTAGAGACAGGGTTTCTCCAGGTTGGTCAGGCTGGTCTTGAACTCGCGACCTCAGGTGATCCGCCCGCCTTGACCTCTCAAGATTATAGGTGTGAGCCACCACGCCCGGCCTTGGGTTTTTTTTAAAGGAGACAAGCTCTCGCTCTATTGCCCCGGCTGGAGGGCAGTGGCACGATCATAGTTCACTGTAGCCTCAACCTCCTAAGATCAAGTGATCCTCTGGCCTCAGCCTCCCTAGTAGCTGGGACTATAAGACATGTGCCACCACATCCAGCTGATTTTTTTTTTTTGTATTTTTTTGTAGAGACAGGGTCTCGCTTTGTTGCCCAGGCTGGTCTCGAACTCCTGACCTTTGTGATCCTTCCACCTCAGCCTCCTAAAATGCTGGGATTACAGGTGTGAGCCACTGTGTCCAGCACTTTCTTTTGTTTATATGTGTTTACACAATGTTCCATCATAACAGTCACAGGCAGGGATATGTTGGCACATGTACTGGCATGTCTCTGCACACAACCCTTAACCACTAGGGAGATTTGAGGGTGGCAGTGTGCTCACCCCACCCCACCCAGGGCCTGGAAGTGCAGAGGCATACCATAACCCACTCTCTCCTTCCACCTGGGCCCAATCCTATGGATGACAGTGAAAAGGTAGGTAAGTGGAAGATACAACCAAAGGGGCTTCGTGCTGCTACTTGTATAGGGTACGAGGGAGCAAACAGCCCCTTCCTAAGGTGGAGTAGGGCAGTAGGTCAGAGAGAGGGAGAAAAATGGTCTTTCCTTTGGGTCTCAGCACCCAGAATCCTTACCTTGCGCAGCACCATGACAATGCTGTAGGTACAGAGGAAGCAGCTAGGGTCTCTCTCATCCAGGCCTAGCGTGGATTTCATGGTCAGCCAGGGCCCTCGCCCAAAATCCTCCTCCACAGATGCCTGGGAACTAGCAACAATCTGGTACCACAGAGCAGAGGGGGAGCCTGTATGAATAGGTCTACCTTGCTACAGACTCTTGATTGAAACAGGGTGGAAGGGTGAGAGAGGAAAGGCAAATCCCCTCGGAAAAACTGTAGTACAATGGCCACAGTCTCTCCTCTCATTTATCTCCAAGGCCAGAAAATGGTATGTGACATCTTTTTTTTCTCTTTTTCTTTTTTTTTTTTCTGATTGCTTTGGCATTTGAAGCACGTGAAAATCTTGTCGCGTATCACAGGTTTCATTCAGCAGATACTCTTTTTTTTTCTTTTTAAAATCAGGTCCTGTCTGCAGGACTAGGTATGAAAAACAAATTTTTAATAAAATCAGCTCCTGGGCCAGACGCGGTGGCTCACACCTGTTATCCCAGCACTTTGGAAGGCCGAGGCGGGTGGATCACCTGAAGACAAGAGTTCGAGACCAGCCTGGCCAACATGGTGAAACCTCGTCTCTACTAAAAATACAAAAATTGACTGGGCGCAGTGGCTCACACCTGTTACCCCAGCACTTTGGGAGGCCAAGGCGGGCAGATCATGAGGTCAGAAGATGGAGACCATCCTGGCTAACATGGTGAAACCCCGTCTCTACTAAAAATACAAAAATTAGCCAGGCATGGTGGCACACGCCTGCAGTCCCAGCTACTCAGGAGGCTGAGGCAGGAGAATAGCCTGAACCCAGGAGGCGGAGGTTGCAGTGAGCCGAGATCACGACACTGCACTCCAGCCTGGGCAACAGAGCGAGAATCCGTCTCAAAAATAAAATAAAATAAAATAAAATAACATAAAATAACATAATAAAATAAAATAAAATAAAATCAGCTCCTGACTTTAACTGCATTGAAGCAGAAGGCTATCTACGCTTATTTTTTGTAACAGACTCAAAAAGTCTTAGGGGTAGGGATCCACCACATATATTTATAGGCTTCCAGAGTGGCTTAGCCATTTTGAAACCAGTCATATTCTATTTGGCATGCTTCTAGCTTTAACAATTAACCTTCTTACATTAATACATGCTTTGAATCCAGAGAGTATCTGCTGCTTTGGATCTGAAATGGACTGGCAGATCTGCGGAGCTACAGCAGAGAAAAAATACTGGGGAGAATTAAAAGCAAAACTGGGTTTGAGGGCAGAGCAGGTCAACCAGAACCCCAAGGAGAAGGGAAGCAGGGTCTCACCCACCAAAGGGAACCCAGCAAAGGCAAGAGAAGGCAGATCCTTCCCAGCTCAGTTCTCAGAAACCTGAGAGGAAGGGCTCCTGAGACACAATCTCATAATACTTATCACAGTCTCCTCCCCCAGGGGAAGCTGGAGCTAGCTGGGCCTTTATTTCTTAGATGGGAAAGAAGGCTGGACCCATGGCATCAGATAATACCTACCTGGCACCAGGACAGGCCTCACTTAATGCCAGTAAAATTGCTGCCTCCCCCAACTACCTGCCTCAAATGCCTTTTAGTGTGTGACACCAGCAAACAGGCCTAGCAGCATCAGCTCTTGATTCTTAACTCCTGAAACACACAGGGACGCCCCTCACTCTCAAATCACACCCAGAAAGTTAACATTTGCATAAGTTACCTCTGTCTGGAATTTAGCCAGAGCACCATGGGTTGGAGTTTGGGGCGCGGAAACCATGATGTCCTCCAGACTTCTCCCACTCTGCTAAGAGGGGAGGGAAGGAGAAGATGAGAGCAAGCTTAGCAGCTGTTATTTACAAGTACAGCTTATTGTCTGGTTTACATAATGAGTTCAGGAAATGATCAGGGACTATTAACACATATTACATCTCTCCTAACAAAGTCTCAGGAGCCTCTTTGGCAGCTCAAAAAAGATACTTTGGGGATTGGTTTGAAAACGTGAGGAAGCCGGAGCTCGCCCAGGTGCAAAAACCAGGGCTGCCTGAAGGGGGCAGTGACCCAAATAGAGAGGCCTGGCTGGGCGTGGCGGCTCACACCTGTAATCCCAGCACTTTGGGAGGCTGAGGCGGGTGGATCACCTGAGGTCAGGAGTTCGAGACCAGCCTGGCCAACATGGAGAAACCCCCATCTCTACCAAAAATACAAAAATTAGCCAGGCGTGGTGGCCCATGCCTGTAATGCCAGCTACTTGGAAGGCTGAGGCAGGAGAATCACTTGAAGCTGGGAGGTGGAGGTTGCAGTGAGCCGAGATTGTGCCACTGCACTCCTGCCTGGACGAGAGAGCAAGACTCTGTCTTAAAAAAAAAAAAAAAGAAAGAAAGAAAGAAAAATTGAGAGGCCTGTGATGAGCAAAGGGGCAGCTTTCCCCAAGTCCTAACCCTTTCCTCCAGGGAGATCCAGCCCAGGAGGAACATAGACGGCCTCTTTGGATATCTGCTAACATGCTAGGGAAGAGCAAGTAACAGGCAGAAATTGTTTCAAACACCCTTAAAATGGGAGGAAGAGGGCACACCTATCACAACCAGTCCAGATCCTCAGAGTCCAATTATCTGGGATCTGATCCAAGACTAGTTTAATCCAAGTCTCACCAGGGCTGTCTCCTTTTCAGCCCCAGCTTCCCCACACCTGCCACAATGAACTGTTCTGTGGATCTGAGAGCACCTTGCTCTTCTGCCTCTGTGCCCTTACACATGCTCTTCCCTGCTTTCCCACTGCCAGAACATCCACAGAGCACAGCGCCCGCTCCGCCACACACCTGTTAACCTCCTACTCATCCATCCAAAGCCCACTCAGCAAGCCTAAGGCAGAGCCAGTGTCTTCCCAGCACCCAGGGAATGACCCCTGTTCACACTGTGTGCTTTGTGCATGTTTGTTTGTTTACATCTGTTTCTTCCATTTCACTGTAAGTTCTTTAGGACAGGAACTGTTTCTTTTAATCTCTGTATTCTCAGTTCCAAGCAAATTGTCCAACACATAAGACCTTAACAAATGCACAAGAATGACTTCCTGCCCTAGTGCACACCTGTAGTCCCAGCTATATGGGAGGCTAAGGCGGGAGAATGGCTTGAGCCTAGTTCATGACCAGCCTGAGCAACATAGCCAATCTCTAATTCTTAAAAAAAGGAAAAGAGGGTCTTCTTAAAAAAAGGAAAAGAGGGTCAGGCGTGGTGGCTCACGCCTATAATCCCAGCACTTTGGGAGGCCGAGGCGGGCAGATCACTTGAGGTCAGGAGTTCGAGACCAGCCTGGCCAATATGGTGAAACTCTGTCTCTACCAAAAACACAAAAATTAGCCAGGCATGGTGGCGGGGGCCTGTAGTCCCAGCTACTCAAGAGGCTGAGGCAGGAGAATCGCTTAAACCCAGGAGGCAGAGGTTTCAGTGAGCTGAGATTGCGCCACTGCACTCCAGCCTGGATGTTGCAGCAAGACTCCATCTCAAAAAAAAAAAAGGAGAAGAAAAAAGAAAATTATGATGTCCTCAGAGCCTTAAGCACTTCTTCACAGTGGATTTTCTAGCATTCAGTTCTTCCCTTTTATTTCTCCTGCAGCTTTGAAAAGCCTCTCTGCACTTCCTTCCTTCCTTCTCTGCAAGAGGGAAGATATGCTAGGGCTGGACAGTGCTGGAACCCTGCTTCTCTCCCTTGCCCACCAAATCCTAGAAAGCCAGCTCACTCACCTGGTGAGGCAGGATCCCAGCTGGGCCAGGGAAACGGCGAGTTTTGGCTCGGGTGGAGGGATGGGTGGGCTGCTGGGGTGTCCGGCTGGCAGCAGTGACTAGCTGCACCAGGTGGTTGGTGACTATGGGTGTCTGCAGAGCTCCCTGGGGACCTTTTGGGGTACCAACAGGAGACCCAATGGAAGACACTGGAGCTTGCGGTTGTAAGGGTATCCGAGGAAATAATCCAGAGCTAGTCCTTGAGGGAGTAGAACAGCTTGAGTTGGGAGTTCGAGGTCTGGGTAAATGAGCTTTGCCACTTAACCAGGAACTTGGAGACTGGAATGGCTGACAAGGGAAACGATTTTGAGGGCTGCTCTGAATGGTCCCTCTAGCAGCTTGGAGAGGCTGAAGTGCTTGAACAGGGGAGCGTTGCGGACAGACTTCCCAGTGGAGTTGCTGAGTGGGAACTGTTAAGGCAGTTGGAACAGGAAGGTGACCCACAGCACCAGGTCTCAAGGGGGGTCGTGGAGTCCTACATTGGATGACAGGATCTAGAGACTCATCCTGGGCGGACATGATACCCGCTTTGTGGATGGCAGGCACAGGCCCCTTCTGGCAAGATCCACTCAGATCAACTACCCGGGCTTTTTTAGCCAATACTGAACCCTCCCGCTGCTGGGCAGGCAGGATTGGTATGGCCTCACTGCTGACTCCACATTCCAGCTCCATGCCAGGCTCCTCCAACTCCATGCTTGCCAGGACTTTATCAAATTCGTCTTGTTCAGGCCCCTCAAAGCCACCAACTTGCTGCTGTTGGCTCTCAAAGGTGAGTAGGGGGTGTAAGGCTGAGGACTGAGGTCTTGCTGTCTCTCTGAGCACTTCTGTCACTGTCACTCTTCTCTGATTGCCAATCCAGCTGCTGGAAGTAGAGACAGGCCTTAGGGGAGCTGCTCCTATGCATGATGGACGGCTGTCAGCACTGGGCGTGCTGGAGGCAGGGAGGCAGAGGTCCAAGTCTGGCAGGCCCAAAGCCTCTGAGGGAGCAGTGGGGTGTAACAGCAGCAGCCTGGAGGACTGTGCCTGCACAGTCTCCTGTGGCCTAGAAGAGACAGGTCTCAGGCGCCCAGCATTCACAGGCAGTGAGCCAGTAAACCGGTTCTCTGCATCCTCCACAGCAGACAAGAAATCCTACAAGGAAGCAGAGATGGTAGGTCTTGGCATCTGGAAATCAAGAACCCCTCTGCTTTTACTGTTCAGGCACATGGCGTGTATGTTTGTGTGTAGATACTTGAAAGAAACCAAAGCATGAGGGTCGGGCATGGTGGCTCATGCCTGTAATCCCAGCACTTTGGGAGGCCAAGGTAGGAGGATCACTTGAGGTCAGGAGTTCGAGACCAGCCTGGCCAACGTGGCGAAACCGTCTCTACTAAAAATAAAAAAATTAGCTGGGCATGGGGGTGCACACCTGTAGTTCCAGCTACTCGGGAGGCTGAGGCAGGAGAATCACTTCAACCTGAGAGGCAGAGGTTGGCAGTGAGCTGAGATGGTGCCACTGTACTCCAGCCTGGGTGACAAAGTGAGACTCTGTCTCAAAAAAAAAAAAAAAAAAGAAAGAAAAGAAAAAGAAAAAGAAACCAAAGCATGAAAGCCAATAGTGGTGTCTCTTACCACCTCTGACCTCACCCATGGCCCTACACAAGGCTCTATCAAAAACACTCCAATCTAAGGCTAAGTCTTCAGGTAACCTCTTTCTTCAGTCTTCATGGGTGGGGAGAGGGGCAGTTAGAGGAGAACAGCAGGAGAAGCAAACGTTCCAGGGAACCAAGAAGTCAGACAAATCACCCTAGGTCACACAACAACCATCTCAAGGAGACCACTTTCTGGTGTCTGGCCTGTTATCTAAACAGGGATCTATCCAGCTGGTCATGCTGCCTGTCCTTAGCTCACTCCTCATCCCCAATACACACTCGTGTGCTCTCTTTCTCTCTCTCTCTCTCACACACACACACACACACACTACACAGAGATAGCTACCCTTCAGTAAGCCAGAGAGGACTTGGAGCCAGCAAAAAAGGCAGAAGTTAAATATAGCTTTTCAGGCAAGCTAAATAAAGTATGGATTCCAGTTGGGAAGCAAGGTGAGATTGACACCTTCAAGAGCAACAGACCTGTTCTGAGGGTGGTTTTGAGTCAGAACTGCTGATTTAACTGACAGGAGGGTCCCCACCACCCCCACCCTCTGCTACTGCACTGGATTGTCTGGGCTACAGAAAGGCTTTTTCCTGCTTTGTGTATTATTAAGTGAGTCCCATACTCAGGCAGGACAACCACAGGACTCAACAATAATAATAATAACCAGAACTATAGCAGTAATAAAATCCTGATGACTCTGGAGGTTGATGGTCTTTTTTCTCCCAAAGAGCTCACTCTCAGACATGACATCATCTGCTTTAGGAAGGGGGAAGGGACTGATCTGCCATTTTCAAGGAACAGAAACTTCAGCTGTCAGATTCCTTTACTCTAATTCCATTACTCACTTAGCAGTCCCATCATCACCTTGTAAGACCCAAGAGGGTCATTTTAACAGTCACTTTTTCAGCCTGTAATCACATATCTCCAAAGCTGAAAGACAAAGACAAGGACACATCTCCTTGACAAAACTGGCAGTTGTGAATTATTTGTAAAAGCAAAAATCAGGACGGGCCCACTGGCTCACACCTGTAATCCCAGCACTTTGGGAGGCCGAGGCAGAAGGATCATTTGAGCCCAGGAATTTGAGACCAGCCTGGGCAACTTAGTAAGACCCTGTCTCTACAAAAAAACGAAAAATTAGCTGGGCATGGTGGCACACACCTGTAGGCCCAGCTACTGAGGAGGCTGAGGTGGGAGGATCACTTATGCCTGGGAGGTTGAGGTTGCAGTGAGCCGTGATTGTGCCATTGCACTCCAGCCTGGGTGACAGAAAGAGATCCTGTCTCCAAAAAAAGAAAGAAGTTCACACAGTGGGGGCTGCCGGGGGCAGGGAGGTGGAGAGCATCAGGAAGAATAGCTAATGCATGCTGGGCTTATTACCTAGGTGATGGGATGATCTGTGCAGCAAACCACCATGGCACATGTTTACCTATGTAACAAACCTGCACGTGTACCCCTGAACTTAAAATAAATGTTGAAGAAAAGGAAAAAAAAGAAATATCCCTGGCTGGGCCATTCCCAGAAATTCTGATTTAATTGGTGTGTGGTAGAGCCTAGACAAGGGTAATTCTAACGTGCGAGCTTTGGATCTAGTCTCACCCCTCATCTTGTGATTAGACAGAGGGAAGGGAAGAACATCTGAGGCAGAAGAGCATCCCTCATATTGTAGAAGAGAAAACAGAAGACCAGAGAATAAAGTAACTTGCCCTGATTCACATAGCCAATTGCTGACCCCTGGCCTCCTGCCATCCAGTAACTATGCTATCTCTTACATGGTTCTGGCTCTACATACACAGCCCTTCCCACTGCAAGTATGTTATCATAGAGGTGAATTAAATCAGCTAGATGACACAGCTTCCAGGAAAGAGCCCTTATAATTTAAAGGTATGACAATTAGGCAATTCATTGCTCTGGTTTTTTGTTTCTAAGACAGTTAAGTAGGTTGTTTACACTTCTCATCACTTCTCAGCACCTCACAGGCAAAAACATACACATGTCAACTAAAAGGAGGCTGGTACAGGCTAATCCAAAATGTTCTGAACCTGAGTGTTTACATTTTAAGACCTCGTCTGCCACCTCTGATCATCAACACTTCCCTACCTCATCTTCAAACTCCTCTTCCACAGCAAACAGCTTCTGCAAACTGCACGCCTGAAAAGAAAAAAAACCAACTGGGGTTGAGAAATACCATTTGCAAGCACATTCTGTCCTCACTCTGCTTCTTCCCAGCACTAACAATACCATCAGGTATATTGTTTTTTGTTTGTTTTTGCTACGGCTGGGAAAGGACTAAGGAATGAGAAGAAATGGGATTTCGTTAAAGACTTAAACAATCTAGGGCCGGGCGTGGTGACTCATGCCTGTAATCCCAGCACTTTGGGAGGCCGAGGCAGGTGGATCTCCTGAGGTCAGGAGTTCGAGACCAACCTGGCCAACATGGAGAAACCTTGTCTCTACTAAAAATACAAAAGTTAGCTGGGCATGGTGGCTCATGCCTGTAATCCCAGCTACTCGGGAGGCTGAGGCAGGAGAATCGCTTGAACCCAGGAGGCAGAGGTTGCACTCCAGCCTGGGCGACAGAGTGAGTCTGTATCAAAAAAAAAAAAAAAAAAGACCCAAGTATTCTAAAAAACTTACTTAGCTGTGTGCAGTGGCTCATTCCTGCAGTCCCAGCTACTTGGGAGGCTGAGGTGGGTGGATCCCTAGAGCCCAGGAGTTTGAGGCTAGGCTGGGCAACATAGTGAGACCCGCCTCTTAGAAAAAGATTAAAACACTTTCTGCCAGGCACGGTGGCTCATGCCTATAATCCCAACACTTTGGGAGGCCAAAGCTGGTGAATCACCTGAGGTCAGGAGTTCAAGACCAGCCTGACCAACACAGTGAAACCCCATCTCTACTTAAAATACAAAATTTGGTCGGGCGTGGTGGCTCACACCTATAATCTCAGAACTTTGGGAGGTTGAGGTGGGGGCGGATCACAAGGTCAGGCGTTCGAGACCAGCCTGGCCAACATATTGAAACCCTGTCTCTACTAAAAATACAAAAAATTAGCTGGGCGTGGTGGTGGGCATCTGTAATCCCAGCTACTCAGGAGGCTGAGGCAGGAGAATCGCTTGAACTGGGAGGCAGAGGTTGCAGTGAGCCGAGATCGCACCACTGCACACCAGCCTGGGCGACAGGGCAAGACTCTGTCTTTAAAAAAAAAAAAATTAGCCGGGCCTAGTGGAGCATGCCTGTGATCTCAGCTACTTGGAAGGCTAAGGCAGGAGAATTGCTTGAACCCGGGAGGTAGAGGTTGCAGTGAGCCAAGATTGCACCACTGAACTCCAGCCTGGGCGACAGAGCAAGACTCTGTCTTAAAAAAAAAAAAGGAAAGAAAGATTAAAAAACTTTCTTGTAACATAATCCACTCAGAACCATCTGCACTAATCCTGGAAGGGAAGAAAGGGGGCAAAGGGAAGGCTGCCTAGGGGAGCAAGGGCAGTTCTCCAGGACTGTGCACATGGGCGTAAACATTTTGTTTTTGTCTTTTGTTTTGAGACAGGGTCTTGCCCTATTGCCCAGACTGGAGTGCAGTGGCAAGATCATAGCTCACTGCAGCCTCAATCTCCTAGGCTCAAGTGACCCTCCCACCTCAACCTCCTGAGTAACTGGGACTACAGGTGTGCACCACCGTGCTCAGCTAATTTTCTTTTTTTTTTTTTCTTCCTGAGACGGAGTCTTGCTCTGTTGCCCAGGCTGAAGTCCAGCGGCACGATTTTGGCTCACTGCAACCTCCACCTTCCAGGTTCAAGCAATTCTCCTGCCTTAGCCTCCCAAGTAGCTGGGATTACAGGCCAAGCCACAATGCCTGGCTATTTTTTTTTGTATTTTTAGTTGAGACAGGGTTTCACCATGTTAGCCAGGCTGGTCTTGAACTCCTGACCTTGTGATCTGCCCACCTCAGCCTCCCAAAGTGCTGGGATTACAGGCGTGAGCCACTGCGCCCAGGCTAATTTTTAAATTTTTATAGATACGGGGCCTCACTACATTGCCCAGGCCAGTCTTGAACTCCTGGGCTCAAGTGATCCTCCCACTGTGGCCTCCAAAGTGCTGGGATTATAGGTGTCAGCCACAGGCTGGGCATGGTGGCTCACTCCTGTAATCCCAGCACTTTGTGACGCCAAGGCGGGTGGACCACCTGAGGCCAGGAGTTCAAGAACAGCCTGGCCAACAAAGTGAAACCTCGTCTCTACTAAAAATAGAAATAAGTTAGCTGGGGTGGTGGTGCCCGCCTGTAATCCCAGCTTGTTGGGAGTCTAAGGCAGGAGAATTGCTTGAACCTGGGAAGTGGAGGTTGCAGTGAGCGGAGATCGCACCACTGCACTTCAGCCTGGGCCACAGAGTGAGACTCTGTCTCAAAAAAACAAACAAACAAAAACAGGTGTCAGCCACGGCCCCTGGCTTGGGCCTAAGGATTTTGCAATATCCCAAAGGTTTCGCCTGACCAATCTTATGTCAAACATAAGAGAAACTACCATAAATCCAAACATGTCTGCACAGTGGCATTGTTTCTGCAAATGAAGCCAGTAGTTTCCCTACCTAATCCAAGGCCCAAAAACTAGGGTCCCAGGAGAGTAGGATGCCCCAGTCCACGGTTCCTTCTTTCTAGCCAGCAGGGCTGCTGTAGCCAGTTCCTGATGAGTGTCAAACCCAGATCAGAGGTGGTGCCTAACCCCAGATGCCAGAGCCGCAGGAGCTACAGCTGGCGATACAGTTCCCAAGACTCTAAGGGTCAGAGTGAAAGGGGTGGGCGGGAGACGACGGTTGCAGTGAGCAGAGATCACGCCACTGCACTCCAGCCTGGGCGACAGAACGAGACTTCGTCCAAAAAAAAAAAAAAAAAAAGTAGAAAGTGTGGGGCGGGGAGGGGAAAGGGATGGACCCAAGCGGTAGTGACGTCTGAGCGCACTGGAAAGGGGGGTTTCCCAGGAGGGTAGGAAGGCAACAGGAGGGAAACTGAGGCCCGGGGGAGGAGAATGCTTTCTCAGGGTCTCCGGCGCGTCCATGACAAGCCCTGACGACAGCCCAGGTCTCCCGACTCCGCCGAACCCCCACCCAGACCCCGGTCCTGCAACTTGCGCGGGCGAGGGGCTGGAACCCCATGAGCAGTTCCGGAGGCCAGGGGGCCCTGCGGCCCGCCAGCCCCCAAGCTGGGCGCGGCATTACCATAGCGACGGCGGGTGGGCCTCGGCGGGGAGGTTGGCCCGGCACCCCGAGTCCGGGGAGTCGCCGGGGCCTTGGACACGACCCAGGTGGAAGTCTCGGACTCCGAGGGACAGTGCTTCCGGGCTGGGGTCAGAGGGATGAGTCTCTGCGATATAGGGAAAGTCGCCAGGAGACTGGCGGCAGGCGCCTTAGGCCGCATTCGAAGACGCCGCCACTGGGGCGTCTCCGCCTTCTTAAAGGGGCAGGCATATTTCTTTCCCGCCGACACAAAGGGCCTTCTCACTGTAGTCTTCCGCTCTGGTCTTAAAGGGGAAACGGATGGGCTCTCGGTCGCCCCCAAGCGGCTCCTCTTCCCAGTCGGCTGGTTCAGCACTGGTTCAGGTGAGATCAAGCATCTTGGCCCCACGATGCCTAATCCTGCCCCCGCCCCTTTCTTTTCCGTTCTTTTTTTTTTTTCTTTTTTAAACCGAATCTCGCTCTGTCGCCCAGGCTGGAGTGCAGTGGCGCGATCTCGGCTCACTGCAACCTCCGCCTCCCGGGTTCAAGCGATTCTCCTGCCTCAGCCTTCGAAGTAGCTGGGATTACAGGCGTAAGCCATGGCGCCCGGCCTCCCTGCTTGACTTAATACTGCTTCAGAGCAAGACTGTGGCTTTTCACCTTTGTGAACCAGCATGTGGCACATTGAAGACACTCAGAAAATGAGTTTGTTTTTGTTTTGAGACTTACTTTACTCCCTTACCCAGCCCGGAGTGCAGCGGCACAGTCATGGCTCACTGCATCCTCCACCTCTTGGGCCCAAGCAGTCCTCCCACCTCAGCCTCCTGAGTAGCTGGGATCACAGGCACACACCACCAAACCCAGTTAACTTTTTTTTTTTTTGACACGGAGTCTCACATTGTTGCCCAGGCTGGAGTGCAGTGGCACGATCTTGGCTCACTGCAACCTCTGCCTCTCAGGTTCAAGCGATTCTCCTGCTTCAGCCTACCAAGTAGCTGGGATTACAAGTGCCCGCCACCACGCCCGGCTAATTTTTTTTTTTTTTTTTTTTTTTTGAGACAGTCTCGCTCTGCAGGACAGGCTGCAGTGCAGTGGCATGATCTCGGCTCACTGCAACCTCTTCCTCCTAGGCTCAAGCAATTCTCCTGCCTCAGCCTCCCGAGTAGCTGGGATAACAGGCATGTGCCATCATGCCTGGCTAATTTTTGTATTTTTAGTAGAGACAGGGTTTCACCATGTTGGCCAGGCTGGTCTCGAACTCCTGACCTCAGGTAATCTGCCCGCCTCTGCCTCCCAAAGTGCTGGGATTACAGACGTGAGCCACTGCGCCCAGCCACGCCCAGCTAATTTTTTGTATTTTTAGTAGAGACAGGGTTTCACCATGTTGGCCAGGATGGTCTCGAACTCCTGACCTCAGGTAATCTGCCCGCCTCTGCCTCCCAAAGTGCTGGGATTACAGACGTGAACCACTGCGCCCAGCCACGCCCAGCTAACTTTTTGTATTTTTAGTAGAGACAGGGTTTCACTATGTTGCCCAGGCTGGTCTTGAACACCTGACCTCGTGATCCACCCGCATTGGCCTCCCGAAGTGCTGGGATTATAAACGTGAGCCACTGTGCCTGGCCTAAGCCCAGCTAATTTTTTTATGTTTATTTGTTGTAGAGATGAAGGCTCCCTATGTTGCCCAGGCTGAACAAGTGTTTGTTGAATGACTTGATGCCATTTGTCAGGAGGGAGTGCGAATGGCTGGGCAACTCAATGCTCACTTCCGCGGTGGCTCTTGCCTGTAATCTCAGCACTTTGGGAGGCAGAGGCGGGCGGATCACAAGGGCAGGAGATCGAGACCATCCTGGCTAACATGGTGAAACCCCGTCTCTACTAAAAATACAAAAAAATTAGCCGGGTGTGGTGGCGGGCGCCTGTAGTCCCAGCTACTTGGGAAGCTGAGGCAGGAGAATGGCATGAACCCGGAAGGCGGAGCTTGCAGTGAGCCGAGATCACGCCACTGCACTCCAGCCTGGGCAACAAAGCAAGACTCCGTCTAAAAAAAAAAAAAAAAGAAATTAGCCGGGCATGGTGGCGGGCGCCTGTAATCCCAGCTACTCAGGGGACTGAGGCAGGAGAATGGCTTAAACCTGGGAGGCGGAGGTTGCAGTGAGCTGGGATCATGCCACTGCATTCCAGCCTGGGCAACAAAGTGAGATTCTGTCGCAAAAAAAAAATTAAAAAATAAAGAATAATACATCTTCCAGCCGGGCGCGGTGGCTCACGCCTGTAATCCCAGCACTTTGGGGGACCAAGGCAGGCGGACCACGAGGTCAGGAGATCGAGACCATCCTGGCTAACACAGTGAAACCCTGTCTCTACTAAAAATACAAAAAATTAGCCAGGCGTGGTGGCAGGCGCCTGTAGTCCCAGCTACTTGGGAGGCTGAGGCAGGAGAATCGCTTGAACCCGGGAGGCGGAGCTTGCAGTGAGCCGAGATCGCGCCACCGCACTCCAGCCTGGGAGACAGAGCAAGACTCCGTCTCAAAAAAAAAAAAGAATAATACATCTTCCTCACAAGGTTGTTGTGAGATTAAATGAATTAATGCATTGAAATGGCTAACGCCATGCCTGGCCTATTAACAGGACCTCAACAAATGTGGATTCCCTTCCCCCTTACTTGAATTTGCAAACACGTGCTGGGAATTGTTATGGGAACCACATGGCTTGGGTTTGTATCTATTTCAGTATACTTGCAAATGCATTTCACCCTAATTTGTTTTTTTTGTTGTTGTTTTTTTGGAGACGGAGTCTCACTCTGTCGCCCACGCTGGAGTGCAGTGGTGGGATCCCAGCTCACTGCAACCTCCACCTCCCGGATTCAAGTGATTCTCCTGCCTCAGCCTCCCAAGTAGCTGGGATTACAGGTGTGGGCCACCACACCCAACTAATTTTGTATATTTAGTAGAAACGGGGTTTCACCATTGTTAGCAAGGCTGATCTCAACCTCTCAACCTCAGGTGATCTGCCTGCCTTGGTCTCCTAAAATGCTGGGATTACAGGCATGAGCCACCGCGGCTGGCCCCTAATTTGTATTTTTATCGAACAAACAGTTGTATTCGAGTCAGTGTGATGACATACTTTTTTTTATGTGTTTATCTTTACATTTGCCTTGGTATGGACGGTGGCATATTTGGATAGGAAGTGTGTGTACACGCTGAGAATCTTGTGTAGGTGATTGGGTATTGCCCGTTGAATACGTGTATGGAATTAAATGTGTGTTGTTTGCTGCCTATGGGGGCGGGGAGGACTGATCTGTTTGTGTAGCTTTGTGTGCGAAGGTTGTGGATTCTGAGTTGGTGTGTAGGCAGCTATGTAAACCAGAGCTGTCCGATAGAACTTTCTGTGTTGATGGAAATGTTTTCTATTCACACTGCCCAACAGAGTAGCCACTGACCATGTGTGTCTATTAAGCACTTGAAATGTGGCTACTGCAGCTAAGAAACTGAAGTTTTAATTGTGTTTAATTTTAATTAATTTAAATGTGAATAAACACTAGTACACCACAGACTGAAACTTCAAGGTTATTCACACACTAGATGGTGTGCATGCCCCTGCCTCTTACCACAGAAATCCCATCCCTCGTGTCCGACCCCAGTGGAGCCCCACCTGGGCGTGTGCGTACATGTGTATGTGCGCATGTGTGTGGGTGTGAGCCGTACCTAGGGGGCCGCCCCCCTACCCAAGTACCCAGCCGAGCAGTGAATCAGCCTGACAATGAGGTGAGTCATTCATGAACTGCTCCAGGCTGGCCCAGCGGGCGGGAAGCAAACGTCAGCCAGCCTGGAAGCCCTACCCACCCCAGCCCCACCAGTGGGATCGCTCAACCCCACGCACTGCAGATGTTGTTGAAGCAACTGACGCGGGCGAATCAAGGCACGGAAGCTCGGCCCCTCCCTCTAGTTTGCAATCCATTCATCCCTCAGCTTCTCTCTCCCCTCCAGTGGCATGTGAGTCATCTCAAGATCTCCCTGAGGACAGAGACATTCAGCTCCTCTATCCTTTACACCCCTGATCCGACACCCACCTCCCCAAGCCTATCCCAATTGCTTCTCCCTCAAGGCTGGGGGCTGGGGGAAGGGAAGCTGGACCCCCTGGGGAGGTGCCAGGGTCCTGCTTCATAAGCAAAGCTGACCCACTCAGGGCTGTGGGAGTTGGCTCAGGGTCAGTTGCAGCTGGCTGGATCCTGCGGAACTGGCACCTTGCTTGCTTGGGCAGCAGGAAAGGAGTTGCCCAGGGATGCTATGTGGAGCACTTGTGGCTTCCGGGGAGGACCAGGTAGGCAGGGGGCAAAAGTATTCCTCTGGTTTCCAGGAAAGACCCTCATAGTATCTCCCCAGTGGCTGACAATCTTCAGAGCCTGGTAACTTCTCTCCTCTGCATACCCCCTGGTAGAGAATGGGTTGTGTGGCCCATTCTTTCATTAATTAGCCTTATTCTCTTGGACTTAACATTACCTGATGCTTCTGACTTGGACAACTGGGTAGTGGTGTCCTTCACTGGATCAGAAAATACCCTCAAAAGCCTTGAAGTTATGTACACCCTTTGACAAAGCAGCTCCACTTCTGAGAACTCATCCTGAGAAAATAATACAGTCATTGACGCATGCCAAGATTTACCTATAAGAATGTGCATCACATGGGCCGGGCGCGGTGGCTCACGCCTGTAATCTCAGCACTTTGGGAGTTTAAGACCAGCCTGGCCAACATGGTGAAACCCCATCTCTACTAAAAATACAAAAATTAGCCAGGCGTGGTGGTGCACACCTGTAATCCCAGCTACTTGGGAGGCTGAGGCAGGAGAATTGCTTGAACCCAGGAGGCAGAGGTTGCAGTGAGCCAAGATGGAGTCACTGCACTCCAGCCTGGGCAACAGAGCAAGACACCATCCAAAAAAAAAAGAAAGAGAATGTGCATCACAATTTGCTTGCCCGCCCTTCCTTCCTTCCTTCCTTCCTTCCTTCCTTCCTTCCTTCCTTCCTTCCTTCCTTCCTTCCTTCCTTTTCTTTCTTTCTTTCCAGAGTTTCGCTCTTGTTGCCCAGGCTGGAGTGCAATGGCTTGATATCAGCTCACCACAACCTCCGCCTCCTGGATTCAAGCAATTCTCCTGCCTCAGCCTCCCGAGTAACTGGGATTACAGGTGTGTGCCACCACGCCTGGCTAATTTTTTTTTTTTTTTTTTTTTTTTTTTTGGAGAGACCGGGGTTTCTCTCCATGTTGGTCAGGCTGGTCTCAAACTCCTGACCTCAGGAGATCTGCCTGCCTCGGCCTCCCGAAGTGCTGGGATTACAGGTGTGAGCCACTGCACCTAGCCCACAGCATTATTTAAAATGGAAAAATTGGGCCGGGCACGGTGGCTCACGCCTGTAATCCTAGCACTTTGGGAGGCCGAGGCAGGCGGATCACAAGGTCAGGAGATCGAGACCATCCTGGCTAACACAGTGAAACCCCGTCTCTACTAAAAATATAAAAAATTAGCCGGGCGTGGTAGTGGGCGCCTGTAGTCCCAGCTACTCCAGAGGCTGAGGCAGGAGAATGACGTGAACCCGGGAGTCGGAGCTTGCGGTGAGCCGAGATCACGCCACTGCACTCCAGCCTGGGAGACAGAGCAAGACTCCATCTCAAAAAAAAAAAAAAAAAAAAAAAATTGGAAACAACTGACGCATCCGTCAAAAGAGCATCAAGTAAAGAAACTACGGCTGGGCGTGGTGGTGCACGCCTGTAATCACAGCACTTTGGGAGGCCAAGGCGGGTGGATCATGAGGTCAGGAGATCGAGACCATCCTGGCTAACACAGTGAAACCCCGTCTCTACTAAAAATACAAAAAATTACCCGGGCGTGGTGGCGGGCGCCTGTAGTCCCAGCTACTTGGGAGGCTGGGGCGGGAGAATGGCGTGAACCCGGGAGGCAGAGCTTGCAGTGAGCCGAGATCACGCCACTGCACTCCAGCCTGGGTGACAGAGCGAGACTCCGTCTCAAAAAAAAAAAAAAAAAGTAAAGAAACTACAATAAAACAATACAATGGAATACCATGCAGCCACATAAAATGATGTTGTGGAAGATTTAATGCCATGGGAGTATTTTCATGATATATTACATCAAAAATCAGACTGTGTGCTTGCTTCGGCAGCACGTATACTAAAATAGGACCCATATACAGAAGAATGCCATAGACCCTGCACAAGAATGACACGAAAATTTGTGACGTGTTCTGTATTTTTCCATTTTAAAAAGTTTGTAAAAACAGCCGGGTACGGTGGCTCATGCTTGTAATCCCAGCACTCTGGGAGGCCAAGGCAGGTGGATCCCTTGAGGTTAGGAGTTCGAGACCAGCCTGGCCAACATGGTGAAACCCCATCTCCACTAAATATATAAAAATTAGCCGGGCATGGTGGTGTACACCTGTAATCCCAGCTATTCAGGAGGCTGAGGCAGGAGAATCACTTAAAAACGGGAGGCAGAGGTTGCAGTGAGCCGAGATTGTGCCATTGCACTCCAGCCTGGGCTGATAGAGCGAGACTCCAGCTCAAAAAAAAAAAAGTGTGTAAAACAAAAAATAAGGAAATTGTAAAAATCAGGTATAACATCAGGCACAATGGCTCACGCCTGTAAACCCAGGACTTTGGGAGGCTGAGGTGGGCAGATCACATGAGGTCAGAGGTTTGAGACCAGCCTGGCCACCATGGTAAAACCTGGTCTCTATTGAAAATACAAAAATTAGCTGTGCGTGGTGGCGCACGCCTGTAATTCCAGCTTCTTGGGAGGCTGAGGCAGGAGAATTGCTTGAACCCTTGAGGCGGAGGTTGCAGTGAGCCAAGATCGTGCCATTGCACTCTAGCCTGGGCAGCAGAGTAAGACTCTGTCGCAAAAAAAAAAAAAAAAAAGTATAAAATGTAGCCAGGCAGGGAAGCATGTGCCTGTAGTTCCAGCTATTCAGGAGGCTGAGGCAGGGAGATCACTTGAGCCCAGAAGGTCAAGGCTACAGTGAGCTGTGATCACACCTCTGCACTCCAGCCTGGGCAACAGGAAACCCTGTCTTAACAACAACAAAACCAATAATAATAATAATAATAATGTCCACCCTGAGGAGTTTTGGGGAGGATTATATCTGCTTCTGTGTCTGCTGGGCAGAAGTGTGTCATCATGGATGGGCCAGAAATCCTGCTGTTGGAGGATGATGAAATGTGCCTTCCATACGCCATCAATGCAGGACTTCCTGCCAGGGTGTTCTGGGTCCTCAGGCTGTCTCTGCCTGTTTGGGGGAGACCCCATGTGGCTATGCACCCAGAGAGTCTGGGTCCTGTCACTTATTGACTGTAAGCTCCCTGAGCCTCCGTCTCCTTACCCATACAATGGAGTACATAATATCTACCTTGCAGAGTTGTTATGACAATGATAATATATGTGACAGTCTTTTGAAAAGAAGTCGTTCAATAAATGATTACAATAAAAGATGTGCAAAATGTACGTTAACCCAAAACTGCAGGCTGGAGGGAAGGCATTTGGGTGAGTTTTGGGGTGCCAGTAGTCCATACCTTTCCACATAGCCTGTAAGTTCACTGTGTATTGTTCACTATCGTTTCATGACCTTATGGCTCAGAAGGTCTTCCAGAATCACAGGGTCCACCTCTCTAATCACAGAAGGGAAACTGAGGCTCAGAGAGGGCAAGTGATTTGCCTAAATTTCCAGGCCCCCTCTCTCCTACTCTGCTCCACCCTGCTTCATGTGGCCATGTTGCTTCCACAGGATGGAAAGCTCCCCGAGGGCAGGTACATGGGCTCCCACTATCCCCTCCCGACATTCTCTGGGCACGCCCTGCCCAGAGAGGACACTCTGGAATGACCTGCAGACATGTGGGACATGATCGACCACCACTGCCACTTGCACTGTTGTGGCCATGTGGCCTTGACTCTTGAGCAGGCAGGCAGGAACTCTGTAGAGTCCAGGAAATCCTGGGCCTCAGCTCCACATCCCAGCAGGGAGGTAGGGGAGAGGATAGGCTTCCTTCTCAGCCATCTCCTTGGACTTCTGCTATTTTTGCTGCTGGGAGGGGTAAGAAGGCTTGTGGGACACTCTAGGAACCTGGAGGGAGCTGGGCTGAGAAGCCTGTCCTGGAGTCCCAACTGTGTGCCAGGCCTCCTGGTCATCTGCTGTCCTCTAGCAGTGGCTGGCTACTGATGGCAGCTCTTGGTGGATATGGGATCTACAGACCAGCAGACTGACAGCTTTGCTCTGCTCTCTCTACATATATAAAAAATCATTTATTTCTTTAGGCGCCATGACAAACGGTGGCAGCTGCACCCAGAATAGTCTTTATTTTTAAACAAATTCACAGCTTGTTCTAGGAGCCATGTTTCTGCTGGCTTTCCTCAGGGTTGGCCATTGCTGAGTGTAGAGACAGTGGCCTGCTCCTGATCTCTAGGCCAGGAAGGCAGGAGGTGGGAGGCCTGAAAAGGGACAGAAGGTGTCAAGGGTTAGGTAGGGCTCTCAGGTGAGGAATGACTGAGGCTCTCGCCTCTAGCCAGGTCCTCCTTTGTTTGTTTGTTTGTTTGTTTGTTTGTTTGTTTTGAGATCCAATTCTAGAGTTAGCTGCCAGAGCTGGAAAAATCCTCAGATGTCATCTATCCAACCATGCCCTTTTACAGACAGGGAAACTGAGGCTCAGATAGGTGGTGACTTAGCCAAGGTCCCTGCCTGTTGCTCTCCCCCTAAACATCTCAAACAGTCAGGCAAGACTGCACAGTGGATGCTGGCCTGAAACTGGTTTCTTCTCCCTCAAGCCCAGAGGAGTCAGGGGAAGGAGGGAAAGGAGAAGAAGTTGTTGTTCCACCCTTCCTTCTCAACTTCACCTTGTTGCACCACCCAGAAAAGTCTCCAGCTGGAAGGAAGGAAATTCAGTCCAACCCTCTAATCATAAAGAAACAGGGGCCCAGAAGCCAGGCGTGGTGGCTCATGCCTATAATCCCAGCACTTTGGGAGGCTGAGGTGGGTGGATCACCTGATGTCAGGAGTTCAAGATCAACCTGGCTGACATGGTGAAACCCCATCTCTACTAAAAATACAAAAACTTAGCCAGGTGTGGTGGCAGGTGCCTGTAATCCCAGCTACTCGGGAGGCTGAGGCAGGAGAATTGCTTAAACCCAGGAGGCAGAGGTTGCAGTGAGCTGAGGTCACACCATTGCACTCCAGCCTGGACAACAAGAGCGAGACTCCATCTCAAAAAAAAAAAAAAGAAAGAAAAGAAAAAGAAAAAGAAACATGGGCCCAGAGAGAAGGGACTTGCCCAGGGTCACACAGGGAGACCTGGGCCAAACCCAGGCATCCTAGGGGCAGTTTTCAGTTTTCATTGCACTCTGCATAAGTCATCCTCAATGACATTGCCTTTACTTTGTGCCTAGGGCACATGGCTTATTTGTCAGGAAATTAACTCTCTTCTGTCTTCAGAGCTCATTGTAAACAGCCCAAGGGCAGGACTGGACCTTGACTATCTTGGAGGAATGAAGGTCCAGCTTAAACTTTGCCACCCAGTTCCATGCTGGACATTGTCATATCTGCCATCATATCTAATTTAGGACTCATGAAGTGTCAGAACTGAAAGGGACCTCAGAGAACAGAAGTTCAAGTCCTATTTTCCAGATAAGACCAAGGCCCTATGGGCAAATGACTCATCCAACAGCACTCCAGCCCAGAGTTGTCTCTATCCCTAAGACCCAGATTTTGTTACCTCCTGTCCTGTTGTTTTTGTTTGTTTTTATTTTTTGCCTTCCCCACAGTACCTAGCATTGTGCTGGCCTCATAACTTTTCTTTCTTTCTTTTTTTATTGAGACAAGGTCTCACTCTGTTGCCAAAGTTGGAGTGCAGTGTCCTGATCTTGGCCCACTGCAACCTCCACCTCTTGGGCTCAAGCAATCCTCCCACCTCAGATTCCCGAGTAGCTGAGACCACAGGCCTGAACCATCACTCCCAGCTAATTTTTGTATTTTATTTATTTATTTATCTATTTTTTTGAGACTGAGTCTCACTCTGTTGCCCAGGCCGGAGTGCAGTGGTGTGATCTTGGCTCACTGCAACCTCTGCCTCCCGGGTTCAAGCGATTCTCCTGCCTCAGCCTCCCAAGTAGCTGGGGTTACAGGTGCCCATCACCACACCCAGCTAATTATTATTATTATTTTTTTTTAGAGACGATGTTTCACCATATTAGCCAGGATGGTCTCGATCTCCTGACCTCGTGATCAGCCTACCTTGGCCTCCCAAAGTGCTGGGACCACAGGCGTGAGCCACCGCACCCGGCCCCACATCCAGCTAATTTTTATATTTTTAGTAGAGATGGGGTTTCACCCTGTTGGCCAGGCTCGTCTTGAACTCCTGACCTCAAGTAATCCACCCACCTCGGCCTCCCACAGTGCTAGGATTACAGGCGTGAGCCACTGCGCCCGGCATAATTTTTGGGTTTTTTTTTTGTGTGTGTGTGTTTTGTTGTTGTTGTTGTTGTTGTTTTGTTTTTTTTTTGACAGAGTTTCGCTCTTGTCACCTAGGCTGGAATGGAATGGCGCGATCTCTACTCACAGCAACCTCTGCCTCCTGGGTTCAAGCGATTCTCCTGCCTCAGCCTCCCGAGTGGCTGGGATTACAGGTGTGCACTGCCATGCCCAGCCAATTTTTGTAATTTTATTAGAGATGGGGTTTCACCACGTTGGACAGGCTGGTCTCGAACTCCTGACCTCAGGTGATCAGCCTGCCTCGGCCTCCCAAAGTGCTGGGATTACAGGTGTGAGCCACCATGCTCAGCCAATTTTTGTATTTTTTAGTAGAGACGAGGTTTCACCATGTTGGCCAGGCTGGTCTCAAACTCCTGGCCTCTAGTGATCACCTCCCTTGGACTCCCAAAGTGCTGGGATTACAGGTGTGAGCCACTGCACTTGGCCTACGACTTTTTTCATGATTCCAGATAGGACTGGCAACTCCCGGATGGCCTAGCAGCATTGCTGAACACATTCATTCCTCTCCTTGCTGCCTTCCAAAGTCCAATCATGCTGCCATCTCTCAGGCTATCGGTTAAATATCTGGCTTTTCTCTGAGATTTATTTCCTTCTACCAAGAGGCCAAATTCACCACTGGTTCCCAGGGTCAGAAGCTCTCCAGCCAGCTTCTAGATCCCATCTGCAGGCTCACTCTACATTGAGAAACTGAGGTGGTGGTGAAGGAGACAGTCTCGTGACCCCTGTTTCCATGGTGAATGGTCCTGGCAAGGATATCTGTCTACCCTAGGAACTCACAACAAAAGACAATTATGTTTTCTGTAAGGAACTTGAGACTCCCTAAAGGCAGAATCATCTCTATATCCTCAGCATCTCTCACAGGTACTCCAGAAACATGACAAATGCATGCTGAATTATTTAGCCCCCACTTACCTGAGAAGACGAAATCTGAAGACTTATCAGGGCCCCATATGGTACATTTTTGTAACTTCTGGGACATTCGGCCACTGGGATATGGACACGATAATCTCAGAGACCTCCAGAGAAGAAGGCTAAAGCTCTGGGGTTGGGAGTCCAGCTTCATCAGCCCCTGTTCCTTGTGTTAGGGAACACAGAAACCTGGGCTTTTTTTTTTTTTTTTTGTGAGATGAGTCTCGCTCTGTCGCCCAAGCTGGAGAGCAGTGGCGTGATCTCGGCTCACTGAAAGCTCTGCCTCCCGGGTTCATGCCATTCTCCTACCTCAGCCTCCCGAGTAGCTAGGACTACAGGCGCCTGCCACCACGCCCGGCTATTTTTTTTGTATTTTTAGTAGAGACGGGGTTTCACCATGTTAGCCAGGATGGTCTCCATCTCCTGACCTCGTGATCTGCCTGCCTCGGCCTCCCAAAGTGCTGGGATTACAGGTGTGAGCCACCGCGCCCAGCCACTGAAACCTGGGTTTGAACCCCAGTTCTTGCTTGTAGAAACTCTGTAACTTTGGACAATTATTTATTTATTTATTTATTTATTTATTTATTTATTATTTTTAGACAGAGTCTCCGTCTGTTGCCCAGGCTGGATGCAGTGGTGTGATCTCAGCTCACTGCAACCTCTGCCTTCCAGGTTCAAGCAATTCTCCTGCCTCAGCCTCCTCAAATAGCTGGGACTACAGGTGTGTGCCACCATGCCCGGCTAATTTTTTTTTTTTTTTTTTTAGTAGAGATGGGGTTTTGCCATGTTGGCCAGGCTGGTCTCTAACTCCTGACCTCAGGTGATCCAGACTTTGGGCAAGCAATTATTAAGCTTCCCTGAGCCTCCGCTTCCTCATCTGTAAAATGGGAAGTGCCAAGCCAATGTGCTCCACGAGGCAGTTATTGACCATCATTTGTCATATTACAGGGGGAGATTCTTTTCCCATGTTCTGAGATCCCAAGAGAGAAGATTCTGGAATCTTCCAGTGTCCCCAAACTTTTAGTGAGCACCTACTATGTGCAAGGTGATATGCTAGGTGCTAGAAAGGCAAAAAGACATATGATTTTATCTCTTTTCTCAAGTGGCTCATAATCCGTTTGGGGAGACAAAGCACAAGCCTTGTGAAAGCAAACTCCCAACCCAACTCATCCTAACTGCCAGAAGATGGCGAAAGACTGTGCAAGTGCAATAACAAATAGGTGATGCCGGCCAGGCGCGGTGGCTCACGCCTGTAATCCCAGCACTTTGGGAAGCTGAGGTGGGTGGATCACCTGAAGTCAGGAGTTCAAGACCAGCCTGGCCAACATGGTGAAACCCAGTCTTTACTAAAAATACAAAAATTAGCTGGGCGTGGTGGTACATGCCTGTAATCCCAGCTATTCTGGTGGTGGAGGCACAAGGATCACTTAAACCTGGTATGTAGAGGTTGCAGTGAGCCGAGATTGCGCCACTGCACTCCAGCCTGGGTGACAGAGCAAGACTGTCTCAAAAAAAAAATAATAATAATAATAAAGAAGTTTGTAATTTAGAGGACAAGATGGACAATGAACCATAATGCCATAAATAGATATATATTTACACATTATTAGCAGGGTTGATGAAAGCATATATAACAAGGGGATCTATTCTAATGAAAGGACCAAGAAAGACCTCTTTCAGTGATATTTAAATGAGCTCTAATGGCCGGGTGCGGTGGCTCATGCCTGTAATATCAGCACTTTGGGAGGCTGAGGCAGGCGGATAACCTGAGGTTGGGAGTTTGAGACCAGCCTGACCAACATGGAAAAACCTCATCTCTACTAAAAACACAAAATTAGCCGGGCATGGTGGCAGATGCCTGTAATCCTAGCTACTTGGGAGGCTGAGGCAGGAGAATTGCTAAACCCGGGAGACGGAGGTGAGCCGCGATCACGGCATTGTACTCCATCCTGGGCAACAAGAGCAAAACCCTGGCTCAAAAAAGAAAAAAAAAAAAAAAAAAGAGCTCTGATGAATGAGCAGGAGTTAGCCAGGCAAAGAGAAGAAGGGAGGGAGGCATTCTAGAAAGATAAAAACGGCCTGTGCAAAGGCCCTGAAGAGCAGAGAGCACATTGTTTGAGAGAAAGTCACATGGCGGGAGTACAGAAAGCTAAGCAAAGAGAGATGACATGGGCAGGGATCAGATTACGTAGAAACTTTGGGTGTTTCTTTTTTTTTTTTTCCCCCAAATATGAGGAAAGGACCAGCTGCAGTAAAATCCCCTGAAGTGGCCAGGAGTGGTGGCTCACTCCTGTAATCCCAGCATTTTGAGAGGCTGAGATGGGCGGATCACTTGAGCCCAGGAGTATAAGACTAGCCTAGGCCGGGCACAGTGGCTCATGCCTGTAATCCCAGCACTTTGGGAGGCCGAGGCGGGTGGATCATGAGGTCAAGAGATCGAGACCATCCTGGCCAACATGGTGAAACCCCGTCTCTACCAAAGAAATACAAAAATTAGCTGGGTGTGGTGGCACGCTCCTGTAGTCCCAGCTACTCGGGAGGCTGAGGCAGGAGAATTGCTTGAACCCGGGAGGCAGAGGTTGCAATGAGCCGAGATCGCACCACTGCACTCCAGCCTGGGGAATAGAGCGAGACAAAAAAAAAAAAAAAAAGGCTGGGTGCGGTGGCTCACGCCTGTAATCCCAGCACTTTGGGAGGCTGAGGTGGGCAGATCATGGGGTCAGGAGATCAAGACCATCCTGGCTAAGATGGTGAAACCCCGTCTCTACTAAAAATACAAAAAAAATTAGCCGGGTGTGGGGGCGGGCGCCTGTAGTCCCAGCTACTCGGGAGACTGAGGCAGGAGAATGGCATGAACCCGGGAGGTGGAGCTTGCAGTGAGCTGCGATTACACCACTGCACTCCAGCCTAAGCGACAGAGCAACTCTGTCTCAAAAAAAAAAAAAAAAAAAAAAAAAAAGACTAGCCTTAGCGGCCGAGCACAGTGGCTCATGCCTGTAATCCCAGCACTTTGGGAGGCTGAGGCAGGTGGATCACGAGGTCAGGAGTTTGAGACCAAACTGAGCAACATGGTGAAACCCTGTCTCTACTGAAAATACAGAAATTAGCCGGGCGTGTTGGCCTGCACCTGTAATCCCAGCTACTCTGGAGGCTGAGGCAGGAGAATCGCTTGAACCCTGGAGGCAGAAGTTGCAGTGAGCCGCGGTCATGCCACTGCACTCCAGCCTGTGTGACAGAATGAGACTGCGTCTCAAAAAAAAAAAAAAAAAAAAAAAAGACTAGCCTGGGCAACACAGGGAAACCCCATCTCTACAAAAAATACAAAAATTAGCTGAGTGTGGTGACATGCACCTATGGTCCCAGCTACTTGGAGGCTGAGGCAGGACGATCGCTGGAGCCTGGGAAATCGAGGCTGCAGTGAGCTGTGATGGCGCCACTGCACTCCAGCCTTGGTGACATGGCGAGACCCTGCAAAAAAAAAAAAAAAATTAGCTGGATGTAGTGGCACGCACCTGTAGTGCTAGCTACTTGGTAGGCTGAGTTGGGAGGATCACTTGAGCCCAGGAGTTCAAGGTTATAGTGAGCTATGACTGTGCCACTGCACTGTAGCCTGGGAGATACAATGACTCTGTCTCAAAATAAATAAATAAGTAAGACAAAGTAAAGACAAACATTCTGGTATTTATTCTTCTAGGCTTTTTTTGTTTCAGTTTTCTTTTTTTTTTTTTTTAGACTGAGTCTCTCTCTGTCACCAGGCTGGAGTGCAGTGGTGTGATCTCAGCTCACTGCAACCTCCACCTCCTGGGTTCAAGCGATTCTCCTGCCTCAGCCTCCCGAGTAGCTGGGACTACAAGGCATGTGCCACCACGCCCAGCTAATTTTTTGTATTTTTAGTACAGATGGGGTTTCACCCTATTAGCCAGGGTGGTCTCGATCTCCTGACCTTGTGATCCGCCCGCCTCGGCCTCCCAAAGTGTTGGGATTACAGGCATGAGCCACCGCGCCCAGTCCTCCTTTTTTTTTTTTTTTTTAGAGATGGGGTCTCCATATGTAGCCCAGGCTGGGCTTGAACTCCTGAGGTCAATGAATCCTCCCTTTTCAGCCTCCCAAGTAGGTAGGACTACAGGTGTGTGCCACCATTCCACCATGTCTGGTTAGGCTTTTTTTTTTTTTGAGACAGGATCTCACTTTGTCACCCAGGCTGGGTGCAGTGGTGTGTTCTTAGTTAGCTCACCTCTCCGGCTCAAGCTATCCTCTCACCTCAGCCCCCCAGCGTGAGCACAGGTCTGGCCCTTGGCCAGGCTTTTTGATATACACATATACTCAGGCATATGAATCTAGTTTGTTGTTTTTATAATAATGGAACAATTCAGTAATACTTGTTTGAGTCCTGATTTTCAAGAAAACAATATATCACGGGCATCTTTTCAGGTCGGTATAGACCTATAAAATTTTTTTTCTTCTTTTTTATTTTTTATTTATTTATTTATTTTTTGAGACGGAGTCTGGCTCTGTCGCCCAGGCTGGAGTGCAGTGGTGCTATCGCAGCTCACTGCAACCTCTGCCTCCCAGGTTCACGCCATTCTCCTGCCTCAGCCTCCCGAGTAGCTGGGACTACAGGGGTCCGCCACCACGCCCGGCTAATTTTTTTTGTATTTTTAGTAGAGACGGGGTTTCACCATGTTAGCCAGGATGGTCTCGATCTCCTGACCTTGTGATCCGCCCACCTCGACCTCCCAAAGTGCTGGGATTACAGGCGTGAGCCACCGCGCCCAGCCTATTTTTATTTTTTTTTTTGAGACGGAATCTCGCTCTGTCACCCGCCCAGGCTGGAGTGCAATAGCCCGATCTCGGCTCGCTGCAACCTCCGCCTCTCGGTTTCAAGTGATTGTTTCGTCTCAGCCTCCTGAGAAGCTGGGATTACAGAAGTGCACCACCACGCCCGCCTAATTTTTGAATTTTTAGTAAAGACGGGGTTTCACCATTTTGGTCAGGCTCGTCTCGAACTCCAGACCTCGTGATCCGCCCGCCTCGGCCTCCCAAAGTGCTGGGATTACAGGCATGAGCCACTGCGCCCGGCTATTTTTTTATTTTTTTTGAGACGGAGTCTCACACTGTTGCCCAGGCTGGAGTGCAGTGGCGTGATCTCGGCTCACTGCAACCTCTGCCTCCAGGGTTCACGCCATTCTCCTGCCTCAGCCTCCCGAGTAGCTGGGACTACAGGCGCCCGCCACTACACCCGGCTAATTTTTTTTTGTATTTTTAGTAGAGAGGGTTTCGCCGTGTTAGCCTGGATGGTCTCGATCTCCTGACCTTGTGATCAGCCCGCCTCGCCCTCCCAAAGTGCTGGGATTACAGGCGTGAGCCACCGCGCCTGGCCTCTTCTTCTTCTTTTGTTTTTGTTTTTTGTTTTTTTGAGACGGAGTCTCGCTTTGTTCCCCAAGCTGGAGTGCAGTGGCGCGATCTCTGCTCACTGCAACCTCCGCCTCCCGGGTTCACTCCATTCTCCTGCCTCAGCCTCCCAAGTAGCTGGGACTACAGGCGCCCACCACCACGCCCGGCTAATTTTTTGTATTTTTAGTAGAGACGGGTTTCACTGTGTTAGCCAGGGTGGTCTCGACATCCTGACCTCGTGATCCACCAGCCTCGACCTCCCAAAGTGCTGGGATTACGGGCGTGAGCCACCATGCCCGGCCCACGCCCGGCCTCTTTTTTAAAATACAGACAGTGTCTCGCCATGTTACCCAGGCTGGTCTTGAACTGGGCTCAAGCAATCCTCCCGCCTCGGCCTCCAAAGTGCTAGGATTGATGACAGGCAAGAGCCAATGCACCTGGCCCCTTTAAAACTTTTTTTTTTGAGGCAGAGTTTCACTCTTGTTGCCCAGGCTGGAGTGCAATGGCACGATCTTGGCTCACTGCAACCTCCGCCTCTCAGGTTCAAGGGATTCTACTGCCTCAGCCTCCTGAGTAGGTGGGATTACAGGCGCCTGCCACCACGCCCGGCTAATTTTTTTGTATTTTTAGTAGAGACGGGGTTTTACCATAATGGCCAGGCTGGTCTCAAACTCTTGACCTCAGGTTATCCGCCTGCCTCCGCCTCCCAAAGTGCGGGGATTACAGGCGTGAGCCACCATGCCCGGTCCCCTATAAAACTTTTAATGTCTGGATAATATTTTACTGAATGAATGTCTCCTGCTTTGCTTGCCAATTCCCTATCGATGGATATTTAGGTTGTTTTCAACTTTTCACATCATTACAAACAATCTCATGTTCATTTTTTAACATAACAACGTTTATTTATTTGGAATACATTTTTGTTAGTGGAATTGCTGGGTCATTGACAAATTGTCTAGGTCTAATTAAACATGTTCATACTGTGTACCAAGAGGAGATGTAGCGTGGATGGCACCAAAGTCAGGGAAGTCTTTCCGGCTCCTGGTCTGCTGGTCTGCCCTTTTGAAGGCCTTGGAGTGTTACAGCCATACCCTGGCCTTTCCCAGGCTTTTCTTTCCCTGGCACGGATGCAGTGTGTGCGGTCAGAGCTGGCGAGTTCGAGACTTGTCCGAACCATCCACCCGCAGCCAGGCCCCGCTGCAGAGGCTGCGGTGGCCCTCCCAGCCCCTGGGAATCTATCCCCAGGTCCCCTCCCCGACCGCGGGAGGGCGTGTTAGGGGAGCAGCTTAGGCAAGCGACGATTGCACCATCCACGTTTTGAAAAGAAAGTCCGGGGAGCGCAAGGAGGAAACTTTTACAATCCAAAGGTTGAGCCCCAGCATCCATACTCGGCCCCTGCAGCGATCCTTCCACTCCTGCTCGCTGGGTTCCGATCCCTTCCCTTCCACCCCGTCTCGGCCGAACCCTGTGCTGGGCACTGGCCCTTTAAGGAGCTGTCACGATGGCGTCGCTGGCCCCGCCCGGCGGGGAGGGCCGAGAGGCAGGGGAGGGGTTGGTGGTGGCTGCGGGCAAGGGGAAGGCGGGGGGGGCTGGGGGGGGGGTCTGGGTCTATTTTTAGCTCCGGGTCGGGTCACGTGACGGGAGTGACGTCTCCGAATGTTGTTGTTGGTGGCGGCGGCGAGCGGAGCCGGAGGAGCCGCCGCAAAGATGGAGGAGCCGTCGAGGAGGTGCTGCCGCCGCTGCCGCCGCCGCTGCTGCCGCCGCCGCCCGCGAAGCCGGAGCTCGAGCCGCAGCGGGTGAGCGCGCCGCCCCGGCCCAGATCCCATCTTCCCCGGACCCCGGGACGCGAGGCGGCGCCCCCTCCTCCTGCTGTCTCTGTCCGCGGGCTCCCAGCGCGCGCGCCGCGCTCCGCGCCCCCCTTCCTTCCTCCCGGCCCTGGGAGCCAGCCGGCGCCCCCCGGGAGCATCGGCAGCCCGTGAGCGGGACATCGGGGTTGCTGCGCGCGCCCCTCCCTGCCCCTCCCAGACAGGGGCGCCTTCCCTACAGGTAAGGGAGGGGCCCGCCTTCTCGCGCCCTGCGCCCCCAAATGGCTCGGAGACCGGCCGGGGTTGTCTGATTTGCCCCTTCCCTGGCGGCGCATGTTGCGTTGCAGAGCCATTTGAGCCCTGCACCCGGATTCTGTGCAGACCCCTCTTCGCTGGACACCCCTTTCTTGGTACTCTGAGGTGAGGGGTGCTGTCCACCCAGAGCGCTTCTCCCCATAGCTACGAACGCATCCTTGATTTTATGTCCTTGACTTCCGTGCATGAGGAGGGGGACTGCGGAGTCCACCTTACTTCTCTCTCCCATTATTCTCACCCCGTCTCCTGTGAGGCGTTACTGCGTTTGTTGCCACCCTCTTCTCCTGTCTGACACCTTGGAGCCAGGATGCGAGAGCTAGGAGATGAAATGGAGCTCCCCCCCAACCCCTTCTTGTCTTGGGTGGATGCCCCCCATTTTTCATCCTGGATCTGTATCTCATGGAAGCGGGGGCACTACCAGTGCCTTATTAACTTGGGGGGAGTCAGCTTCTCCACCCCACCCTTCCCTGGGGCCCTGGGGAAGATGAGAACTGGCTGGGTGTAAGTAATTAATCTGGGAGCTTGGTGGGGGCTGTTGAAGTGGGGAGGTTGGGTGCTTCCTTTGGGAGAGGAGATGACCACTTGATACCCCTGGCTGATACCCCTTCTGAAATGAGGTGTGTCCCTAAAGAGGAAAGGTAACAGCTGCAGTTGCTTTTAGGAGGGTGCAAAAGGGACCCATCACTCAGTCAGTGACCACCATGCTTTTGGGATCTGGGATTAGATTTGGAGCTTGGGGAGGTGGTGGTGATTGGTTTCAGTGTCCAACTGGGAGGGGAGGATGGAGCCAGATTATGGGAACAAAAGGAGGTGGGGGGGAGGGTGAGATCCAGGAGTCTTGGTCAGAGGGACCCCTAGCCAGATTGCCTTGCAGGATTGCAGTCTGGGTCTGGGTCCTGCCTTTGGCTTCCTCTTAGTTTCAGAGGATGTAGGCAGGCAGGCATGGTCTTCAGTCTCCCCAGTCCTAGGCACCCTGAGCCTATGCTGGCTGTTGAGATGCTGGGCTGGGCTGGGCTGGGCTAGGCTGGCTGGGCTGGATGGTGGATGAGCCATGTTGGGGGCTGCCTGCTTCTTCATTCCAGTCTTCCCTCCTTCCTCTCCCTCCCTAAACACAAAGCTTGGGGAGATCTTGGTTTGTCTCCTTCCTCTTTTCTTGACTCCTCTCTTTGCCCTCTCTTCACTTGAACTTGGATCTGGGCTTTCTTGACAAAGCAGTAGGGGTCTCTCTGAGTTAGAGAAATGGGCCCCCAGTATCTCCACTCTGTCCTGGGAATGTGGGCATGCCAGAGACCAGAGAGACAGATCTCAAGTGTGGGTTACTTGGGGGCAAGGATGGAGGAAATGTTAGTTCTGTGCCAGCCTCCCCTTCTTTTCCAATATATCCTCCTACTTTGGCTGGATCATGTAATTTGGAGGGGGGCAGCAGTTTCACATGCCCCACCCACCCCAAGTAGCTGCAGAGACAAAGGTTTGCTTTGCCTTCCGTAGGGGTGGCATCTTAATTGTGTGTTTAGAAATGGGGCCTGGGAATGTTGGGCGGGGGTCATTTGTGTTCCCGCATAGTGGGGGAGGGGGCATCAGCTATAGGAGCTGGGGGTAGTGCAGTCGGTGCTGAAGTACCAGCTGCTCTTTAATAATTAATTCTTCCTACTCACATCCCTTTGAGGAGGGATGTCTGGAACACAGCATTAGGCTCAGCCAGCCTGCTAGAGGACGCACTCCTGTTGGTGGCAGTAGGGGGGGGAAGGGGGAGACAGCAAGGGGGGGTGGTTCTTGGCATTTTTGGAGCACTGTAGCTTGCTCATGAATGAAAACCTGATGTAGCCCGTGAGGGGGCCTATTGTAGCCGACTTTAGCTAATTAAACTTTCTCTGCCTTTCTTCTTCCCTATCCCACCTCACCCCAGGCCCAGCCGCAGCCCTTTCTTGAATGGGGACCCTGCCTGGTAGTGCTGGGAAGAGGGTATCATTCTGCCTGAGGTTTTAGGGCAAACAGACCCCGTCTTCTGCCCTCTGCCTCCGCCTCCTCCCTTCCTCCCCTCTCACCACCCCCCTCTCTTTTTTTTTTTTTTTTTTTTTCTAGAAATAGCAGCCTCCTCCATCTGGCTTGTGCAGATGCCTGGAGCTGCGTCTGAGCAGACAAACAGAAATGGGCCGATTGCAAAAATGAATTTGTCAGCCTGGTGCCTTTTTTCCTTCCCTGTCACCCTCCCCCTTTCCCTGGTTTGGGGCCTGGACATCCAAGTCAGCCACCCTTCATGGCTCTGATCCTTCTGGGCTTCTGTTGGCCTAGCTTGGGGGAGGCACTAGGCAACAGAAGCTCTCAGAGGCTGAGGAAAGTGGTAGGCTGTGGCCATGGTCAGGAGGGGTCAAGATAAATTCCTAGTGCCTTTGACCTTTGGGTGGGATGTCTTGGCTTGTAACTTTTTTTTTTTTTTTGAGATGGAGATTCACTCTTATTGCCCAGGCGGGAGTGCGATGACACAATCTTGGCTCACCGCACCTCTGTCTCCAGGGTTCGAGTGATTCTCCTGCCTCAGCCTCCCGAGTAGCTGTGATTACAGGCATGCGCCACCACACCTGGCCAATTTTGTATTTTTTTAGTAGAGAAAGGGTTTCTCCATGTTGATCAGGCTGGTCTGGAACTCCTGACCTCAGGTGATCCGCCTGCCTTGGCCTCGCAAAGTCCTGGGATTACAGGCGTGAGCCGCCGCGCCTGGCCGGTTTGTAATTTTTGATGAAACTGTCGGGGTAGAGTGAAACAATCTCAGACTCCCAAGACTTGATTCACACTGCTTGACCCTGTCACCTATGACCTAGGGGGTACCCTGGCCTGGGGCCAGAGCAGGTGTGTTGGGAGGGGGTTGCATGGTGGTACTGGACTCCAGGATCCAGAGAGGGTCTTCAAGGGACACCTGACTCCCCAGGAATTTTGAGGGAGTTGTTTGAGGAACAAGATCTCTACAGGGTAACATTGTGAACCTATGGCCTTTGGAGCATTGCTTTGTACCATGTGCCCCTCACTTGTCTGCCCTCCTCCACCCACCCTTTGCCAGAGTTTGGGGTTTCCACCCTACTTCCATAGGCTCAGCCCTGAGCTTGTAGGGTGAGATGTAGCCTGTTTCCTTCATCCTTGTCCGGCTGTCTTGGCTGGATGTGGGAGGTGGTTTTGGATCCCGGAGTGGGGTAGGGGTCTGTCTGGAAGAAAGAGTTGGTGTGAGGTAGTGGGGTGGGCAGGGGTCTGTCTGCTTATGATGTCCTGGAAGTTGGGCCACTCCCTGGTTTGGCATCCAAGTGTTAGGTCATCTGGGACACAGCTCCTGGTGTCCCTGACTTCCCACTGAGACCCAACAGATTTCTCTGGCAGATGTGGGAACAAACAGCTCAGGTTTTAAACATCAGGCTCCCCTTCTCCCCTTCATGTCCCACCCCAGACAGGAATCTGTGCTTGTCCCGATCAGACCATGAACACTGCTTTGTTTCTCAGGGAGGCTCAGCCTGTGGCTCTGGTTCACTTGGGAGACTTGATGGGGGTGTTGGCAGACACTCTTTACAGGTGGACAGGGCCCAGGGGCCCAGGGATCCTGCTGAATTTTATAGGACGGGGAGGAGTAGACGTAGATGAGTCCCGAGCCCACCATGAGTTCAAGGAGCTGCTCCCTTCCTCTTCTGCCTCAGGGGTGAGGATCAGCATCTTTAAGACCCACAGAGAGAGTAGGTGGGTTAGGATGATGGGGGCTAGGGGCTAACCTTAACCTGGTTTCTGTGCCACTGGGGCTGTGCCCCTTCTGAGCACCTTGCTGTGGAGGTGCCTCTCACTGTGGAGATGGACTGGGCTACTCAGGCTGCTGGGAATCGTGGGCATTTCTGAACCTGTGTTCCCCAGCCCACGGGAAAGGGTGTGAGCAGGACTGGGTGCCAGCCTTGGTGTGGGCACAGGCTGAACTGCCTGCCCACGTGGGCCCTGCCAGAGCACCAGCAGCCCTACCTGCCACATTCCTGAGCTTGGCCTCAGCCCTGCCTGCGCAGCCTTTTTTGTCTTAATCCCATACCTGTGCCCGTCAGGAGCAATTTAGCCCCTTCAACTCTGCCCCCCAATCTGAGTGCACCTTTCTCCAGCCATAGAGTCCAAGCCCTGTGGTCCCAGCAGCAAGCCTGGGACCTCAGGGTCTCGTGTGTGCATGTGTGCGTGCATGCGCATGTGTGTTCATGTTCTTGTGTTTCTGCCATAGCTGGCTTCTGGGCTTCTGGGCTCCAAATGGACCCCACCCTTGGGAATCTGATGAGAATGTAAGGCTTACTGAGAATTAATCCTGCCAGGAGGTGGGGCTGTCTAGGGGGGCAGAGCTGATTGCTGGTTCGAGGCTTGGGGAGCAGAGTTAGGGCTTAAACTCGCAGCAGCTCACAGCCTCCTCTGATGGCTTCCTGCTACCTTGCTTTCATTGGGTATTGGAGGGCCTGCCTTCATTTGGAAGCAAATGAATGAGATCATGTCTGGGGTGGATCGTGGGCCGTTTAGGGATGGGCCAGGTGTCTGTATGCATAGTGTCTGAGGCTTGAGGACTAACTGTGGGGGAGAACTGGAGGAGTGGGCATGGGTTGGCAAAGCCGTGGTCCTGTAATACCTCCTCCTTTACTATACTGGCCTCAGCAGGGCTACTGCTGGGCCTTTTGTTGCTTTCGTACAAACTGGGAAAAAATCGTCCCTTGTTTTGGGTGGACTCAGCATGTCAGGCCATGGCTTGGCAGGCAGGGCACAGGCTGGATTTCGTATCTCCCTGGGCCAGACCTCCTTACACAGAGCACAACCTGTACAATATACACAAAGTGCTGGGCTTGGGCCCTGCACCTGCCAGGCCAAGGGTACTAGATTTGGGATGGAGAGGTCTCTGACTTTCTCAATTCCTGGAAAGAGAAGCTCTTGTCCTGGTCTGTTGTTGAACTGTGGGAGACCAAAACAGAAGCACATCCATATTTCCAGAGCTGGGTGGCACAAGGATCAGAAAGTCGGGAGAAGACCCCTAGAAGTCCCAGCTTAGGCTATGGAGGCTGGGATACCAGTTTCTCCCTTCACTTCTGCCAGGGACTCTAGATCAGCCCTGCATCTCCCCACTGCTATGGATACAGATCAGAAGCCCCCCTGCACTTTCTCCTTTGGTGCACACCTAGTCCCATGGCAGGCACTGTTGGGAGTCTATAGGGTCTCCCCAGCTGGCAGTAGACACTCACCTGAAAAGGGGTCTGTTGGGTTTGGCCACCATAGCCATTTCCTATCCCTTGGGCTCTGGGAGCCTCATCAGTTAGTAAGATAAGAAACCAGGGTCTATCCAGTTCTGCAGATTTCTCCTGTGGCTGTGGGCAGGTATCCCTCCCTCTCATCCCTCATCCCCAGGTACAAACTGATGAGCTCCAAGGTCTCCTTCGACTCTCAGATTCCTGAGTTAGGGGCCTCTAACCCTGCTCCATCTCTCCCCAGGGATGCCGTTCTGAGTGCCTGACTGCCTCGCCCCGAAGGATGGCCTCGGATGGGCATTAGAGGCACGGCGGCCCCGGGCTCCCGTCCCGTCCGTCTGTCTGTTATCGTCTGTCTCTCTTGACATCACCGCAGCTCCACCCCCTCCCGTCCCAGCCCCCAACGCCAGCTTCCTGCAGGCCCAGAGCCGGCATGAACTCTCCCAACGAGTCGGGTAAGAGCTGGGAGGTTGGAGAAGAGCACCCTGGGGTAGCTTCGGATGCAATGGGCTGTGTGGGTTTCCCTTCCAGGCCAGCTGACCTTTACTGTCTGAGCTATAAGGGAATGAGGGGGTAAGGAGTGGAGAAGTGTTGCAAGAAAGGGCCCATGAGGTAGACCTGGGAATCGAGGGATCGATGGTCCGGTCTGGTCCTGGGAAGGCAATGGGTCCTACTCTGCCCCCCATGCTTGCCCTCTCAACTTAGGGGTGTTCAGCTCCAGCTTCGCCTTCCCCTGCTAGCCAAGACAGGTGGGCCTGAGGGGGCAGTGTGTATCCCTTAATCTCTCTGGGCAGTCTGGGATGATGTTGGAGGAATTTCTTTACTATAGCAGAATGCTCAGCTTCCTTTTCGTGATGGTGGCTTCTTTACTTAGTGGAATGTTTGTGTTCCATACTTTTTTCTTAGTGGAGGTTTACAAGGGCACTGGGCCTTAACCTCCGTGTGCAGGTGCGTGGCATTGGGTGGGAGTGGGGTGACGTGTGTAGAGGAGTCTCGGCTCTCCTCTGAGTCCAGGTAGACTGCCTCTCTTCCTCTTGGGCCCTTCATATGGTAGATTGCTAATCTGGGGTCTTTTACTCTGAGATTTCCTGTTCCTCTTTGTTCCTAGGACCCTGTCCAGTGCTGCCAGAAATAGTCTATTTGGGGGACTCTAGGCAGCTTGATGTGCAGCTGGGTCTGGATGTATGCCTGTGAGGCTGTGTTCTAGTGGCCTGAGCTGGACCCTCAGCAGTTTCCCAGGAGGGTCCTGGGGCAGTGTGGTCAGAGTAGTGGCTGTCGTCTCCTCCTCCTCGGGTGTCTCCTTCCACACAGTGTTAAAGGTCCATCTTGCTCAACTTTAGCTCTCCACGGCCCATCGTACTCCTCATCTTTTTTATGTAGGGGTAGGTGGATATTTCTCCTTTTAGAGATAGGGCAATTGGGGCCTAGGATGAATACCCATTTGCAGGATTGTACAGAAGCAGCATCAGGGAGGAATCCAGACCACCCCACATTTTCTTCCCCATCATCCTTTCTGTAGGGTTTGCTGTTCTCCTTCAGATATTCCTCCCTCTGCCCTTGCCCTCATTCAGCCCCTAGGGGCTGGGACAGGTGGGCTGCCCAGCTCTGCCCTCTTGCTTGCCCCTCTGAGGCTGGATGGCGAAGGGAAAGGAGAGGCCTGGGTCCTCATCTGTCCCTCGTGCATCTTGGCTGGACACTACCCCAGCAAGCTCAGCCATGTCGGGCAGTAGTGCCAGCTACTTCTTTCCTCTGAGTTGTGACGCTGACCTGTCCAGGAGCCATCTGCAGTCCCTGCTTCCCATGGGGCTGGGGTCTAACTCTTGGCCAAGGGAATTGAAGCTGCCTAGCGGCATCTGTTGGTGGCTTGGAAAGGATTTTTCCCAGCTTTGGGGTTTCTTTCCCTTGCAGGGAAATGTGATAATCAACCCAGGATAGATGAAGTTATTGGGTTACCTTTCCAGATGCTGGCGGTCCAAGTTTCCCTTGCAGCTACCTCTGTGGGAGCTGACAAGAGTGTTGGAGGAGCTGGACGTGTCCACCAACGCAGGAGGCTGGCAGCTTGAGAGCCACTGCTGAGCCCTGGCCAGGAGGGGCGTCCTGAGTGGGCCTGTGGAATGGGCCCCGCGTCCTGCCTGGCTTTCCAGCTCCCCCCAGCAGGGGGAGATGCTGTCTTCTCTGTGTTGGGGAAAGAAGGAAAAAAGGAGGGGGCCAGGGATTGGGAACCTCATTTTAGGATTGTTGAGAGGCTTTGGAACTGGGGCCACTGCTTGGGGATGTTTGCTTGAGGCCCTTCCTGCAGAGTGTTCCTGGGGTTCTGGACTGGCTTTCCCAGTTGTGGGGTTCCAGCTGCCCTGGGCCAGGGAGATAGTCAGCCTCCCCCCAGCTCTTCCTTTCTGAGGGGCCTAGCGTCTGCTATTCCCAGAGCTTGGGCTGGCATCTGGGCTAGGGCTGGGGTGCCCAGCGCCTGGCAGAAGCCTGGAAACCACATGCCTTGGAACTCGGCGGAAGTAAAGTGAGACCACCGATTGAAGCCAGAGCACGCGGGTGTCCACTTCCCTGTAGAGAGCCCCAAGAAGGAAAGGTATGGGCCATGGGGCAGGAGATAAGAGGTGGGAAGGAAGGAAATGGTTAGTCCCCAGGGTCTGCTGCAGCCCCTGAGCGCCTCCCACCTTTTCCTCACTTCCCTGAACACTTGCTCCTCTTTCCCCAGAGTAAAGGACAGTAGGCTTTGTAAGGGGCAGAGCTTCTGGTTCCCCTCAAGTCCTCTCAGCGTAGGAGCTTTTCAGTTTGGCAAGTCCTCACTGAGTATCACCAACAGGCTCAGCCTGTGGAAGACAGAAGAAAATATGAGATGGGCCATCCCTGGTCCTCACAGTGAACATGTTAGCAAGAGAGACTGTTTTGGTGAGGGGCAGCAGGTGGAGACTGTGAGTGATTTCCTTCTGGGGCCCACTGCCCAGGAAGGTGGGAGCTGATGACTTCCCTCTGGCTCGGGCTGCCTACCAGCCTTTGACTTTATTTACCTCTTTTGCAGTCTTGGAATCACAGGCGGAGGCTATTGATGGGGTTGCCTGCTTCCCTGAGACCATTCCCTGATCTCTGCCTTTTCTTCCGGCAAAAGGGGGTTTGAGGATTAAGGCTGTCTTTATTTTTCTGGAACTGTTTGCTTCTGCATGTTCTCCTCAGTGGGGCTGAAAGGCTGACAGAACTTTCCCTCAGCTCAGACTCGGCCCAACCAGGTTGGAGGAGCTGCCCAGGGGCCTGGGACCCAGGCCAGCTCTGGTTGTACCCTCTTTGTGCCATTGCCCAGAAGAGCAGGCAAGAGTGAGGCCCACTGTGCAAGCCAGTCTGGGTGGCAGCGGGGCCATGGAGGAGGCGGCCAGGATCCTTCTCCCCAGTGTGGGAGGGAGACAAGCTTCATGACAACACCTGCCTGCCCAGCGCCTCCCAGAACCTTCACACTTTCTCTCTTTCCCTTTTCCAGGATGGAGGGCAGCAGCCCCCCCCCCCCACGCCTGCTCTCTGGGTGACCAGAGAAACTGGGGCATGGGTGTGGGGTGGAGCCAGGAACCTCGGTGTCCTGCCTTCCAGCCTTGGGCTCTGCCTCCTTCAGAGCCCCCAGGGAAGGCAGGCAGTGAGAAAGTGGGTCAATCCTGGCATGGGGCTGGGGTCTGAGAAGTAGACTCCTGGCCTCCCTTCTCTACTGAGATGCCCCCTGGCACACCTCTGTGCTCACTGCAGAGCGGGACCTGCTTCTCCCCTCCTCTTCCCTGCTCTATCATTCCAAAGAGATTGAAGGCTTAGAATGGAATGGCCAGAGAAGGCAGGGTCAACCCTGAGGGGAAGTAGAAGATGCCAAAGTAGGTGTTCACATTTTTCCTGGACTTGGCTTCAAATGAGAGGGTTCAGCCAACACCTAGCATGGGGCCTGGCTGGCACATGGCAGCTCCCAGGCCATGCTGATGGGCTCCAGCATGACTGGGCTCGAAGGGCAGGAAAGAACAGGAGGGTGGGCAGGTCTGATATCTGGGTCTCAGGGAAGCTGGCATCTCACACTTCATCCAGGGTGCTCCTGGGCCAGCCATTGGCTTTTTCACTGCACACTAAGCAGACCTTGCTTTCTTCCCTTTGGTCAAGGTCCCCCCATCCCCACAGCCTTTGGGCTCAGGAAATGGAACCTGGAGCCAGGGTTAGGCTCTTTTCCTCCTTCAGATTCAGAGGGCTAGGAGGTCAGAGTGCAGCCTTTGAGGGAGGGGCAGAGTGAGTCTGGGGAAGACAGTCCTGGCTCTGGGTGAAGCTCATGTACCCCATGCTTGGTGGGTGCTCCATAAGGTTTGTGGGATGATACATGGGTGTGCTGGTTGGGAGAGAACGGAAAAGAGAAGTGAATTGCAAGGAGGGGGGCTAAAGCATGAAGGATTGAAGTTAGACATTAGGAGGACCTTGTATCACCTGAATCTCAGAAGAAAAAAAGACATTTGTCCCCATCCCAGATCTCCTCTCTTATTGCCTTGGAGGGTTCTGGGAATTGCACTGAGGATTTTCTGACTGTGTCTGATACTTTGCTTCCTACTTGTTGGAGGCTGTAATGGTGCTGGGAGCTGGCTCCCCAGCTCCCGGCTCCAGCCACCTCTGGGTGTCCCTGTCCTGGGTGCTACTATCTTCCCTAAGCAGGAAGTCCTGTTTCCTTCAATGTCTGGGTGCTCCAGGTTCTGGGGGCCCTGCTTTTGAGTCCTGGTAACTGACGCCTTCCTCTTCTTTAGAATAAGGCTCTCCTGCCACACTCTCCTATGCCTGGGGCAGGCAGAGAGAGCTGGGACAGGGCTAGCCAGCCCTTCTGGTTACTCCTAGCGTGGGTGGGAGGAGTCCTGGGCTGGGAGGGGTTGCTGCTCTTGGCTTTCTGGGCTCCCTTGAATCTGCTGCCCATCACCCCACTGATGGAGACCTTCCCTTCCCTTCCTCTTGAGAGGGCCTGGTTGGCCAGGATGAGGTTGGGGCAAGGGGTGGTGAACAAGATCCCCAGCCATACCCTGAATGTCCACCAGCACTAGGCCTCTGAGGGAGTACTGTTCCACTGCCCTTTTTCTAGAATCTGCCCTGGTTTAGAAGCTGCAGCTCCAGACCCCTGTTTCTTTGCTGGTCCACCACTGGGTACCCCCTGGCAACATATACATCTTGCTAGTCAAGGGCCTGGGAAAGCCTGCCTCTGCCTATAGGTGTGGTCCCCCTAATCCTCCCACTCCCAGCCTGAGGGCAGGAGACCCCTTTGCCATCCCTGACTGGCAGAAGCTGGCTGGGAAATTGGGCTCCAGGAGCCACAGCCACTGTGTCCTTGGTTGGCCAGCTTCTCCTGGGCTCCCAACAAGAGGGTGAGGTCATCCAGTCCAGAGAGAGGACAGGTGTCCCTGGCTCCATGCCTGGAGTGGGGGTCAAGGAGGGGGCTCCAAAATAGCAACTGTGACATCAGGAAGGGGGAGGGGGATATAGACACAGGAATAACCAGGCTATTAAAAGGCTCTAGTGAGGTCAGGGGGCCAAGTGGGATCTTTGTACCAGTGGGAGGCACAACCTGAGGAGCAGGGGCAGGCCAGCGGTGGGGAGGGCGGGGGAGTGCCACTGGTCCTCATGGTGCACCAGCCCCAGGACCCAGGGAGCAGGGGCTGTGCTGCCAGGCCTGAGGCTGGCTGGTGGGTAATGGCTGGATGCTGAAAAACTCTTGACTCTCCTTAGCGAGGTTCCAACCTCAAGTCTCTTCCTACTTGAGCACAGGGGTCATTGTACCTGTTAATAGAAACCCTGGGAAATGGGAGGCAGTGGAGTGTGGTGGTTAGAGCTCAGACTTGAGCCTCAGACATCCCAGCCCTGCCATGTAAGCAGCTTTATGACCTAGGGTGAGTGACTTCATCTCCCTGTGCCTCAGTTTTCCCATCTGTGCCTCTCCCAAGGTCACCACGCAGAATTAATGAGATGATGTATATGATGTTCGTAGCACTGCACCTGGCACATTGCCATGGAGGAGCTACCTGTGCTCTGAGAATTAGCAGATGTTCCCTGGTCCCTTTTCCTGGATTGGGGTGAGGAAAGGGGACCAGGGGACACCTGTCTGCCCAGGAGGAGTATCCCTACACCCTAGAAAGAAGCTGAGGCTGAGCAGCCTCTGGAGGCGACACTCCAGAATGAGCGGGAGGGAGCTGCCATTTAGCAGGTGTTTAGGGGTCTCTCTGCTGGTTGAAGGGGTGGGGAGGCACCTCTCAACTCTGTGGGAGGGCAGAAGTTAAGCAAACCTCCATGGGGCTATTAGAACTCCAGGGAAGGTGCCTGTGTGCCAGCCTCTCCTAGACCCTTCCAATTCCTTTACCTGTTCTGGAAGGCAAGAAGAAAGACGGAGGCTTGAGTCTGGCTTCTTGGTCTCCATCCCCTGGCTTGCTTGCCAAGAGTAGCAGCCAGAGCCGCTCCCAGATGCATGGGTACCCTGGCCGGCGCCCTTCCCCAGCCCAGCCTCTGGCCACCCAGCGCTGTGGCCTTGGCCCTGAGTGCAGGCCCTCCCCTGTTCCCATCCCCCTCGCCTGGCGCTTCCTCCTGGGGTAGAACCGCCTCCCCCCCCATGGGGCCTCCTGGCAGCCCGCCCGCAGCTCCCTGAGCATGCTCCACCTATTTATAGACAGGGCCCTCCCCCAACTGCTATTTCAGTCTCCTGCCAGCTGCCGGCGGCGGCTCATTCGGGAAGGAGGAGCAGGGAGCCGGGCCCAGAGCTGTCACCCAGGGTTGGGAGGGAACACAGAGCCCGCCTGCCCGCTGAGCTCCCCTTCCTGTCCCAAGTGCTCAGCCATACCCCAGCTCCCAGGAACCAGGGAGAGGCTGGTGGTCGGATGCCCCTCTAGAGCAGAGCTGGGCCTGCAGCTCTAGGGCCTCCCTGCCCCTCCTGCCGCCAGGAGTGCCCAGGCCGGATGAGGCACTTCCCTACAGTGTGGGTCCCGTCGGCAGTGGCCTGAGGGAACCTGTGCTGTGCGGGCTGCCCGACCACCTTCCCTTCGGTCTGCTCCCCGCCTCTGGCGGCCCCCTCCCTGGCATGCTGCTGGTGCCCAAGGCTCAGGGGCTCGTGGAGATGCTGCAGACCATCTATGAGACAGAATCCTGTTTCTCAGCAGATGGGATGTCAGGTCGGGAACCATCCTTGGAAATCCTGCCGCGGACTTCTCTGCACAGCATCCCTGTGACAGGTAAGTGCCTTGATGTCCCTGCCTGCCCTCTGTCATCTGGCATCCTTGTCCCTGGGCTGAGCATCTGGCCCTGAGCCTTGCACAGATAGGGTCCTGCATAGATCTGTCTTGAGAGTTTTGTTGAGAATACACAGGGCTGGGGGATCCCTGCTCAGAGAGGCCCCTGCCCTCCCTGCCCAGAGCCTGCTGCTCCCCGGTGCCCCTCCGCTGTACTCTGCTGCATCTCTTCCAGTCCCTTCAGTCTCTGGCAGGGTCGGCATCCACTGCTGGGGGCTGGGGGTTACTGGAGGATCCTGGCCTAGTTGGCACTGTGGTCAGAGGGGAGGAAGTGGGTCAGTGACCCGCCTCCATGCTGCCCGCTCCCCAAGTTTGGGCAAGGGAAGAAGGTGTAGCTGGGTGTCCACAAGAATAAAGGTTACTCCAGCTCCTCTGGCTTGGTTCTTGGGGCTACAGGATCGAGTACAGTGACTTCCGCAAGTCCCCAGCCAGGAGTCTCTTGAGAATCAGACACTTGGGGAGGCTTGGTGCAGTCATGATGGAGTTAGGCAGAGGCTGGCAGCTTGGATATTGAGGGGCTTGGCTGCCTTAGCCCCTAGCTGTCTCCCGATGGCGCTCCTCTCCCCAGGTCTGGGTTGATTCCCATCTCATGAGGATGAAGAGGTGTTACTCTGGCTCAGATGGGCTTCGGGACCCCCTAATCCTGCCACCTTCTCAGCAGGAACTTTTTTGGCTCTTGGCTAGGGGTGGGGTCCCCCAGAGCTGGGCCGCTCCTTCCCTCACTCCCAGGAACCTGTTGGCAGCATCAAGCCTTCCTGGCACAGCCTCCCCACCAGGCCGGCACCACAAGATGCTTCCTCCAGGGAGGGGCCTGCTGGACCCATGCCTGCTCAGCCCCTCCTGGCAGTGGCTTGGCACTCAAGTGTGGGTGTCTGTGTGTGTGCGTGTGAATGGGGAGTCCTTGCCTCTGGATATGTGGGTGTGCATCCCAAGCTTCAAATTGGAAAGTGGGAACTGTGTGCCTCTGCAGGTGCCTGTGATTTGGCTCTGAGCTGCCCAGGGATAAGGTTGCAGTGGGACTTGGATGTGTCAGAGCATGAATGTTTTGGGAAGATTCAAAAAATCTTTGGAACATGGCTTATCATCTGCCCAGGCAGGGATGCCCATGCAGTTTTCTCATGTAGGAGCATGACCCTGAAGACTAGCCCTGCAGGGTATCCATGCAGGCCCCGAGGATAGGGGCATTACCCTGGGGCCAGCCCTGTAGGCTGGGGTGGGGATGGGGGTGTAACCTTGGGAACCGGCTCTACAAGATACCCACGTAGTCCCCTGAGGTAGGGGCGTATGCCTGGGGGCCCCCTACACAGGTCCCTGGGATGAGGAATAAACCCAGAGGGCTGGTTCTTATCCTGGTCTGGAGTCCACAGGTCCAGCTAAAGACCCTGCCTGCTGGCCCCTAGCCCACAGCCTCTGGGACTCAAGGTGGTCTCTTGGAAGGCAGAATAATCCCAGAGCATCTGCTTGGGACAGCTCCACGCCATCTGGCTTATCAGGTCCACCCATCCTGCCCTGTCGCCTCTGTTCCTTGCTACCAGCAGCAGCCAGCAGTTGGCCGGAAGTTTCCTCCTCAGCTTGTTCATTCACCTGCTTCCAGATTGTACCCCAGAAACCTTGCAGGCTGGGACCCTGCTCTCTCATCTCCTCCCTAAGCCTGGCTGCCCCTGCATGGACTCCCAGGCAGCCCCTCTGTCCAGATCCCTGTCTCCCCACTCCACCCCCAACGCTGGCTGGCCTTCAGAGTGGTGGCTTGGTCCATGCTGGCAGGAGGGAGGCGTGAGTCACCTCAGCGGCTCGGGGAGAGGGCTAAGAATGTTCCCCCTGCGCAGCTCTGATGCTGTGTCTGTGACGCGGCTAGGGACAGATATAGGCCTGGAGCTCGGCAGCCTTGTTTTTTTTTTGTTTTTTTTTTGTTTTTTTTTTGGACTCTGGAATGTAAATAGATGTTTCAAATAGAAACACTTTAACCTTTGGGTTAAAAAAAATCCACCCCGGATAAACACGGCCATGAGGGCCCAGGCAGCCTGGTGTTTCCCTCCCCACCCCCTCTCCCCATCTCTTGATCGGTCTCCAGACAGGATGCAAGATCCTATGGCTGAAAAAGCAGGTGTCCAGGGAAGCTTCTTTGGATGGTGTGAGTTGCGCAGGTCTCCCAAGCCCAAGGGGTTGGGGCAAGGGTCTTTCGAGGGTGGTGCCTGCCTGCCACCTCCAGCAGCATCTTTAGAACCCTATTTTAGGGATAGCCTTTGCTCTCTGGGCTGTCTTGGTTGTTGCCATTGCCCAGCACCTAGCACAGTGCCTGGCACATGGATGAATGAATGTCGCATGGGGAGGGCTGGAGTCCAGAATTGCTGGCAGGATTCCTGGGCTCTATTCTGGGGCCTGGACCTCTGGGTGAATAGAGACAGCTTTAGTGAGTCACCCCAGCGGGTAAGACAGAGCCTTAGCCTACCGAAGGACAGGGGCAGTCTGCTGTTCTTGCTTAAAGAGTGGGGCGGATCTCAGCATCTGCTCTTAGCGATCAGAGGTCTTCCTTGATGGATGGGGTCTCTGCCTGGCCACCCTACCACAGCTCCCCAGTGCACAGTGGGCACCACCATCATCCCAGCTTAGTTCTGGCTTGGGGAGCCTGGGAGTTTGAACTCTAGTATGGGATTCTCAAGGACACAGAGGTGGGGAATTCTCTGCCTCCCTTATGTGGGCCCTGGATTCCCCTTTGTCTTGTACTGGGTGGAGCTGATGCCCAGACAATACGCAGGACTTTATGAGATGGCATGGAGGAGGAGTCTGCTTTTCCCATGGAGGGAGGGTGTGAATCCTGCTTGTGCCAGGAAGGAATGCTATGGACACTGGGAAGTGCCATGGGGTCCAGGTTTGGTCTTAGGGCTTTCCCTGGATATTCGTGTTCGTGCTCTTCAGTCTTTCTGGGTTTGGCTGTGTGTATAGGTATGTAGTGCCGGGAGGGTAAGAAGTGCAAGACTCAGGGGTGAGAGTGGAACTATTATAATGCACTGAGTGACAAGGCTATCAGGTACTTTCCCTGCCCTTTTTTTTTTTTTTTTTTTTTGATACGGAGTCTCCCTCTTTTGCCCAGGCTGGAGTACAGTGGCACGATCTTGGGTCACCACAGCCTCCACCTCCTGGGTTCAAGCGATTCTCCTGCCTCAGCCTCCCGAGTAGCTGGGACTACAGGCACACGCCACCGTGCCTGGCTAATTTTTGTATTTTTAGTAGAGATGGGTTTTCACTATGTTGGCCAAGCTGGTCTCGAACTCCTGACCTCGTGATCCGCCTGCCTCAGCCTCCCCACAGTGTTGGGATTGCAGGCGTGAGCCACCACGCCCGGCCCTTGCCATATCTGTTTTAGGACAGTGTTGATAGCTGTGGTGTATAATTGAGAAGGCTCAGAGAGGTTAAGGAACTTACTGGACATGGTAGCTCATACCTGTAATCCCAGCACTTTGGAAGCCTGAGGGAGGAAGATCACTTCAGGCCAGGAGTTTGAGACCAGCCTGCGCAGCATAGCCAGACCCTGTCTCTACAAAAAAATGTAAAAAAAAAAATTAATCAGGCACAGTAGCATGCACCTGTAGTTCTAGCTACTCAGGAGGCTGAGGCAGGAGGATTGCTTGAGCCCAGGAGTTTGAGGCTGCAATGAGCCATGATCACTGCATTCCAGCCTGGGCGCTATAACAAGACCCTATCTCTTAAAAAAAGGGAACCTGCCCAAGGTCACAGAGTAAGTGAGAGCTGGAATTTGAACTCAGGTGTCTGGGTAGGACCATTGCTAATCCACATAAAAGCTACTTTTGGCCGGGCTCGGTGGCTCACACCTGGAATCCCAGCACTTTGGGAGGTTGGGAGTTTGAGACCAGCCTGACCAACATGGAGAAACCCCGTCTCTACTAAAAATACAAAAAATTAGCCGACGTGGTGCATGCCTGTAATCCTAGCTACTTGGGAGGCTGAGGCAGGAGAATCGCTTGAACCTGGGAGGCAGAGGTTGCGGTGAGTCGAGATTGCGCCATTGCACTCCAGCCTGGGCAACAAGAGCAAGACTTTGCCTCAAAAAAAAAAAAAAGCTTCTTTTGTGCAGATTTTTAAAAGGTGGCCCTCTTCTGGGTAGATACGTCCTCATGCCAGTGTGCATGGCCTGGCGATTGGAGCTTGGGCTAGATGTCAGCCCCAACTCACCCCTTTAGACGAGAGCCCATGTGCAATATGCCACCTACACAGCCTTAAGTGCTGGGCCTGTCAGTGCGCGTCCACAGTTTGTGCTCCTAGAGCACAGGAACCATTCTAGCCTTGGGGGCCTCCTGGGGTTGTGAGAGGAGGCTTTGTTTTCTGTAAATACTGAGGACCACTTGGTCTGTGATCTTTCTCCCTGAGGGGATTTTAGCCCAAGGAGAGGAGGGGCTCAGGAATAAAGTTGAACACCAGCCCCCATACAACCTCCTGTGTCCCCCTCCCCCTGCCTCATCCCCTCTTCTTGTTTTTGAGACCCTCAGCTGTCCCTTCCCTGCCACACAGCTGCCAGACAGGAAATCAGATTAACTGTGTCCATGCACACAGCTGTAACAGCTGTCAGGTTGGCAGGAGGCAGCCTGGGGACGCTGTGAGGCAGTGGTTCTCAAACTTTTGGTCGCATCAGAATTAACCAAGGGAGCGTATTAAAATGCAGATTCTCAGGCCTTGACACCCTGCCCCCCCAACAAAGGTTTGGATTCTGTAGGGCAGCCCAGGAACCAGTGATTTAAACTCATGTCTCAGGTGATTCTGATGCGAGTAGACTGAGCCCATCCTTGGAGTAAGAGCTGTGTGGACATGGGTCACAGGGCCCAGCAGTCAGCCAGTAGATGTCATCAGCATCCCTGGAAGGCCTTAGTGGGTCTTGGGACTCCTGGGAGAAGGGCCTATACAGGAGGAGGGAGGCTGTCGCCCTAGAAAGAGGTGAATCCAACTCCCAGCCGCCTGTCAGTCAGGAGAGAGGATGTTTCCAGCCGCCAGGGAGCAGGTGTCTAAACCCCAGTGGAATGGGGGATTATGGCAAGCAGCCAGGTGGGCAGGGTGCCCTGCTGGACACCCAGGGCTGTGCTGTGCTTAGGGAGTGGAGGCAGATCTGCTCTGGAGCCCCTGCCATTCCACCCCAGGTGTGGAGCAAACAGTCCTAGCAATAGCTGCAGACTTTGAATGGTTAGTGTGCCTTTTACTTGCCTGTAGCTTTGTACCCAGGTATATGCTAGAAATGGCTGGACTGGGAAATGTGAGTCTATTTCTCCAGAGAGCATCCCAGGATCGACTACTAACTCTATTTGCACCAGTGAGAGATGTTTTATGCCTTCCATCAGGGCTCTGCATCCCGAGCTTAAGGTCCTTCAGAGTCACAGTCTGCCTCAAGGTTTCTGGGGGTTCCCTGCACTTGATCCCATTCTCCCCTGCACCCCTGGGCTCAGATGTTCTGGGGACCAACCAGGTGCCCTTGTCTAGACCTCTGGATCCTTAATACAGAGTTTGGCCCCTTGTTGCATCTCTCATTCAGTTTGAGACCGGGCCTTAATGTTTCCCCTTCTGTTTTTTAGTGGGGAGAAGACAGAGAGCCAGAAGAGCTGGGATTAAGCCCTGGGTCCTCCATCTCCTTTCCAGGTGACCTTGGACAAGTCTCTTCCTTCTCTGGCCTCACTTTCCTCCCTCTGAAAACAGGGGGAATTGAGTTGCTGGTCTTCAGGCCTTTCCTTCCCTGACACTCTAAGGGTCTCTGAGGTCAGTTTCACATTGTGTCTGCTTTGTGGGAAGAGGGGCTTAGGGCCTCCTATGTCCTCAGCCCGGGAGGATGTGGAATAGAACTGGGGAGAGAGGTGTCACCTGCAGTGGGGCTCAGTGAGGTTGGAGCCCAGGGAAGAATTTTGGACTGCTTGCAGCTGGGGGCCCCGAGAGCAAGGCCCAAAACTTGTGCTTATCTGTGCTAAGTAATGTTTTTGAGGGACAAAAGGGATCCCACAATTGTGGCCTGAGCCAAGAGCACAGAGTGGCCCTTCCTGGAGGTAGCGAGGCAGGTGAGATGGCCTGGAAGTGCGGGAGTGGGAAGGAAGCTGCTCTCAGAGATTCCTCCTCTGGCATCGACACCCAGCCGCTGGCTGCACGGGTTTGTGTTGTGTGGGACCCACAAGAAGGGCTTTGTTTGTGCCAGGACCGCAGAGTGACATTCAGACAGTCTGAAATGAGTGCTAAGACTTCCCTCTGGTGGGATTCTGAGGCTGGCACCCTTAGAATCCAGGTGGTCTGTGAAGTTGGCCCCACTTAAAAGATTTGGGAATTCTTAAGTATTTCATTTTATGCACTTTATTTTTTATTTATTTTTTTAATTTTTTTTTGAGACAGAGTCTCGCTCTGTTGCCCAGGCTGGAGTGCAGTAGTGCAATCTCAGCTCACTGCAACCTCCGCCTCTGGGTTCAAGCGATTCTCCTGCCTCAGTCTCCCGAGTATGTGAGACCATGCCTGGGTAATTTTTGTATTTTTAGTAGAGACGGGGTTTCACCACGTTGGCCAGGCTGGTCTTGAAATCCTGACCTCAAGTGATCTGCCCACCTCGGGGTCCCAAAGTGCTGGGATTACAGGTGTGAGCCACTGCACCCAGCCGATTTTATGCACTTCAGAAACATCCTGAGAAGGCCAGGCATGGTGGCTCACGCGTATAATTCCAGCACTTTGGGAGGCCGAGGCAGGCGGATCACCTGAGGTCAGGGCTTCGAAACCAGCCTGGCCAACATGGTGAAACCCCATCTCTACTAAAAATACAAAATTAGCCGGGCATGGTGGCGTATGCCTGTAATCCCAGCTACTTGGGAGGCTGAGGCAGGAGAATCGCTTGAACTTGGGAGGCAGGGATTGCAGTGAGCCGAGATCGTGCCATTGCACTCCAGCCTGGGCAACAAGAGCGAAACTACGTCTCAAAAAAAAAAAAAAGAAAAAACCATTCTGAGAAGTGGTCCACAGGCTTCACTAGATTGCCAAAAGAGTTCAGGACACAAAAAATATGAGGAGCCATTAATAATAGCCCTGCCTCGCACCTCTTGATCTTCCCAGGCCCTGTGCCAAGCTCCTCCGCGTACATTCTCCCGAGCCTAACTACCCTGGGTGTTGGGTGCTGTTCTGCCTGCCAGTTTACAGATGCCTGCATGGAGCGCAGGGTGGTGCCCTGTGTCTTGCCCTAGGAAGGGGAGAGCCTGAATTGAACCCCAGCGTCCTCTCACTCCAGAGCCCTTGCTCTCAACCACTACGTGATGTGTGTTCACTTGTGTTACTTAAGGAATTGTGAAAATTGCTAGGTGAGAGTCAGACCCAGCTTGCCTATGTGGAAATAGTATCTGAATTGTGGTAGAACCTGTTGAGCCTAAATTGGCCTCACTAGTCACACAAGAGCACAGAAATAGATCATGGGAAACTGTCCTTGGTGGGGAGGGGTCATCGGTGTCACAGCGTCATGGGCTCAGGGTGTGAAATGTTGTTCTCCGCCTCCTTCCAAACTCCCTCAGGCCAGGACAGGAACAAGAGCTTTTCCCCAATCTCCAAGAGACAGAACAAGGTAATTAGAAGCTGCTGTCTCCCCCACCTGGTGAGGGAGGTCCTGAGGGCCTGGGTGCTGGTGGGAGATTCTGCCCTCTAGGGTAGGCCAGTTACCTAGGGCTGTCTCTTAAATAAAGGGAACCTGGGCCGGGGGCGGTAGCTCAAGCCTGTAATCCCAACACTTTGGGAGGCGAGGCGGGTGGATCAGCTGAGGTCGGGGGATAGAGACCATCCTGGCTAACACGGTGAAACCCTGTCTCTACTAAGAATACAAATGATTAGCCAGGTGTGGTGGCATGTGCCTGTAGTCCCAGCTACTTGGGAGGCTGAGGCAGGAGAATCGCTTGAACCCAGGAGGCGGAGGTTGCAGTGACCCGAGATCACCCCACCCCACCGCACTCCAGCTGGGCAACAGAGAGACTGTCTCCAAAAAAAAAAAAAAAAGAGAGAACCTGGCCGGGCATATGGCTCATGCCTGTAATCCCAACACTTTGGGAGGCCGAGGCAGGCGGATCACGAGGTCAAGAGTTGGAGACCAGCCTGGCCAACATGGTGAAACTCCGTCTCTACTAAAAATACAAAAATTAGCTGGGTGTGGTGGCACATGCCTGCAGTCCCAGCTACTCAGGAGGCTGAGGCAGGAGAATCACTTGAAGCCGGGAGGTGGAGGTTGCAGTGAGCCAAGATTGCACCACTGCACTACTCCAGCCTAGCAACAGAGCGAGACTCTGTCAGAAAAAAAGAAAAAGGGAACCTGCCCAAGGTCATAGAGTAAGTGAGAGCTGGAATTTGAACTCAGGTCTCTGGGTAGGAACGTTGCTAATCCACATAAAAGCTTCTTTTGTGCAGATTTTAAAAAGGTGGCCCTTCTTCTGGGTAGATACGTCCTCATGCCAGTGTGCATGGCCTGGCGATTGGAGCTTGGGCTAGATGTCAGCCCCAACTCACCCCTTTAGACGAGAGCCCATGTGCAATATGCCACCTACACAGCCTTAAGTGCTGGGCCTGTCAGTGTGCGTCCACAGTTTGTGCTCCTAGAGCACAGGAACCATTCTAGCCTCGGGGGCCTCCTGGGGTTGTGAGAGGAGGCTTTGTTTTTTGTAAATACTGAGGACCACTTGGTCGGTGATCTTCCTCCCTGAGGGGATTTTAGCCCAAGGAGAGAAGGGGGCTCAGGAATAAAGTTGAACACCAGCCCTTGTACATCCTTCCCTGCCCCCCTCCCCCTACCTCATCTCCTCTTTATTGTTTTTGAGACCCTCACCTGTCCCAGGGCTGGCTTACACTGAGCACATAGGACATCCCACATGGGAGCCAGACTGCACACGTGTGTGTTCAGAGGGAACCTGCCTGTGCCAGGAGTCAGGACACCTGCGTTCAGATCTCTGTTTTGCTGCTACTTAGCTGGTAGGATCATCTGCAGAGCAGCCTCTCTAAGAGGCTTGGTTTCCTCACCTGTGTCTTGAGGGTATTGAAACAGATGACCTCCAAGGTCCCTTTCACTTTCTCCTCTTGTGAAGGCAGCTCCTCAGATCCAGGGAGTATCTGCACGGACCTCATTTATGTTATGTATAGACATTCCAAACAGCGTAATAATGTCCCATGCCTTGTACTCTACGCCCCTTGGGTCCCCTCCCCTCCTCCTAGCTTTCTGGGGCTGGTGGCTCCTGGAGCAGGGTCTTTTTTTTTTTTTTTTTTTTTGAGACGGAGTCTTGCTCTGTCGCCAAGGCTGGAGTGCAGTGGTGTGATCTTGGCTCACTGCAAGCTCCACCTCCCGGGTTCATGCCATTCTCCTGCCTCAGCCCCTCAGCCTCCCAAGTAGCTGAGAATACAGGCCTGCCACCACACCCAGCTAATTTTTTGTGTTTTTAGTAGAGACGGTGTTTCACCGTGTTAGCCAGGGTGGTCTTGATCTCCTGACCTCGTGATCTGCCTGTCTCAGCCTCCCAAAGTGCTGGGATTACAGGCATGAGCCACTGTGCCCGGCTGGAGCAGGGTCTTTTTAAAAATTAATTTTATTTTAGGCCAGGCGCAGTGGCTCACGCCTGTAATCCCAGCACTTTGGGAGGCTGAGGCGGGCGGATCATGAGGTCAAGAGATTGAGATCATCCTGACCAACATGGTGAAACCCCGTCTCTACCTAAAAATACAAAAAATTAGGTGGGTGTGGTGGCACATGCCTGTAGTCCCAGCTATTCAGGAGGCTGAGGCAGGAGAATCGCTTGAACCCAGAAGGCGGAGGTTGCAGTGAGCCGAGATCACGCCACTGCACTCCAGCCTGGCGACAGAGCGAGACTCCGTCTCCAAAAAAAAGAAAAAAAAATTACGTATGTATGTATGTATTTATTTATTTATTTTGAGACGGAGTCTCTCCCTGTTGTTGCCCAGGCTGGAGTGCAATGGCGCGATCTCAGCTCACTGCAACCTCCACCTCCTGGGTTCAAGTGATTCTCCTGCCTCAGCTGCCCGAGTAGCTGGGATTACAGGTGTGGGCCACCATGCCCAGCTAATTTTTTTTTTTTTTTTTTTTTTTGTATCTTTAGTAGAGACGGGGTTTCACCATGTTGGCCAGGCTGGTCTCAAACTCCTGACCTCGTGATCTGCCCGCCTTGGCCTCTCAAAGTGCTGGGATTACAGGCATGAACCACTGTGCCTGGCCTTATTTTTATATTTATTTTATGGAGCAGGGTCTTTTAGAGCTAGATGCTAAGCCTCTTGGGTCTGCCAGGCAGGTCCACACTGTGCCAGCTCCCTCCCCCCAGGGCTTCTCTAGGGGGAACTATAGTTCCCATTTCCTTGCTGGCCGGGGTTCTTGTCACAGGGATTCTTGAGTTGGAGATGTTGTCTCTGAGAGGGGGCTTGGACCTGGGGTGCAGCTCATGGTGTGTTCAGAGCAGGCGGAAGGCTTGGCCTTGCTCTTGGGAAGCTAGATCTGTTTTTTATTGTGAATTCTTGTTCCCAAGGCACTGCTAAAACCTGTGCCTCATGGCCCAGGGCCACTCGTCTATTTGGAGGCAGTGTCTCTTTGCCTGGACACCGTTTTTTTAGACTAAGGCTGTGCTGGCAGTAGTCTCAGGGGTTGCCCCACGAGCACCTACATCATCTCCCCCAGAGGACCAGGCTCTCCCTCATGCTGCCTGAAGAATCTACCACAGAAGTCCCCACTGGGCTGATGGGGTTCCTGAAGAGGAGGCAGACCCAGCGGGATGGGAAAGAAGTGTCACTCAGGTGGTGCACTGCCCATGGCCACTTGTGCTCGTGAGCTGGGCAGGGCAGCTCCTGAGCCAGAGCTTGCTATTTTTCCAGCCCCTCGCATGGCTAGAAACACACAGCCCCAAGGCCAGGCACGGTGGCTCACGCTGGTAATCCTGGCACTTTGGGAGGCTGAGGTGGGCAGATCACGAGGTCAGGAGATCGAGACCACCCTGGCTAACACGGTGAAACCCCGTCTCTACTAAAAATACAAAAAATTAGCTGGGCGTGGTGGCGGGTGCCTGTAGTCCCAGCTACTCAGGAGGCTGAGGCAGGAGAATGGCGTGAACCTGGAAGGCGGAGCTTGCAGTGAGCCGAGATCGCGCCACTGCACTCCAGCCTGGGCAACAGAGCGAGACTCCGTCTCAAAAAAAAAAAAAGAAAAAACGAAACACACACAGCCCCACCCACTCAGCAACCCAGGCTGGGACTTCCCATGGAGGCAGGGTGGTCAGCCCTGCAGAAAACCAGAGGTCAGGATGGTGCTGCTGCTTGTTACTGAGGCCACCACTCCCAGGAGAAGGAAGGTTCTCAGTGCTGGGAAAGAGGAAAGTATAGAGCTGGGTGCGGGGGGCCCAAGGCTTTCCCCCAGAGCCTTGCCTCTGACCTCTGCAGGAGGTGGCTCTACTGGCCTCTCGATTCCCATCAGAGTGAAGTCCTGGCAGGTGAGGGAAGGACCCAGGTCCTTGTCCTCCCCTGTGAACCTTTCCCTGGCTTTCTTTTCTTTTCATTTTTTTCTTTTTGAGACAGAGTTTCACTCTTGTTGCCCAGGCTGGAGTGCAATGTCGCGATCTTGGCTCACTGCAACCTCTGCCTCCCGGGTTCAAGTGATTTTCCTGCCTCAGCCTCCCGAGTAGCTGGGATTACAGGCATGCATCACCACACCCGGCTAATTTTGTAATTTTAGTAAAGATGGGGTTTTTCCATGTTGGCCAGGCTGGTCTTGAACTCCTGACCTCAAGTGATCCTCCCGCCTCGGACTCCCAAAATGCTGGGATTATAGCCACCAACGCTTGGCTCTCCCTGGCCTTTCAGTGGGGCTCTTTGCTAGCCAGAGCTCTTGGCCTGTCCTCTTAGGGAACAGTGCCCCTTCGTCTACCCTCTTTTTTTTTTTTTTTTTAGATAGGGTCTCGCTCTATCACCCAGGCTAGAGTGCAGTGGCATGATCTGGGCTCATTGCAACCTCTGCCTCCTGGGTTCAAACAACTCTCCCTGCCTCAGCCTCCTGAGTAGCTGGGATTACAAGTGCCCGCTACCGCACCCAACTAATCTTTGTATTTTTTAGTAGAGATGGGGTTTTGCCATGTTGGCCAGGCTGGTCTTGAACTCCTGACCTCAGGTGATCCGCCCGCCTCAGCCTCCCAAACTGCTGGGATTACAGGCATGAGCCACTGCGCCTGGCCCAGGTTCCCTTTTTTTTAAGAGACAGCCCTGGGTAACTGGCCACCACGCCCCGGGCCTGTCTATCCTCTTCTTTTCCCAGAGGTTCCCCAGCCTTCCTAGTCCACCAGGAGGCGGCCAAGAGCCTCTTCCTATCATGACACAACCACTTCCCCTTCCAGGTGCTTGGTGCTGATGGCAACTGCTGCCACCTGCTCTGCTCATGCCAGGCTGGCAGAGGGCACAGATCCTTGAGAGAGTGCAAGGCCCGCCAGGCTCCAGGGTCTGTGCCTGGGCAGACTCTATTCATGGGGCTCCATGCCCCTCCTTTCCCTGACTCAGGCAGAGTAGCCATGGCCCCTTCCACTTTGGGTGGAGCAGGTTGCTACCTGGCAAACCCCTGGGGTGCTGCATGTCACCCAGTCCCTGCAGGTCCTGCAAATTAATATTCTGGAGTCGCCTGTGCTTCCTGTTTGCATGGGAACGAGGCTGCATGGCAGAGCCCTCTGCCTGCCCTGCCACCTGCATACCAATAGGGCTGTGGTTCCCGCTGCAGCTCCGGGCCTAACATCTCTGCTGCTGCAGTGGCAGTGACAGGCTGGTGGGAGATTCCCCTTGCCTGAGCCCATGTGCTCTCTGCAGGGCTCCTGCAAGGGAAGCCAGTACTGCTGGCGACAGTTCCAGCCCTAGGCAGGGTTATCTGCTGGGAGCCAGGAGTGCTTGGACCTCTGCCCTTCCCTGGGCAGGCAGGCTGGAATCTGGCTCCTACAACCCCGGCATTGCCGGGAGCAGCAGGTTGACGGCTGTCCATTGCTTGGCTGAGTGATCAGAGTGCCACGGGCCAAGCCAAGCTTGACTAAGAACAGATAACCCTCCGGCCAGCTCAGGGCCTTGCTGAGCACTTCACGGGCTGGGGAGACCTGAGCTGGCTGCCATTTCCTTGCCACCATCGTGGGCTGTGGCTAGTTACCTCCAGGAAGGCCTTCTGCAGTTTCCAAGGACCCTTTCTCCTGGTGCTGGGGCAGGACATGGGTTGGGAATGAAGATGAGTATGTGTAACCCCACCCTCTGGCCACATCTGGCCACTTCTGCACATGTGGCTCTGGCCTTGTGGCCACAGAGTCGTCAGTATGGCTGGCGGGAAAACCACAGAGGAATGTTCCCAACCATGCCTGGGGGAGAAGAGGCTGGTGGGGACTGCTACATCATGCTGAGCTTTTACCTTCTCCCACCCCACCCTGCCTGCAGGGGGTTCCAGAGGCCATACTCCAGGCATGTGGGTGGCATGGCCTTGGCCTCGGCCTCCAGCAGGCCTTGCTCCTGCCTTGGTGACACCCATTCAGTGCTAGGTTCTCTGGAGAGATCCAGACCCATCTAAACAGGTGTGGGGGCCTCTCTTAGCCCACCCTTTGCCACCTCCTACCTCCCACCTCCCTCTCTTCTCTTTAAAAATTGTTCGGCTGGGTGTGGTCACTCATGCCTGTAATCCCAGCACTTTGGGAGGCCGAGGCGGGTGGATCACCTGAGGTCAGGAGTTCGAGACCAGCCTGACCTACATGGTGAAACCCCGTTTCTACTAAAAATACAAAAATTAGCTAGGCCTGGTGGTGGGCGCCTGTAATCCCAGCTGCTTGGGAGGCTGAGGCAGGAGAATTGCTTGAACCCAGGAGGCGGAGGTTGCAGTGAGACTCCATCTAAAAAAAAGGCCAGGGGCAGTGGCTCATGCCTGTAATCCCAGCCCTTTGGGAGGCCGAGGCGAGCGGATCACCTGAGGTCAAGAGTTTGAGACCAGCCTGGCCAACATGGTGAAACCTTGTGTCTACTAAAAATACAAAAAAATTAGCTGAGCGTGGTGGCGGGTGCCTGTAATCCCAGCTACTTGCGGGGCTGAGGCAGGAAAACTGCTTGAACCCAGGAGGCAGAGGTTGCAGTGAGCCGAGATTGTGCCACTGCACTCCAGCCTGGATGACAAGAGCAAAACTCCATCTCCAAAAAAAAAAAAAACAAAAAAAAACCAAAACTTGTTTTTTGTTTTTTTTTTCCCTCTCTCGCCTCTTAATGCTGGGGGGTGGTCTGGAGAGAGGCCAGCTCATGAAGGCAGAAGATACTGGTAGCCAGAAGGATTTCGGGGTCCTTTTTTCTCAGGCCTGGGCTGGAGTGGGCCACTTTGCCACAGGAGTCTTCCCAGCCCCTCGTGACCTCCCTGGGCTGTAGCGAGGAGAGTGAGGGCTTTCTTTGGAGAAAGAAGTAGAAGAGAAACAGGAATGGGTTGGCCTGCCTCTCTCACTTCCGCCTTCCCAGGCAGTGGTATCCTGCCTTCCCCTTCCTGGCTGGAGACTTTGTGGGGCTTGGGCTGGGCTTGGGGCTCCCTGCTGGTGTGGTGTTTGCCCAGTTGTCCTGGCAACCACAGGGCAGTGGTGAGGAGTGACATGCAGTGACCTGAGAACTGTGTGTAGGTACAAAGAAGTGGAGACCTAGCCCTCCCATAAGCCCATTGGAACTTCGTGCACTCCCTGAGCCACTCGGCCCATTGTCCATGTGGGGACTGGACCCAAGGTCTTGGAACCCAGCAGGCCCTCCACTGCCTTCCCCTCCCCAGCAGCCTTCCTCTCCCCAGCCGGTTCTCCGTAAGACCAGAGTTCTGAGATCTCTGCCGAAGCTCCTGCCCTCCCCCTGCTGTTACCCTTCTTCCTGTCTGATTCCCTTTCCTTTCCTGTCTCCTCCTCCCACCTCCTCCCTGCTGCCTGCCCGCCCATCCTCTTATTCCCCCTCCCCCCAGGCACAGCTGCTGTTTGGCTCACTCTATATATAGCGGCATTTTCAGGGTAATTACAATAAAACTGTTGAAAGGAGATAATCCAGCAAAGGAAGCGAGTCTTGACTCCCAGCCCCCTCCTGTCCCTGGCTTGGTGCAGCCCTGCACCCCCTTTCCCCGAGGCCTCCTGTTCCCACCCCACCCCCATTCCCACAGCCTCTCCCTCCTGCCCAGTCTGCCCCAGATAGGGATGAGGCCCCAGAAGGGGACAGAGGGTAGAGATATCCAGAAGGTCTCCACCAGCCTCTCCTGGGGTTACCAAGGGCACTGTCAGTCCTAGAACCAACCTCTGTGCCTCAGTTTCTCTTCTAGTATGAGGCTTTGCATGGGGCACGGTGTTGAGAAATGGGAGCGGGCACAGTGGTTAAAAGCTTAGGATTTGGACTCATATTCTAGTTATTGGATCACCTAGCTGTGTCTGGTTGCTACTTAAACTTCTCTAAACCTCAGTTTCCTCATCAGTAAAATGGGGTAATAATAGCATCTAAGTCATAGGGTAACTGTGATATTTAAATGAGTCATTGTAAAATGCCCAGAGATGTTGACTATCAATGATAATATTATGTGTTGAAGGCTGGGCAGTGGCTCACGCCTATAATCCCAGCACTTTGGGAGGCTGAGGTGGGAGGATCGCTTGAGCCTAGGAGTTTAATTCAGCCTGGGCAACATAGTGAGACCCTGTCTCTACTAAAAAATTAAAAATTAGCCTGGTGCATTGGCATGCTCCTGTAATCCCTGCTACTTGGGAAGCTGAGGTGGGAGGGTTGCTTGAGGTCGAGGCTGTCATGAGCCACGATCATGCCATTGCATTCCAGCCTGGGCGACAGAGCAAGACCTTGTCTCTGATATATATATAGGTAGAGAGATAAATACACACACATATGTATGTGTGTGTGTATATATATATATACACACACATACGTACACACATATATATACACACACACACACAGATACATAAAATGCGTCGAGTAGTCACAATCTGTCAGGTACAGCTTCATGCTTATGCACATTTTCTTTATTTTTTTGAGATGGAGGCTCGCTCTGTCGCCCAGGCTGGAGTGCAGTGGTGCGATCTTGGCTCACTGCAACCTCCACCTCCAGGGTTCAAGCGATTCTCCTGCCTCAGCCTCCTGAGTAGCTGGGACTACAGGCGTGTGCCACCACGCCCAGCTAATTTTTTTTGTTTTTAGTAGAGACAGGATTTCACCATGTTAGTCAGGATGGTCTTGATCTCCTGACCTCGTGATCTACCCGCCTCAGCCTCCCAAAGTGCTGGGATTACAGGCAAGAGCCACCGCGCCCGGCCTCCCCCTTTTTGTTTTTTGTTTTTTTTTTTTCTGGAGACAGTCTTGCTCTGTCACCCAGGCTAGAGTGCAGTTGCATGATCTTGGCTCACTGCAACCTCCGCCTCCCGGGGTTCAAGAGATTCCCATGCCTCAGCCATCTGAGTGGCTGGGATTACAGGTGTGCACCATCACGCCCAAATAATTTTTGTATTTTTAGTAGTGAGGGGGTTTCATCATGTTGACCAGGCTGGTCTCAAACTCCTGGCCTCAGGTGATCTGCCTGCCTCAGCCTCCCAAACTAACCTGAGATTACAGGTGTGAGCCACCGTGCTCAGCCTGTATTTTCCTATTGAAGTTCATGGCTTCAGCCTCATTTAATTAAGGTAAAATGTTGCATCCATGGAGCAGAGGGATTTGACTTCCTCTCTGTCTCTGTTCTCTTTGGGTCTCCTAGAATCCTGCGTGGTAGCCTTTGGGCCTCAGGCATGACTGGAGTCTGGGGCTGGGCCCACTAACTCCTTCCTGTCTCTTCTGCCCACAGTGGAGGTGAAGCCGGTGCTGCCAAGAGCCATGCCCAGTTCCATGGGGGGTGGGGGTGGAGGCAGCCCCAGCCCTGTGGAGCTACGGGGGGCTCTGGTGGGCTCTGTGGACCCCACACTGCGGGAGCAGCAACTGCAGCAGGAGCTCCTGGCGCTCAAGCAGCAGCAGCAGCTGCAGAAGCAGCTCCTGTTCGCTGAGTTCCAGAAACAGCATGACCACCTGACAAGGCAGCATGAGGTCCAGCTGCAGAAGCACCTCAAGGTGAGCGAGGGGGGTGCGGGGGGCCGCCCAGACCTCCGATCCCCGCCCGGGCCTGGCTCACTTGTGCCTCCGTTCCCATGCCCCTGCAGCAGCAGCAGGAGATGCTGGCAGCCAAGCAGCAGCAGGAGATGCTGGCAGCCAAGCGGCAGCAGGAGCTGGAGCAGCAGCGGCAGCGGGAGCAGCAGCGGCAGGAAGAGCTGGAGAAGCAGCGGCTGGAGCAGCAGCTGCTCATCCTGCGGAACAAGGAGAAGAGCAAAGAGAGTAAGGCAGGGCCTCCTGGGACCTCGTAGGGCCCCGCCCGTGATGCCTGCCCCTGCCATGGGGGGTCTGGCCCCAAGCAGCCAGGTCAGTTGTGCCCTGTCCTGCAGGTGCCATTGCCAGCACTGAGGTAAAGCTGAGGCTCCAGGAATTCCTCTTGTCGAAGTCAAAGGAGCCCACACCAGGCGGCCTCAACCATTCCCTCCCACAGCACCCCAAATGCTGGTAATGGCCCTGGGCAGGCATGGGTGGGCATAGGTGAGCCGCTCAGGGGCTGCCTGGCTATAGGATGGCAAGGGGCTTCTTCCCCGTGCCCATATACGGGCCCTGCAATCTCTCCTTAGAGACAGGACCCCCATCCCTGGTTTATTTCCTCATTCCTTCCCCAAGATCCACGTCCTCTTCCTATATACAAACGATTTTTCATAAATGTAGATTGCCAGGTGGCAGGTCCAGCAGACTGGGTGATAACCTAGATCTGCTTCCATCCCCACCCCCCCCCCACCCCAGGGGAGCCCACCATGCTTCTTTGGACCAGAGTTCCCCTCCCCAGAGCGGCCCCCCTGGGACGCCTCCCTCCTACAAACTGCCTTTGCCTGGGCCCTACGACAGTCGAGACGACTTCCCCCTCCGCAAAACAGGTGAGTGAGTCCCCCACCTGGCCTCCCAGAATATGGCTCCTGGGAGGCAGAGGTGGGCTTGTGGCAGTGTCAGCCCTGACCCCAGTGGGCTCAGCTGCAGATGTGTGCTGCTGTGCGCGTATCTGAACCTCGGTTACCTTCTCTCCAGCCTCTGAACCCAACTTGAAAGTGCGTTCAAGGCTAAAACAGAAGGTGGCTGAGCGGAGAAGCAGTCCCCTCCTGCGTCGCAAGGATGGGACTGTTATTAGCACCTTTAAGAAGAGAGCTGTTGAGATCACAGGTGCCGGGCCTGGGGGTAAGGGCTGCTCTCATGTACCTGTTCTGAGGGTCTGGGAATCAGGGGTCGGGGGTAGTTCACAGCAGGCCCAGGTGACAGCCACTTCTCCTATAGCGTCGTCCGTGTGTAACAGCGCACCCGGCTCCGGCCCCAGCTCTCCCAACAGCTCCCACAGCACCATCGCTGAGAATGGCTTTACTGGCTCAGTCCCCAACATCCCCACTGAGGTACAGGCCTGGCTGGGGGCTGGTGGGGCGGGGACAGAGTTGCTCCTTCCCATGGAAGAAAGAGTGCAGCTCCTTCCAGTCTGTCTGCCTGAGTGCCCAGCAGAGACCTCTCTGCCCACATGAATAGGCTGGAGGATCCTTGCTTGGACTTAATTGCATTGAAGGGGAATTTGTCCCACAGGACTATGAAGAGCCCTGATGGCTCAGTCTCCCTCAGTGGGAGCTCAGGGTAGAGGGAACTGGGCACCATTCAGAGACCTTGGCCTTGGCCCCAGGTTGCCCTCCCTTGTTGCCTCCCCTTTGTGCACTCTCATGCCTGTCTCTTCTGACTGCTCCCCAGATGCTCCCTCAGCACCGAGCCCTCCCTCTGGACAGCTCCCCCAACCAGTTCAGCCTCTACACGTCTCCTTCTCTGCCCAACATCTCCCTAGGGCTGCAGGCCACGGTCACTGTCACCAACTCACACCTCACTGTAAGTACAGGGCATATACCCCATCTTCCCTCTGGTGTTGAGGTCACAGGTCCTGCATGCCCCCAGCTGGGGTTTTCCCCTTCCAAGGCCCTAAGGGAGATCTGTTGGCCCTACCCAGAGCTTGGGGGGTAGATAGTGGGTAGATGGGGATGCTAGTCCAAAGTTGGCAGGACTGAGGCTGTATAAGCCCCTCCCTTCACCCCCCAGGCCTCCCCGAAGCTGTCGACACAGCAGGAGGCCGAGAGGCAGGCCCTCCAGTCCCTGCGGCAGGGTGGCACGCTGACCGGCAAGTTCATGAGCACATCCTCTATTCCTGGCTGCCTGCTGGGCGTGGCACTGGAGGGCGACGGGAGCCCCCACGGGCATGCCTCCCTGCTGCAGCATGTGCTGTTGCTGGAGCAGGCCCGGCAGCAGAGCACCCTCATTGCTGGTGAGTGGACAGGTAGCTGTGCAAGGGAGGGGGCTAAGGTCAGGACCAACTGTCAGGGATACTCTCCAACCCTGTCACAGTTCCCCTTAGCAGAATCAACAGCATCAGTGATTTCTTCCACATTCTGGAAACATGGGATACCTACAGGATGCCAGGCACTGTTCTTGACAAAATCTGCTGCCATCTTGGCGTTCACATCCCAGAGCAGTGTTGTTCAGTAGAAACATAACACAATCTACATACGTAATTTCTAGCATCCACATTAAAAAATGTAAAAAGAAGGCCGGGCGCGGTGGATCACGCCTGAAATCCCAGCACTTTGGGAGGCTGAGGCGGGTGGATCACGAGGTCAGGAGATTGAGACCATTCTGGCTAACATGGTGAAACCCCGTCTCTACTAAAAATACAAAAAATTAGCCGGGCGTGGTGGTGGGCACCTGTAGTCCCAGCTACTCAGGAGGCTGAGGCAGGAGAACAGTGTGAACCTGGGAGGCGGAGCTTGCAGTGAGCCGAGATCGTGCCACTGCACTCCAGCCTGGGGCACAGAGCGTGAGACTCCGTCTCAAAAAAATAAAAAAATTAAAAGAAGCAAGTGGAGCCACACATGGTGGCTCAAGCCTGTGAGCCCGGCACTTTGGAGGCCAAGGCAGGTGGATCACTTGAGGTCAGGAGCTTGAGACCAGCCTGGCCAACATGGTGAAATCCCATCTCTACTAAAAATACAAAAATTAGCTGGGCGTGGTGGCGGGCACCTGTAATCCCAGCTACTCGGGAGGCTGAGGCAGGAAAATTGCTTGAACCCAGGAGGCGGAGGTTGCAGTGAGCCGAGATCGCTCCATTGCACCCAAGCCTGGGCAACAGAGCGACACTCTGTCTCAAAAAAAAGAGAAGCAAGTGGAATTAATTTCACCACATATATTTAACTCATTATATCCAGAATATTACAATTTCGGTAATACATATGCAGTTATTCTTTCTATTTTTTAATTTTTGTAGAGACAGGATCTTGCTATGTTACCCAGGCTGGTCTTTTTTTCGAGACTGAGTCTCGCTCTGTTGCCCAAGCTAGAGTGCAGTGGCGTGATCTTGGCTCACTGCAACCTCTGCCTCCCGGGTTCAAGCAATTCTCCTGCCTCAGCCTCCCAAGTAGTTGGGATTATAGGCGCCTGCCACCGCGCCTGGCTAATTTTTGTATTTTTAATAGAGCTGGGGTTTCACCATCTTGGCCAGGCTGGTCTTGAACTCCTGACCTCAGGTGATCCGTTCGCCTCGGCCTCCCAAAGTGCTGGGATTACAGGTGTGAGCCGCCATGCTCATCCTTTTTTTTTTTTTTTTTTTGAGACAGAATCTCACTTTGTTGCCCAGGCTGGAGTGCAGTAAGCAGGATCTCTGCTCACTGCACCCTCCACCTCCTGGGTTCAAGCTTCAAGCGGTTCTTTTGCTTCAGCCTCCTGAGTAGTTAAGACTACAGGCGTGTGCCACCACACCCAGCTAATTTTTTTTTTTTTTTTTTTTTTTTTTTGAGACGAAGTTTCACTCTTGTTGCCCAGGCTGGAGTGCAGTGGCAAGATCTCGGCTCACTGCAACCTCTGCCTCTCGAGTTCAAGTGATTCTCCTGCCTAAGCCTCCCAAGTAGCTGGGATTACAGGCATGTGCCACCATGCCTGGCTTAATTTTTTGTATTTTTATTAGAGAAGAAGTTTCACCACGTTGGCCAGGCTGGTCTTGAACTCCTGACCTCAGATGGTCCACCCGCCTTGGCCTCCCAAAGTGTTGGAATTACAGGCGTGAGCCACTGCGCCTGGCCTAATTTTTGTATTTTTAGTAGAGACGGGGTTTCACCATGTTGGCCAAGTTGGTCTTGAACTCCTGACCTCAAGTGATCCACCTGCCTTGGCCTCCCAAAGCGCTGGGATTACGGGTGTGAGCCACCGCACCCAGCTGCCCAGGTTGGTCTTGAACTCCTGGGCTCAAGCCATCCCCCTGCCTTGGACTCCCAAAGTGCTGGGATTACAGGTGTGAGCCACTGTGCCTGGCCAATATGCAGTTACCAATGAGATATTTTGGTTTTTGTTTCATACTCTTTGAAATCTAGTGTATACTTCACACTTATATCACATTTCAGTTTAGACAGGTTGTGTGCAAGGGCTCAGCAGTCACATGTAACTAGTAGCTATGGGACTAGACAGCACAACTTTAGACAGCCCTTAAGTACCAGGGCTGTCTAAAGAGCCCTGGCACCAGAAGAGGTTCTGCTTGAAAGATACATGATCCTGGCCCTAGGGCTTCCTAGCCTGGCGGGATCCACGGGGAGGATCCATGATCAGGGAGGCCTTGTTGCACTTAGGGAGAAAAGTCATTGTTCGTTCAGAGGGCTCAAGACTAAATGTATACTCAGTTTATTCAGTTAAGGAAATCGAAGGGAAAAGATGGTGAATCCAGGAAGGCTTGCTGGAGGTGGTACCTTAGAGCTGTGAAACTCTTCATTCATGGGGAAGAGGAAGAATGGAGCTCAGGTTTGGGTGGGGGGTGCTTCAGGTCCCCCAGGGTTTTTCCTGAGTATATAGGTGGTGATATGCCAGAGGGGGTTGTGGGGGCAAGATGCAGGGTCGGTGGGAGGGCAGTCAGGTGCCCTGACAATGGTGCTTAGTCATCACCCCCAACTCCGTAGTGCCACTCCACGGGCAGTCCCCACTAGTGACGGGTGAACGTGTGGCCACCAGCATGCGGACGGTAGGCAAGCTCCCGCGGCATCGGCCCCTGAGCCGCACTCAGTCCTCACCGCTGCCGCAGAGTCCCCAGGCCCTGCAGCAGCTGGTCATGCAACAACAGCACCAGCAGTTCCTGGAGAAGCAGAAGCAGCAGCAGCTACAGCTGGGCAAGGTGAGCCTGGAAAGGTGAATGGCCTGGGGCTGTGGTGGGGGCAGGACACAGGAGAGTACCAGGCTGGCAGAAAAGTCCTCCTTTCAGGCCAGACACGGTGGCTCGCGCCTGATTGGGAGGCCGAGGTGGGCAGATCGCCTGAGGTCAGGAGTTCGAGACCAGCCTGGCCAACATGGTGAAACCCCCGTCTCTACTAAAAATACAAAAATTAGCCAGGCGTGGTGGTAGGCACCTATAATAATCCCAGCTACTCGGGAGGCTGAGGCAGGAGAATTGCTTGAACCTGGGAGATGGAGGTTGCACTGAGCCCAGATCGCACCATTGCACTGCAGCCTGGGTGAGAAGAGCGAGACCGTCTCAAAAAAACAAACAAAAATTAGCTGGGCGTGGTGGCGTGCGCCTGTAACCCCAGTCACTGGGGAGGCTGAGGCAGGAGAATCGCTTGAATTTGGAAGGCGGAGGTTGCAGTGAGCCGAGATCGTGCCACTGCATGCCAGGCTGGGCGACAGAGGGAGACTCTGTCTCAAAAAAAAAAAAAGTCCTCTCAGAGGAGCTACCTCACCTTTTTCTAATTCACATAGAAGCTCTACCTGGAAGAAGGGAGGGAGGGAAGGATAGACTGTTCTGGGTTTTAGGCTGCACAGCTGCTCCCCAACTCCCAGCTGATGTGCCCCCATATTCTGTTATCAGATCCTCACCAAGACAGGGGAGCTGCCCAGGCAGCCCACCACCCACCCTGAGGAGACAGAGGAGGAGCTGACGGAGCAGCAGGAGGTCTTGCTGGGGGAGGGAGCCCTGACCATGCCCCGGGAGGGCTCCACAGAGAGTGAGAGCACACAGGAAGACCTGGAGGAGGAGGACGAGGAAGACGATGGGGAGGAGGAGGAGGATTGCATCCAGGTTAAGGACGAGGAGGGCGAGAGTGGTGCTGAGGAGGGGCCCGACTTGGAGGAGCCTGGTGCTGGATACAAAAAAGTGAGCCCCGTCCCTGGTCCCAGTCCTTGGTCACCACCCCTCTGTCCTTCTCCACCCCTGCCTCTGCCCTTGTCTTTCCCTCTCCCCCATCTGCAGTTTCCAGGCTGTGCAGGAGCAGCTTTCTGTAGAGAGCAAAAGGGGAGTGGGAAGGAGGCCGGTGGGGAGAAGGGGGAGCTGTTTGTGTTGATCTCAGAGTTGTGTCTGTCCTAGGCTGCCAGTTCCCTCCCTGTGTCTGTGATACTGGCCTGCCTCTCTGCTTGTGTGTCTGTGTATGCATGCGTCGGTCCCTGTGCGTGCCTGTGCGTGTGTGTACACACACGCCCCCGCTGTTACTACTGTCTGCCTCGCGCCTAGCTGGCACTCCATTCATTGCGGACACAGCCGAGCCCTCCGGGCCTGACTCATCCCGCCCCCACCCCGCCCCCGCCCCCACCCCTCCCAGCCTCTTACCTCAATGCTACTCTTTGATGTGACTCATCACATCTCCCCCATCCCTCCCCATCTCAGAGGAGATGTGTCTCCTGTCCCTGGAGGGAGCAAGTGGGAGGAGGTGGGGGAAGGAGACTTGGAAGAAAAGGGCTGGATTGGGGCCCCACTGGAGGCCCTGACAGGGCCTGCCCTCACCCCTGTCCTGGCTGAGTCTGACCCAGGCCCCCTCCCATTCTCCCCTCCAGCTGTTCTCAGATGCCCAGCCGCTGCAGCCTTTGCAGGTGTACCAGGCGCCCCTCAGCCTGGCCACTGTGCCCCACCAGGCCCTGGGCCGTACCCAGTCCTCCCCTGCTGCCCCTGGGGGCATGAAGAGCCCCCCAGACCAGCCCGTCAAGCACCTCTTCACCACAGGTGAGCCCCCACCAACTGTTAGGTCCTTCTGCCAGGCACCAGAGGGCCTGTGTGTGGTGTCTGCCCCATGGCAGGGGGAAGAGGCTGCTGGGGCCCCTTAGGCACCCTGAAAGGAGGGGACACAGGCCTTCGTTCTCTCCCTGTACCCCAGAGCTGTTCATGGTAGCGGCAGGGCCTTCTGCCTCAGCCGGGAGAGTGGGTAGCGTCTTTCTCACCCCGCTGAAGGAAGGACTGCCCCACAGCCTGAAGTGCTGGGTAGAGAGAGCCTGCTGTCCCTGTTGGGCCCTGACCTTCTACCTTCCCTTCCTTCTCCCTGTGAGGTCTGGGATGAGACCAGAGTCCTCTTCCCTATGAAGCTGCCACAGGCTGGGCTCTGGGGGGACACAGACGTGCCTGAGGGTGGCCCTGTATCACCCGTGGAGAGTAAGACACGGGTTTGGCAGGAGGGGGAAAGCAGGAGGTGCCGTGAGAAGGGTGCAGCTGAGGAGGCACAGCTGGCAGAGATGAGACTCATGCGAGTGTCCAGGGCAGCCTTGCTGGGGCTTGAGGAGCAGGGAAGCTTCTGATAGGCAATAATGGAGCAAAGGAATTTCAGGAGGAGTCAAGAGGGGGCAAAGGCTGGAGAGGAAAGGCCAGGTGCAGTGGCTCACACCTGTAATCCCAGCATTTTGGGAGGCCAAGGTGGGAGGATCACTTGAGCCCAGGAGTTTGAGACCAACGTGAGCAACATAGTGAGACCCCGTCTCTTTAAAATAAAAAATAAAAAAATAGGTTGGGTGCAGTGGCTCACGCCTGTAATCCCAGCACTTTAGGAGGCTGAGGTGGGTGGATTACCTGAGGTCAGGAGTTCGAGACCAGCCTGGCCAACATGGTAAAACCCCGTCTCTACTAAAAATACAAAAATTAGCCAGGCGTGGTGGCACATGCCTGTAATCCCAGCTACTCGGGAGGCTGAGGCAGGAGAATTGCTTGAGCCCAGGAGGCAGAGGTTGCAGTGAGCCGAGATCGTGCCACTGGACCTGGCCGACAGAGCGAGACTCTGTCTCAAAAAAAAACAAAAGAAAAGCTAGGTGTGGTAGTGCCTATAGTCCCAGCTACTCAGAACGCTGAGGTGGGAGGATCGCTTGAGCCCAGGGTGGTGGGGGCAGTGGTTGAGGCTGCAGTGAGCCATGATAGCACCACTACACACTCCACTCCAGCCTGGGTGACAGAGTGAGACCCTGTTTCAAAGAAAAAAAAAAAAAAGCTGGAGAGGAGAGGGGGCAGGTTTGTGGCAGGGTGGCTGCAGTGGCCATGGGGAGGTGTTTGGACCTGGGGGTTGGAGACAGCTCCATGAGCCCTGCTGAGGATCATGGTAGCCAGGCTGGGATCCTGGGCCCAGAGCAGTGCTGGCTGACACATAGGTCTGTGGCCCAGGTGTGGTCTACGACACGTTCATGCTAAAGCACCAGTGCATGTGCGGGAACACACACGTGCACCCTGAGCATGCTGGCCGGATCCAGAGCATCTGGTCCCGGCTGCAGGAGACAGGCCTGCTTAGCAAGTGCGAGGTAAGGGAGCCCCTCCTTCTTCTGGCTCTCAACTTAAATCCAGCCTTTGTTTCCCTGTTAGATAAGCCTCTCTTCATGCTTCTTCCTCATCCTCTCTTCAGCCCCAGACTTCGGGGCCAGTTCTCCCACCACCCCGTTCCATCCCTTGCAGCCTGTTTTCCCCCATGGTCCCCAGCTGAGTGGGGGGGATCCGGGAGTAAGGTCATGACAGAGCCAGGATCTACTTTCTGAAAATATTTGGATCTCCTGAGGCCAGGAAGTGGCTCTGTGTGCCCTGGCTATGGGGCAGAGAGGCTCTGAGAGAGCTGTGCCTTTGTGTGACCCCTCTTACTGATCCTCCTGGCAGCGGATCCGAGGTCGCAAAGCCACGCTAGATGAGATCCAGACAGTGCACTCTGAATACCACACCCTGCTCTATGGGACCAGTCCCCTCAACCGGCAGAAGCTAGACAGCAAGAAGTTGCTCGGTGAGCTGGCACATGGGTGGGCGGGCAGGCATGTTCAGTGTCAGGGTGGGATGGGGGCTCTCAGGAAGACTGCCTGACCAGGCTAGGAGGGTTGTCCCCACGGGCATAGGGCATTGCTGCGGCAGAGGTGGCACAATTATCACGTCACACACCTCCAGAGGGCGCCACTAAAATAGAGCATGCTGTGGGGCGCGGTGCAGGAGGATGGAAGTGCTCGGTTGGGGGGACTGCTTTGTTCCCCTCCTCCACGGCTTATCATGCTCCTCTCTCCCTGCCACCTGCCCCCAGAGGTAAGACGTCCCCAAGGACAGAGGACTGACAGCTTCCAACTGGTGTGGGCTGCAGAGGCCTGTCTTGTACTTGGGTCTGAGCCCTCATTTTTGGTGGCTAAGCCTGTAGCCCTGTGGCAGTTGAGGTGCCTTTTTTTTTTTTGAGACAGTCTTGCTCTGTTGGCCAGGCTGGAGTACAGTGGTGCGATCTCAGCTCACTGCGACCTCTGTCTCCCCAGGCTCAAGCAACTCTCTTGCCTGAGCCTATTGAGTAGCTGGGTTTACAGGTGTGTGCCACCACGCCCAGCTAAGTTTTGTATTTTTAGTAGAGATGGGGTTTCATCATGTTGTCCAGGCTGGTCTCGAACTCCTGACCTCAGGTGATCCGCCCGAGGCCACTTCTAGAGTAGCTCTATTCCTCTTCCATGCAGGCCCCATCAGCCAGAAGATGTATGCTGTGCTGCCTTGTGGGGGCATCGGGGTGAGTAGGGCGTACAGCAGTGGGGGTGGGCGGGCGGCTCTCCTAGGTCTGTCTCTTCCCTGCCTACCACAGCCGCTGGCCCACTGTCCAGGTGCCCTCCCCTGTTCTTGCCCTGCAGGGGGCACACTGAAACCTGCTCTCCTGCCCTGCAGGTGGACAGTGACACCGTGTGGAATGAGATGCACTCCTCCAGTGCTGTGCGCATGGCAGTGGGCTGCCTGCTGGAGCTGGCCTTCAAGGTGGCTGCAGGAGAGCTCAAGGTGAGCGTGTGCTTGTGACCTCGGTGCCCCTTGGCATGGCCCTGCTCCTCAGAGGCAGAGGACAGGGGCAGCCTTGGGATCCTTTCAGTGAGGCACTGTCCTTTGCAAGCTCAACTCTCAGGCACCAGGGTGGGAAGGAGTTGCCAGCTGGGAATTCAGGTTATGAGGGACCAACAAAAAGACACTAATGCCCAGTGCTCTCGTGGGTGTCTCGAGGCAGAAATAGTGTCTGCCTGCTCAAGCCTCATGGTTGGCATTCAAAATGGTCCGTTGAGGCTGGGCACAGTGGCTCATACCTGTAATCTCAACACTTTGGGAGGCCGAGGTGGGCAGATAGCTTGAGCCCAGGAGTTCGAGACCAGCCTGGGCAACATAGTAAAACGCTGTCTCTACAAAAAATTAACCAGGTGTGGTGGCGTGTGCTTGTAGTCCTAGCTATTCAGGAGACTGAGGTGGAAGGATTGTCTGAGCCTGGGAGGCCAAGGTTGTAGTGAGCCATGATCGCGCCACTGCACTCCAGCCTGGGTGACAAAGCAAGACTCTGTCTCCAAAAAAACCCATAAAAAAACAAAGAAACCCCAACAAAATTGTGCATTAAACATATGGATCTGCTTTTCTGGTTTGTGTTCACTTCCCTGCCTGGCTTGTGCTTCTGTCCTGTGCTACCCCCTCCACGGCCTTCCTGCCTGGATCTTGCCCCTCACCTCTGCCTGCACCTCTTCAGAATGGATTTGCCATCATCCGGCCCCCAGGACACCACGCCGAGGAATCCACAGCCATGTGAGTGCCCTAGATTCTCTGCCCTCGCCCCTTCCTGTCTCTTGCAAACGTCATGCTGAGGCTGACCTCCTGCCCTTTTCTCCCCTCCTCAGGGGATTCTGCTTCTTCAACTCTGTAGCCATCACCGCAAAACTCCTACAGCAGAAGTTGAACGTGGGCAAGGTCCTCATCGTGGACTGGGTAGGCAGTGAGCTGGTGGGGCTGGGCAGGGGCGGGTAGAGCTAGGACCAGGGTCAGCCTTCAGGAAGTCTCCTCCCCCAGCCCCACCTTCAAGCACCCCAGTCGTCCTCATCCTCGGGTGCTGGGTGTGGGTGCAGAAGGAAGGGCGCTGGGGCTCCTGCCGGATGACTAACGTCACATTCCAACAGGGCTCCCTCCTCAACTATGAAAGACATTTAGCTCCTGTTCCATCTTGGCCCTCACGTTGCAGTTTCAAGCAACGAAGGGGATTTCCTACCTTGAACGGTAGTGACGCTGCCGCCATTGCTAGTAGCCGATATTTCCTCCCACCCCCTACAATTAGGAGCAGACTGTATACCAGGAACACAATGAGTACTTTATGGCCACCTCGAGTAGTAAGAACGAGGATGTCCATTTCTGTGAACAAAGGTGTTGTTGCGTGACTTACCCAAGGCCACTCAGCTGGGGATGTCGGCACTGGGTTTCAGACCAAGGCTTTTGGCCCCAGCACTCTGCTCTTGCTACCATGGGTGCTTCCCAAACCCTGCTCCTAATGGTGGAGGCAGAGGCACACACCACTCTCTGTGAGCTGGGGAAGTAGCCAGGACCAAGCCTCAGGAAGGACAAAATCTCTTGGAAGCCCAATTCTGGCTTAAAAATTCATGTAAATGTTGGATCCTCCTTCAGAATCTTACGTGCTTGTGGTTGGGCACAATGGCTCAAAGCCTGTAATCCCAGCATTTTGGGAGGCCAAGGTGGGTGAATCACTTGGGGTCAGGAGTTCGAGACCAGGATGGCCAACATGGTGAAACCCTGTCTCCACTGAAAATTCAAAAAAATTAGTTAGGTGTGGTGGCGGGAGCCTGTAATCCCACCTATTGGGGAGGCTGAGGCAGGAGAATTCCTTGAACCTGGGAAGTGGAGGTTGCAGTGAGTCAAGATCATGCCACTGCACTCCAGCCTCGATGACAGAGTGAGATTCTGTCTCAAAAAAAAAAAAAAAAGAAAGAAAAGAAAAAGGAAAACAAAAAAGGCCGGGTACAGTGACTCATGCCTGTAATCCCAGCACTTTGAGAGGCCGAGGTGGGTGGATCACCTGAGGTCAGGAGTTTGAGACCAGCCTGGCCAACATGGTGAAACCCCATCTCTACTAAAAATACAAAAAAAATTGGCCGGGCATAGTGGTGGGCGCCTGTAATCCCAGCTACTCGGGAGGCTGAGGCAGGAGAATCGCTTGAACCCGGGAGGTGGAGGTTGCAGTGAGCCCAGATCGTGCCACTGCACTCTAGCCTGGGCAACAAGAGTGAAACTTGGTCTCAAAAAAAAAAAAGAAAGAATCTCATCTGCCTGTTTTAAATTCCCTACTAGCCTTAATGTTTTCCCCAAAACTGTGAGGTGGAATGGGTTCTGTAGGGAGATATGCCACATTTATCCCATGGTTTTGAATATCACCTACACAGTGCCACCCCACAGAGGCTCAGACCTAGTTAGAGAAGTGTGGGGTGTGCAATACCATTGTGAACAGAATATGGATGCCCTGTGGCCAAGGGTGGAGTCCTGGGCTCAAGCGATCCTCCCAGCCCTCAGCCTCCCAAAATGCTAGGATTACAGGCATGAGCTACAGTGCTCAGCTGACAGGTGGAATTTGACCATTGGGTCAGAGCGCGGGCCATTTTCCCGATGCTTCTACCTCCCCTCATAGGACATTCACCATGGCAATGGCACCCAGCAGGCGTTCTACAATGACCCCTCTGTGCTCTACATCTCTCTGCATCGCTATGACAACGGGAACTTCTTTCCAGGCTCTGGGGCTCCTGAAGAGGTACAGCTCCTGGGCGTAAATGCAGACCCTCCTGGCCCCTCTGGGAGGTGGCACAATGGGACCTGGCGGGGAGCCACGGAGGCCCATGGTGGTGTTGGTACCTGGGGAGTCTGGGCTCCTAGTGGGAGGACCACACTGATCTGACTGCCCCTCCAGGCAGAGCAGAGGTCAGTGGAGTGAGATCTGGAGGCAGGGGTGAGGGCAGGGGCAATGTTTGGGACTCCCAGGTGGTGAGAATAGCCCTCTCCCCAACTCTGGTGCCAGGTTGGTGGAGGACCAGGCGTGGGGTACAATGTGAACGTGGCATGGACAGGAGGTGTGGACCCCCCCATTGGAGACGTGGAGTACCTTACAGCCTTCAGGTAGGGACTGAAAAGGGCCATGGTAGTCAGTGGGAGCCCCTCTGGGCCCTGCAGTGGGAGGGGCAGAAGGCACTCAGTTCAGTGTGGGTAGAGGGGGTTGTCTCTGGGAGGATAACAGTGGGGCGAGGCCTGGCCTGGTCATCTGCCGGGCTCAGCTTGAGCCATCCCTTTGCAGGACAGTGGTGATGCCCATTGCCCACGAGTTCTCACCTGATGTGGTCCTAGTCTCCGCCGGGTTTGATGCTGTTGAAGGACATCTGTCTCCTCTGGGTGGCTACTCTGTCACCGCCAGATGTAAGCCTGCTGGGGGATTGAGGGAGGAAGTGAAACAGTGAGGATATCGAGTCCAGTGAGGCATGGGGCAGGGAACAGACTGATATTGCAGCAGACGGGGAAAGCAGGGGGCAGGGCCTAGACTTGGAATCATCTTGGTAACTCCCCCAACTTGTCCTCTGCCAACCCCGGCCTTGAGGGGATAGGAGGTGGCAGTGGGGTAGCAGAGGATAGAGGATGTATCCTGCCGGAGCTGTAGAGATGGGCTTGTTGGTCCCTGGTGTTTCAGTGATGCTCCTTGTCATTGGATTGGAGTCTTCAGCCAGTCTGTTAATGTTTTGACTGTGATAGGGCATTTAGTTCACTGATGCTGTATTTTATTATGGATATATTTGGGTTTATATCTCCCATCACATTTTGTGCTATTTGTCCCACCTCTTGTGTTTCTTTTTCTCTCCTTTTCTTTCTTTTTTTTTTTTTTTTTTTTTGAGGTGGAGTCTCACTCTGTCACCCAGGCTGGAGTGCAATGGCGTGATCTCGGCTCACTGCAACCTCCGCCTCCTGGGTTCATGCCATCCTCCTGCCTCAGCCTCCCAAGTAGCTGGGATTACAGGCGCGTGCCACCATGGCCGGCTAATTATTGTATTTTTAGTAGAGACGGGGTTTCACCATGTTGGTCAGGCTGGTCTCGAACTCCTGACCTTGTGATCTGCCCGCCTTGGCCTCCCAAAGTGCTGGGATTACAGGCGTGAGCCACCGCGCCTGGCCTTTTTTCTCTCCTCTTACTGGCTCTTGAATTGATTGATTACCTTTCGCCATTTCTTCTTCCTCCCTTCACCCATCCTCAAAGGTTTTGGCCACTTGACCAGGCAGCTGATGACCCTGGCAGGGGGCCGGGTGGTGCTGGCCCTGGAGGGAGGCCATGACTTGACCGCCATCTGTGATGCCTCTGAGGCTTGTGTCTCGGCTCTGCTCAGTGTAGAGGTAAGGGGTGGGAAGGAGCTGGGAGGTGGCAGGCCAGAGGTCTGAGGGGCCAGCAAGGGGTCAGCCAGCACTGGGAGCCCCTTAGGAAGCTTTTCCTTGGTCCTAAGGAACAGCTAATGGCCAGGCTTTCTGAGTATGCGTTTGTCCAAAAAGGCCATGTTTGCCCCTGTTGTGAGGGATATCTGGGGCTGAGTGGGGCAGTTAGAGGGGTATGCATGGCAACCCTACTCCCCACCCTAAGCCTTCTCTTCTTTCCCCTGCCAGCTGCAGCCCTTGGATGAGGCAGTCTTGCAGCAAAAGCCCAACATCAACGCAGTGGCCACGCTAGAGAAAGTCATCGAGATCCAGAGTGCGTGAGGACACGTAGAGGGGCTCAGGCTGCCAAGGGGGCACGGAGCTTGTGGGAGCACCAGGACTGGGACTGTTCATGTGGGTGTCCTCTGCCCTCCCTGACCCCTTGCCTGTCTCTCGTCCACAGGCAAACACTGGAGCTGTGTGCAGAAGTTCGCCGCTGGTCTGGGCCGGTCCCTGCGAGAGGCCCAAGCAGGTGAGACCGAGGAGGCCGAGACTGTGAGCGCCATGGCCTTGCTGTCGGTGGGGGCCGAGCAGGCCCAGGCTGCGGCAGCCCGGGAACACAGCCCCAGGTAAGCAGCAACCCGCACCACCTCTCTGCCCTCACCCCTGCTGGTGCGCCCCACTCAATACCCTCCCCTGTGCTTGCCCCACAGGCCGGCAGAGGAGCCCATGGAGCAGGAGCCTGCCCTGTGACGCCCCGGCCCCCATCCCTCTGGGCTTCACCATTGTGATTTTGTTTATTTTTTCTATTAAAAACAAAAAGTCACACATTCAACAAGGTGTGCCGTGTGGGTCTCTCAGCCTTGCCCCTCCTGCTCCTCTACGCTGCCTCAGGCCCCCAGCCCTGTGGCTTCCACCTCAGCTCTAGAAGCCTGCTCCCTCTGCAGGGGGTGGTGGTGTCTTCCCAGCCCTGTCCCATGTGTCCCTCCCCCCATTTTCCTGCATTCTGTCTGTCCTTTTCCTCCTTGGAGCCTGGGCCAGCTCAAGGTGGGCACGGGGGCCCAGACAGTACTCTCCAGTTCTGGGGCCCCCCGAGTGAGGAGGGAACGGGAAGTCGGTGCCTTGGTTTCAGCTGATTTGGGGGGAAATGCCTTAATTTCACTCTCCTCCCTTCTCCAGCCTCAGGGGAGGATCTGGAGGATCCACTACTGTCTTTAAGATGCAGAGTGGAGGGGAGGTGGGCACCCACCCTGCGATTCTCCACCCTTTCCCCTTCTTTCGTCCTCACCATCTCTGCAGACCCCTCTCCTCCTCCTTCCTCTTGGTCTCAGCACTGATGGGAGGCTGGTGCCCAAGCTGTGGCCTGCAGTCTGTGAGGAGGGCTGTCTTGCCTCACACTCCTCACAGCCTACTTCCCCTTCCCCGGGGCTGAGAGGGTGAAAGTGTGTGGGGAAGGAGAGGACTGGTTTCCTGGGTTCTCAGGGGCCAGGAGGAGTAACAGAACCAGGTCTGCTCCCCACCTTACTCGGATGGCCTCCCTGCCCCTCTGCTGGCACAGCCTGGGCAAGGGGAGAAGGTGGTCCCTGCAGAGGGGCTCCAGGCTGGTGAGAGCCCCCCTGCTGTCAGGACCAGATTTTCCCAGCCATCCAGCATGCTGCGGGGAGAAGGGGCAGAGGCTCACCTCCCTCCTGGGGCCTTTTGTTTTGGATCCTGGGGATGGTGAGAATGGAGGTTCTAGAAGGGGTAAGGCCAGAACCCAGGGATCCAGGAGTCGGCTCTCAGCTGGAGCTTCCATACCTTCTGGGCTCCCTTTGCTGACCACCAGCCCAAGGGAGCTAAGACCAGGAGGGGGCTGGGCGCTGTCCCTTCTCTTTCCCAGGAGCCCTGCCAGGGGCTGTGGGCCTACAAGGCTTCCAGGGGATGCCATCCAGCCTGTAGGAAACCAAAGATGGGAAGTGGCTCCTAGGGGGCTGACTCTTCCTTCCTCCTCCTCCCCAGTACCACATATACTTTCTCTCCTTCTATCTCCAGGGCCCCACCAATCTGTTTACATATTTATTATCCTATGGGGGCCTGAGCAGGATTGAGGGAGCCAGGGGAGGGGCAGGAGTCCCAGCACCATCGGTTCATAGTGTGCTTGTGTGTTTGTTTTAGATCCTCCTGGGGGATGGGGATGGGGCCAGGCTCAGTGTACTAGGCCTCTCTGTGCTGAGCCCCAGGCTCCCGGCCCCTTACCCACTCTCTCCCTGTGGCTGGTCTGGTTCTCATGTAAACCCACTCCTTGCTTTGTCTCCCTGGATATGGATTTCAGTTAAGTATTTTGTAACCCGTTACACTGTGTGTCCTTGTGTAAATAAACTTGTTTCTGGCAGTGCCTTCTGGGGCCAATGTCTCTATTCTCTGGGCTCCCAAATGGAGTAGAGGTTCTCATCCTCCTTCCTAGCCAAACACACTACTCTTTTCTCCAGCCCCTGGACTAGAAGCCGATTTAGGAAACTGGAGGTTGGGGCGCAAGATCTGTCCTGTAAGTGAAAAGACAGGGTTATACCGAATATAGTCACAGCATCTCATGGGACCTCTCATGTGGCCTAGGCAGTGATGAGGCAGGGGACCCAGGGCTGAGAGGTCTCACCTGAGTTTACAGCCCTCTCCTTTCCTGCCTCTCTGCCCCTGGAAACAGGGCTGGAGATGGCACAGAGACTACTGGAGCAGCCTGGCAAAGGTTCCACTTGTGCACACACAGGCAAGGCCCATGGAGATGTGCGCATAGGCAAGAAAGGAATCTCAAAGTATTCAAGGGCTTTATTGGGGCCGCCCTGGCTGCCCCTCACAGTGTTGCAAGAACCCGCTGGTCTTGCTGTTGCCTTTGCTCTTTGGGGGCTTGAGAGGAAAGGCAGAGGGAGGACCAACTTATCTGGGAGAGAGAAGGCCCATCTTTGGGGCTAAGACCAGGTGGTGCGGAAGCAGATTTAGGGAGGGGAGGGCCTACTTAGGGGCTGGAAGGGGATGGGGCTGCCTCCTGGAGTGTGGTGGTCACAGAGTGTTGGCTTTGTGGGAGGGAAAGGAAAGGGAGGCACACAAGAAGTCAGGAAGAGTGGATGGGCGGTGCTTCCTGGGCACTGAACATGTGCACTGCCCAGGGCACGAGGGCCAGGACTAGGCATGGCCAGAGGGTGTACTTGAGGAAATTGAAAATGTAGAAGAGGCTGATCTGAGGGGGGTGGCCCAGCCAGTCCAGGGGGCCCAGCAGCCCCATGGCCAGCACAAGGCAGGCTATCTTCTGGCCATTTCCCAGCTGTGCCCGACGCACCTGGGCATAGCAGGGAGAGTGCAAGGCAATGCCCAGGCCCAGGGCAGCCCCTGAGTCACGGCTCAGGGAGGCAAAGGGCCGGCTATCCACGTGTATCCACTCAGGCCGCTCACACCACTTGAAGGCTAGGCTGATGGACCTGTGGGGAAGAAGAGTTCTTGCCAGGAGAGGCTGGAACATAGAAGGCCACTGGCTCTTGGCCATCTGCCCTTGGGGCCCACTCCCATGTTCTGTTTTGTGCCTGTGAGGGTCTATGTGAATAGGTAATGTGTCCTTTTTTAGCTATAATGAACCAGAGACACACCAGGCTAGGTGCAGGCGAGATAGGACAGGGCCCAGCCTGCCCAGGCTTCAAAGCGAGACTTACCAAGAAAGATCCAGGCCCAGTGTAAAGAGGGTCCAATAGATGAGGCTGGTGCCTAGCATGAGGGCCAGTGCAGTCAACCCATAGAAGCTTAGCTCCCGCTCCATAGGCACTCGGGGAGTCATCAGCCAGCCCAGGACAGCGCCTAGGAGAGTGGAGTGACAACAGCTTCAAGGAGTCTGGGGATATGACCCTCCCCACCCCGACCCCCAGCTGCAGTGCAGCTTGGCAAGAGAATAAACTGAGACATAACGGGGGGCCTCTGGGGTGGGCTCTACAGAAGCTGGGAGCGATGGGAAGATCCTAGACTGATCCTCCCACTGCCAAAGGCATCCTCTCAGTCCACCCCGTTGCCCCAGTTGCTCACCAGTTATTAGGCCAGCCAGCACCTGGTGAGGGAAATGTGCTAAGATGAAGATTCGCGACAAGCCAACCGCCAAAAGGAAGGTGCAATAAGCCAGGCTAGGCATCACCCTTACCCAGCGGCTAGAAAGAAGAGAGGCAAGGAGCTCAGAGCGTGTCCATACACAGCTTGGCCTCCTGCAGCACCCAGGTACTCCATGGTTGAACCACACAACCTAGGGTCCCCAAAACTCCAGCTCCCAGGCTGCCATGCTGCTGTGTCTATTAGGTACAGGGTGCCATCACCCCTGCTCCCAATGGTGGGCAATGCCAAGGGTATACCTGCGGGCCCGAGTGGCCACCTGCGAAGACAGGGCCGTCATTATGGGCCAGAGGGCTGCTCCTGTGATCATGCAGTGTCCAGAAGGGCTGCCTGCCAGCAAATCCAGAAGCTCGTGGTGAGAAGATGGAGGCAGAACCCCGGGGCCCCTGGTGATGCCTCAATAATACAGCTGCCTTTCCTGGCTGAGAAGAGCTTTTCCCCAGCACTGATTCATAACTCGCTCTGCTCTGAGGCCTTTTTACTGCCACTTGAGGTCACTGTGCTCAGGTTTCTGTCCTGATCTGTGTCTCTTGGCTGTCCTCTATACAAGGTGGGCAGCTGGTACATAGCATGAGTGCCCTCCTCCCATAACTCAGCTTGGTCTCCCTGGGGTTCTTTTGTTCTCTGCGCCAGTAATTGAGAGGCTGGTCCTTTGGTTGGGCCACCCAGGCTGAAAAGTACTCTGAAATGTTCACCCGAACCCTAACCACATTGGGAAAGGGAGAATGTTTGAGGCTTCCCACCTGGACCAGTCTCACAAGAAGAGGGGAACTGGTGAACCTGGGCTGGAGCCTGGCTGTAGTAACCAGACTCATGGACCCACCAAAAGGGCCTGTCTCCAAAAAGAAACCTGGAAGAGAACAGATGCAAGATGACTTTCCACATGCACACACAGCCAGGGGGGGTACAAGGCGGGCAGGACACAGAGTACTCTGGAGGGCCTGAGGGGTGAAGTCAAAAAGGGACTACGATTCTGTCCACTGCTCTCAAGGTATCCATGGATACCTTGCCATGGTTTTCTACCTTAGAACAGGAGAAAGAAAGCACACTATTTCTTTTCTTTTTTTTTTCCTAACCCTCAGCCTGTGGAAACACTATTTTTAAAAACTAGTCTGGGGCCAGGTACAGTGGCTCATGACTGTAATCCCAGTACTTTGGGAGGCCTTAGCTGGAGGATCACTTGAAGCCAGGAGTTCATGACCAGCCTGGGCAACATAGCAAGACCCAGATTCAACAAAAACAAAAAATTAGCTGGAAGTGGTGGTGCACACCTATAGTCTCAGCTACTTGGGAGGCTGGGCGGGCAGATCACTTGAGCCCAGGAGTTCGAGAATAGCCTGGGCAACATGACAAAACCCCATCTCTACAAAAAATACAAAAATTAGCCAGGCATCTTGGGGTGTGCCTGTAGTCCCTGCTACTCCAGAGGCTGAAGTGGGAAGGATCACTTGAGCCCAGGAGGTTGAGGCTGCAGTGAGCTGTGATTGTGCCATTGTACTCCAGCCTGGTGATGGAGTGAGATCCTGTCTCAAAAAAAGAAAAAGTGAATAAAATAAAAAATAAAACTGATACAGAGGCAAGAGATTGTGGTAAGCCGTGTGTGTGCTCTGAGATACTCAGCCGTCCCACTCTACCCCCTCTCACTGCAAGGCCAGCTCTTATCATCCACAGAGAGTCCAGGACCCAGCTCTCTCCTCCAGGCCCTCACTAACCCTCCTGCTACCCCTGCCTCCATGTCCCCAGTTACAGCCTGAATTATCCACACCTAAATTATTTAGGTGAGCCTCTCAGGTCTGAAAATGGGGGTGGGAAATGGACAGAGAAGGCTGAGAAAGAATAAGGAGGACAAAAAAATGTCAAAATCCTCTGGTCTAGCAAGTGCTTGGCTGGGCCCTGGGAACCACACAATGAAGAGGCTGCTGTGGCCAGAAAGAGAAAAGATGGGATAGCAAAAGAGATGCTGGCAGGAAGCCACGTGCTGGGGAGGGATATACAGAAGGCACTTGCCTCTCCCCTCTGAAAACTGAGCCTAGTATATATACAACAAGTGCTCACACAGAAAATGAACGGCGGTGCCAGGCGCGGTGGCTCACGCCTGTAATCCCAGCACTTTGGGAGGCAGAGGAGGGTGGATCACTTGAGGCCAGGAGTTTGAGACCAGCCTGACCAACAAGGTGAAACCCTGTCTCTACTAGAAATAAAAAATTAGCCGGGCGTGGTGGTGGGTGCCGATAATCACAGCTACTGGGGAGGCTGAGGCAGAAGAATCTCTTGAACCTGAGAGACAAAGAGGTTTCAGTGAGCCAAGATCATGCCATTGCACGCCAGCCTGGGCAACAGAGCAAGACTCCATCTCAAAAAGAATAAAAAAAAAAAAAAAAAGAATGCCAGGTTGCTCACGCCTATAATCCCAGCACTTTGGGAGGCTGAAGCGGGCGGATCACCTGAGGTCAGGAGTTTGAGACCAGCCTGGCCAACAAGGCGAAACCCCTTCTCTACTAAAAATACAAAAATTAGCCGAGTGTGGTGGCACACGCCTGTGATCCCAGCTACTTGGGAGGCTGAGGCAGGAGAATGGCATGAAGCCGGGAGACGGAGTTTGCAGTGAGCCAAGATTGCACCACTGCACTCCAGCCTGGGCAACTGAGCGAGACTCCGTCTCAAAAAAAAAAAAAAAAAAAAAAGAGAAAATGAAAATGAATAGGGACTTTGCCACTTGGGGGACATTAATAGTGTCTGAAGGAGATTGTGATCTTTGGGGGACAAGGAATAGAGGGGGAGGCTTATACAGACTTTGAGAGAGGAGAGCACAAAGCAAAGGGCAATTAGGCAAGAAAGAAGTGAACAGATCACTGTGGTTCCCTTTACATAAGGATGAGGCCCTCGTGGAAAAGAGTGGAAGGGAGGGGAACTCTATGTTGTTTTTCAGCAAGTCATTCCAGCTCATTGAAATACCTCCTATGAGCCTCCCTTCCTTCCCCCAGGCTGAGGATCTGGCAACAGAGGCTGAGGTGAAGGGAGGTGTGGCTGCATGCCCAGCCCCAGGGGCCACAGGGCCTCCACCCATGTCCCTGGGATTCCTGGCTTCTAAGTCTCAGTGTGAAGAGTCTACTGGTGAATGAAAGAGAAAGAAGAGAAAGTGTTCCCTGGAAAGCAGTGCTTTAGCCCAAACTTTACTGCATACGCACAGGGAATCACCTGGGAACCTTGTTAAAATGCAGATTTTGATTCAGTAGCTCTGGCCCGGGGCCTGAGAGTCTGCGTTTTTAGCCAGTTTTCAAGTGCTGCCTATGCCGTTGGGCATGGTCCAGGGACCACACCTTAATCTGCAAGGTGTCTCTGTCCTTAGCAGCTACCGTGATGCCCAGCACAAAGCATGCTTCTGAAAAATTATAGCAAATGAATGAATACATGAATGAAAAAGTGAGTTGAGAGGTAGGACTCTCCACTACTTAAATCACCATATTTGTTAAAATATGAATTCCCATAAACCAAAAATAAAAAATAAAAAATAAATTCCCAACCCCTTGGAGTTTCTAAATTAGTAAGTGTGAGATGAGGATGGGATATTTACATTTTAGACACGCCCCTTAGGTGATTTTTCCATCAGACCAGTTTGAAGAACACTGGTCTAATGAGTAGGATGGTTGGACTCTGAGGTTTGAGTCCAAGCTGCACAAAGATGCTCAAGGGGAAAAAAAATCAGGGACTACAGAGTAGGGGTGGGAAGGCCCTTGAGACAGTTGCTGAAAGAGACCAGGGCTTACACATGACTCAGGGCCCTCGGGGGTGGGGACCAGGATGCCGGAGGGCTTCTCTGTCTCACCACTTGAAGATGAGGTTGAGCCACTCGGTGATGAGGCTGATCCAGAGCACCGCGATGCCCACACGGCGGGAGGCGTAGTAGGCCGCGGGGAAGTAGAACAGAAAGAGGATCTTGGGATCGCCCAGAAAGGTGATCCAGAGCCACACGTTCTCCAGCCAGGCTAGCTGGTTCTGTAGCGCCTCGGCTATCACGATGCCCGCGCCCAGCGTGGACTCCATGGCGGCCCAGCTGCCGACCAGGCCCCGGCTTGCTCCAGGGCGGAAACCAGAGTCCAGGCAACGAAGCAGCGTCGACCCTCTGATCTCCAAAGCCCACCCCTCTGAGCCCCAGGCCCCGCCCCGCCAGCGGTCACCACCAAGCCCCGCCCCCAGCAGTCCCCCGCTCCTGCAAGACCGGCCTCCAGCCGGTACTGTTTCCTCCTGCGCTCTCCTCCGGTTTTCCTCCCTACTGGGCAGCGCAGGGGACAAACCTTTGTAAAGGCGTTTCCTCAGGGCCCCACGTGGCCACTGTTGCAGGCACGTGGGCAGCCGGCTAGCGGCGGCACCAGTGCGGTTCCGGGTCAGGGGACTGACTAGCCGGCGGGCCGCGCGCGCTCCCAGCGTCCCTGCTCCGCTGATGCGAAGGCGGATATATAATCTCCAGGGCCGGGATTCTTTCCCCACCGGACCTCTCTTCTCCAGCACCAATACCCACCAAAAAAAAAAAAAAAAAAACAAACAGCAAAAAAATAAATAAATCTGAGATCCTTTGGAGAAAAGGCTGCAGACAGCCCCTCCTCCTGGGAGCTGAAGCGGGATCCTAAATTTGCATACACCCCTAATCAGTTCACTCCTTCCTCCCCAGCCTCAAGACTCCCCCTTTCTAATTCGCCTGCTATTAATCTGGAGGCTGACAGATAAGTCTCTTGATTTTGAGGGGTCTTCCCTAAAAAGGCGAATTCTCACATATAGCGCAAAGTCACACTTCCTTCCAGTTCTTCCCTTGCTTCCCCCACCCCCATCCTCCTGCCATCCAAAACCCTGCTTAGGCAGATGAAACCAAGAGATAGTAACAGTGTTGGTATGGGAAGAGGATTGGCACACACCCGCGACAGAGTTTGAAACAGTCATCTGGGGGAACTCACATAGAAAATAGAAATCTCAGCTATTCTAGGCGAGGTCCTGCCTAGAATACTGTTGAACAGTGTCTCCTTAGTTTCTTCCTACCTCAATCAACTTTGTTCTTGAAAAGTTTTTTTTTTTTTTTTTTTTTTGCCGGGCGCGGCGACTCACACCTGTAATCCCAGCACTTTGGGAGGCCGAGGCGGTCGGATCACAAGGTCAGGAGTTCCAGACCAGCCTGGCCAACATAGTTAAACCCCATCTCTACTAAAAATACAAAAATTAGCTGGGCGTGGGGGCACGCGCCTGTAGTCTCAGCTACTAGGGAGGCTGAAGCAGGAGAATCGCTTGAACCCGGGAGGCGGAGGTTGCGGTGAGCCGAGATGGGACCACTGCACTCCAGCCTGGGCGACAGGGCGAGACTCTATCTCAAAAAATAAAAAAAAATAAAAAATAAAAAAGGTGCTGGGCACAGTGGCTCACCCCTGTAATCCCAGCACTTTGGAAGGCCAGGGTGGGTGGATCACCTGAGGTCAGGAGTTGGAGACTAGTCTGACCAACGTGGAGAAACCAAACCGTGTCTCTACTAAAAACACAAAATTAGCTGGGTGTGGTGGCACATGCCTGTAATCCCAGCTACTCAGGAGGCTGAGAGAGGTGAATCGCTTGAGCCCAGGACGTGGAGGCTGTGGTGAGCCAAGATTGTGCCATTGCATTCCAGCTTGGGCAACAAGACAGAAATTCCGTCTCCAAAAAAAAAAAAAGGTGTAAAGGAGGGAAGCTGGATATAAATCTTCGTTTATTGCCTTTGTAGTGAACAGAATTTTTATTCCTATTACAATGATTATACCAATACCTCCAACACCAGGAAGTTTTTTTTTTTTTGAGACGGAGTCTCGCTCTGTCCCCCAGGATGGAGTGCAGTGGCGCGATCTCAGCTCACTGCAACCTCTGCCTCCTGGGTTCACGCCATTCTCCTGCCTCAGCCTCCCAAGTAGCTGGCACTACAGGCACCCACCACCACACCTGGCTAATTTTTAGTATTTTTAGTAGAGACGGGGTTTCACCATGTTAGCCAGGATGGTCTTGATCTCATGACCTCGTGATCCGCCCGCCTCGGTCTCCCAAAGTGCTGGGATTACAGGCGTGAGCCACTGTGCCCGGACAATACCAGGAAGTTTTTAATTGCCGAAGAGAAAGCCTACATTGTTTACCGAGTCTTTGAGGTTTGCCCTCAACCTTAAGCAGCCTACTCCCACACTCCGCTTTGTAATATTTCTGACCTATACATTCCTTGAAATCACCAAGTTCTCTCCTCTTAGGGGTCCTGGCCCGTGCAGTTCCCTCTGCCTGGAACATGGCCACTCTTTTTCCTTGCCAATCCTTCAGGTCTCAGTAGAGATTTTTCACTTCCTCCAAGAAGGCCTTTCCTAATGGCTCCTAGAAGTCTTATATGAAAACCTATAATCACGATTCCATATAAAAAGTGGAAAACTGGAATGGCAATTATGTATGATTTATTATGGGGGCCAGAACAAGGATGAGAGGCATGAAAGTTCTCTGAGGCCGGCCACATGGCTCACGCCCGTAATCCCAGCACTTTGAGAGGCCAGCCGAGGCGGGAAGATTGCTTGAGCCCAGGAGTTTGAGACCAGCCTGGCCAACATGGTGAAACCCCATCTGTACTAAAAGTACAAAAATTAGCCGGGCATGGTGGCTCGTGCCTGTAATTCCAGCTACTCCGGAAGCTGAGGCAGGAGAATCGCTTGAACCTGGGAGGTGCGGGTTGCAGTGAGCCAAGATGGCGCCACTGCACTCCAGTCTGGGTGACAGAGCGAGGCTCTATCTCAAAAAAAAAAAAAAAAAAGTTCTCTGAAAAAGCACACTATGAAGGAGCAGAATTTTTATTCCTATTATAATGAGTGTATCAATACTTCCAACACCAGGAAGTTTATGTTTCTTGGAGGGCAAGGAAATACTTTTGAACTTTGTTCAGGTTAAGCCGCGCCAAGACTGGCCCTTTGCTTCCCTCTGGACTAGAGAAAGGTCAACCTGTTTCTTATACATGAAGCGAGGATCCAAAATTTCTATAGTGAGCGGTGGGTGGGTTAGCGACAGCCATTGGTGGTAGTAGGGCTTGAAAATGCACGCTCATAGTCCTTTGCATAAGATTAAGAAAACGACTGTTTTGTACATCAGACGGACATTCAAGGGCAGGGGCGCAAAACCCCTCCTCCAAGCCCCTTTTTGTCACTATCCGCTGCTCCTCATTCCTGCCTTTTGCCTGGCTTTCTGGGAGAGAGGGCAAAAAGGGAGAAGGGGAAGTGTCTTGACTTCTAAGAGTGATGGGTGACTAAGGGGGAACTACCATTTATTAAAGACCTAGTACATGCCATGCACTTATACCCGTTACCGCATTTAAACCTCCTAACTATGAGGTAGGTATTATTATGTAACAGAGTATAGCAGTAAATAGCACCGTCCTTGGAAATAGGCAGACTGTTTTTGCTAGTTGTGGAACCGTGGACAAGTTTAGTCTAAAACTTAGTTTATGTAAAAGGAGGACATTGATTCCTACCTCAAAGGGCTGTTAGATGCTCAAGAAGTGACAATACAAATGCCTATGAAGAAACAGGATCAGGTAATTTGCTTGCTCAAGGTCAGGTGATTTAGTAAGAGGCTGACCTCGGATTCTGGTTCCAGCTTATCTAACTCCACAGCCAATGTTCTTTCCACTATCACTCAGTAGTTATAATCATCTTTTTTTGTTTGTTTGTTTGTTTTGAGACAGAGTCTCGCTCTGTTGCCCAGGCTAGAGTGCAGTGGCACAATCTTGGCTCAGTGCAACCTCCGCCTTCCAGGTTCAAGAGATCCTCCAGCCTCAGTCCCCCTAGTAGCTGGGATTACAGGCACGCGCCACCGTACCCGGCTAATTTTTGTATTTTTAGTAGAGACGGGGTTTCACCATGTTGGCCAGGCTGGTCTCGAACCCCTGACCTCAGGTGATCCACCCGCCTCGGCCTCCCAAAGTGCTGGGATTACAGGCGTGAGCCACCGCTCCCAGCCTTATAATCATCTTGTCCAAGTATCGTTAAGTCCTCTGAGGCTCTGATTCCTCATATGCAAAATGGGGTTAACATATTTTATAAAATTCATTCATTAAACTCTTGTGTGGAAGGTGTGCATATAATGGAGACTGCAGCTCCCTCCTCTTTCCCCTTTTCATTCCACGTAGGTCATTTATCCTTAACTTCTAAAATGGACTCTACAAGCACTTAACCGAGCGGACGCAGCTATACAAATACTTTTCAGATTCCCCTTTATTTCCTCTTCTTTCCCACTCCACCTAGGATCCCGCCCCAACCAGCGCCAGGCCACGCCCCGGCGTGTGACGCAAGCACGCTCCGTGCGCGCCGTCGCGTCGCGGCGCTCACTGGGGGCCCGGCTTTCGCCCGCTGCTGCCGCCGCCGCCGCCGGCCGCGGCTGCACTCCCAAGATGGCGGCTCCTCCGGGCGAGTACTTCAGCGTTGGGAGCCAGGTGTCGTGCCGGACGTGCCAGGAGCAGCGGCTGCAGGGCGAGGTGGTAGCCTTTGACTACCAATCCAAAATGCTGGCTTTAAGTATCCTTCCCTGCGTGAAGCCCGAGTCCGGGCCGGCGTGTAGGTGCGGTGGTCGGGGGGTGGGGGACGACGGCGGCGGCTGGGGCTCTCTCCGGGCCTAGGGGCGACCGGCTACCGCGGCGCCCGGGGCGCATGCGCACGGCCCTGAGCTCCCCTCCCCCTCCCGCGGGCCCTTCGGTCAGCTTTGGGGATCCTGTCTCTCTCTCTTTGCGGGAGCTGGGGCTTTACCGAGGATCAGTGGGTGGAGGAGGGCTTGACACGGGGATGGCTTTTTGGGGGGAACGTTATGAGAGGGGACACAGTAATTAGGAGAGGGGGTGGTGGTGGGAGGGGGCTGATGGATTGGAGCCCGGATGGAAAGGAGGGGCGGGTGAAATATTATGGGGAGGGGTGTTTAGGGTAAGGAACTGCTGGTAGGGCAAAGGTATGGAATTTAGGAGGGCATGTGCACTGATGGGATTTCGTCCAAGGAAGGGCGGTGGGATGGTGACCAAATTGGTCCTTGCCTGTTTTGGGGGAGAGTAAGTTCAGGGCAGAGTTTGTATCTGAGCTAGGGATAGTGGCTTGTTTCGCTGATGCGTGTGTATGTGTGGTGGGGGGGCTGTGCTGATTTTTAGGCTTCTCGGTCATTTGGAAGTTGCTGTTTAGGGGATGTTTGCACTGGAAACCTGTTCCAGAGAGGGCTTGCCAGGGGCTTATGTGGTTTGGGGATGTGTGAGTTACAGGTGAAAGAGTGAAGTTCTCATGCTGCCTTGATCAGTCCAGCACATGGAGTCCTTTTACGTAGTAGCAGCCTCCCTTTTGAAAGTAGCAATGTTAAACTGATTGGAAAAGGTGGCCTGCTTCTTTGGGGTGGAAGTGACTTCTGAATTACTCCAGGAAACTCAGTCTTGGAAATGAAACACTTCCTTGTTGGGATAAATGTGCCACGGCTTCCCTTTTTATGTGAGCCACAGGTGGGTTTATTGGAATTTTTTTTTGGAGGAGTAATTTTTTATGGCATCTTTTTTTTTTTTTTTTTTTTAAGATGGAGTCTCGCTCTGTCGCTAGGATGGAGTGCGGTGGCGCAATCTCGGCTCACTGCAACCTCCGACTCCCTGGTTCGAGCGATTCTCCTGCCTCAGCCTCCGGAGTAGCTGGGATTACGGGCACGCGCCACCACGCCCAGCTAATTTTTGTATATGTTTTTTTTTAACAGAGATGGGGTATCACCATGTTGGCCAGGATGGTCTCGAACTTCTGACCTCGTGATCCGCTGGCTTCAGCCTCCCAAAGTGCTGGGATTACAGGCCTGAGCCACCGCCCGGCTTTTTTTTTTGTTGTGTTTTTTGAGACGGAGTTTCACTCTTATTGCCCAGGCTGGAGTGCAATGGCGTGATTTCGGCTTACTGCAACTTCCGTCTCCCGGATTCAAGCGATTCTTCTGCCTCAGCCTCCCGAGTAGCTGGGATTGCAGGCATACGCCACCGTGCCCGGCTAATTTTTTGTATTTTTAGTAGAGACGGGGTTTCACCGTGTTAGCCAAGATGGTCTCGATCTCCTGACCTCGTGATCCACCCGCCTCGGCCTCCCAGAGTGCTGGGATTACCAGCGTGAGCCACCGCGCGGCCTAAGAATAGTTGCTTTTTTAAAAAAATAAGAGGTTACACCTGGAAGAAATAAGACCTTTTACATTAGTGGTTTAGTTGGAAGGGTCTTGTAACTAGGAATTACTTTTTTTTTTTTTTTTTTGAGACGGAGTCTCGCTCTGTCACCTAGGCTGGAGTGCAGTGGCACCATCTCGGCTCACTGCAACCTCCGCCTCCCGTGTTCAAGTGATTCTCCTGCCTCAGGCTCCAGAGTAGCTGGGATTACAGGCATGTGCCACCACACCCGGCTAATTTTTTTTTTTTTGGTAGTGACGGGGTTTTGCCACTTTGGCCAGGCTGGTCTTGAACTCCTGACCTCAAGTAATCTGCCCGCCTCAGCCTCCCAAAGTGTTGAGATTACAGGCGTGAGCCATCACGTGAGCCTGGCTGAATTACTCAACTTTTACTTGACATACAGTAGGCTCTTAAATGGTTGGAGAATGAGTTTGTGAATGAATGAATGGATTAACTGGCTGGGTCACCTTGGGTGAATTTCCTTTCCAGTGTGTAGTTTTCTCCTCTGCAAAATGGGAAAGCTCACATCTGAAAGAGTAAAAAGAATACTGTGCAGACACAGAGAGTATTATACGAAGAACAGAAAGGTCTAGCTCTTTTGTCTGGCTCATAGGTTCAAGACAAACGCATTAAATCTGCATTATGCCTCTCCATAAAGCCAGTAGAGAGAAAGTGACAGAACTCCTTTGGAAGCTTCCAAGGATTTGGGCAGGAGGAAGGTGACAGGCAGAGATTTCCTGAGGAGAACCGTGATTCTTATAAGGCCCTCATGCTCCTGGCCTGCCTTTTACAAGCCTTGTGTGAATCGTGTTTTCTATGCCCCTTTTGGGATGTGTCAGTGCCTCTGCTTGTCCTATTTTTCCTTAACTTTTTTTTTTCTCACCAGAATGTCCCTCTTCCAGTGGAAAGCCCAACCATGCAGACATCTTGCTCATAAACTTACAGTATGTTTCAGAAGTGGAAATAATTAATGACCGAACAGAAACCCCTCCTCCCCTAGCTTCACTCAATGTTAGTAAGGTAAGGACTCAAGGGCAGATCTGGCTCTCTAAAATGGTGGGAAAGATGAGTCTCATTGAGTCTTAGTGATACATTGTTGTCTATTTTTTATTTTTTAAAATTGACTTAAAATTGTTTGTTCTGATATCTTTTTAAAAAATGTAGGTTTAGTTTTTCTCTTTATTCCTGGATGTTATCAGTAGATCTTAAGAAGTAGCTTAACTCCCAAATAAGTTGAGAGCTTGCTTCTGCCTTTATGAAAGAGGACTTTTTAAATCTTGGAGTTCATGATGAACTAATAGTGCTGCTGGGGTTTGGGTGGTGGCGTTACCTATGAATGTCTTCAAATTGTGTATATGTGGATGTGTGCATACGTGAATATATGCATTTTCTGCTTGAAGATCTAAAGTGTTTTTCAGATTCTCGGAGGGTTTCATGACTTAGAAAAGTTTGAAAGCCACTGTCTTAAAGGTTCTTTTTTGTCTTTATGTTTGAATTTTGAGTTCTAACAGTTACATGCTTAGCATATTTTAATCTTGCACATAAAAGTTGATCTCTGGGAACCCCCAAGTCACTTTTGTGTGTGTATGTGTGAGACAGGGTCTTGCTTTGTTGCCCAGGTTGAACTTGAACGCCTGGGCTCAAGTGACCCTCCTGCCTCGGCCTTCTGAGTAGCTGGGATTACATGCATGCGTCACCATGCCTGCCCAAGTCTTTCTTTTTATTGGAGCCACTGCGCCCGGCGTTTTTTTTGAGACAGAGTCTCTCTGTGTCGCCCAGGCTGGAGTGCAGTGACGCGATCTCGGCTCACTGTAACCTCCGCCTCCCAGGTTAAGTGATTCTCGTGCCTCAGCCTCTGGAGTAGTTGGGACTACAGGTGTGTGCCACGACGCCTGGCCAAATTTTTTTTTTTTTTGGAGACAGGCACACACTGTCACACCCGGCTAATTTGTTTTATTTTAGTAGAGACGGGGTTTCATTCTGTTGCCCAGGCTGGTCTTGAACTCCTGAGCTCAGGCAGTCTGCTTGCCTCGGCCTCCCAAAGTGGTAAGATTATAGGTGTGAGCCACTGCTCCTGGCTCAATTTTTGTATTATTAGTAGAGATGGGGTTTCACCATGCTGGCCAGGCTGATCTTGAACTTCTGACCTCAAGTGATCTGCCTGCCTCAGCCTCCCAAAGTGCTGGGATTACAGGTGTCAGCCACCATGCCCGGCCCTAAGTCACTTTTTTGACAATTCCGTTTATTTAGTCAAAATTGAAGTTGATCATAATAATGCCTCAAGCCCTGTCATAGCCTGTGCTGTCCCCTGTACTTGGAACATTTTTCCTTCCAGAATGACTGGAGCCTTACCACCCATCAGCACTCAGTTAAATGGCACGTCTTCCAAGAAGTCTTCTCTGATCACCCAGGCTGAAGTAATTTGCCTGCATTATTCTCTCTCATAGTACCTTGTCCTTCACAGTTAAGGTGACCATATCATTTGTAGTCCAACCTGGGACATTTTTGAGAGTAAAGGGGAATGCTTTTATTTTACACAGGGACAACAGGTATAGATTAGGTTACCCTATTCATAGCTTTTTTTTTTTTTTTTTTTTTTGAGACGGAGTCTCGCTTTGTCGCCCAGGCTGGAGTGCAGTGGCGCCATCTCAGCTCACTGCAAGCTCCGCCTCCCGGGTTCATGCCATTCTCCTGCCTCAGCCTTCCTAGTAGCTGGGACTACAGGCGCCCGACACCACGCCCGGCTAACTTTTTTGTATTTTTAGTAGAGACGGGGTTTCACTGTGTTAGCCAGGACGGTCTCGATCTCCTGACTTTGTGATCCGCCCGCCTCGGCCTCCCAAAGTGCTGGGATTACAGGCGTGAGCCACCGCTCCTGGCCATAGTTGTTTACTTGTCTAGTGTCTGTCTCACTAAACTTTATTCTGCAGGGATGGGGACCATACCTATTTTATTTACTATTGAATATACAGAGCCTTGCACAGAGTATTTAATAAATATTTGTTGGATGAATAAGATGCCTCCAATTTTAGTAGCAGGTGCTTTTCATTAAGTCTCTTGAATTAATGTGGTGGAAGTTTTTCCCTCTAGAGGAATCTTGCAATAATGTGTATTACTTTGCCTCTCTTGGGAATGTGGTGTGTTCTGTACAGTTCAGCAAAGCAAGGAAACACTTAGGCAACTAAAATAATAGAGGGTAACTGATGCTGAGGCTAGTGAATGTCGTTACCTCAGATCTGGAGTTCCTATCTTGTCAGATTCTAGGGAAATGCCACACATTTTTTAGTGATGGCCAGGGACAGATTTGGAAGGCTATTGAGTTCATATGGGTGTTGTCTTGTATGGGATGTCCCATTCTTTGAAGCTTATAGGTTTTTGAAACCTTGGCTTAGTAATATACCTTCTACCAGAGTATAGGAGCTCTTTGAGTGTCTTCTATAAGCTCATGAAATTTTAAGACTTGTTAAATAATTTATTCCTTGGTGTTTTTTTTTTTTTTTTTTGAGATGGAGTTTCGCTCTTGTTGCCCAGGCTGGAGTGCAATGGTGCAACCTCGGCTCACCGCAACCTCCGCCTCCCGGGTTCAAGTGATTCTCCTGCCTCAGCCTCCTGAGTAGCTGGGATTACAGGCATGCACAGCCACACCCAGCTAATTTTGTATTTTTAGTAGAGACGGGGTTTCTCCGTGTTGGTCAGGCTGGTCTCGAACTCCCGACCTCAGGTGATCCGCCCGCCTCAGCCTCCCAAAGTGCTGGAATTACAGGCGTGAGCCACTGTGCCCAGCATTATTCCTAGTGTATTAAAGAACCAAATAGGCTCTGAGTTATTTTTTGGTGTTTATAGGGTATGATAAGTCTGTCACTAGATCTTTAGTGAGTAGTAAAGATCTGAAAGAGAGGTGATTTTCTGAAGTTAGAAAGTTGGCTCTTGTGACCAATGAGTGCCACCATTTAGAGGGGGTGGGGTAGTGTGGATGGGACTGTTAAGCAGGAGCTGTTAAGAAGCAGTTCTCTTCTTATGTTTGACCTCAGGTAGATATAGCTCTTGGTTAGTTTGTGGATTATCTTTGCCTTTAGGGTTTTCCTTGTTTACTAGCATTGTTGTAAACTAGCTGATTACCCAGTTTTTGAGGAAAGCAGCAGGAAGTAATAGCTTGGGGAACACCAGAAATCTTTACTTTTCTTACTCTGTGGCCTGCTTGCCAAATCTTGAAAGAGGTTTGCTGGGAAGAGGAGTCAGAAACTAAAAACTAAAATTAGGTTGGAGGGTTATCTTTGGATTTCGTTTATTCATTCTTCCGTTTGCAGAGATGTTTATGAGTAAGCTATATTGGCTTTCCCTTGAAATCAACCTTTTAGGATGCTTTGCGATTCCTTTTTGGAGATTGACTTAGAATTAGAGAGAGCCTTTTGGGCTACTGCTGAAAACAGCTATTTCGGGCAGCTATTAACATGTTGCATGAATGACGTGAAAAGTTAGTCTCATTTTTAAGATCACGGACTTGAGTTTTTCTTAAGATGGAGGATCATTTAAGCATATGGAAGGGAACTAATGTACTCTGGGATGTCTGGAAGAAAACTGTTGAAGTTTCAGTTGCTTGCAGTCTGGAGAAGCACTAGCCTACTCTATTTATTTTATTTTATTTATTTATTTTTTGAGACGAAGTCTTGCTCTGTCGCCCAGGCTGGAGTGCAGTGGCGCCATCTCGGCTCACTGCAAGCTCCACCTCCCGGGTTCATGCCATTCTCCTGCCTCAGCCTCCCGAGTAGCTGGGACTACAGGCGCCCGCCACCATGTCCGGCTAATTTTTTTGTATTTTTAGTAGAGACGGGGTTTCACCATGTTGGCCAGGATGGTCTCGATCTCCTGACCTTGTGATCCGCCCGCCTCGGCCTCCCAAAGTGCTGGGATTACAGGCTTGAGCCACCACACCCGGCCTACTCTAACTTTAGTCAAAGGTATCATCACATATTGGCCCATCTTGCTGACATAGTAAGTGATCTGCTTAATTAAACCTGTTGATAAAAACCGGATATTTGTTGACTCTGACCTAGCAGGAAATGGAAGAGAAGGGCTTATACAGGAAATACTTAATAATAGCTCAACTAGGGAAGGTATAAACTAGCAACTTCTTGGAAATTGGCCTGTTTTGCTTTCGAATGATAGTTCACTTCAGGCTAAGAAGTCTTATTTCTATCTCCAGCAGTAGCATGTAAGAGGAAGCTTGAGAGAGGACAGTAGGGTTGCAGTAGGGGGAATTCTTTTTTTTGAGACAGGGTCTCAGTCCATTGCCCGGTGTGATCTCGGTTCAAGCGATTCTCCTGTCTCAGCCTCCTGAGTAGCTGGGATTACAGGCGCCTGCTGCCACCATGCCCGGCTAATTTTTCTATTTTTAGTAGAGATGGGGTTTTGCCGTGTTGACCAGGCTGGCCTTGAACTCCTGACCTCAGATAATCCACCTGCGTCGGCCTCCTAAAGTGTTAGGATTATAGGCGTGAGCCACTGCACCTGGCCAAGTCCCCTGTTTTTCTATTACTTTGTGTTTAGCCCAAGGAACTCATAGTTTGGCAACATGAAGTACCCTGAATAATGTACAATGCTAAGTTATGTTTCGTGTGTGTGTGTATGTGTGTGTGTGTGTTCTGTTTTTTAGAGATATAGTCTCATTCTGTTGACCAGGCTAGAGTGCAGTGGCATGATCATAACTCACTGCAGCTTCGAACTCCTGGCTCATAGCCTCAAGTGATCCGCCCAAGCTTCCTGAGTAGCTGGGACTACAATCTCCCATCACCACACCTGGGTGGTTGTTTTGTTTCTTTTTAGTTAGTCTCGCACTGTGCCCAGGCTGGAGTGCAAATGATGCAGTCACAGCTCACCGCAGCCTCGACCTCCAGGGTTCGCTCAAGTGATCTTTCCACCTCGCCTCCCAAGTAGCTGGGACTACCGGCACAAACCACCACACCTGGCTAATTTTTCTTTCTTTTTTGAGATGGAGTCTTGCCCTGTTGCCCAGGCTGGAGTGCGGTGGTGCCGTGATCTCGGCTCACTGCAACCTCTGCCTCCTAGGTTCAAGCAATTCTCCTGCCTCAGCCTCCTAAGTAGCTGGGATTACAGGCGTGCGCCACCATGCCTGGCTAATTTTTTGTATCTTTAGTAGAGATGGGGTTTCACCATGTTGACCAGGCTGATCTCGAACTCCTGACCTCATGATCCACCCGCCTTGGCCTCCCAAAGTGCTGGGTTTACAGGCGTGAGCCACCGCGCCCAGCCTAGTTTTTTTTTGTAGAGACAGGGTCTTACTGTGTGGCCCAGGATGGTCTGTAACTCCTGGGCTCAAGCAATCCTCCTTCCTCGGCTTCCCAAAGTATTCGAATTACAGGTATGAGCCACTGGCCCAGCCCCTAGGTAACGTTTCTAAGTAAAGAAAAACATCTATGTTCTGTGGTCAGGGGCAGGGTAGTCTAGTAGAAAAGACTTAGGAATGAACCAAGTAGATCAGTCTTTAAAGTCATTAGACTTGGCAGATGTTAGTTAATGTCTCCCAAATTATTATTATTATTATTATTATTTATTATTTTTTTTTTGAGACGGAGTCTTGCTCAGTCGCCCAGGCTGGAGTGCAGTGGCGCGATCTCGGCTCACTGCAAGCTCCGCCTCCTGGGTTCACGCCATTCTCCTGCCTCAGCCTCCCGAGTAGCTGGGACTACAGGCGCCCACCACCACGCCCAGCTAATTTTTTTGTATTTTTAGTAGAGACAGGGTTTCCCCGTGTTAGCTAGGATGGTCTCAATCTCCTGACCTCATGATCCCCCCATCTCAGCCTCCCAAAGTGCTGGGATTACAGGCGTGAGCCACTGTGCCCGGCCCAGATTTTTTTATTGTAGCTAACTAATGCTCATTGAATTATGGGATGAGATAAGGCAGGGGAAGGAGGGCATTGTGACAAAGGGCCCATAGAAGATTTATGCCATTACACTAGGCTCTCACTTAACGTCTTTGGTAGGTTCTTGGAAACTTTGACTTTATGTATTATTATTATTATTATTACTTTGTTTTTTTTTTGAGACAGAGTCTCCGTCTGTCTCCCAGGCTATAATGCAGTAGTGCTGTCTCAGCTCACTGCAACCTCTGCCTCCCAGGTTCAAGCAGTTCTCTACCTCAGCCTCCGGAGTAGCTGGGATTCCAGGCATCTGCCACCACAGCTGGCTAATTTTTGTATTTTTGGTAGAGACAGGGTTTCACCATCTTGGCCAGGGTGGTCTTGAACTCCTGACCTCATGATCCGCCCACCTCCGCCTCCCAAAGTGCTGGGATTACAGGCGTGAGCCACTGTACCTGGCACATTATTATTTATTTTTTTAAGATGAAGTCTCACCCAGGCACGGTGGCTCACGCCTGTAGTCCTAGCACTTTGAGAGGCCGAGGCGGGCGGATCACGAGGTCAGGAGATCAAGACCATCCTGGCTAACATGGTGAAACCCCGTCTCTACTAAAAACGCAAAAATTAGCTGGGCGTGGTGGCATGTGCCTGTAGTCCCAGCTACTTGGGAGGCTGAGGCAGGAGAATGGTGTGAACCCAGGAGGCGGAGCTTGCAGTGAGCTGAGATCGCGCCACTGCACTCCAGCCTGGGAGACAGAGCGAGACTCCGTCTCAAAAAAAAAAGAAAAAAAAAGTCTTACTCTGTTGCCCAGGCTGGAGTGCCATGGCTCTATCTCAGCTCACTGCAACCTCCGCCTCCTGTGCTAAAGCAGTTCTCCTGTCTCAGCCTCCCGAGTAGCTGGGAGTACAGGTGCGCCCCACCACGTCCGTCTTATTTTTTTATGTTTTTGAGACAGAGTTTCACTCTTGCTGCCCAAGCTGGAGTGCAATGGCACGATTACAGCTTACCACAACCTCTGCCTCCCGGGTTCAAGTGATTCTCCTGCCTCAGCCTCCCAAGTAGCTGGGATTACAGGCATGTGCCACCCCACCTGGCTAATTTTGTATTATTAGTAGAGAGGGTTTCTCCATGTTGGTCAGACTGTTCTTGAACTCCCGACCTCAGGTGATTTGCCTCGGCCTCCCAAAGTGCTGGGATTACAGGTGTGAGCCACTGTACCAGGCTGTATTTTTTTTTTTTCTTTTTTTGGAGAGGAGTTTTCCTTTGTCACCAAGGCTGGAGTGCAGTGGTGCAATCTCAGCTCACTGCAACCTCTGCCTCCTGGGTTCAAGCAGTTCTTCTGCCTCACCCTCCTGAGTAGCTGGGACCACAGGCACACGCCATCATGCCTCCCAATCTCAAGCAGTCCTTCTGCCTTACCCTCCTGAGTAGCTGGGACTACAGGTGTGTGCCACCACGTCCAGCTAATTAAAAAAAAACAATTTTTTGTCAGTTGGGGAGTAGAGACATGGTCTTACTATACTGCCAACGCTGGTCTCAAACTCCTGGCCTCAAGTGATCCTCCCACCTCAGCCTCCCAAAGTGGTGGATTTACAGGAGTGAGCTACTGTGCCCAGCCAGAGTTCACTTTTTTTTTTTTTTTTTGAGACAGAGTTTTACTCTTGTTCCCCAGGCTGGAGTGCAATGGCGCGATCTCGGCTCACCACAACCTCCGCCTCCCGGTTTCAAGCAATTCTCCTACCTCAGCCTCCCAATTCTCCTACCTCAGCCTCCCAAGTAGCTGGGATTACAGGCATGCACCAGCATGCCCGGCTAATTTTTTTTTTGTATTTTTAGCAGAGATGGGGTTTCTCTGTGTTGGTCAGGCTGGTCTTGAACTCCCGACCTCAGGTGATCCACCCACCTCGGCTTCCCAAAGTGCTGGGATTACAGGCATGAGCCACCACGCCCTACCCAGGGTACCTTTAGGTATCATGTCACATTGAGGGAAGAATTCGTTTTTATTCTGAATTCTACCAGTTTCACGGTTAAAATTCAGTATAACCCTATGGCTTTCTGGTGATTTGAGGGTTAAACCCAAGTATCAGTAAATTCCTGGAGTTGATATGATAATTATTGCATTGTGGCCTATGTTTGTGGACATAGCCTATTAGCAGGGCTCTTGGTTATATCTTTTTATTTATATATATACACATATATTATATATATAATATATTTTATATATATTTTATATATTATATATATATATTTTATATATATATATTTGAGACAGGGTCTCACTCTCACCCAGGCTAGAGTGCAGTGGTGTGATCTCTGCTCACTGCAACCTCTACCTCCTGTGCTAAAGTAATTCTCTTGCCTCAGCCTCCTGAGTAGCTGGGACTACAGGCATGCGCCACAATGCCCGGCTAATTTTTTTTTTTTTTTTTTTTGTATTTTTGGTAGAGACGGGGCTTCACCATGTTGCCTAGGCTGGTCTTGAACTCCTGAGCTCAGATGATCCACCCACCTCAGCCTCCGAAAGTGCTGGTATTACAGGTGTGAGCCACTGTGCCTGGCCCTTTGTCATATCTTGACCCTAATATGTTGAGGTATGGACGTGTCCAGTAAAGTCAGAGATGGCCTGGCCAGCCTATGTTTAGCTATGTATACTTTACTAGGAAGTAAGAAGGTATGTGAATGTGGGAAGGAAGAACCACTTGTCTAAGGCAAGCAAGTTTTTACTACAGATAGTTTTTCTGGCTTCTAGAGGCTGTAACCTCATGATTAACTTAGTTAAAAAATGTTTCTGGCTGGGTGCAGTGGCTCACACCTGTAATCCCAGCACTTTGGGAGGCCGAGGCGGGCAGATCACAAAGTCAGGAGTTTGAGACCAGTCTGGCCAATATGGTGAAAATACTAAAAATAGAAAAATACTCTACTAAAAATGAAAAATTAGCCGGGCGTGGTGGCACACGCCTGTAGTCCCAGCTGCTTGGGAGGCTGAGACAGGAGAATCACTTGAACCTGGGAGGCAGAGGTTGCAGTGAGCCGAGATTGCACCACTGCACTCCAGCCTGGGCGACAGATTGAGACTCTGTCTCAAAATTAAAAAAAAAAAAAGAAAAAGAAAACGTCGCCAAGGCCGCAGTCCCTGGTGAGAGTCCATGGGTAAAACTTGCACCTGGCTTTGAGCAGATAGCTGTTTCATCATAGAAGCATCAGGAAGATACAGGTGGGAGATGGAGAGGAAGATCCCATCACTGCTGAGTGGCAGGGGCATGTCAAGTAGTGAGTGGTGTCAAATGGGTCAGAAAGGTGGAATAATTTATTGCCATTTTAAAAATCACCGACTTGGTGGGTGTGGTGACTCACACCTGTAGTCCCAGCACTTTGGGAGGTTGAGGTGGGTAGATTGCTTGAGGCCAGGAGGTCAAGACCAGCATGGGCAACATAGACCCTGTCTGTACAAAAAATACAAAATTAGCCAGATGTGGTGGTGTGCCTGTGGTCCCAGCTACTTTGGAGACTGAGATGGGAGGATCACTTGAACCTGGGAAGGTCAAGGCTGCAGTGAGCTGTAGTCATGCCACTGTACTCCAGCCTGGGTGACAGAGTGAGACCCTGTCTAAAAACAACAACAACAAAACCCATTGGCTTTTTGAAGTGAGATTCAGTGGCATTCAATCTTTGGGGTCAACCTGACAGAATCATGATGGGGGTACAGTGCTGCAGGCTAGAACTCATGACTCAGTTCAGGTTATAGTGCATGGCAGTCTGCTGACAAAGTGGGGCTCTTTTTAAGCCAAGAGTTTAGTTCCCAAGGGGACCTTCTTGGCCTTATAGGACATGGAAGTGGGGAGTAGGAGAATTGTTGTCCTCCTGAAAAGATAAATTGCTGAGCCCAGGTGAGTCTGGCAGAGTTGTGCCATAGGTGTGTTGTTGCAGCCACCTCTGCACCCTACCCTTGACGTGGAGACAGTTCAAAACAAGGACATTAGGGTGGGTCAGTGGTGGTAATTCCTCCAGTATTAAGAGAACAGTATTCTAACTAAAACTTTTTCTGGCAGAGAACAGGCTTGGGGTGGGATAGGGGAACCAAACAAGTGGTAGAGTCAAATTCTGGCAATGGAATTTTAAGACTAGCTCAGGTAAATATCAGAAACTACCCTGGAGATTGAAGCAAATTCTACCTAAGCTGGAAAATTAAAGGATCTACACATTATGCTAAAAGTACTGTGGAGTAAGATATAGGGAGTTTGAAGAACAGCAGTGTTTTTCCAACTGTGCTGTTAATGAATGTGTGACCTCTGGGAACTGTTTTGTGATTGGTCCTCTGAATCTCTGATAGTCATTGTTTCTCCTTTTTTCTGTCTTCCCTCTTGCACTCTCTCCCTTCAAGGTGCTGGGAAATGCCAGGATGATTAAAACACCCCTCTTGCCCTCCAGAATCTCACATTTGTTGGGAGTGGTGAGGGACAGCAGCATTTAACTTAGTGATAACAATATGGTGAGACCCGCTCTGCACTAGTGGTCATATGTCCAAGGTACGTGACAGCATAGAGCAGGGAGGAGCAAACTTTTTCTATAAAGGGCCAGATAGTAAATCTTTTAGGCTGTATTGGCCATATGGTCTTGGTCACATCTACTCGACCTTGCTCTTGTAGCACAGCAGCCCTAGACAATGTGTAAACAAATGGGCATGGCTGTTTTCCAATGAAACTTATCTAAGACAAGTGGTTGGCTGAATTTGGCCCACAGGAGGCTGTTTGCCAACCCTTGGTATAGAGTAGTGAGCATTTTAGGGAAGACACTTCAGATGTGACAGTGGAGGAGGGGCTTGAAAAATAAATGGCAATTATTCAGAGAAAGGGAAGGAAGAGAAAAGGGATCAAGCTGATTTGGGAGTGCTCAGTTTGTCCACCTCTGCAATTTAGAACTTGATGCTTTTCTGTTGAGCTGAACTGGAGGTTGTTAGTTCTCAAAAAGGAGGGAAGATACTATTAAAGAACAGTATTTATTTTTCAGACAGCATGTAACACTTTATTTATTTATTTATATTTTTAAGACAGAGTTTTGCTCTTGTCATCCAGGCCAGAGTGGTGATTTATTTATTTATTAATTATGTAAATTTATATAAAAATATACGTTTATATAAAATATAAATAGATTATTTATTTATATAAATATATATTTTTTTTAAGACAGAGTTTCGCTCTTGTTGCCCAGCCTGGAGTTCAATGGCACGGTCTCAGCTCACTGCAACCTCCACCTCCCGGGTTCAAGCGATTCTCCTGCCTCAGCCTCCCAAGTAGCTGGGATTACAGGTACCCGCCACCATGCCCGGCTAATTTTTGTAATTTTAGTAGAGATGGGGTTTCACCATGTTGGGCAGGCTGGTTTCGAACTCCTGACCTCACATGATCCGCCTGCCTCAGCCTTCCAAAGTTCTGGGATTACAAGTGTGAGCCACCGCACCCGGCCTGTTTGTTTTTGTAAAGACAAGTTCTTGCTCTGTTGTCTTGCTCTGCTTGCAGCAGCCTTGACATCCTGGGCTCAAGCGATCCTCCCACTTCAGCCTTTCAGGTAGCTGAGACTACAGGTGCATGCCAACACACCTGGCTGATTTTTTTTAATTTTTTTTTTTGTAGAAACAGGGTCTCACTGTGTTGCCCAGGCTGGGCTCAGGGTTTTTTTTTTGTTGTTTGTTTTTTTTTTTAATTTAGAGATAGGGACTTGCTTTGTTGCCCAGACTGGGATGCAGTGACATGATCATAGCTCACTGCAGCCTCGACCTCCTTGGCTCAGGCGTGCACCACCGTGCCTGGCTAATTTAAACTTTTTAAATTTTTTCTAAGATGGAGTCTTGCTGTCACCCAGGCTGGAGTGCAGTAGCATGATCTTGGCTCATTGCTACCTCCGCCTCCCCGGTTCAAACAATTCTCCTGCCTCAGCCTCCCAGGTAGCTGGGATTACAGGCACATGCTACCACACCCAGCGGATGTTTGTATTTTTAGTAGAGATGGGGTTTCACCATGTTGGCCAGGCTGGTCTTGAACTCGTGACCTCAAGTGATCCACCCGCCTCGGCCTCTCAAAATGCTGGGATTATAAGCGTGAACCACTGTGCCTGCCCTAACATTTTTTTTGGTAGAGTCAGGGGCCTTGCTATGTTGCCCAGTCTGGTCTTGCACCCCTGGACTCAAGCCATCCTCCTGTCTTGGCCTCCTAAAGTGTTAGGGTTACAGGTATGAGCCACTAATCCTGGCCTGATTCAATATTTTGATTCATTGTTATTTATTTACTCTTAGGTATTCTAGAACAGAACTTCAAGTAGAGTACTGTATTTTTTTAGTTCCTAACTGTCCAATTTGTAGGGAACTATATATATATATATTTCCCCCTCCCCGAGATAGGGTCTTACTTTGTCACTTAGGTTGAAGTGCAGTGGTGCAATCTCACCTCACTGCCACCTCCTCCCCCCAGGCACAAGCTAGGCTCCCGAGAAGCTGGGACCACAGGAGTGCGCCACCACACCCAGCTAATTTTTTTTTTTTTTTTTTTTTTTTTTTGAGACGGAGTCTCGCTCTGTCGCCAGGCTAAAGAGCAGTGGCACGATCTTGGTTCACTGCAACCTCTGCCTCCCAGGTTCAAGCGATTCTCCTGCCTCAGCAGTAGCTGGGACTACAGGTGCCCGCCATCACGCCTGGCTAATTTTTAGTAGAGACGGGGTTTTACCATATTGGCCAGGCTGGTCTGGAACTCCTGATCTTGTGATCTGCCCTCCTCTGCCTCCCAAAGTGCTGGGATTACAGGTGTGAGCCACCACTCCCAGCCAATTTTTGTATTTTTAGTAGAGAGGGGGTTTCACTATGTTGGCCAAGATGGTCTCAATCTCTTGACCTCGTGATCCGCCCACCTCAGCCTCCCAAAGTGTTGGGATTACAGGCGTGAGCCACTACGTCCAGCCCCCCAGCTAATTTGTTAAAAAATTTTTTGTAGGGTTTTGCCATGTTGCCCAGGCTGGTCTCAAACCCCTGAGCTCAAAGTATCCACCCGCCTATCTCCCAAAGTGCTGGAGTTACAGTTGTGAGCTACCATGCCTGTCCAGGAACAGTATTTTATTAGAAATGTTCAGGCACACTGGGCGCGGTGGCTCATGCCTGTAATTCCAGCACTTTGGGAGGCTGAAGCGGGCAGATCACTTGCGGTCAGGGGTTCGAGACCAGCTTGGCCAACAGGGTGAAACCCCATCTCTTCTCAAAATACAAAAATTAGCTGGGTGTGGTGGCACGTGCCTGTAATACCAGCTACTCTGGAGGCTGAGGCAGTGAGGCAGGAGAATCACTTGAACCCAGGAGGTGGAGGTTATAGTGAGCCTACATCATGCCACTGCACTCCAGCCTGGGCAACAGAGCGAGACTCCATCTCAAAAAAAAAAAAAATGTTCAGGCACAAGCTTTCAGCTAGGGAACAGTTGCCCTGGGGATGCTGATATTCAGAAGATATATTTTTGAGAGCCTATTTGTTGCTAGCTAAGAATAAAGGCTTTGTCTGGGTGCGGTGGCGCATGCCTGTAACCCCAACACTTTGGGAGGCTGAGGCAGGTGGATTACCTGAGGTCAGGAGTTCGAGACCAGCCTGGTCAACATGGCAAAACCCCGTCTCTACTAAAAAAAAAAAAAATACAAAAATTAGCCGGGCATGGTGTCCACATGTCTGTAACCCCAGCTACTTGGGAGGCTGAGGCAGGAGAATCGCTTGAACCCAGGAGGTGGAGGTTGCATTGAGCTGAGATCGTGCCATTGCACTCCAGCCTGGGCAACAAGAGAGAAACTCCATCTCAAAAAAATAAAAATAAAAAGAATGAAGGCTTTCCAAGAGCCTACCCCAGATTCAAAACATAGGGAACATGCAAGGGCCCTTACGATGACAGTTCTTTGCCACTCTGGTCTGCCATCCCTTGACACCCACCAGGCTTGCAGGCGTCATAAGCAGTTCCGGGCAGCAGCTGCAGTGTTTCCTAAGCCCTCTGTGAGGGCAGCTGGTTGGAAGACCCAAATACACAGAGAAGGCAAACTGAGAGTGGCTCATTGGAGTCAGTAGGTCACACCCAGCAGGCTCCTCTCTGGCTTCTCTGTTTCCCTTGTTGTATCAGCTGTCTCAGCCTGTTAAATACTTGTAGTAGGAATCCCTCTGGATTCCCCACGGCACCTGTGCCTTCCTGGTCTGGGCATGTGGAAATAAGATGGCCCAGCTGGTGACTGAATAACAAGATGAAGTGCATATTGCTTGGATTTTGTTCTTTTGGCTCCTCCCTTTTCCTTCCATGTCACTGCGTGCAGACAAGATATGTGTCCTTGGTGTTCATTAAATCACTCACTTGTGGGACGCAGTGGCTCATGCATTTAATCCCAGCACTTTGGGAGGCTGAGGCGGGAGGATTGCTGGAGGCCAGAAGTTCAAGGCCAGCCTGGGCAATATAGCAAGACCCCATCTCTACAAAAATAAAAAAAAGTAGCTGGGTGTGGTGGCGCACACCTATAGTCTCAGCTACTCTGTAGGCTGAGGTGGGAAGATCGCTTGAGCCCAGGAGTTTGTGACTGCATTGTGTAGGATCATGGCACTGCACTCCAGCCTGGGCAGAAGAGTGAGACCCTGTCTCTTAAAAACAAAAACAAACAAACAAAAATAAGGGTTACCCAGCATCAGGCATGATTAGAAGCCGGTTTTTTTTGTTCGTTTTGTTTTTGTTGTTGTTGTTGTTGTTTTTTAAAGACAGAGTCTCTGTCACACAGGCTGGAGTGCAGTGGCACAAGCTCAGCTCACTGCAGCCTCCGTCTCCCGGGTTCAAGTGATTGTCCTGCCTCAGCCTCCCAAGTAGCTGGGACTACAGGTGCACACCACCATGCCCGGTGCTAATTTTTGTATTTTCAGTAGAGACAGGGTTTCACAATGTTGGCCAGGCTAGTCTGAACTCCTGGCCTCAAGTGATCTTCCTGCCTTGGCCTCCCAAAGTGCTGGGATTATAGGAATGAGCCACTGTGCCTGGCCTAGAAGCCTTTTAATATTGATGTGCTTTGATATCGAATGCATATACTTTTCTCCTTTGCCCACATCAAGGTGCTATATATAAAACGGGCACAGGAGGAAACACTGGTTAGTATACAAGGACTGTGTTTTCACTGGGAATCATGCAGAATGAAAGGAGAGCCAGGTAAGCACAGATTGTCATGTGCAGTGATTTCAAGTAAGCCATATGCACATTAATAACAAATATTTGTAAGTTTATGCTTCTTGGTTTGCCTGAACCCAGTGTGTTCTTAAACTTGGTGCTTTTTATTCTTTGAGATGCTAACCAGTTAGTGCTTCTAACTGATTGGTAGTGAGGCCAGCAGCTAGCATGTTTGCATTGAAAATGGGTGTAGTATGGGTGATAGTCATTGAATTTTTATGGTTACTTTTTTTTTTTTTTTTTTTGAGATGGAGTCTCTCTCTGTCACCCAGGCTAGAGTGCAGTGGTGCAAGCTCGGCTAACTGAAACCTCCGCCTCCCGGGTTCAAGCAATTCCTCTGCCTCAGCCTCCCAAGTAGATGGGACTACAGGTGCATGTTACTGTGCCCGGCTAATTTTTGTAATTTTTGTAGAGATGGGGTTTCGCTATGTTGACCAGGCTGGTTTCGAACTCCTGGGCTCAAGTGATCTGCCTGCCTTGGCCTCCCAAAGTGCTGGGATTACAAGCATGAGCCACTGCTCTTGGCCTGGAAAAAATTTTTCTATGTTTTGCTGCATAAAGAAAATGAAAAGACAAGCCATAGACTGGGAGAAATAATTTGCAAAACATACATCTTACAGAGCACTTGTGTCCAGAATGTATAAAGAACTCTTTTTATTTGCGTGTGTGTGTGTGTGTGTGTGTGTGTGTGTGTGTGTGTGTGTGTGTTTAATACGGACACTGTCTATGTTGTCCACACTGGTCTTGAACCCCTGGCTCAAGTGATCGGCCTTCCTCAGCCTCCCAAAGTGCTAGGATTACAGGTGTGAGTGACCACGCCCAGCCAAGAACTCTTAATAAGGCAGCCCGGGCTTGGTGGTTTATGCTTGTAATTCCAGCACTTTGGGAGGCTGAGGTGGGAGGATGATTTGAGATCAGGAGTTTGAGACTAGCCTAGGGAACACAGGGAGACCCCATCGCTACATAAAATTAAAAAAAAAAAAACAGAACAAACAAACCTGCCAGGCATAGTGGTCCTTGCTTGTGGTTCCAGATGCTTGGGAGGCTGAGGTGGGAGGATTGCTTTAGCCAAGGAGGTCAAGGCTGCAGTGAGCCATGATTATGCCAGTACACTCCAGCCTGGGCAACAGAGCAAGACCTATCTCAAAAAAGAAAATAATAATGATAATAAGACAATCCAGGCTGGGCATGGTGGCTCATGCCTGTAATCCCAGCACTTTGGGAGGCCGAGGCAGGTGAATCACCTGAGGTCAGGAGTTTGAGACCAGCCTGGCCAACGTGGTGAAACCCTGTCTTTACTAAAAATACAAAAATTAGCTGGGCGTGGTGGTGTGGGCCTGTAGTCCTAGCTACTCTGGAGGCTGAGGCAGGAGAATTGCTTGAACCTGGGAGGCAGAGGTTGTGGTGAGCTGAGATGGTGCCACTGCACTCCAGTCTGGGTGACAGAGCAAGACTCCATCTCAAAAAAAAGACAGTCCAATTAAAAATGGGCAAAAGCTTTGAATACTGTATCAGAGAAGATACAGTAATTACAAATAAGCACATAAGATGCTTGATATCATTAGACATAAAGGGAAGTACAAGTGAAAACCACAGTGTGAAACTGCTATACTTCTGCTAAAATGGCTGAGATCAGAAAGGCTAACAGTACCCAGTGTTGGTGAGTAGGTGGCAGATTTAGAACTATCAAACATTAGGGCCGGGCGCTGTGGCTTACGCCTGTAATCCCAGCACTTTGGGAGGTCGAGGCGGGTGGATCACGAGGTCAGGAGTTCGAGACCAGCCTGGCCAACATAGTGAAACCCCATCTCTACTAAAAATACAAAAAATTAGCCAGGCGTGGTGGCGGGCGCCTGTAATCCCAGCTACTCGGGAGACTGAGGCAGGAGAATCACTTGAACCCCAGAGGCGGAGGTTGCAGTGAGCCAAGATCGCGCCATTGCACTCCAGCAAAAAAAAAAAAAAAAGAAAAAAAAAAAGAAAACAGTTTGACAGTTCCTTTTTTTTTTTTTTTTTTGAGACGGAGTCTGGCTCTGTTGCCCAGGCTGGAGTGCAGTGGCGCATTAATCTCAGCTCACTGCAAGCTCCGCCTCCTGAGTTCACGCCTTTCTCCTGCCTCAGCCTCCCGAGTAGCTAGGACTACAGGCGCCCGCCACCATCCCCGGCTGATTTTTTGCATTTTTAGTAGAGACGGGGTTTCACCGTGTTAGCCAGGATGGTCTCGATCTCCTGACCCCGTGATCCATCCGCCTCGGCCTCCCAAAGTGCTGGGATTGCAGGCGTGAGCCACTGCACCCGGCCATTTTGTTTTGTTTTTAAGGAAACTTCACTAGCAGGAAAACAATTACTTTAAAAATTAAACATACACTTACCATATGACCCAGAAATTCTACTCTTAGTTATCTACCTAACAAAAGTAAAAACATGTCCACACACAGAGACTTTTTACTTTTAAAAAGCAAAATCTTTTTACTTTTAAAAAGTAAAACGTTGGCTGGGCATGGTGACTCACACCTGTAATCCCAGCACTTTGGGAGGCCGAGGCGGGCGGATCATGAGGTCAGGAGATCAAGACCATCCTGGCTAACAGGGTGAAACCCTGTCTCTACTAAAAATACAAAAATTATCCGGGCGTGGTGGCGGGCGCCTGTAGTCCCAGCTACTCGGGAGGCTGAGGCAGGAGAATGGCGTGAACCCAGGAGGCGGAGCTTGCAGTGAGCCAAGATCGCGCCACTGCACTCCAACCTGGGAGACAGAGCGAGACTCCGTCTCAAAAAAAAAAAAAAAAAAGTAAAATATTTTTACTTTTACATACACAAAGACTTGTGTGTGACTGCTGCCAAAAACTGGAAACAGCCGGGTAGGGTGGCTCATGCCTGTAATCCCAGCACCTTAGGAGGCCAAGGTGGGTGGATCGTTTGAGCTCAGGAGTTCAAGACTATCCTGGGCAATACGGTGAAACCCTGTCTCTACAAAAAAATACAACACCTTAGCTGGGCGTGGTGGTGTGCTTCTGTGGTCCCAGCTACTTGGGAAGCTGAAGTGGGAGGATTGCTTGAGCCCAGTGGGTGGAGGTTGCAGTGGGCTGAGATTGTGCCATTACATTCCAGCCTGGGTGATAGAGTGAGACTCTGTTTCAGAAAACACAAAAAACAAAACTGGAAACAATTCAGATTTTGATCAACTGTCCATCAACTAGTGAATGAATATATAAAAGGTAGAACTGTATCCTCATAGTGGAATGCTTCCTAGCAATTTAAAAAACTATTGGTACATGAAACAAAATGGATGAACCTCAGAAATGTGCTAAGTGGAAGAAGCCAGAGACGTAAGTCAACACATTGTATCATTCCATTTATATGAAATATCTAGTAAAGGAAAAACTATAGAAATAGATTTAAGGCCAGGCATGGTGGCTTACGCTTGTAATCCCAGCACTTTGGGAGGCTGAGGCGGGCAGATCACGAGGTCAGGAGTTCGAGACCAGCCTGACCAACATGGTGAACCCCTGTCTCTACTAAAAATACAAAAATTAGCCAGGCGTGGTGGTGGGCACCTGTAATCCCAGCTACTTGGGAGGCTGAGGCAGGAGAATCCCTTGAACCTGGGAGGCGGAGGTTGCAGTGAGCTGAGATCGCACCACTGCACTCCAGCCTGGGCGACAGAGCAAGACTTTGTCTCAAAAAAAAAGAAATAGATTTTAAAAAGTAATCTTGGTGGCCCTCCCAAGCCTAAAAGGCACATTCTACACTTTCTCTACTGAGGGCAGCTTTTATTGGTTCTCTCCAGTGGTTTGGCAAAAACCATAAACTTACTAACTTGGAATAATTGGGCCATTTATAGGTATATAGTCATTTGCAAAAATATGTGGGAAAATTTAGATTTGTACAGCAGCTAAATTGAGGGTAGAGTGATAATCGTTTGCTTTACAAAAGAAGGCATATTCATGTTCTGCATGAGTTTTCATGACAAAAAAGGGCAAGGTAATCTCCTTCTCCCCACCCTCAATTTTGAAAAAAGGAAACACTTCTAGTTTCTTTTATTGAGAGCGGTCTCCCCCATTGATGGGGACCCCTAATTGATGGGGTCCTCTCTAGGAGATTTTATCCCATTTGTACAGCTTCCTGGTAAAAGCAGATCTGTGTAGCTGAGTCCGGATCCCTAAAGCATTACTGTAGGTTGAGTATATTGGGGGCAAACTGAAAATATATACAGTCAGCTTACAGTCATTTCTGCTGACTTTTCTAAGTGCTCCCTTACATCATTTAGCATTTGGGATGTTTGCATTAGAATTGAAATAGAGAATTGTCTAGTCCATTCTCCTTTGCTTTTGGAGACTTTAGGGGAGATTGCACTTGCACAACTGGTATTTTGGCGGGGGTGGGGGGTGTATTTTGAAATCATTGTTCTATAACCAGTGTGTCATTGTTACTCAGCCTGTCTAAAGAATCACTTCTGGCTGAGATTTATATCCATTTTATTTTCTCTCTGGCAAAAATTCAAGTGGCTCTTCTTCCAGCTTTTTTTTCTCCCCTTCTCTAGCTTAATTTGTCAGTTCCATTCTTAAACATTCTGCATAGATGCCTGGTTTCCTGAGCCAACTCTTGTCTCTTACTAAATGGGGTGATGTTATGTTTTTAAGCTGCTATGTAGGTGACAACGACATTTTACTCTTTGAACGTTCAGACTATCTAGTCAACACAAGCTTTATAGAAGCAGCTTTCTCTGACCCAGCATTCGGAGATGATTTGGATTTTCAGGAATAAACGTTTTTAAAGGGGATTGAGGTTTCAAAGTGAGATCTTCCAGCCTGCTTATAAGGTAAATGCCCGCCTGTCCACTAGATGCTTCCCAGGAGCTCTGCCACCCTCCAGTTTTTCCTTCTTTCCTTAAAGACTTCAGATTTTTTTTTTTTTTTTTAATAGAGGCAGGGTCCCACTATGTTGCCCAGGCTGGTCTGTAACTACTGGGCTCAAGTGATCTTCCTCCCTCAGCCTCCCAAAATGCTGGGATTACAGGCGTGAGCCACAGCGCTGGCCGACTTCAGATTTTCTTAAGGCATTGTTTGGAAAGCAAGATTCAAGGAAACTCCTCCTTAGGTTGCAGTGAGCTGAGATTGCACCACTGCACCAGCCTGGGCCACAGAGCAAGACTCCATCTCAAAAAAAAAAAAAAAAAGGAAACTCCTCCTTGTTACCGGGGTTTTTTTGGTGCTTGAGTAAGCGTTGCTTGTTGCTGCTTAAAATACATCATCAGCAGCTCTTTCCATAGAAACTACAAGGCTTTCTTGTTACAGTTGGGATTGCCACTGCTTGGAATGCTGTCAGCCTGTGTGTTTATTTGTCTGTAAAGTTATAGCCTGGTAGGGCCAGAATGGCAGCCAGTCTTGAAAGATTATATATATATTGCTGCTGTATTTGTCTCTCTCCATGTCCTAGAGATCCTGTGAAAAAGGAGCTCTGGCTTCAGATCACTGCAGGGTTTTGCCATTCTTCCCTCTCTTACCCGGGGAGGCTGAAATGACAGCGTGAGCTGGCCTTCTGTGCTCACGCCTGCTCCTCCTTCCTAAGACAGTCTTTGAAACTTGCAAGGACAAGAATACCCATGGCAATTGAAGGCCTCCTTTTTTTTCATAGTCAAACCTAAGCCTTGAGAAAGTGCTTAATTTTATAAACAAAGAATTAGACACTTGGTTTACTTCCTCTGCTATAAAACTATGCTTGGAGCCAGGCGTGGTGGCTCACGCCTGTAATACCAGCACTTTGGGAGGCTGAGGTGGGTGGATCACCTGAGCTCAGGAGTTCAAGACCGGCCTGGCCAACATGGTGAAATCCTGTCTCTACTAAAAATACAAAAAAATGGCCAGGTGTGGTAGCTCACGCCTGTAATCCTAGCACTTTGGGAGGCCCAGGTGGGTGGATCACGAGGTCAGGAGATCGAGACCATCCTGGCTAACACAGTGAAACCCCATCTCTACTAAAAAACTACAAAAAAATTAGCTGGGCGTGGTGGCAGGCGCCTGTAGTCCCAGCTACTCGGGAGGCTGAGGCAGGAGAATGACGTGAACCTGGGAGGTGGAGCTTGCAGTGAGCAGAGCTTGCGCCACTGCACTCCAGCCTGGGCGACAGAGCGAGACTCCGTCTCAAAAAAAAAAAAAAAATTAGCTGGGGGTGGTGGCGGGCACCTGTAATCCCAGCTACTCTGGAGGCTGAGACAGGAGAATCGCTTGAACCCAGGAGGCGGAGGTTGCAGTGAGCTGAGATCGTGCCATTGTACTCCAGCCTGGGCAACAAGAGTGAAACTCAATCCCAAGAAAAAAAGCTATGCTTAGTTTATGGTTTGATGGATCACTGTAAAAGCAGAATATAAATGTTTGAAGATTCCAAGCATTAAGGTACTTTTGGAATATGCTGTAGGTATGGCTCCCCCATTTTTTTTTTGAGACGGAGTCTTGCTCTGTCGCCCAGGCTGGAGTGTAGTGGTACAATCTCGGCTCACTGCAGTCTCTGCCTCCCGTGTTCAAGCGATTCTCCTGTCTCAGCCTCCTGAGTAGGCGGGATTACAGGTGCACACCACCACACCCATCTAATTTTTGTATTTTTAGTAGAGACGGGGTTTCACCATGTTGGCCAGGTTGGTCTCAAACTCCTGACCTCAGGTGATCCGCCTGCCTCGGCCTCACAAAGTACTGGGATTATAGGCGTGAGCCACTGGGCCCAGCCAGTGCCTCTTTTTATTTAAGGAACTGATGTTTGGGGACAAATTGTGTGTTCTCGCGCGTGTTTGCACATGTGCTGCAGCATTGTTAGACTCAGCTGTTCATGTTCATGGGTCTGAAGAGTCTCCAGATTATTTGTTGGACTTTTAAGATGCATTGTTTGCCTTTAATTTGTTTTAACTACCTTGTCTAGCACATTTGTTTTGTCTTACACTCAAACAAATTTGTACCTCTGGAATCTCTAGCAACCAGTAGTGTGGGGTAGGGATCAGAAATGTGCTGGAGAGGTGATAGGGATTGACAGGGTAGAAGTTACGAGATTGTAGTAGACTACCAGATTTTACTAGATTTTCTTTTGATCAGTTTGTGGATGGTTCCACCAGAGGGCAGTGAAGGAACAGACATGACGTAGAATTCAGACTCTTCGTTTTTCTCAAAAGCAGGACAGGGTTGCCTTTAGCTAAAGTTAAAGGTGGACAGCGTTTATGGTTAGATTTACTTGAGTCCTGGCTCCCTATGTGAGCACAGATAATGTTCTGTAAGAGTTTTTAGAGTCTCAGATTGTGGTCTGTGAAGGTGTGGTATGTATTAATTTTTAAACTGGAGGCTCTAGCACAACAGCTGATAAATCTTAATTTTCGCCTTGAATGGAAATTCTGTGTGTGTGTGTGTGTTTGTGTGTGTGTGTGTGTGTGTGTGTGTGTGTGTGTGTGTGTGTTTGTTTTTTTTTTTTTTAAAGAGACAGAGTCTCACTTCTTTGCCCAGGCTGGAGTACAGTAGCATGATCTCGGCACACTGCAACATCTGCCTGCTGTGTTCAAGTGATTCTGCTGCCTCAGCCTTCTGAGTAGCTGGGATTACAGGCACGCACCACCATGCCCGGCTAATTTTTGTAATTTTAGTAGAGACGGGGTTTCACCATGTTGGCCAGGCTGGTCTCGAACTCCCTACCTCAGTGATGCACCCAGTTAGAAGTGTGTGTGTGTGTATGTGTATGTATTTTTTTTTGTTTGGTTTTGTTTTGTTTTGAGACGGAGTCTTGCTCTGTCACCCAGGCTAGAGTGCAGTGGCGCGATCTCAGCTCCCTGCAGCCTTCTCCTGGGTTCAAGCAATTCTCTGCCTCAGCCTCCCAAGTAGCTGGGATTACAGGAGCCCGCCACCACGCCTGGCTAATTTTTTTTTTTTTTTTGTATTTTTAGTAGAAACAGGGTTTTAACCATCTTGGCCAGGCTGGTCTTGACCTCCTGACCTCGTGATCCACCTGCCTCGGCCTCCCAAAGTGCTGGGATTACAGGCATGAGCCACCTCCCCTGGCCGGAAATGTATATATTTTTAAATCTCTGACCATCATTTGCCATCACATAGTCCCCCAGCCACACTCTATAATGTTAAAAGTGCTTTATTTTCTTCCTAGTGCTTATCACTGTCTGAAATCACCTTGATTTCAGTTACTTGTTTATAGTCTGTCTCCCCCACCCACTTCAGGCTATATTTAGCCTAGCATAGTGAATGTCTGGCACATGGTAGGTATGCAGTAAGTATTAGAAGGAAGGAAGGAACGTTTTCTTGGAATACCAGTAACTGTTCAGGTATGTCGTGGATTTTTAAAATTTGTTTCACTTTTCATTTCTGAGAAAACAGAATCTGTCCAAACAAGTCTTTCCTGGCCTCCTTTCTTCAGCTTAGGTCCTGACTGTTGGCAAGAATGAAGATGAATCCTATTCTGAGTCTCTTTCCTCTCTTCCACCCTAGCTTGCCAGCAAAGCACGGACAGAGAAGGAGGAGAAGCTGAGCCAGGCCTATGCAATCAGTGCTGGTGTCTCTCTAGAGGGCCAGCAGCTCTTCCAGACCATTCACAAGACGTGAGTTGGGATCGGAGAGGTCCTTTGTCCTGGGGTAATGCTACCTGGTTGTGCTGTCTGGTGGCAGGCTTTTGGGTGGTTGTCTTCCTAAAAGTCTACTGGGGAAGCTGGGTAGGGTATTGGCAATATGCCAGCATCCAGAGGTGCAGGTGCTGTAGCCCCCTTTCCACACAGAAGAATAGTGTAATCACGGACAAGTTGTCTTCTCTGGTCTTTAGTTGCTTGTCTGTAAAACTTAGTTTTGGATTAGATTATCCCTAAGGATCCCTTCTAGACCTAGTAGTCCATAACTTAGAACTAGTGATTTCTTCTCTTTGATTTTGTTGTTTTGTGCCTTTCTTTAAAAGCTGATGCAGTTTTTATTAAGGGAAAGTTATATCTATATCACTTTTCCCATTGTAGATTGGGATGAACACAGGGAGTTAGAGCAGGCCACCTTCTTACCACCTCTTAAAAGACATTTTGGGGCCGGGCGCGGTGGCTCACGCCTGTAATCCCAGCACTTTGGGAGGCCGAGGCAGGTGGATCATGAGGTCAGGAGATCGAGACCATCCTGGCTAACAAGGTGAAACCCCGTCTCTACTAAAAATACAAAAAATTAGCCGGGCGCGGTGGCGGGCGCCTGTAGTCCCAGCTACTCGGGAGGCTGAGGCAGGAGAATGGCGTGAACCCGGGAGGCGGAGCTTGCAGTGAGCCGAGATTGCGCCACTGCAGTCCGCAGTCCGGCCTGGGCGACAGAGCGAGACTCCGTCTCAAAAAAAAAAAAAAAAAAAAAAAAAAAGACATTTTGTTGGTCGGGCACGGTGGCTCACGCCTGTAATCCCAGCACTTTGGGAGGCCGAGGTGGGCGGTTCACCTGAGGTCGGGAGTTCCAGACCAGCCTGACCAACATGTTGAAACCCCCATCTCTACTAAAAATACAAAATTAGCCAGGCGTGGTGGTGCATACCTGTAATCCCAGCCACTTAGGAGGCTGAGGCAGGAGATTCGCTTGAACCCTGGAGGTGGAGGTTGTGGTGAGCCAAGATTGTGCATTGCATTCCAGCCTGGGCAACAAGAGCAAAACTCCGTCTCAAAAAAAAACATTTTGTCACAGCAGAAGTCATTTGACTCTCCACTAGCTTCCCTAGCTGCTGAAAAACTGGAACATTTGACACCCCTCTCCACCCCGCCTCCCCCCACCCCACACTGCCATCTGTTACTCTGTTTAACCACCCTGGATCTGGTGCACAGATGGCAGCTGGCATCAGAGCTGTTTGAGGCTGTGGTGTGAGTATCTGAACATTTACAGGTATGTGAAGGAACTCCCAGTCGCATCAGCTGCCCTGGGGCTTCCCAAGTGTGAACTGGAATGGGTTTTCCCAGTCTGGCAAGTGCCCAACTGTCTGATAATTGAGAAGAGCCAGTCTGAAGAGCAGCTCCCATTATGGGTGATAAGGGTCAGAGTACAGATCATAGGAAGATGGGGAGTTTGTTCTCTCTCTCTTTTTTTTGAGTCGGAGTCTCACTCTGTCACCAGGCTGGAGTCCAATGGTGCAATCTTGGCTCACTGCAATCTCTGCCTCCCAGGTTCAAGCGATTCTCCTGCTTCACCCTCCTGAGTAACTGGGACTACAGGCGCGCAGTCCCACGCCCAGCTAATTTTTGTATTTTTAGTAGAGACAGTTTCATCATGTTGACCAGGATGGTCTCGATCTCCTGACCTCATGATCCGCCCACTTCGGCCTCCAAAGTGCTGGGATTACAGGCGTGAGCCACTGTGCCTGGCCTTTCTTTTTTTTTTTTTTTTTTGAGACAGGGTCTCACTTTTATTGCCTAGGTTGGGAGTGCAGTGGTGCGATTTTAGCTTACTATAGCCTCAATCTCCCCGGCTCTGGTGATTCTCCCACCTCAGCCCCCGGAGTAACTGGGACTACAGACGCATGCCACCACTACCGGCTAATTTTTTGTATGTATTTTTAGTAGAGACGAGTTTTTGCCCTGTTGCCCAGTCTGGTCTCGAACTCCTGGACTCAAGCAATCTACCCACCTCGGCCTCCCAAAGCGCGGGGATTACAGGTGTGAGCCACCGCGCCCGACCTGTTCTCCTGTCTTTCTAAAGGTGGTATTTCTCCCTAGGCCAATGGTTGACAAACTATGCCAGCAGGCCACATCTGCTCATCTGTTTTACCTATTGTCCATGCTACTTTTGTACAACTATGGCAGAACTCAGTGCTAGTTGTAACAGATGATATGGACTGCAAAGCCTAAAATGTTTGTTACAAGACCCTTAAGAGAAAAAGTTTGCCAGCCTCTGCCCTAGGCTGCTATCTTAATTTGGATTCTTGAGGCCACTATCACATTTTTATGGCTCTCCAGATCTCTGATGCTTCAGAGTAACAATTTCTGGGCTCTCCCAAGAATAAATGTGCATGAGTTTCATTGCTTTTCTAGCCAGTGGCACCCAAGGAATGTTTCTTGGCTACTATATGGGCTGCTGGCATCTAGTTGTTGGCTGAGTGGTGAGCTGGGAACTTGGGATCAGCCTTCTGGAGTTATTTATTCATCAGACAGGAGATGTGGGATGCCCCCAAGAGGTTACATTTCGCCTGCTGTCTTCTCCTTCCAGCATTAAAGACTGTAAATGGCAAGAAAAAAACATCGTAGTCATGGAAGAAGTTGTTATTACACCCCCATATCAAGTGGAAAACTGTAAAGGCAAAGAGGGGAGTGCACTGAGCCATGTACGCAAAATAGTAAGTAAAGGAGCCTTCAGACTTTAGGGGAGAGAGGATGGTTCCTCAGGCCTTCAGTCTTTAGCACCAGACCAGGACATTGTGCTACAGTCTCTGCCTCCTCTAGCAGCAGAGGCCCTGTCTGGCCTCCCTGCCTTCCCTGTACTGTGGGGTTCTGCAGTCCTGTGGGAATGGAACCACTGGGTGGTGTGGAAAGAAGTGAGTGGGTGACCCTATGTCCTTTGCTGGCTTTTTGGAATTAGGAAGACTGTTCCATGGTATTGGGCCTGAGCAGTTTCTCTCATCCCATATTGAGTTTTTCTTTTTTAGAGACAGAGTCTCGCTCTGTCGCCCACGCTGGAGTGCAGTGGCGCGATCTCAGCTCACTGCAACCTCCGCCTCCCGGGTTCAAGCGATTCTCCTGCCTCAGCCTCCCGAGTACCTGGGACTACAGGCGTATGCCACCACACCCGGCTAGAGATGGGGTTTCACCATGTTGGCCAGGCTGGTCTCGAACTCCTGACCTGAAGTGATCTGCCCACCTTGGCCTCCCAAAGTGCTGGGATTGCAGGTATGAGCCACCACGCCTGGCCCCATATTGGGTTTTTCTTAGCTGCAGGTACCATTCTAGAAAGATCTGGTTGGTATAAATCAGTTGCCGTCGGTGTCTCTGACCCTACATATGTCACTGGACTTAGCATTTGTTAAAACAAACTTAAAAAACACTCCTGCTTTTTTTTTTTCCTCTGAGGAACATTGAGAGACCAACATTGTAGATGTAGGAGGTTTGATAAGACTGTAATTCCCCCAGCAGCTTTTCATTTTGTACTTGGGTATAGAAGAGAGGAGGAGTTTAGGTCATGATAATCTCCCCTTATTATATTTTATAGTTTAGTTTGTAGATTCACCTTCTTCTAGCCAATCTTAGTGGAAACTGCAAAAAAATGTGGCTGAAGCAGGAGGCCCTGGCCTACCTTGTGGTTGGGAAGGCCAATAGACAGCAAGGGCAAAGGTGCCTGGACACCAATGGGCTGGACAGCCAGGATGGGGCTGTGGAAACCTGGGTTGGATTGTTTGGGAGACCTTTCTTCCGCATCTCCTTTGTTGACCTGGGTTGCCTGGTCTTTTTCAGGTTGAAAAACATTTTAGAGACGTGGAAAGCCAAAAGATACTGCAACGTTCACAAGCCCAGCAACCACAGAAGGAGGCTGCCCTGTCATCCTGAGTCCGTACACATGGAGGACTCTTCCAGCATCCAGCCAAGGAGGCGCTGGTGGTGGCTTCAGCGGAGGCAGGCCGGGGGAGGGAAGGGATCCTATATGTCCTGTTGGCTCTTAACAAAGGGTCAGCATTTCCAAATCTTAGACTTGAACAAACAAAACACCCAACAAAAAAGAACAAGAGAATAATTTAAAAGTTGAATCATTACTTGACTAACAGACTTCGGTCCACCATGTCCTTTTCACAGCCCTCTTCTGGAACAGTCACCTTGTTAATTTTATTTTTGAAAATTATTTTCCCACTCTGCCCTTTACTTCTGACTTTCCTTTCCTAGTTTGTTCCTGCCATTCTGTTTTTATAAGTGGCTACACTTGCCTTCTGAATGATTGAAAGAAACTTTTACATCTTTTCTTCCAAAATAAAAGTAACAAGCTGACTGTGATTCTTAAATTGAGACCAGAGCAGCAAACGTCTCACTTTAAATTTTTGTTTTCTTTTCCTTTTTTTTTCTTTTTTCTTTTTTTTTTTTTTTTTGCACAGGGCATGGCTTGAATTAGTTTTATTTTTCTTAACTTTAAATATATATATGAAAATATATATTAAAATGTTCTCTAAATATTTTCTGCTTCTTGCAGGTCTCTTTTTACTAGATCATGGCTGTTCTTCCCACCTCATCCCTCTGAAAATAAAAATGTATTGCCCTCCCCACCATCCATCATAGCCAGGCCACTAACTTGACTTGGTGCAAGAGATTCTTGCTGCGAACTTTGTAGAGCCAGTGTGCAGATAGAATTTGGCTTTGAGGGTTCCTGATGGCTTTTTAGTCTTTAACTGTGTGTGTACCAGTCTCACATTTGGCCCAAACCTCAGGATTCTCCCTCTGCCTGTCTTACTTCATGGTACTAGAAGACCTTCCTCGCCACTCTCTCCACATGAGAGAGTCAGCTGCCCTTTCTCCTGTGCCTCTGCAGGAAGAACTCTCTTGCATGGCACATCTCAGCTCCTCATTGAGGGATAGTTTTCTTTGATAAGAAACCTGGAGTCCATTTACTCTGACCTCTCTTTAAATCTATATCCAGAGCCACTAGCCCAGGAAAAACTTGGGTGACCCGTAATTTCTCTTCTCCTGCTGTCCTTTTGCTCTTACGCCCCACCCCAACTCCCCTTAAATTTTACAGGCTTATGACAGTTTGTATGTGCTCAGCCAATGAGCAGAAAACCTGGAAAGAATTTCTGGACTTTAGCCCACCAGTTTGTCTGGTTGACTAACCTGCTGAGAGCTAAAATTGGCACCCATTGCCCCGTGCCTTCAGGCAGTCTCCTGGGGCAGAGTATGCCACCATCCGAATATCAGGCACTGAGTGGGATGTGGGTGATGCTCACATGACTGGCTAGAGCTTTGGGGGTGGGGTGGGGGTTAACTACTATTTTTTTGGCCATGATCTCTTTCCCCTTCCTTTTTTTTTTAATTAAATAAATGGATCAAATTAAATAATTCAAGCCCTGCCTTCAAAATGAAATTTTTTTTTTAGTATTATTTAGCAAAAACAATAAAACCCAAATTTTTTTAACCATCACTCATGTCTCAGGTTTGTGCGTCCTTCAGAGGCCCCAGGGGAGAGGATCCAAGGTATGTCTGTCTGATTTGACCTTTCTCTTTAGAGTCTCTTCTTCCTACTATTTACCCTCTCTTTTCACCCCCGAGGACTCATCCAGAAATATAATGCAGGGTATAATTTAAGATGGGGGTCCAGGGTTTGGAGTGGTGTGTAGGTGGAGTGTGGGGAAAAGGCTGTAGTCACATACATAGAACCATTTGTTACAGGACTGTTTGGAGGCACAAATGGTCGGCGAGCTGAGAAGTAAACTTTCAGATCCACCTGCCACTGGTCTGAACTTGATTTAAAGAACTGAGCCTTTGATTTAGCCTACATGGGAATGTAGACTTAGAGAAGGTGAGAGAGGGAGAAGGGAAGAGACCTTGTAAGATCTATAAAACCTAAGAGATACGATGAGTGGAGGTGATTAATTAATGGGAAACAGCAAGCCTGGGAGGAAGCTCTTCATCATGTGTCCCACATCTTCCTGTCCCCCCCCATTGGTCTTAATTCTGTAAATGGGGGGAAGTGAGTACCAACTGGGTTTGGCAGGAAGCACTTTTGACTCCTTAGTTTTAGTTGTTAAATGATGTGGAACTTTAAACAGTTCAGGAGGTGGAGTTAGTGTGGTTGGAAAGGCAGGCAGTGAGGTGTGGAATAAAGAACAAGGGCTTTGATAACTTCATTCCTCATGTTGTTCCTGGATAAGTCATTTCATCTTTCTTAGCCTTAAATTTCCCAACTGTAAATGTGGAAATAATGTCCATCTCCTAGGGTTGATATGAAGGGTTAATAAGATATTTTAAAAGCCTAATACTTAGAAAGTGCTCTGTAAATGTTAGTATAAATGTTAGCTTGATCCTTGGACAGTTAAATCTGGAGGTGAGATTGGAGTAGATGATTTCTAGAAGTTCCATGTTTGCTTTAGAAGCCTTAGTTTAGACCAGGTGCAGTGGCTTATGCCTGTAGTCCCAGCACTTTGCGAGGCCAAGGCAGGAGCTCAAGACCATTCTGGGTGGCATAGTGAGACCCCCCATCTCTACAGAAAATACGTTTAAAAAAAATTAGGCAGATGCGATGGTACATGCCTGTAGTCCCAACTACTTGGGAGACTGAGGTGGGAGGATCACTTGAGCCAGGGAGGTTGAGGCTGCAGTGAGTTGTGATCGTACCACTGCACTCCAGGATGCACTCCAACCTGGTGACAGCAAGATACTGTCTCTTTAAAAAAAAAAAAAAAAAAAAAAATTTGTTTAGATGGTATTTGAAGGGAGGCTAATATGTAAAGCACCTGGGCAGATCTGGTTCAGGCAGGGGTAGGGGTCTCAGAGCCCTGCCCTGGGTCTCACAGATCTCACCCCTTAACCCTTCCTTGGAGTGCCTAAGAATGCTTTTGATTATAATTTTTTTTTGAGATGAAGTTTTACTCTTGTCGCCCAGGCTGGAGTGCGATGGCACGATCCCGGCTCACTGCAACCTCCGCCTCCCGGGTTCAACTGATTCTCCTGCCTCAGCCCCGCGAGTAGCTGGGATTACAGGCACGTGCCACCATGCCTGGCTAATTTTGTATTTTTAGTGGAGACTGGGTTTCTCCATGTTGGTCAGGCTGGTCTCAAACTCCCAACCTCAGGTGATCCACCCGTCTCGGCCTGCCATAATGCTGGGATTACAGGCGCGAGCCACGGCACCTGGCCTTGATAATTTTCAAAACTATTTTTCAGAGTAGAGAGTGAGTTCCACTGAGGCCAAGTGACTTGTCTAGAGTGCCCCACCTGCCTGTGGTAGCGGAGCTGGAAGAAGGCCCGAGGCTTAACACTCACGGGTTCCTAATGCAGTGGGACTTTCCAAAGTGATGGCATGTGTACTGCTCACTTTTGTTTGCCAGAATGAGGCTGGAACACGGGAGACTAGTGAGAATGGCAGAAATTGCCACCTAGATTGAAAGCATATTGAACCATGGAAGAGCGTGGTGCAGAGAGCTTACATCTATGATGCAGTATGGGCAGTAGTTTTGCAGTGTCTCCTCGGCTTTGTTTTGGGGTGTTCTCCTTTCTCCCCAAATATACACACACACACACACCTCTATACCCAGCACCTGATTATCTCGCCACCACCACGCACACGCCTTTGGAGTTAATGCTATTTAGAGCATCCAATTATTGTATAAACAGCCTTACCACAGTGAGTTGATACTGAATCTGTGCCGTTCAAGTCTCAGCAGCTCATTACTGATTTCTGTTTGGTGTTTTGAAAATTTGAAAATTGCTCAAGCACTTCAGTATGAGTTCAGTAGCTGCAGCCTGTGAACTACTGATTGAGGAGGGTAAAGGCTCCCTGACATATTTGAAGCTAAGAATGTGTGTCTCAAAATCTGTTGTGTTGAAACATACTGGTAAAGGAAATAGAGGCATTTCATTCATACACAGATCGAGTGTGCTATCCCGCGTGGTGTGGCGGCTACAGCATGGAGGGTACTGTGGTGAGAATGTGTAGTGCTGGAAGCTGAAATGTACAGGATGAGTGGTAAGGACAGTGGTAGAAGTGGGAGTGTGGGAGGGAGCTGGTTGCCTGGTTGGAAGATGTTAGATTTACATGGTAGGTTTGCTTTCCTATCACTGCTGGAGGCCATCAGTGCCAGAGAATTCCTCTTTAAGAAACTTGGAATTGGCCGGGCGTGGTGGCTCACGCCTGTAATCCCAGCACTTTGGGAGGCTGAGGCGGGCGATCACGAGGTCAGGAGATCGAGACCATCCTGGCCAACATGGTGAAACCCTGTCTCTACTGAAAATACAAAAATATTAGCCGGGCATGGTGGCATATGCTTGTAGTCCCAGCTACTCGGGAGGCTGAGGCAGGAGAATCACTTGAACCCAGGAGGTGGAGCTTGCAGTGAGCCGAGATCGCGCCACTGCACTCCAGCCTGGGCGACAGAGTGCGACTCCGCCTCAAAAAAAAAAAAAAAAAAAAGAAACTTGGAATCATCTGCATATATTGCCTAAATTTTAGGTGTTTAACATAATCAGATAAACAGTATGAAGTATCTGAAAAAGATGCTCTTTGGCTGCCATCCACTGGTGATACATTGTGTGGCTGTAATAGTTTCAAAACAAATTTGTTTTTTTATGTTATAAAAACCTTACACAGCCAGGCGCTGTGGCTCACGCCTGTAATCTCAACACTTTGGGAGGCGGAGGCAAGTGGATCACTTGAGGTCAGGAGTTCAAGACCAGCCTGGCCAATGTGGTGAAACTCCATCTGTACTAAAAATACAAAAATTAGCTGGGCGTGGCGGTGTGCACCTGTGGTCCCAGCTACTTGGGAGGCTGAGGCAGGAGAATTGCTTGAACCCGGGAGGTGGAGGTTGCAGTGAGCTGAGATCGCACCACTGCACTCCGGCCTCGTGACAGAGCGAGGCTCTGTCTCAAAAACAAACGAAAAACAACCTTACGTGGCTCATTACAGAAAAACTAGAAAACAAGGCAGACATTTTCATCTACCACCCCCTAAAACATTGTTAACTTCTTTTTTTATCCTTTCACATTCGTTCCTATACAAATGTTGTTTTCTAGATTTTGAGACACCTTTCCTTGCCCGTTGTGTTTCTGAAAGTGCAGTTCATGATGTCAAAAGAAACTTGCCAACTGGTTCCAGTCCACAAAGTTAAGTCAACGGTATACTCCAATTTATTAGCATCTTAGAATTGATATATATATAAGGTAAGGGGCTAGATGATCTCTAAGATTACTTGCAACCTCAGTAATCTCTATCTTGCTCTACAATGCCCTGCTTCAGGGCTACCCGTGAAGCCATTCTTGACAATTGGAATGGAAACTGATACCTTCAGTAATTTGTTTCTGTCACTCATGTCATTTGGCATGTGTGAGTTGCCTTTTCGGTATTTGTTTAGATTTATCTTTAGTGGTCTATTGGGGTGTCTTGAGGCTCCAAGGCAGGGAAAGTTACTCACTCATTGTGTATTTGCTAGCACCCAGCTGTTGAGACAGAACGGAAAATAGAGTTTTTAAAGTCATCAGCATGATAACTGGATATGTTGCCTGAGTCAATATGAAAAGTGATCCAGGAGTAGGTTTTGAGGAAAGCTTAGAGTTCAAGTTTGGAAAGAGGACAACCAGTAAAGGATACAGGGGAAGAAAGAGAGATGCACCTGGTTCCAGACCGGAAAGCAGCAGGAATCTACCTCAGGTTTCTCTAGAGCAGACTCTGGCAGCTGGGACCAAGTCTGGTCAGATTGTAGTCCCCCTTCCTATCTGGCCTCTCCCATTTTTCTATAATTTCCAGTTTTGTTGAAAAGTCTAAATTGGAGCTAAGTTTCTTAATTGGCTGGGTAAGGTGAGGCTAAGGCATATTTCCAGTGACTAATCAACTAACCTCTCCTTTTTCTTTGGTCCTCTGGTGCGGACTTCTGCAGTGTTAGACAAGAACTTCTTATAGGTCTTTCGTGGAGGGACCAGCAAGTGGTGGATTCTTTTACTAATCTGGCCTCTTTTATTCTGGTCTGTCTCGTAGCTTAAAGTTGTTGCTTATGCTTACTGGAGGGAGGGGCGTGTATGTCTCTAGAGAGAATATTTATAGATGGCCACTGAGATGTGATTTCAGCTGAAATCTGAAGAACAAAGTGCTAGCCAAGAGTGTTCGGATAGAGGGAACAGCAGGTGCTAAAGTCAGGTTGACAAGAGCTTGGGATGTTCAGGAACTGACAGAAGACAGGCAGCTGAAGCCTGCTGAGCAGCACGATAGAGAAGTAGGTGGAGCCAGGTGGTGCAGGACCTTACAGTTATCCTAGAGACTGGGTTCTTTGGCACCATGGGCAGCCATGGGACTTGGTCCAGTATCAGACAGTGGCAGCGGAAGCAAGGAGGCTGCTGGGTTAGGGGTCGGTGCAGCAGTCTGGGTGGGAGACAGTGGTGGCAGAGAATTGGTTTCAGAGCTGACAGGACTTGATGCACTGAATGTGAGGGCAAGGTGGTGAGGGACAGAGAGGAACGATGGATGCCTTCTAGGTAGGTGGCAAACAATAGGAGAGGAAGAAGTTTGTGGAAGAATCTGGAATTTTTGAATTGCCATTTTATCTTGCCCAGGAAACACTGAAGAGCAGATGGCAAATGGGCAGCTGGATAACAAGCCTGGGCTTAGAGAAGCGTGGGATGGAGTTAGACATCCAGTGACTGTCACGTCACCTGTGAACTCTGAGAAGACGAGGTTGGGATCTCTGGCCACAGTGGGTAGATTTGCCTCAGATAGGAGGGGCCCTTCTTCCCTGACAGGGCAGTGCTAGGAGCTGAGTCTAGATTTGTCAGGGAGGTGAGGGTAAGTGACTTCCTATCTGGTGGCCCAGTTAACCTGAAAGGGGAATAGGGTAAGACTATTGAGTGTCCGTTTAGAGATGCATGCTCATGAATTTTGGGGGTAAACAGGCACCCATTGTGTGCCTCTGCCAATCATATCGAGTGTCCTTAGTGCAGACACAGAGAAGGTGAATAGTTGGGTACAGCCAGGTTGAGAGACGTGTCCAGTCTGCACTGTGGAGGGAGAGGGGTTGAGCTGAGGATATTTATGAAAGGGAGTGAGTATAATATGGGATCCTTCACTCTTGTAAATGTGTGCTGTCATCATGTACGCTTCAGTTTGTTCAGATGAGACTTTTCTGAAAGTGTCCTGCTGTTGCCCTTATGTACTGGCTCCAGGCAGGACATGTAGCCATGTAACTCAGCATTCAGTGTCGACGGTGCAAACAGGATGTGTCCCATGCTGGAGCTGGTATCAGAAGTTTAGAACAGATTTTCTAGCACTTAATGATGCCAGGCTCTTAGAGTTTATACAGTATAGTCCCGCCTCCCACTTTACATATCCCCTCTATAGCATCCTCAGCAGACTGCCTCTACTTGAACTTTCATTGATGGGGCACCCATTACTCAAGGAGGCAACATGTGGCAGCTGTCCGTGCCCTTCTTGACCTCCAGTGGCGGCTCACCATTAGAACTAAGGTTAATGCTCAGGTGTCCTGCATGGTAGTCCCTCTTTCAGGGGTTTTTCTTTTGCTGACAGCCCCTGGGTGAGGGGCATGGACATTGCTAAATCGGCAAATGTGACTCAGAGCTATCTTCTCCAGTCAGATGGCTTTTGAAGGATGCTTTCCTAGTTCTTGAGTGTGGTCCCAGCACTGGACATGGTCTGTTAGCACACTGGGACCTTTCCTGCAACCATTTACTGCAATGTTGGACGCTATAGCAACTAGCTTCTTTTGGCAGATACATCACACTGTTGATTCAGTTTGATGTGATCAGCAAAATCTGCCCAGACTTCTTTACAGAAGTAGCTATTATGCCAAGTCTTCTCCAGCTTGTGTAAGTAGATTTTAGATTCCTAAATACTGAATTTTATATTTATCGCTGCTAAAAAAAATTTTTTTTTTTTTTGAGATGGAGTATCACTCTGTCACCCAAGCTGGAGTGTACTGGTGCGATCTTGGCTCACTACAACCTCCGCCTCCTGGGTTCAAGCGATTCTCCTACCTCAGCCTCCCGAGTAGCTGGGATTACAGGCATGCGCCACCACACCTGGCTAATTTTTGTATTTTTCAGTAAAGACAGGGCTTTGCCATGTTGGCCAGGCTGGTTTCAAACCCCTGACCTCAAGTGATCCGCCCACCTCGGCCTCCCAAAGTGCTGGGATTGCAGGTGTGAGCCACCGCGCCCAGCCCGTTATTAAATATTTTTAACCAACAATTTTAACCTATTAAGAGCTTTAAAAAAATCTTGATTCTGTATCGCAGTCTACTAGTTGTCCATCCCAATGTTGTGTTATTCTTAATTTTGATAAACTGTCTTCTGTGTTTTCATCTTATCCAAAGGGATATCCTGAGAGATTTTAATAACATCCAGATGTTTATGATAGACATCTGGTAGCCCTATCAAAAAAGGAAATAAAGTCGTTTGAGTAAAATTTATTTATTTATTTATTTTGAGACGGAGTCTCACTCTGTCACCAGGCTGGAGTGCAGTGGCACGATTATGGCTCACTGCAACCTCTGCCTCCCGGGTTCAAGCAATTCTGCCTCAGCCTCCCGAGTAGCTGGGACTACAGGTGCACGCCGCCATGCCTGGCTAATTTTTTTTTTGTATTTTAGTAGAGACAGGGTTTCACCATGTTGCCCAGGCTGGTCTTGAACTCCTGAGCTCAGGCAATCCACCCACCTTGACCTCCCAAAGTGCTAGGATTACAGGTGTGAGCCACTGCGCCTGGTTGTAAAACTTATTTTTAGTGAACTCGTGGGCACTAGTGGTCCTCATGTTTTAGGAAATTGCTCAGACATAATATGTTAAATGAGCCCGTTTTGAGTTTTGTGAACTGCTATGTGACTTGAAAATTGGAAATTTTGCGGAGCTCAAGGCTCTAGCAACCTTCTGTTGGTAATGTTTTCTAAAGATTATTGACAATGATTCCTGAAGTTTTTTCCAGTATAATCTGCTTGTACCAGATCACTTGAACTAATTCTGAGGGGCTTGAGATTAACCAGAGGCTCAGATTCATGCCCTAGGTTGATAATAGTTCTGCTTCTCTTCCCATTCTAGGGATAATCTATGTTATTCACCCCTTCGCTCTTGTCTAGTAGACCTTGACTTTTTTTTTTTTTTTAAGACAAGGTCTCCCTCTGTCACCCAGGCTGGAGTGCTGTGGTGTGATCACAGCTTACTACAGCCTCAACCTCCTGGGCTCAAGCAATCTTTCCACCCCAGCTTCCCGAGTAGCCAGGACTACAGGCATGTGCCACTATGCCCAGCTAATTTTTTTTTTTTTTTTAAGACAGAGTCTTGCTCTGTCGCCCAGGCTAGAGTGCAGTGGCACAATCTCAGCTCACTGCAGCCTCCACCTCCTGGGTTGAAGTGATTCTTCTGCCTCAGCCTCCCCAGTAGCTGGGACTACAGGCGCACACCACCACGCCTAGCTAATTTTTTTGTGTTTTTGGAGACAGCATTTCACCATGTTAGCCAGGCTAGTCTTGAACTCCTGACCTCAGGTGGTCTGCCCACCTTGGCTTCCCAAGGTGCTTAGATTGCAGGCATGAGCCACCATGCTCTGCCAAGCATGACTAGATTCTGTCAGGCCTGAGTTATGTCAGATTTTACTTTTGCCCCTAACTAGCAGTATGACTTGGAAACTTAACTAGCTTTGTCAAACGTTGGTTTCCTCATCTGTAAAATCAGAGTCCCTGGCTGGGCACAGTGGCTTACGCCTGTAAATCCCAGCACTTTGGGAGGTTGAGGTGGGAGGATCGCTTGAGTCCAGGAGTTGGAGACCAGCCTGGGCAACACAGCGAAACCCCATCTCTACAAAAAATACAAAAATTAGCTGGGCTTGGTGGCACATACCTGTAGTCCCAGCTACTCAGGAGGCTGAGGTGGGAGGATCACCTGAGCCTGGGAGGTCAAGGCTGTGGTGGCCCATGATCACACCACTGCACTTCAGTCTAGGTGACAGAGTGAGATCTTGTCTCAAAAAAAAAAAAAAAAAAAAAAAAGAGTTCTTTTCCTCAGTTGAGGATTAAATGAAGCCTTTAACGAGATGCCTGGCCCTTCTGTGTGGCCGTTACTATTCTCTTAAGAGTTCACTGGGCAGGGCTAGTGAGCACTCTGGGAAACCTGGACAGGACGTTTGGGCTCCTAGAGCAAGGCAGAGGTACTAGGCACAAATACTGTGTTCCAGGAGATGCTGGGCACCCCTCAAGTGCCAGGATGAAGTGTTTTGACTTTTGGCCTAGTGAGAAGAAAAAGCATTCCCTTCCTTTGTGCCTAAGACAAGACCTGGGTGAATTATAGATGATGGCAGATTTCTCAGGCAGGCAGTATAGAATGAAGGAGGAGACACCTGACTCCTATCCGAACTGAGGGAGGGCCCCAAGGGGCCTCAAGCTGCCATTCTGATGATACAGAGCAGGTTGTGGGTCTCCAGAAGGAAGTGAGGAAAGAGGCTGGGGGTGAGCTCTGCTCCCCTGGATGCAAGGCCTTAAGGCTGGGGATTTCCTAAGCCTGTCCCACATGCTCACCCTTGGGGCTGCGGCTTCCCTGAGAGCTGGGCTCTGGGAGGAGGCCAGATAGGCAGGAAACTAGAGCCCAGATTCTTTCCACTGCCATTCCTGGGCTGGGGCTGCACTCAGGTGCAGGTGTTGCCAGGAACACAGGTGAGTGCATTGGACTTTCACAGCCTGAGGCCCTATCCTCAGTGGCCAGACAGGGCCAGGATCTAGTTGATGCTCTGACCTCTGGCAGAACGGGAGCTCCACAAATGTTGGCTGCATGAGAGCAATTGAGTGCATGTTTGGGGGCCGGGGAAGGCAGAGTTTCTCCTGGGTCCCTCTAGAAAGTCAGTGAGAAGCTTGTACTCTCAGTGATCATTGCTGTAGTTACGAGATAAGCTTCTCTGAACATGCAGAGCAGTGGTAACTATGAGGAGGCACAGTCTCTCCTGAGCATGACTCTGGCTGTTGGTGTGGCTTTGCTGCAGCTGCCGTGTGCCATTGATGATCCTGCTCCTCTTCCTTCGGGAAAGTAAGAGGGAGAGAACAGTCTGAGTGGGGGTGAAAGTCAGTGAGCTGCAGTGTGGGGTGGGAGGAAGGAGGTGCAGAGGATTACAGGCCATCTTCCCTGATTGCTCCTCATCCAGCAGGAAGAAGGAATGAGAGGTGGTTAAGGGAGGGGGATCCGAATGCTGGGGTCTCAGGCCAAGAGGGTTCTTGCCAGAAGCTTAGGTAACATTTAAAATCATGGGAGGTGGAGACAGGGTGTCTTTGAGTTGATGTTTGGGCACCCAGCAAATGGTGAGACCCCGAATGGCATCTACTTGTGTTTTTCTCCCCTAGCATCACTGTGCTTGCCAGGGTCCCAGGCGGAGGAGTGAGGCCTGAAGGTCTCAGCAGCCATGAGTGCTTGATGCCATCCTCACCCCAGCCCTTCATGCAGCAAGGACGGGGTGGGTGTGGCCACACCTCCCTCACAATGGCTATAGTCATGGTGGCATCAGTCTTTCTCAGGAGTCTGGTGGCAGCATGCCCAATACCATGCACCTGCCCTACCTCAGGCAGCGTGGTGGACTGTGGGGGCCTCCACCTGCTCTGTCTCCCTTCCAGGCTGCCTGATGGAGTCTGGCTCCTGGAGCTGAGCCACAATAATCTCAGCCATCTGCCGGCTGGCGCCTCCAGGGCTTTTGGGGACTGCGGGTGTTGCTGCTTTCTCTCAATATCCTGCGGGATCTGTCTGATGGGGCCCTAGGGGGCCTCAGTTTCCTGGAGCAGCTGAACCTCAGCCATAACCAGCTGGCCCATCTGCCCACAGACTTCTCGGCTACCCTGGGCTCTCTGCTCTGCCTGGACCTCTCTCACAACCTACTCACTTCCCTGGACCCCACCAGCCTGTGGCGCCTGGGGGGCCTGGAGCAGCTCAACCTGAGCCACAACCAGCTGGCTGAACTGGCCGCAGGGGTCTTTGGGGGCCTCTTCCACCTACACTGGCTCTCGCTGGCTGGGAACCAGCTGCAGCGGGTGAAGGGTGCTGCCCTGACCACTGTGCCGGGCTTGGAAGTCCTCTCTGTAGCTGGGAATGACATCAGTGAGCTGGAGGCCGAGGCGTTTGCAACCTTAGGAGCACTGGGCCTTCTCTCTCCTGGGTAACCGACTGCAGCACCTGGAGGTCAAGGCAGTGGCAGGCATCCGGACAGCAGGCATGCGGCTGCTGTTGTTGGATAACCCCTGGACACGTGACTGACCTGCAGTGAGCCTTCGGAAAGTTGGGTCACCTGCGGCACTTGAGTGTCGTAGACCTGGGCATCCTGACTTGCGCTGGGCCCGAAAGGCTGTCAGGGGCAGTGCTGAGTGGTGTGGAGGCCCAGCTTTGCCTGGCTGAGACTGCCACTGTGCTGGGCATCACAGGCACCGTGCTGCTCACAGTGGCTGTGGCTGTGCTGATGGCTGAGCGCAAGCGAAGACAGGGCCCGCAAGAAGCCGGGGAGCTGGGGAGCTTTCTGGAGAGGTAAGGGGTGCTGCAGAGCAAGGTCAAGGCAGCTGGAGGAGGGAGAGCAGAGGAAGGTGTGAGAGAGGAAAAGGGAAGTTCCTCAGAAGTCTGTGGAGCTCAGTTGTCTGCGGAAAAGTTGAGGAAACACTTTTCCTCAGTTGTCTGAGGAAAAGTTAAATATTAAATTTGAACTCAGTTGAACATGGACACAAACAATGGTCACCAAGTCCTGGAACAGGTTGTGTGAGCCCTTGAGGCATTCATCCAGCACTGTTTCGGAGAAATCTCTATTTCAATCTATTCCTATACGTTAGTTATTGAAAAACAATAGACACTCGCAAAAACAAGTTGACCTTTTTGTGTTCCTTGAGCCCAGTCACGAAGGGCCCTTGTGACTGGAGCTCATGCCAAACAACTCGTTACAAAAGAGCTAGGGTCCCAGACTGCGCCGAAGCTTCATGAGACCTCTCCTCGTCTGTGCACGGACGAGTGGCCGACTCTGGAGCCCAGGCTGTTGCTTCCCAGACTGGTGGTGAATCCTCCATAGTCTGGTGAGTGTAAATATATATATCTCTTTTCCCTTCTCCCCTTCCTATTGCAATTTGCTTATTGTATCATTTGCTTATTATATTAATTTGCTTATATCATTCGCTTATTATATCTGCATTGCCATTTACATGGGATAAAGCTAGTTTACCCTTAAAGGTATTTTGTGTGTGCACCTTTTCTTCTCCCCTCATGCGTCTCTCACACAGAACATTTTTGGTGTCACAAACAGAATCCGAAAGAAAAAGCATGCCATTTTTCGGCTGCAAGGACCAGGCTGGGAGCTTGGAGACTTCCCATATCCAAGGATGGGAACTCCCCCAGTTCTTCCCCGTGGCCATTGAGTGGTCCAAGGGAATTGGCCTTTGTGAAAATTGGGAATCTAAATTAGTGCAATTTGAACCTTTGTGCGTGAAGTGCTGCAGGGAATCCCAGTTGGTAAAGGGGATGCTGAGGGAATTTCCCTGCGTGGATGGTGCTTGCTTACTGCTTATAAGTTAATGTGTCAAGATAGGGACTGGTTGCTACAGGAGAAATGTAAGCTGGAAAAGGAAAATGCTAATCTGACTTCCAGACTGGTCCTGGCCCAATGCCAGGCCTATGTCTTGACTGATCAGGCTCAAAGCTATCAGCCTATTGATGAAAAAAGCATCTGTTTGAGTGGCCCAGTCAGTGTACTGGAAGTAGAAGTACTGAAGAAGTAGTCAGCCAGGGTTTGGAGCAGGTACAAACCCAGCTCCTATCTCAAAGATGGGAAATTAACCCTAGTAAAATTCAAGGACCTGCACAAACAAATTCCTTGGCATCCTATGGAATAAGGGAAATAATCCGTTTTACCAAAGGCTAAGGCTAAAATACTAGAATTTGCAACCCCTACCAATAAAAAGGAAGCCCAGAAATTGGCTTGTTTGGATTCTGGAAACGTCATATTCCCCATTTGGGTAACATTTTACAACCTCTGCATGCAGTCATTAGAAAACGCTATGACTTTCACTGGGGAGAGAAAGAGACCATGGCTTTTGAACAAGCTAAACAAGCAGTGCAACTGACCCTAGATCTGTGGTCCCTATGGTGATGGCCCAGTAGAACTGCAAGTAACTGTCCTAAATCAACATGCTAATTGGAGCCTTAGGCAGAAACAAGATGGGAAGAGGGTATCTTTGGAGTTTTGGACCTGGAAGCTGCCAGAGGCCGGCAAAGCTTATACCCCTTTCAAGAAATTGTTAGCTTGCTGTTGGGCTTTGCTGGAAACGGAGCACCTCTGCTTCAACCATGATGTCTTTATGATTATGACTTGGGTCATGAGTTCTCCCAAAACTCACCGGTTCTGATGAAGGAAGTGGTGGGAGCAGCCAGCTGGCTGAATTGGTAGCCGTCCTCGAAGCTCTTCAGGAGGAGGCCAGAGGGATTTGTCACTTGTAGAAAAACTTGGTCAGTAGCAAACGGTCTCACTACTAGGATGCCCCAGTGGCAACGAAACAAATGGTTAATTGGGAATAAAGAGGTTTGGGGAAAACAATACTGGGAAGATATCTGAATCCTTGCGCACACTACCATTATCTCTGTTTGCCATGTTGGTGCTCATGCGTCTCTGCTTTTTCTTGACAGACTATTTAATCAGCAGGCAGATCAACAGGCCAAAATTTCCACCATAACTGCAAACTTGAATGCGGATGAATGGATTACAACATGGTCAAACCTTGCAATGAGAGGCATTATAATGTATGGTGCTATAATTGATAGTGATTACCGGGGAGAGTTAAAGGTCATTTTATACAATACCACTCCAGATTCTTTTGCTATAAAACCGCAGATGCAGGTTGCTCAATTGTTAGTGGTATCTTGTCAACAACCCCCGAGGAAATTTCCACCCCAATAGAAACAACATATAGAACGGAACATTCAGGTCCACCAGAGTGGGCAACTTAAATCCTGGAGCTAAAATATGGGTACAGTGTCCATCAGATCCTGCCCCTAAGACTGCTGACCTTGTAGCTATTGGAGCAGAATATGAAGGCACAGTACAATTTCCTAAAGATGAAAAACAGTATCATGTTCCCCTCCATTTTTGTTACTACAGAGAATAACCTGTCTGCTAGTAATCAGCACCTGGATCACCATGTCTGAGGCTGAGAATGAGTTCATCAACTGGGTAGCCACTGCTGCAATAGAAGCCAACTGCAGTCAGTGCTGGCTCTGTGTTGAGTTGCCAGAGGCCGCTGGGAATGGGCTACCTTGGAGAATTGTCCCTGCTAACATTTCTGAATGGATATGCCAATACCAATGGGAGTGGGATAACACTTGGTTTTGTTTTGATTTTTTGAGCCAGAGTGTCTCTCTGTCGCCCAGGCTGGAGTGCAGTGGCACGATCTTGGCTCAGTGCAACCTCTGCCTCCTGGGTTCAAGCGACTCTCCTGCCTCAGCCTCCCAAGTAGCTGGGATTATAGGTGCATGTCGCCACGCCTGGCTAATTTTTTGTATTTTTAGTAGAGACGGGGTTTCACCATATTGCCCAGGCTGATGTCAAACTCCTGAGTTCAGGTGATCTGCCCTCCTCGGCCTCCCAAAGTGCTGGGATTGCAGGTGTGAGCCACCGCGCCTGGCCCGGGATAACACTTGAAATCCAACCTGGACTTCTTTTAACCAAACAGTCTATTTTTGCCCTTGCCCAAACAAAACACAGCACCTTTGTTACTTCAATTACACATTACAGCGATACAATTATAGGAGAACTCTTCCTGTTCCCTGGGGGGCCCTCTAGGTATGCGAATCCTACAGGTGGCAATACCTGCTTGGACGGGGAGACACACTTGGGGGTGGCCATTAATTCCATTCACCATCTGGGATAATATTTCTCTCCCCAGTAATCTAGATGCTTACAAACATTGCTGGTTATGAATGCGCCGGACTCCCTGGTGACGGTACCCTATCACAGTATTCTCCCCTGCCACCGGTACAATCCTGCTTCAGCAACAAATTCAAACATTCAGCTTACATGTAGAAAAAGCTCTTAATGATAGTAGCATGGAACTTATGTTGTAATCAGATAAATTTGCTCAGCTGTGTACTGTCATGTTGCAAAGTCAAATGGCATTAGGTTTGCTTACTGCAGCCCAAGGAAAGGTTTGCCCCTTACTGCATCCTGAATGTTATGTGTATATCCCTGACAATTCTCACAATATGAATCTCCTTGCAAAGCCATGAGGGGTGTGGTTTTTATTAATTATGCTTTTAGTTCTCCTGTGCTTACCCTGTATCTGTAATCTATATCAATTGTGGCTTCCCTGTGTATCCGTAAGAGTATTTTCCTACAGTTGAGTATCAGATTGAGGCCAAATGTGGAGGAAAAGTTAAATATTAAATTTGAACTCAATTGAACATGGACACAAACAATGGTCACCAAGTCCCGGAACAGGTTGTGTGAGCCCCTTGAGGCATTCATCCAGCGCTGTTTCAGATAAATCTCTATTTCAATCTATTCCTATATGTTAGTTATTGAAAAACAACAGACAATCGCAAAAACAAGTTGACCTTTTTATGTTCCTTGAGCCTGGTCATGAAGGGCCCTCGTGCCTGGAGCTCATGCCAAACAACTCATTACAAAAGAGCTAGGGTCCTAGATTGTGCCGAAGCTTCATGAGACCTCTCCTCGTCTGTGCACGGACGAGTGGCCGACTCTGGAGCCCAGGCTGTTGTTTCCTAGTCTGGTGGTGAATCCGCCATAGTCTGGTGAGTGCAGTGTCCGACTCTCGAGCCCAGGCTGTTGCTGTTGCTTCCCAGTCTGGTGGTGAATCCTCCATAGTCTGGTGAGTATAAATACATATATCTCTTTTCCTTTCTCCCCTTCCCATTGCAACTTGCTTACTATATCATTTGCTTATTATATCTGCATTGCCATTTATGTGGGATAAAGCTTGTTTACCCTTAAAGGTATTGTATGTGTGCCTTTTCTTCTCCCCTCACTCGTCTCTCGCACAGAACACTAGGCAGGGGTAGGAGGAACTGGGAGTGGGGGGACCACAGGGACAAATGGCTGTGTTCATTTCTCAGGGGCCAGGCCACCCACCCATCCCCCTCTTCTGGCCTGATAGCATGCCAGCATCTGTCCCAACCCTAGAAATGAGGATTTGGCCCCAGGTCCTTCCCTTCTCAGTATCCCTCTGGGAAAGAGGAAAGAGCAGGAAAAGGTAGAGAGGGACTTCAGCCCTGAGAAGGGGCGCAGTGGGTACCAAGGCAAGCTTCCTCAATCCAATCTTCCCCTCCCCCTGACACAAGTCCCTGGCCACTGCTGCTGGAGACTTGATTGGAAACTGCTTGCTAAGGTTATGATGGGAGGGTGGGGCATTGTGCCTATAGGGACAACCCAGGCAGACTCCTAGGACTATTTTATGGACATGTTGTACACAATCCTGGTTCTGGTCCTCGTCAACACTTTAGGGCTGTACACCTCAGCCATTTGAAACGGAGAGGTGAGGAGACTGGAAAAATAAAACCAACTGGAAAGTTGATTCTGTACTATGTGCCTATATTGTGGTAAAGGAAATTTGTTTTGTGTGGTTGTCACTGGTGGGTAGAGATAGACAAAATTACCTTTAACCCAGACTTTTTCTCATTCTCCTTGCCTAGAGACCTCCCCACCCTCCAACATACACGTATACAATCTCATTCCCTAGTTCTTTGCATCTATATGTTCCTCTCTCGTGTTTTTTTACTTTTTAGAGATGGGGGTCTTGCTTTGTCACCCAGGGTGGAGTGCAGTAGTGCAATCATAGCTCAATGCAGCCTCAAACTCCTCGAGGAATCCTCTTGCCTCAACCTCCTGAGTAGCTGGATTACAGATGTGGGCCACCATGCCTGGCTTCTCATGGTCTTTCTGATTTACCCAGACCTTATCCTAGTGACTGTGTTTGTTTATTTATGAGATAGAGTCTTGCTCTGTCATCCAGCCTGGAGTGCAGTGGTGCGATCTCGACTCACTGCAACTACCTCCTCCCAGGTTCAAGCGATCCTTCTGCCTCAGCCTCCTGAATAGTTGGGATCACAGGCTCCCGCCACCATGCCCAGCTAATTTTTAGTAGAGATGGGGTTTTGCCATGTTGGCCAGGCTGGTCTCGAACTTCTGGCCTCAAGTGATCCACCCGTGCCTCTGCCTTCCAAAGTTCTGGGATTACAGGTGTGAGCCACCATGCCCGACCCTAGTGGCCGGTTTAAAATGAAATGTGAAAAGGGGTTTTATTGCCCACCTTTCACTGGCTGGTTGGGAATTTTTTTTTTTTTTTGAGACAAGAGTTTCGCTCTTGTCGCCCAGGCTGGAGTGCAATGGCGCGAACTTGGCTCACTCCAACCTCCGTCTCCCAGATTCAAGCAATTCTCCTGCCTCAGCCTCCCAAGTAGCTGGAATTACAGGTGCCTCCCACCATGCCTGGCTTTTTTTTTTTTTTTTTTTTTTTGAGATGTTGTCTCACCTTGTCACCCAGGCTGGAGTGCAGTGGCGCGATCTCGGCTCACTGTAAGCTCTGCCTCCTGTGTTCACGCTATTCACCTGCCTCAGCCTCCCGAGTAGCTGGGACTGCAGGCGCCTGCCACCACTCCTGGCTAATTTTTTTTGTATTTTTAGTAGAGACGGGGTTTCACTGTGTTAGTCAGGATGGTCTCGATCTCCTGACCTCGTGATCCTTGGCCTCCCAAAGTGCTGGGATTACAGGCATGAGCCACCGTGCCCAGCCTAATTTTTTGTATCTTTAGTAGAGATGGGTTTTCACCATGTTGGCCACGCTGGTCTCGAACCCCTAACCTCAGGTGATCCAACCCCCCACTTGGCCTCCCAAACTGCTGGGATAATAGGCGTGAGCCACCACACCCGGCCTGGTGGGAATTTTTTTTTTTTTTTTGAGACAGAGTCTCTCAATCTGTCGCCCAGGCTGGAGTGCAGTGGCGTGATCTCGGCTCACTGCAAGGTCCGCCGCCCAGGTTCAAGCGATTCTCCTGCCTCAGCCTCCCAAGTAGCTGGGACTACAGGCGCCCGGAGTAGCTGGGATTACAGCCATCACGTCTGGCTAATTTTTGTATTTTTAGTAGAGACGGGGTTTCACCATCTTGGCCAGGCTGGTCTTGAACTCCTGACCTCGTGATCCACCCGACTCGGCCTCCTAAAGTGCTGGGATCACAGGCGTTAGCCACCGCGCCCAGCCCAACACCTTTTCATTTATCTGTACAGCACATATTTCCTGAGGGCATCCTGTATACTAGGTCCTGAGGGCATCCTGTATACTACAGATGGTTCCCAGCATTGGAGTTTTCAACTTTACATTGGTGCGAAAGCAGATCTGCATTCAGTGGAAACTGTATTTCTCTTACAATGCTGGGCAGTGTCAGCAAGCCACAGCTTCCAGTCAGCCACACATTTTCAACTTACAGTATTTTCAACCTATGATGGGTTTATCAGGATATAACTCCATCACAAGTCAAGGAGCATCTGTAAACAGTAAACAGAAACCCAGGCACCGTGTTTGTGCTTAGGGAGCTTGCGATCTAGTAGGGGAAGATTGTCAATAAAACAATCACAAATATATTGGCTGGGTGCGGTGTCTCACGCCTGTAATCCTAGCGCTTTGGGAGGCCAAGGCGGTTGGATCGCTTGAGGTTAGGAGTTCGAGAGCAGCCTGGCCAACATGGTGAAACCCTGTCTCCACTAAAAATAAAAATTAGCCGGGTGTGGTGGCAAGCGCCAGTAATCCCAGCTACTTGGGAAGCTGAGGCAGGAGAATCGCTTGAACCTGGGAGGTGTAGGCTGTAGTGAGCCAAGATCGCACCACTGCACTCCAGCCTGGGTGACACAGTGAGACCCTGTCTCAAAAATAAAAAAAAAGCATATATATGTAAAGCAGATATATATATATGTGTGTGTGTGTGTGTGTGCGTGTGTATCTATATCTATCTATCTATCTAATTGCCACCGTGCCAAGTGATTCAAAGGAAGGTAGCTGATGTTATGAGAACATATAAACGGGTGGGGCGTGGGAGAAGGGGCTGAGAACACACTGGAGGGGAATGCAGAGACCACCTGGATGTCTGCTGCAATTAAACTGACAAAGTATGACAATTTGGGTTACAGCGGGAGCATGGCAGCTGGAGAAATGGACTGACTTGAGATGTCCCAGATGTTCAGATCTCCTTTTTCTCTCAGGGCACAGGCAAAAGGCAAACCCAAAGAGGTGACTTTGAGCCAGGAGGACCCCTTACTTTGATCTTAACAGAAACGGGGGTTTCCTCTGGTGCGTTATGTGTATCATTTATTGAACCACTACTATGTACTAGGACCGACCTTGTCACATTTAAAGTTCACAACTCTGGCCTGGCGCGGTGGCTCATGCCTGTAATCCCAGCACTTTGGGAGGCCGAGGCGGGCGGATCACGAAGTCAGGAGATCGAGACCATCCTGGCTAAGACGGTGAAACTCCGTCTCTACTAAAAATACAAAAAATTAGCCGGGCGTGGTGGCGAGAGCCTGTAGTCTCAGCTACTCAGGAGGCTGAGGCAGGAGAATCGCTTGAACCCAGGTTGCGGAGGTTACAGTGAGCCAAGATCGTGCCATTGCACTCCAGCCTAGGCGACAGAGTGAGACTCCGTCTCAAAAACAAAACAAAACAAAAAAAAAAGAAAAAAAAAGTTCACAACTCTGAGGTAGGTGTAATTATCCCCATTTCATGATGAGTCTCATAAAGTTTAGGTGATGTGCCCAGAATCACACAGGGTTGGAATCAGGATTAGGGCCCTGATCGGGCTGCATTCAAAGACCAGTTTGCTTCAATACATCATACTACGGTCCAAGACTTCTGCTATCCTGAACCCACTGTTCCTTCCTCTAGTCTAGTTTTCAAATTCGCAGGGACAAATATGGCCCTGAAGGCTCCATGAGCAGACGAGAAGGCTGGACTTCGCAACTGGGTCACCTTAGATCCGGAACTAGAGAATGACACCGTTGTTTCCGGGAGGAAAAAGAAAAAGCGCTTGACCCGGAAGCTGCGTGTCCCATCCCCGCGCCTGCTTCTCTGACTGGGGTGAGGCCGCAGCGGACTGCCCTTTCCCAAGATGGCGTCGAAGATAGGTTCGAGACGGTGGATGTTGCAGCTGATCATGCAGTTGGGTTCGGTGCTGCTCACACGCTGCCCCTTTTGGGGCTGCTTCAGCCAGCTCATGCTGTACGCTGAGAGGGCTGAGGCACGCCGGTGAGCAGGCCTACGCAGCCGCTAAACGCGGCAGGGGGCGGTGATGTGGGCAAGAAATTGGGGGCTAGAAGTCGGGACCCTTGAACTGGGAGGAATTGGGACCTCCCTGGGAGGGGTTCTGGTCTGGGTGTCGGACCAAATCTGGTAGGGCGGTCCTGCCCATGGGAGGGGAGTCTGGTTTGGGGGAGCAGTGGAGCCTGTGGGAACTCAAGGGGTCTCAAGCTTCTTCCCCCACCGCTTCATTCTGTCCTCGTTGCTTCCCCACTCCCGGCTCGCAGGAAGCCCGACATCCCAGTGCCTTACCTGTATTTCGACATGGGGGCAGCCGTGCTGTGCGCTAGTTTCATGTCCTTTGGCGTGAAGCGGCGCTGGTTCGCGCTGGGGGCCGCACTCCAATTGGCCATTAGCACCTACGCCGCCTACATCGGGGGCTACGTCCACTACGGGGACTGGCTGAAGGTGAGCGCCTCGGCCCCAAAAGGGTCTTCCCTCTGGGTGACGGGGAATCAGAGGCCAATGCCCAGGGCTGTTGGTGGGCGATGAATGGTGCTGGCCAGCTGCACAGTGTGAAGCCTGGGAGGTTCGAACCCCTTGGCTTATGGAGATTACAGAGCGCAGAAATGGATCTTAGAGACCACACAAACTTCCTCTTCAAAGTGTGGAAACTGAGGTCTAGAGATGGGAAACAGACTTTCCCAAAGCCACAATACAGGATACTGGTGGGACCAGAACCCCGGTCACCTGGTTCCCAGAATCTTTTAAACTGTTAGTTTAGTAATCTCAGACTCATGGGGTACAAAGGACCTTGGAGAGTACCTAGTTTTCATAAAATAAATTTTATGAAAATGTAATTACTGTTAGTATAGCATTTAAGCCAGAACCTGTGCCAGGCCCTGCAGGCTGGAGATAAGGTTGGACAAAGGCACTGTCCTTGAGGAAGAGACTGTCAGACCCTTAGGGGAGGAAGATGTGTGAACAGCTACAGGGCAGCAAGATCAATGTTTTTGTGGCATAGATCCCATGCCATGTAGAATAAAGAACACCAAGATTAGAGTCTACAGATCTGAGAGTGGGGAAGGGAGAAACACATTGTGTCTGGGTTCTGCCACTTACTGGCAGGTAGGACCTGCCAGTTTTCTTTTTTGTTGTTGTTTTTTGAAACAGAGTCTCTCTCCGTCGCCCAGGCTGGAGTGCAGTGACGCTGTCTCAACTCACTGCAACCTCCGCCTTCCAGGTTCAAACGATTCTCCTGCCTCAGTCTCCCAAGTAGTTGGGATTACAGGCGCCCTTCCCCACGCCCGACTAATTTTTGTATTTTCAGTAGACAGGGTTTCCTCATGTTGGCCAGGCTAGTCTCAAACTCCTGACCTCAGGGTGATCCACCTGCCTCGGCCTCCCAAAGTGCTGGGATTACAGGCGTGAGCCACTGCGCCTGGCCAGACCTGACAGTTTTCTTAACCCTCTGGGCCTCAGTTTCTACTTCTATATATATATAAAAAGAATGATCTGTCTCTGTTGCACCTGCCCACCAAGCTTGGAAATGTAAGAGGGTTCATCAGATGGAATGGGATGTGTAGAGAGGGGTGGTTCTACACTCTGGGAAGCCAGGAGAGATGTGGCGGCTGCAGTTCTTGACTGGGGTCCCCTTACCCCGGCCTAGGTCCGTATGTACTCGCGCACAGTTGCCATCATCGGCGGCTTTCTTGTGTTGGCCAGCGGTGCTGGGGAGCTGTACCGCCGGAAACCTCGCAGCCGCTCCCTGCAGTCCACCGGCCAGGTGTTCCTGGGTATCTACCTCATCTGTGTGGTATGTTGGGGGACTGTTGGTTGGAGGTGCCTGGCTGGGAGTGAACTGTGAGTCTAGGCATGGCAGAACCCCAGGAAGGTAGACACAGAACGAGGCCCTGAGTGCAGTTCCTGATGGCCCAGTTCCCTGGGAATTGCCCTGGCCAGCTTCTAGGCCTCAGGGGCCCTCCAAATGCCTGTTGAGAGGCCCTTCCTCCAACAGTGTTGCCACGAGGTAGACTGGCCATTAAATTTCAACCCTGAGAGCCAGGAGAACAAGATGGGGTGATTCTCTCATGGCTCCAGCCCCCAAAGGACTAGAAGGGGATAAAGGAGAGGTTTGGTGGGGGTCAGGCCCCAGCTGGGACTCTGCCCCCTAGAGCTGATGAGAGCTCTAGGGTAGCCACTTATGGTTCTCCCTGGTGCTAGGGGAGGCCAGGGTGACTGGAGACATGGACAGGCGCCAGGCCATTAGGTCTTATCTTAATTACCGAGTATATCTCTGTACAGCTCTCTGTGTGGGCTCCCATATTCAGAGGTGGGAGCTCTAGTCTGACTGTGGAAATACACTTCCTTCATAGCCCCTAGGGTGAGGGGAGACATGGGCCCTAATCTCCTGGGGCTCCATAGTCCGAGGGGGAGACAAAGGCCCTACTTTCAGAGGTTCCCCAGTCCAAGAGGGGAGTCAGAAGCCCATCTGCAGGGACTCATTTGCAGGTGCCATCTCAGGGGTGGTTTACCCCAGACAGGCTTCTGAGCCTGTTGGAGAGTCTTAGAGGATGTTATGTCTCCAGGCCTACTCACTGCAGCACAGCAAGGAGGACCGGCTGGCGTATCTGAACCATCTCCCAGGAGGGGAGCTGATGATCCAGCTGTTCTTCGTGCTGTATGGCATCCTGGCCCTGGCCTTTCTGTCAGGCTACTACGTGACCCTCGCTGCCCAGATCCTGGCTGTACTGCTGCCCCCTGTCATGCTGCTCATTGATGGCAATGTTGCTTACTGGCACAACACGCGGCGTGTTGAGTTCTGGAACCAGATGAAGCTCCTTGGAGAGAGTGTGGGCATCTTCGGAACTGCTGTCATCCTGGCCACTGATGGCTGAGTTTTATGGCAAGAGGCTGAGATGGGCACAGGGAGCCACTGAGGGTCACCCTGCCTTCCTCCTTGCTGGCCCAGCTGCTGTTTATTTATGCTTTTTGGTCTGTTTGTTTGATCTTTTGCTTTTTTAAAATTGTTTTTTGCAGTTAAGAGGCAGCTCATTTGTCCAAATTTCTGGGCTCAGCGCTTGGGAGGGCAGGAGCCCTGGCACTAATGCTGTACAGGTTTTTTTCCTGTTAGGAGAGCTGAGGCCAGCTGCCCACTGAGTCTCCTGTCCCTGAGAAGGGAGTATGGCAGGGCTGGGATGCGGCTACTGAGAGTGGGAGAGTGGGAGACAGAGGAAGGAAGATGGAGATTGGAAGTGAGCAAATGTGAAAAATTCCTCTTTGAACCTGGCAGATGCAGCTAGGCTCTGCAGTGCTGTTTGGAGACTGTGAGAGGGAGTGCGTGTGTTGACACATGTGGATCAGGCCCAGGAAGGGCACAGGGGCTGAGCACTACAGAAGTCACATGGGTTCTCAGGGTATGCCAGGGGCAGAAACAGTACCGGCTCTCTGTCACTCACCTTGAGAGTAGAGCAGACCCTGTTCTGCTCTGGGCTGTGAAGGGGTGGAGCAGGCAGTGGCCAGCTTTGCCCTTCCTGCTGTCTCTGTTTCTAGCTCCATGGTTGGCCTGGTGGGGGTGGAGTTCCCTCCCAAACACCAGACCACACAGTCCTCCAAAAATAAACATTTTATATAGACATTTGGTTTTGCTTTTCTGTTCTCCCCAACAGGGAACTCTGCCATTGGCTGGGATTGATCTTGGGTTTCTTGAAACACTAGATCTGGTCAAGCCCCACCTTGGGCCTCCCGTGATCTTTCCCCTGTTCCAAGATTTCCCACAGTTCTTTGGCTCTCTCTCTTTCTTTTTTTTTTTAATTTTTCACTTCTTTATTTTTTAGAGACAAGGTCTCACTTTGTTGTCCAGGCTGGTTTCAGACTCCTTGGCTCAAGTGATTCTCCAGCCTCAGCCTCAGCCTCCCAAAGTGCTGGGACTACAGGCATAAGCCACTGTGCCCAGTGGCTCTCTTTTTCAAGAATCTCAAAATCCTCATTGTACTATATGCTTTCAATCCCTCACCTCAGTCCCTCTTGTTGTAGGTTGTCTTTTTCTCCCCATTTGGAGCTGGTTCTTATGAAGACATCTTTGGTGAGAGCAGCTAGAGGGAGAGAACTGTGAAGTGTCCACTGTGAAGTGGAATATTTTACACTTTATACATGAAGGAAATGGAGGCTCAGAGAGGATAAGCAGTTTCGGTCAAGCCACAGAGCAAATCCAGCCCACAGAGCTGGATTCCAGGTCAGGTCTGTCTAATGGTGAAGTCCAGATATGTACTCACTGTGACCCATCTCCTGAGGGGAGACAGAGGCTGCTCTATTCCAGCCCCTACTGTGCCATGATGGTCTCCCTGTTGACCTTCTCCCTTTTTTTTTGAGACGGAGTCTTGCTCTGTCACCTAGGCTGGAGTGCTGTGGCGTGATCTCTGCTCACTGCAAGCTCCGCTTCCCGGGTTCATGCCATTCTCCTGCCTCAGCCTCCCGAGTAGCTGGGACTACGGTTTTGTTTGTTTGTTTGTTTTTTGTTTTTTTTGAGACAGAGTCTCACTGTCACCCAGGCTGGAGTGCTGTGGTGTGATCTCGGCTCACTGCAACCTCTGCCTCCCGGGTTCAAGTGATTCTCCTGCCTCAGCCTCCTGAGTAGCTGGGATTACAGGTGCCCGCCACCATGCCTGGCTAATTTTTTTTTTTTTTGAGACGGAGTCTCGCTCTGTCGCCCAGGCTGGAGTGCAGTGGTGCGGTCTTGGCTCACTGCAAGCTCCGCCTCCCAGGTTCACGCCATTCTCCTGCCTCAGCCTCCTGAGTAGCTGGGACTACAGGCGCCCGCCACCACGCCCAGCTAATTTTTTGTATTTTTAGTAGAGATGGGGTTTCACTGTGTTAGCCAAGATGGTCTCGATCTCCTCACCTCGTGATCCACCCGCCTCGGCCTCCTAAAGTGCTGGGATTACAGGCGTGAGTCATCGCATCCGGCGACCTTCTCCCTTCTTGTCTATGTGTCTGCCAGAAAGTCACCCCAGCAGCAGCCGGTATGGTGCCTGCTACATTATGGAGCTTCAAAAAATGTCAAATGAAACCCCTGGGCTTTGGATTTCTGCCCATCGAGTCCTGTAGAGACTGGACACAACCACTAGTAGGGCCTAGGGGAAAACGTCCAAGTTTGAGCTTTTAAGCCAAAGCCATCTTTTAACTTCTCTGGGCTCTTGCAGGTAAACGGTCCGCCACTGATGCCTGGGTCTGGCTGTGAGCCCAGCCTAGAAAGGGAGCTGTGGGTGGAGGCACTCACAGGCAAGGGGAGCTGGGGCTGCTGTGGCCTGGTCTGTGGAAGGGAGGATGCTTCCTAATCTCTGGGAGGGAGATGGTGGCAGCATTCATCATAGAAGTCTTCTACTCCCTCCAGGAGTCCCCTGATTCCCCAGCCCTCAAGATCTTGCTCCCAGCCTGTAATCCTAGCATTTTGGGAGGCCAAGCAGGGAGGATTGCTTGAGCCCAGGAGTTTGAGAGCAGCCTTGGCAACATAGTGAGACCTCGTCTCTACCAAAAAAAAAAGATCCAGGTGTGGCGGTGCATGCCTGTGGTACCAGCTTATTTAGGAGGCTGACATGGGAGGATTGCTTGAGCCTGGGAGGTCAAGGCTGCAGTGAGCTGTGATTGCACCACTGTACTCTAGCCTTGGTAACAGAGCAAGATCCTGTCTTTAAAAAAAAAAAAAAAATCTTGCTCCCACGGGGTCACTTCTAATTTTCTTTCAAGTGTAAGCTGACTCTCAGACAAGTATTTGCATTTTAATCAAGGCCTCCTGAAAAACTGCAAGACCCAAAGGAATTAAAATGAATGGTAGAATATCACGCAGGCAGGGGTATTATTTTGGGTAAGGGAGCCTCAAAACATAGCACAGAGGCACAGAAACTAGCTCACCCTTAGGGTTAGTCCTGAGTAGAGCCCTGGAAGGCACCCTCCCCTCCCCTAATCCCCAGGTTGAAAATCGAAGGCCATTTGGTTGTAGCTTTAGAGTGAGTCGAGTTGGGGTCCTAGACTGGTCCCCTTCTTTCCTGTGCTTGTCCCACTTCAGCGCCTCCTCTGGGCAGAGCTGGGGCTGCTTTCTCCTCTGCAGATCACTCAGCCAACAAGCCCCCTTCAGCCTGTGGCTGGCTGCCTGGGGTCATGCCCAGCTGGCATGGCTTTTGGTCCACCCTGGCCATTCCAGGGCCTGTAGTGTCCATGGTGAGGGTCAGCTGCCTGGGTCAGAAGCTGGCTTGTGAAAGGAGTCTGGCAGTCCCTTGGCGTGGTTGACCAACTCATAGGAGTCCCGGATATCAGCCAGGCCAAACCAGAAGAAGATCCACTGCTTGTTGGAGAAGCTGCCATCACTGTGTTTGAAGTACCTGGGTGTGGGGAGGTGATGTAGGAAACAGTTTTTAGGGCAAGGCCAGTGTTCATTACTCACTGGTTCTGTCTTTAAAAAACATTGATTGAGGACCTACTGCATGCTGGGCACCCAGCTTGGTCCTGCTGTGTGTTATCTCATTTTATCCTCACAGCAGAGGCCTGAGCCTGGCATTGTGATGCTCAGCTCACAGAGAAGCAGCTAAGGCTCAGAGAAGTTAGGTACCTTGCCAGGCGCACACAGGAAGGGAGCGGGTGCTTTGCTCTCCACACTGCCTTGGCTGTGCAGCAAAGAGGAGGGTTCTTGCTCACTTCCTAGTGCTCACAGAGCAGGGTGTAGGGGTGAGGGGGTAGTTACTGAAGGAGAGAGGAGGGATGTTCCACTGGAGGCGCCGCAGGCCTCCAATAGACCCTGAAGGGTTAGGATTCCTCAGGCCCCTGTGAGAGGTGGGCTGCGTGGGGCTTAGGAGGTGTCACTTGCTGCCAGAAAAGGAGTGTTAAGCATGCTTTAACTCGGGAAATCTCAGGCTTTCTGTGTGTTCTGCCCCTGGGAGGTAGTGAAAGGGAGACCAGTGGAAGAAGAGGAAGCCCAGCCTTCTTGGCATGGTTGGCAAGGGTGGGAGAGGGGAGGGAAGTCAGGGCCCAGCCCAGAGCTGGGAGTGGCAGGACCTACCAGGGATTGATGGGGTTGGTGACCCGGGAGCGCCAGAAAAGTGTCTGAAGGTCCCGCCGCAGGCACTCCCACAGCATCTGGCCGGAGCCTTGGCCCTGGCGGCTGGAGCTCACCACAAATTTGTCCAGGTACGGGGTGCCCCCCAGGACGGGCTCCATGGTCAGAATGGCGGCGGCGTTGTACCTGGCGCAGCGGGAGAGCGGCAGGCTGGGACCTCTCCTTGGTCCGAAGCTGCCCGACTGCCCCCCAGACCCCGCCCTCTGGGGTCCGCAGGCTTACCCCTCGGAGACGTAGATGGAGTGCAGCCGCGGGCGCAGCGAGGCCAGGTAGTCGTCCCTGAGCTTCTTGCCGAAGCTGGCGTTGACCAGGTCCACTAGACGGCCCTGGTCCAGCTTGTCCAGGCTGCGCACCCGTAGCATTCGCTCGGCGTTCTTGAACAGGGTCCCGGACCCTGGAGGAGGATGGGGAGGGGCTAGTCTGGCTGGAGGGCCGTTTGCGCAGCCTGGTGGGGACTGCAGGTAGGACAGGCGCTGGTGGGACAATTTCCGTCTTTGGGAGACCTCCACAGTGAAATGATTTCAGTGGTCTGCATAGATTTGTCTGTGATTTTCATTCAAGGAGATGCTTTCCCCAGGCAGAGATTGTGCCCCAAGTTCCTCCTGTCGCCTGGAGCCCCACCCACTTCCGTTAGTCTTGCCTCGCTCCTTGAAGTCTGTCTCCCGCCGCTGACCCGGCCCACCCACCTAAGCCCCGCCCATCTCTCCCGGTCGAACACCTCCCTTATGGTCCCGCCCCTGGCCCCGCCCACCGGGGGGCCCCTCCTTCTCCCCCCTAGTCCCGCCCATTCCTTTAATTCCTTCGGAGTTCCCTTCCAGTACACTGGGTCTCCTCCTCTCTCACCTCCCCCGGGTTTCGGCAGCAGCAGGAGCCATTGCTGTGACACCCCCCGCCTCCCCCTACGGCTCCTGGACAGGAGGAGAAGCCGCTCCTCCTGACCGCAGACACCCAGCCCCGGCCAGTACTCACTCCCGGGACCCAGTCCCCGGCCCGCCCACCGCCCTCACCCTTGTTGCTAAAGAGCTCAGTGAGCAGCGTGCTAGCGGCGGTGATGACGGCCGAGGAGTGGTGGGGCAGGCGGCTGAGCACGTCCACGATGAGCCGCATCTGCTGCCGTTCTTTTGTGCTCACCCACTCGGCGTTGCACACCAGGTCCAGGTCGGCGGGCAGGTTCACGTTACTCAGGACCTGTGTCCGGAGTCAGCGGGTGAGCCTGGCCCACAGCCGGCACGGACTGCCCCCCTACCCCCACGGACCTCTCTTTTCTCTGACCCCTTTATCCTTACTTCCGCCCGGAGTCCTTAGCCAGGGAGGGCGCAGATCTGGGCACCCAGGGCTGAACTCCTCCCCTATACTCCCTTAGGCTTTTCTACCCACCCGGCTTGCTAGTGAGTCTGCGGCCCGTCGGGGAGAAGTGCGAGGGGCGCAAGAGAAGGCCCGGATCGCCGGCGTGGGGGAAGGTGAAAGAAAGGGCCGCACCTTATGACTGCTGTCGCGCAGGCCGCCTGTGTTATTGAGGAAGATGATTTTGGTGGGCCGCAGCGCCTTGGCCAGCGACGCGGTCACCTCCAGGGAGTCGAGAAGCACGGAGCGGCGCGCGGCCGTCTCCCCGATGGGGCACAGGATGGGGATGCTGCCCGACTCCAGGCACCACTGCAGCAGGTCTGTCTCCACCGAGACGATGCCGCCGTAGCTGTGGGCCAGACGTGGTGCTCGAGAGGGCCCCCTCCAGGCCTGCCGGACGGGGCAGGGCGGGCAGAGTAGCACGCTCTGAGGACGCCTGGGCGGGCAGGGCGGGCACTCACCTGGCATGGGGAGCCGGCTCGGCAGCGCGTAGCACAGACCCGCCGCCAAAAAATGGCACAGCAGCGGCGGCGTTGTGTCGAAGCGCGTCTACCAGCACCTTGCAGCTCTTGGCCAGCTGCGCCTTGGCCTCCCAGAAGGAAAGACAGCCCGAGGGAGCCGTAGGGGCCGGCAGCCCCAGGACCACCAGCGGCTTCATGTCCATGCGCTGCAAGAAGGCCAGGGCAAAGGCCAGACTGGATACGCCCTGCTGGCACTTGAGCACCTCCTCGTCCACCTGCGGAGGAGTGGGCTTTCAAGGAGCGTGACACGGACCTGAGCCGCTGGCTCCCACAGCCTGGCCTGCAGGGCCGTCTCGGTGACCCTACCCTTCCAGAAGCTGTCAGGACCCAGTTCTGGCCACCAGTGCCCACCTGCTCCGCCCTTTGCCCCGTTGGGTCTTGCCACTCCCTTGTCTCACGCTGGGGTACCTCCCGCCCTCCTCCCTCCGACCTTGGACTCCGGGACATCTTTGGGGGAGGGGCAGTGCAAGCGGCTCCTGTCCAGGTCCTTCTGAACCCCTAACTGCGCCCATGTTGGGGGCCTTCTTCAGAGCATCACACCTGGCGGGTGGGGTCCCCCAGGATCCTCACTCGGGCTGGGCGGGAGGCTTCCGGAGGAGCTTACGGCCTCTCCCATTCCCGGCGGCGCTGGTCTGGGCCCTGCCGGGCTCCTTCCCGCTTCCGCTGCGCAGAGCCCGCAGCGTATCCTGCCATGCCTGAGGACAGGTGGCCGCACAACCCCATCCCCTCGCTGCGTCACGGCCCACGCCGGGCTCCGCTCACCTCGATGACGGCGAAGGGCTTGTCCGCGGAGTGATGGCAGGTCTGGAACTGCGTGAGCCAGTGGCGCGCCTCCCCAGGGCTGGCCCCGCACTGGTTCAGGAAGGCCTGGATGTCCCGCTGCACCAGCGAGCGGCCCGAAGGAGGCTCTGGGGACTCGTGGGGCACCGGGGGCCTGGGACTCGGCACCCACGACGGCTCCTCGGCGACGGGCGACTGGGAGACGTCGTCCGCGCCCGCGTACTCCTCGGGCGGGGGCTGGGGCTGCGACCAGGCGGTGCTGAGCCGGCGCCCCGGGCTGGTGCCCCTCGCCGCCCGCCGCCGCGCGCCACAGCTCAGCCTTCGGGCGCCCCCAGTGCCTCCCCGGCCTCTCAGCCTCGGGGCTACAGCAGCTGCCCGCAGAACCACAGCCATCAGCGCCGTCGCCATGACGACAACCAACTCTTGCCCCCCAAGAGTGGCAGTCTGTCTGGAGCGTCTGGCACTGGGGGGCTCTTAACTTGCCGTTGGGCGGGGCTGGACCTGGTCGGGGCGGGGTCCGGACAGGGGACCAGGAGTCTCCTCTGGGTGCGTTTGAGGAGGGTCAGGCCATGAGTCAGGGGGCGGGGCCACTAGGCTCCCCCGCCCCTGGAGGAACTGAACCCACTATCGGTCATGGGGCCGAGACTAAATGTGGCGGGTTGTCTTTAATCTGCTGCCAAGGTAGGTTCCAGGGGCGGCTTTGGGAGTCTGCAGGGCCTTGGATGATTGGCATTCTGACCAGAGAAGAAGGGACTGTAGGTGGCTTTGAGCACAGGGCTGGGCAGGGGGCTGGAAGGAGGGCGCTGGAAAGAGTAGAAGAAGGGGGGCAGTGGGAGGGCGGGGGCGGGTGGTGCTGGCCTTGTCTGTCCTGTTGCCTGAGCTCAAAAAAGATCCTAATGAATGACCATGAGGTTACCAGGGTTTGCCAAACTCCAGTCACTGGGTACCAGCTTGAGGAATTCTGTGATATCCTCAAAACACCCCTCAAAACTTATAATACTTTAGTGTTAATGCTTTTCTTTATCGAATATCACATCTGGTAAAAATAAAATAAAATAGAGTTTTTTATTTTGGTTTTTGAGATAGGGTCTCACTCTGTTGTTGCCCAGGCTGCAGTACAGTGGTGCAATCATAGCTCACTGCAGCCTCCACCTCCCAGGTTCAAATGATCCTCCTGCCTCAGTCTCCCTAGTAGCTGGGACCACAAATGCACACCACCATGCCCAGCTGATTTAAAAAAAAATTATTTTTTTTGAAGACGGGTGTTCACCATGTTGCCCAGACTGTTCGTGAACTCCTGAGCTCAAGCAGTCCTCCCACTTCTGCCTCCCAAGGTGCTGGGATTACAGGTGTGAGCTACTTCACTCGACCTCTGTAACCCTTTTTTTTTTTTTTTTTTTTGTTTGTTTGTTTGTTTGAGATGGAGTCCCACCCTATTGCCCAGGCTGGAGTGCAGTGTTGCGATCTCGGCTCACTGTAATCCCCGCCTTCTGGGTTCAAGCGATTCTCCTGCCTCAGCCTCCTGAGTAGCAGGGATTACAGGCAGACACCATCACACCCGGCTAATCTTTGTATTTTTAGTAGAGACAGGGTTTCACCATGTTGGCCAGGATTGTCTCAAACTCCTGACCTCGTGATCCACCTGCCTCAGCCTCCCAAAGTGCTGGGATTACAGGCGTGAGCCACCACGCCCGGCCCTCTTTAACCTTTTTAAACTTAAAGTTTATCCATGTTAGGTCTGTAACTAGGCCAGTATCACTTGCCATAAGCCTTAAGAATCAAGTGAGGAGGCGGGTGGGTCATTTGAGGTCAGAAGTTCAAGACCAGCCTGGCCAACATGGTGAAACCCCATCTCTACTAAAAATACAAAAATTAGCCAGGCAGTAGTGGCATGTTTCTGTAATCCCAGCTACTCAGGAGGCCAGAGAATCACTTGAGCCTGGGAGGAGGAGATTGCGGTGAACTGAGACTGTGCCACTGCACTCCCGTCTGGGCGACAGAATGAGACCCTGTCTCAAAAAAATTAAAATTAAAATTAAAATCAAAATTAAAAAAGAATCAAGTGAGAGGAAAACAATGTTATTACATTCCATTATATTCCATCTGCATAGCTTGCCTGCTTTCTTGGTAACATGGAAGGTTAGCAGGTGCCATGTGTTAAAGATACCCTAGCACCAAGCAAAGCCTTCTGTGTGGTAGAGGAATAGCTAACACATGTCGAATGCTAGGCACTATGCAAAGGACTTCACAAATAGTCATTCATTTAATCCTCTCAGTGACTCCAGGATAGCTATTATCATTATTCCCATTTTACAGATGAGAAAATGGAGGTACAGAAATATGTGAGGATCAGGGTCACTCAGCTCACAAGCCGTGGAGCTGGTCTAGGAAGCAGTTCTGCTCCAGATCCATGCTGTTAAGCAAGTTTTGGAAAGGAGTTGAAAGGCTTGAAAACATTCACAGGATATGATTCAATGTTACTTCATACTGTGTCCATGTGCTGGGCACTGTCAGCTGCACACATCCTGCCCTTGGGTACACTCTGATCCAGTCAGACCCTCTGTTGTTGTAGAGGGGGAAAGAGGACCCTCTGTTGTTGTAGAGGGGAGGTGACCTGGCCAAGGTCACACAGCTCGTCAGTGGCATGGCCAGACCCTAAGCACCCTCAGTTCCTACCCCTGCTCCTCCCTGCTTTCTTGCACGTGGTTTTGTCTCCCCATGCTGGAGTCCTGACACCTGGGGCTCTGCCTTTTTGGGGAGCAGGGCTTGGGCTACTTCCCTCCTGAGGAGTCTCCAGGGGAGGCCGAGTGAGTGCGCTTACCCGTTTCTGGGATCTTCCCCGCAGTCCCCCACCCCTCGGACACACTGTCCCGGGGGGGAGACTCTGTAGTGGAAGGAGGGGCTGACATAGGACCTCCTCATTGAGTTTTTTTGTTTTCCCACTTAGAAATCTTGGGTTCCAAGGCAAAGCATGAAGCAATGGCGTGGAGGGGCTGCACCCCCTACCTGGTGGGGCCACCTCCAGGGCCTTCTTTCTCTTCCCTCTTTACTCTCAGGCCCGGCCACACACACACTTCTCAGAATCCACTGGAGGAGGAGGTCTTAGCCTCCAGGGGCATAATAGTTTTCCTCTCCAAACTCCTTCAACCCAAATGTGCTTCTCTTTCCCTAGGCTGCAAGGCCAGCTCTTCATCACAGCAGGCCACCCCTGCTGACCCCTCTCCACTCAGAATTCCTTCTTGTCTCTGTCCTCTTTGACTCAGACTGGGGCTCCCTGAGGGCAGGACTGGTATCTCCCTCAGATGGGGGCTTCCTAGGGATCCACCCAATTCAGTCCCTGCTGACTGAATCAGCTCCATTGCCCCTGAGCCTATGAGGTGGAAATGGGCTGGGAAGCGGCTTCTGACTCCTTTGGGCTTCATCCCAGAGGGCCGTGTCCCCAGGCAGCCAATGGGGCCCAGAGATACCAGAGTAGATGATTAACTCCAGGCCCATTGACCCTGGGGCCACTGTGTCCCCTCCACCTCTCCTCTGGTTGGGGACTGGCCCTGCTTTCTGGAGGAGAAGAGTGTGAGTGTCTGGGGTCAGCACTCCTACCCAGCCCCACCCCTCTGAGTTGAAGGCCTACAGGATCATTGTTGATGTATGGGTCCAGCTCACATTTTTCTTCCTTTAAAGGTGGGTGTTATTTTGTTAGAGCAGAGCCTGTTGTCATTGTGCCCAGGTTCAGGGGCCCAGCTTCTCACCAGGCTTGGGTCTTGGAGATCCTGGGAGCAGAGACATAACTTCCACCCAGAAGGGTCCTGGGCCCCGAGCACAGTAGCCAGGTTTAAGCCCAAGGCTTTCCCTCCCAATACAGCCCTTCTTGGCCGCATCTCAGCCCAGCAGGGCATGAATGTGACAGGAATTGGCCAGGGTGAGGGGCTGGGGTTGACATTTGACAGTACCACATCACAGCTCCTGAGGGGAGACACACACACAAACATGCACAGTACACAAATACAGAGCCCCATAGCATTGAGATGCAAACAGATAAACGATGTGTAGACACACGGGTGTACAAAGAGACACAGTAGACAAACTTGGAGACCCACACCAGCCACAGTCACACAGACACTCATCTGTACGTAGAGGAATGCCCCTGTACACCATACAGGTGTACAGAGGTACACAGATCCACTCATACACGTTTGGATACAGAATTGTGCACTCACATAGGCCAGGTGTGGTGGCTCATGCCTATAATCCCAGCACTTTGGGAGGCTGAGGCGGGCGGATCACTTGAGGTCAGGAGTTTGAGACCAGCCTGGCCAACGTAGCGAAGACCTGTCCCTGCTAAAAAAAAAAATACAAAAATTAGCCAGGTGTGGTGGCTGACACCTGTAATCCCAGCTACTCGGGAGGCTGAACCTGGGAGGTGGAGGTCGCGGTGAGCCAAGATCACACCACTGCACTCCAGCCTGTGTGACAGAGCAAGACTCAGTCTCAAAAAAAAAAAAAAAAAGTGCACACTTAGGCATTCTCAGGCATTCTCAGCGACTGTGTCATATAGGAACACATGGACATAGACGTGAAAAGACACCAAGAACACAAAAACACACCCAGCTGTGGCCATTGACAGCTACAGGACACTTTGACACACCCAGAGTAGCACAGACCTCTTGACAGTGCCATCTGCCCTTATCTACAAAGGCACACAGATACACCCAGGCCCAACCAAAGGCAGACACAGGGCAGTCCTCCGGCTTTGTCATGCTCATGTGACAGAAACCCTGATCAAATCCACCTTCCATCTATCCTGTGCCTGCACTACACAGCTGAGCATGCATGATGGCTAGAGAAAGACATACAACCTCGACGCCTGGTCTCACTTTAAATTTACAACTACAAGCTGGGCATAATGGTGTGCATGTGTAGTTCCAGCTACTCAGGACGCGGAGGTGGGAGGATTGCTTGAGCCTGGGAGGTTGAGGCTGCATGCAATAAGCTATGACCACGCCACTGCACTCCAACGTGGGCAACAGAGTGAGGCTTTTCTCAAAAATAAAAAAAGAAAAGAAAAAGGAAGCTCTCGGAAAACATAGGCACCCATGTCTCTGCTCTCCACCTGTTAGTGTAGATGGACAGCACAGGTGTCATCTAAAGCCAGTTCCTGTCGTGGTGCACAGGCCCCATCCCTTCCTTCCTCCTGAGCATTGCTCCAGGAAGTCTTCCCTCTGCTGCTCCATCATCAAAATTCCCACCAGCATATAAACACAGTTATTTTCCATCTTAACAAAACTTCTTTTCTTTTTTTTTTTTTTGAGACGGAGTTTCACTCTTGTTGCCCAAGCTGGAGTGCAATGGCGTGATCTCAGCTCACTGCAACCTCTGCCTCCTGGGTTCAAGCAATTCTTCTGCCTCATCCTCCCGAGTAGCTGGGATTACAGGCACGCGCCACCACGCCTGGCTGATTTTTTGTATTTTTAGTAGAAACAGGGTTTCACCATTTTAGCCAGACTGGTCTTGAACTCCTGAACTTAGGTGATCTGCCCTCCTCACCTTAGGTGATCTGCCCTCCTCAGCCTCCCAAAGTGCTGGGATTACAGGCGTGAGCGACCGTGCCCGGCCTCTAACAAAACTTCTAACTTCACCTCCCCCGCCACCCCTCAACCCCACTCTGGGATCAACTAAATGTTGCCCCAATTCTTTGCTCCTTTTACCTTCAAAATTCCTGGAAAAAGCGAACAAAATTGCTGCCTCCAGGTCCTCCCTCTCGTTCTCCCTTAGGCGCAATCCACTTAGGCCATCTCCCCCACCCCTACCAGAGTCACTGTCAAGGTCACCAGTGACCACTGCATTGCTAAATCTAAGGGTCAATTCTCAGCCCTCCTCCCCCTAAGCCTATTGGCCACCTTTGCCTCCCTCCCTCCTCCTCGATACCCCCTTCACCTGGCCTCAGGCTGCTCTTCCTCACACTCCCTTCCTGGTCCTCCTCTTTCTCCTGCTGTCTTCCTGATGGAGAACCACAGAGCTCAGGCCTTGGTCCTTTTCTCTACTTTCTCTCTCTCGGGATCCTGTGTAGTTTTATGACTTAAATACCATCTCTAAGCTGATGACTGTCATGTTTTTAATTTCAGCCCAGACCATTCTTCTGAACTGCAGATCTGTGTCTCTAACTACCTACTCGACCCCTTGGACCTAATATAATAGACATGTAGTAGGCATCTCACATTCCAGGCATCTAAATCAGAGCGCCATTCCCCCATGCTGTGGCCAAATCTACTTTACTCACATCTTCCCATCTCAGTTGATGGCAGCTCAGTTTCCTCTTTTCTCAGAGCCAAAAATCTATGATCAGCTGGGCGTAGTGACTCATGCCTGTAATCCTGGCTACTTGGGAGGCTGAGTGAGGCAGGAGGATCTCTTGAGCCAGGGAGGTTGAGGCTGCAGTGAGCTATGAATGCACCACTGTACTGCAGCCTGGACAACACAGTGAAACCCTGTTTCTTTTTTTTCCTTTTCTTTTCTTTTTGAGACAGAGTCTCACTCTGTCACCCAGATTGAAGTGCAGTGGCTTGATCTCAGCTCACTGCAACCTCCACCTCCCAGGTTCAAGCAATTTTCCTGCCTCAACCTCCCAAGTAGCTGGGACTGCAGGTGCATGCTGCCATGCCCGGCTAATTTTTTGCATTTTAGTAGAGACACGGTTTCATCGTATTGCCCAGGCTGGTCTCGAACTCTTGAGCCCATGAAATCCGCCTGTCTTGGCCTCCCAAAGTGCTAGGATTACAAGTGTGAGCCACTGTGTCTGGCTGAAAAGCTGTTTCTTAAAAAAAAAAAAAAATCTGTGGGTTCAGGCATGGTGCCTCATGCCTGTAATCCCAATACTTTGGGAGGCCAAAGTGGGCAGATGACCTGAAGTCAGGAGTTCGAGACCAGCCTGGCCAACATGGTGAAACTCCGTCTCTACTAAAAATACAAAAATTAGCCAGATGTGGTGGTGGGCATCTGTAATCCCAGCTTCTCAGGAGGCTAAGGCAGGAGAATGACTTGAACCTGGGAGGTGGAGGTTCCAGTGAGACGAGATCTTGCCACTGCACTCCAGCCTGGGCGACAGAGTGAGACTCTGTCTCAAAAAACAAAAACAAAAAAACCAATCTATGGTCATTCTTGATTTTTTTTTTCATACCCTATGTCCAATTAGTCAGTATATATTCTACCCATAAAATATATCCAATATCCAATGTTTTCCCACCTCCTCCAGGATACCACCCTGAGTTGAAGAAATAGCTTCCTAAATGGCCTTAAAGGAACGCGGGCGGGGGATATAGGGTCGAAGCCGCATTCGTAAGGGGTGGATTTTTCTATGTAGCCTTCTTGCTTCCATTTTTGCCCACTAGAGTCTATTCTCAACACAGCTGCCTCAGTGATTTTTGAAAGGTGAGTCCCATGGTGTCATTCCTCTGTTCTGAACTCTCATGGCTTCCATCTCACTGAGAGTAAAAGTCGAAGTCCTTGTGATTGCCAGGCACTTGTTTGACCTTATTTCCTACTGCCCCTGCCCCTCCAGCCAGCTCACTCCTCACCAGCCATGAGGACCTCTTCACATAGCTTAAGCATGTCAGGTACAATTACTTTTGCCTTGGCACTGGCTGTGTCCTCTACTTGGGACATTTTCTGCAGGTATCCCCATGGTAACCTCCATCAGGGTTTGCTCAAGTGTTACCACCCTGTTTAAAATTGGAACACCCGGCCAGGCGCAGTGGCTCATGCCTGTAATCTCAGCACTTCGGGAGGCCAAGGCGGGTGGATCACAAGGTCAGGAGTTCTAGACCAGCCTGGCCAGTATGGTGAAATCCTGTCTCTACTAAAAATACAAAAAAGTTAGCCAGGCGTGGTGGTGCATGCCTGTAATCCCAGCTACTCAGGAGGCTGAGGCCGGGGAATCACTTGAACCTGGGAGGCAGAGGTTGCAGTGAGTCGAGATCATGCCACTGCACTCCAGCCTGGTGACAGAGACAGACTCTGTCTCAAAACAAAACAAAAAACAACCAAACAACAACAACAACATCACCCCAAAAAAAGAAACTGTAAAAAATTAGGCCACGTGCAGTGGCTCATACCTGTAATCCCAGCACTTTGGGAGGCTGAGGCAGGTACATTGCTTGAGCTCAGGAATTTGAGACCAGCCTGGGCAACATGGCAAAACCTTGTCTCTATAAAAAAATACAAAAATTAGCTGGGCGTGGTGGTGTGCGCCTGTAGTTCCAGCTACTCGGGTGGCTGAGGTGGGAGGATGGCCTAAGCCCAGGAGGTGGGGGTTGCAGTGAGCTGAGATTGCGCCACTGCACTCCAGCTTGGGCAACAGAGCAAGACCCTGTCTCAAAACAAATGAACAAATAAACAAACCAACAAAAACAAAAAAACCCAGCATAAAGTAAAAATAAAAAACAAGAAATTAGCCAGGTCTGGTGGTGGACATATGTGGTCCCAGCTGCTTGGGAGGCTGAGGTAGGAGGATCACCTGAACCCAGGAGGTGGAGGTTGCAGTGGGCTGAGATTACACCACTGCACTCCAGCCTGGGTGACAGAGTGAGACACTGTCTCAAAAAATGAAAATTACCCCAAAACCCCATGGCTTGAAAGAACCATTTTATTTGCTCATGGATGCTCTCCATGAGGAATTCAGGAAGGGCTTACCTGGTGGTTCTAGTTCAGAGTTTCTCATGTGGTTGCAGTCAGATGATGGCTGGAGCTGGGACAGCAAGGGTGGGGCCTGGGTCCAGCTGGGGGCTGGACAAGCATCTCTCTCTCTCTCTCCACGTAGTCTCAGAGTGGTCTCTCTGGGCAGGCTGATTTGGAGCAGCTTCAGGGCAGTTGGGCTGCTTACAGGGCAGCTGGAGGCTTCAAGCCCACCTGGTCCAGCAGAAAAGGTGGCTGCTGCATTGTCTTTTAAAGTTCAACCTTAGCAGTCCTGTAGCATTACTTCTGACCCATCCTATTGGTTATAAGTGTGTCACAAGCCCACCAGACTCAAGGGAAGGGGTCATGGGCTGCATTTCTTTCATATATATATATAATTTTTTTCTTTCTTTTTTTGTAGAGACAGAGTTTTGCTATGTTGCCCAGCTAGTCTTAAACTCCTGAGCTCAAGCGATCCAACTGCCTTGGCCTCCCAAAGTGTTGGGATTACAGGCGTGAGCCACTGTCGCCGCCTGCATGCCTGCATTTCTCTTCTTTTCGTTTTTTTTTTTTTTTTTCATTGAGATGGAGTGTCACCCAGGCTGGAGTGCAGTGGCTGGATCTCAGCTCACCGCAACCTCTGCCTCCTGGGTTCAAGCAATCCTCTTGCCTCAGCCTCCCAAGTAGCTGGGACTACAGGCGCCTGCCACCACACCCGGCTAATTTTTGTATTTTTAGTAGAGACGGGGTTTCACCATGTTGGTCAGGCTGGTCTTGAACTCCTGACCTCAAGTGATCCACCCACCTGGGCCTCCCAAAGCACTGGGATTACAGGCGTGAGCCACCGTGCCCGGCCCGTCTGCATTTCTTGATGGGAGATGTCAGGGCCTCCTTGTGGAAGGGCATGTGGGATGGGAGGTATTGTTATAACCATCTGTGGTCCCAGCTACTCGGGAGGCTGAGGCAGGAGAATCACTTGAACCCGGGAGGCGGAGGTTGCAGTGAGCTGAGATCGCCTCCAGCGTGGGTGACAGAGCGAGACTCTGTCTCAAACATAACCAAACCAAACCAAACCAAACAAAAACGGTTAACTAATGTAAATTTCATAGGGTTCTACTTAATATTTGCATATCCCAAGGTAAAGTTAATGTGCGGATAGGAGATTGTGGGGTATCGGGGTTCAGGAAAATATCCTAAGGGTGAATATCGAGCCTCCTGGACTCAGGGCGCAGGTCCAGCCGCCAAAATACCCCAGGGGTCCTCGGTGGATAGAGGACAGGGATTCCACTTTGCGCCCCAGGTTGTAATGACAAACAATTGCCACCAAGGGGCGATGCCGGCCCGGCCACGCGATGCAAAGTCTCGGGTAGTCCCGGGTAGTCCCGGACTGGCCGCGTGGGGTCCGCCTGCCCTGCGGGGACCGGCGGAGTGAAGGGATCCTCCCGAGGTGCTAGTGGGAACCGCCCCGGGGCGGCGAGGCTGGGGCGACTCCTGATACCCTCTTGCTCATGCTTACCGCCTTTCCCCCGGGGCCCTGGCCACCCCCGGCCCCAGCCAGCGCCCTCCCGTTCGTTGGGCCCAGGCAGGGCTCTGTCTCGGATCCCGAGACCCCAACCCTTCCGGGAAAACGCAGCTCGTGGGTGGGGGAGTGAGGGTGCAGCCTAACGGGGGAATCAGGGGCAAAGGCGTTGAGAGGAGCAGGAGGTTTTATTTGGGACGAAGGTGGGGAGTTCTCCCCTCAGGCTGAGCCACGGAGGAGGGGGCTCAGGCATCCTCGGGCGGGACACGTTAATGGGGCGCCCTTGCCGCACCCTGGATCAAAACGCGAGGTTCGAGTCCTAGCCTCAATCACTGGATTCGGGCTGACTTTGTGCAGGACTTTTGCTCCCACTCTGGGGATCCTTCCATCTTCTCAGTAGGGAGAAAGCTTCTCTCCCTACCTTACACGGTGGCTGCGGCTCAAACAGAGAAACCAAGAAAGTGGCAATGTTCGCTGACTTGACTGTTACTGTGAGTGGGGCAGGGGAAGGGTAAAGCCGACGGTAGCTTGAGGCCAGGGGTGGGGTGTAGGTTAAGGAGACCTGGGGAGCCGCTGCAGGGTTTTGAGGAAGGGAGTGCCTTGATTTGTGTTGAGCACTTGGGAGATAAGAACAGTTCCCAGGCAGAGAGAGGGGGGCCTGGCAGTGGGAACAGACAGAGGGGGCTGATGGTTACAGCACAGTATACTTATAATTTTTTTAAAATTTTTTTTTCAGGCTGGGTGTAGTGGCCCATGCCTGTAATCCCAGCACTTTGGGAGGCTGAGGCAGGAGGATCACTTGAGCCCAGGAGTCTGAGACAAGCCCAGGTAATGTAGAGAGACCTCATCTCTACAAATAATTTGAAAATTAGCCAGGCCTGGTAACGCATGCCTGTAGTCCCAGCTACTGGGCAGGCTGAGGTGGGAGGATCACTTGAATCCAGGTGGTGGAGGCTGCAGTGACCAGAGATTGTGCCACTGCACCCCAGCCTGGGCAACAGAGCAGGACCCTGTCTCAAAATAATAATAATAATAATTAATAAATAATTTCAAAAAATAAAAGTAACTTAGAGAAGTTACCAAAAATGTTGAAAATTGGATAAACAAAACCTACCTGGCCCACAAATACAGCTGCAGTTTGCTTTTGGTCTATTTCTTTTCAAGCTCTTTTTACACTTAAAAACATGGCTGTATTATTGTGTATATAGAATTAATTTTTCTGATTTTTCACTTATCAGTATGTCACAGCATTTTTTTTTTTTTAAGACAGAGTCTCACTCTGTTGCCCAGGCTGGAGTGCAGTGGCACGATATCAGCTCATTGCAGCCTCTGCCTCCCAGGCTCAAATGATCCTTCTGCCTCAGCCACCTGAGTAGCTGGGATGACAGATGTGCCCCACCATGCCTGGCTAATTTTTTTTTTTTTTTTTGGAGATGGAGTTGCGCTCTGTCTCCCAAGCTGGAGTGCAGTGGTGCAATCTCGGCTCACTGCAGGCTCTGCCTCGCGGGTTCACGCCATTCTTCTGCCTCAGCCTCCCGAGTACCTGGGACTACAGACACCACCACCACGCCCGGCTAATTTTTTGTATTTTTAGTAGAGACGGGGTTTCACCGTGTTAGCCAGGTTGGTCTCGATCTCCTGACCTCGTGATCCACCCGCCTTGGCCTCCCAAAGTGCTGGGATTACAGGCGTGAGCCACAGCACCCAGCCCATGCCTGGCTAATTTTTGTATTTTTTTGTAGAGATAGGGTTTTGCCATGTTGACTAGGCTGGTCTCAAATTCCTGGGCTCAAGCATTCCACCCTCCTTGGCCTCCTGAAGTGCTGGGATTACAGGTGTGCGTCGCAGCGCCCGGCGCAGCATTTTTCATATTACTTTCTGTATTCATTTCCTAAGGCTACCATAACAAAGCACCACAAATTGGTGGCTTAAACAACAGAAGTGTGTCCTCTCACTGTCTGGAGGCCGGAAGGCAGACACGCTTCCTCTGACAATCCTCCCCCTGTTCCAGCCTGTGTGGTTGCGGGCAGCCCTTGACTTGTGGCTACATCACTCCAATCTGCTTCTGTGGTCACATGGCCATCAAGTGATTCGCGTGCCTCAGCCTCCCGAATAGATGGGATTACAGGCGCCTGCCACCATACCCGACTAATTTTGTATTTTTAATTATTATTATTTTTTTTGATGGAGTTTCGCTCTTGTTGCCCAGGCTGGAGTGCAATGGCGTGATCTCAGCTCACGGCAACCTCCGCCTCCCAGGTTCAAGCAGTTCTCCTGCCTCAGCCTCCCGAGTAGCTGGAATTACAGGCATGCACCACCACACCCGGCTAATTTTGTATTTTTAGTAGTGACGGGGTTTCTCCATGCTGAGGCTGGTCTCAAACTCCTGCCCTCAGGTGATCCGCCCACCTCGGCCTCCCAAAGTGCTGGGATTACAGGCATGAGCCACTGCGCCTGGCCTTGTATTTTTAGTAGAGACGGGGTTTCACCGTGTTGGCCAAGCTGGTCTCGAGCTCCTGACCTTAAGTGATCCATCTGCCTCGGCCTCCCAAAGTTCTGAGATTACAGGCATGATCCACCGTGCCTGGCCTCAGTTTCCTATTATTAAGCACTTGATTATCATCCAATTTATATATGGTTATAAATGATGCTGTAATGAGCACTTTTGTGCATAAAACGTTCCCTTATATTGTTGAAATATTTTTTTGAAGGATAAATATTCAGAAGAGGGAATATCTGGTAAAGGTTTTTTTTTTTTTTTTTTTCTTTGAGACAGAGTCTTGCACTGTTGCCCAGGCTGGAGTGCAGTGCACAGTCTTGGCTCACTGCAAGCTCCGCCTCCCAGGTTCACGCCATTCTCCTGCCTCAGCCTCCTGAGTAGCTGGGCTACAGGCGCCCGCCACCACGCCCAGCTAATTTTTTGTACTTTTTTAGTACAGACGGGGTTTCACCGTGTTAGTCAGGGTAGTCTCCATCTCCTGACCTCGTGATCCGTCTGCCTCGGCCTCCCAGAGTGTTGGGATTACAGGCGTGAGCCACCGCGCCCGGCCTTTTTTTTTTTTCTTTTGAGACAAGGCCTCACTGTGTTGCCCAGGCTAGAGTGCAGTAGCACAATCACAGCTCGCTGCAGCCTCGACCACCAGGCTTAGTGATCCTCCAGCCTCAGCCTCCCAGGTAGCTGGGACTATGGGCATGGGCCACCACGCCCAGCCAATTTTTTGTAGAGATGGAGTTTCACCATGTTGCCCAGGCTACACAAGATATTTTAATGACATTACTGGTTCAGGAAGACGTATGTTGTGGGGAGAGGAAGCATGGAGAAGCAAAAGGAAGAAAAAAAGCATTTGCTACAGCCCATCTGCCAGAGGCAGCATCCACCAGCCTGACCATATAGTTTTACATAGACTTACTACCCTTATTTCTTTTCCCAGTTGAGATCTTATTTATTTATTTATTTGAGATGGAATTTCACTCTTTTTGCCCAGGCTGGAGTGCAATGACAAGATCTCAGCTCACTGCAACCTCTCCCTCCTGGGTTCAAGTGTTTCTCCTGCCTCAGCTTCCCAAATAGGTGGGATTACAGGTGCCTGCCACAATGCCTGGCTAATTTTTTGTATTATTAGCAGAGACAGGGTTTCACCATGTTGGCCAGGGTAGTCTCGAACTCCTGACCTCAGGTGATCTACCTGCCTCAGCCTCCCAAAGTGCTGGAATTACAGGCATGAGCCACTGTGCCTGGCCCCAGTTGAGATCTTATTGCAGGTGACATTTTGTATCCTGTCTTTCCCGCATAACATTAAATCCTAGGCCGGGCGCGGTGGCTCACGCTTGTAATCCCAGCACTTTGGGAGGCCGAGGCGGGCGGATCATGAGGTGAGGAGTTCGAGACCATGGTGAAACCCTGTCTCTACTAAAAAATACAAAAAATTAGCCGGGCGTGGTGGCGGGCGCCTGTAGTCCCAGCTACTCGGAGATACTGAGGCAGGAGAATGGCGTGAACCCGGGAGGCGAAGCTTGCAGTGAGCCGAGATCGAGTCATTGCATCCAGCCTGGGTGACAGAGCAAGACTCTGTCTCAAAAAAAAAAAAAAAAAACAACATTAAATCCTAGTTTCTCATATCATAAATTTCGTAATCATCTTTTAGGTGACTGCATAGTGTTACATTGTAGGAATGTTTCATAATTTTATATCAAATATGCTGTTATTAGAGATTTATGATGCTTCCAAGTTTTTGCTATTATAAATGAACTGTGGTGTACATTTTGTGCCTTGTATCTCCCGATTGCATGTATTAGGTTGGTGCAAAAGTAATTGCGGTTTTTGCCATTAGAAGTAATATTTCAGCAAGTGCCCAGAAGCTGAATTTCTGGGTTAGAGTGCATGAATATTTTTAATGCTCTTGAGTCTTGAGAAGTTGCTTTTCTTTCTTTCTTTTTTTTTTTTTTTTTTGAGATGGAGTCTCGCTCTGTCACCCAGGCTGGAGTGCAATGGTGCGATCTCGGCTCACTACAACCTCCACCTCCTGGCTTCAAGCAATTCTCATGCCTTAGCCTCCCGAGTAGCTGAGATTACAGGTGTGTGCCACTGTGCCTGGCTAATTTTTTGTATTTTTAGTAGAGACAGGGTTTCACCATGTTGGCCAGGCTGGTCTCGAACTCCTGACCTCAAGTGATCTGCCCGCCTCAGCCTCCCAAAGTGCTGGGATTACAGGTGTGAGCCACCTCGCCCCGTCGAGAAGCTGCTTTTCAAAGAGTTGTGCCAGTGTACACTCTCACCAGCCACGAGCCAGCCAGTGTGCCCGTTTTCCTGTATTCTTGCCATCTGTGAGCTTGATTAATTTATTTTGGAAATCTTACCAGGTAAAACATGGCATCCCATTTTGCCTTTTTTAGTTGCCAATGTTGGTATGGTTCCTTGCTAGTGGACTTGTCTGTTCATGTCCATTTACCTTTGGGGGAGCCTAATGTCTTACTTATAGATTTGTGTGTATATATATATATATATATATATATATATATATATATATATATATATATATATATATTTTTTTTTTTTTTTTTTTTTTTTTTTTTTTTTTTAAAGAGACAGCCTCTTGGTCTGTCTCCCAGGCTGGAGTGCGGTGGTGTGATCATAGCTCACTGCAGCCTCAAACTCCTGAGCTCAAAGGATCCTCTCACCTCAGCCTCCCAAAGTGCTGGGATTATAGGTGTGGAGCCACCATGCTGGCCTTGTATTAACCCTTTGTCATATTTGCCATCTGAATTTTTCTTAGTCTATTGATTCCTTCATTTAAAAAACAGTTATTGAGAAATGCAAATCAAAACTGCTTCACACACATCAGGATGGCTAACAACAAGTGTTGTGAGGATGTGGAGAAACTGGAATCCTAGTGTACTCTGGGTGGGAATGTGAAATGGTGTGGCTGCTATGGAAGCAGTATGGCAGTTCCTCCAAAAATTAAGATGGCAAATTTTATGTTATGTGTGTTTTTTGTTTGTTTGTTTGTTTGTTTTTGAGACGGAGTCTTGCTCTGTCACCCAGGCTGGAGTGCAGTGGCATGATCTCAGCTCACTGCAAGCTCTGCCTCCTGGGTTCACACCATTCTCCTGCCTCAGCCTCCCGAGTAGCTGGGACTACAGGCGCCCGCCACCACGCCCGGCTAATTTTTTGTATTTTTAGCAGAGACGGGGTTTCACCGTGTTAGCCAGGATGGTCTTGATCTCCTGACCTCGTGATCCGCCCGCCTTGGCCTCCCGAAGTCTTGGGATTACAGGCGTGAGCCACCGCGCCCAGCCTGTTATGTGTTTTTTACAATTAAAATGCTAGGGCCGGGTGCGGTGGCTCACACTTGTAATCTCAGCACTTTGGGAGGCTGAGGCGGGCAGATCACTTGAGGTCAGGAGTTCAAGACCAGCCTGGCCAACATGGCGAAACCCTGTCTCTACTGAAAATACAAACATTAGCCGGTGTGTTGGTGCATGCCTGTAATCCCAGCTATTCCGGAGGCTGAGGTGGGAGAATCACTTGAACCCAGGAGGTGGAGGTTGCAATGAGCCGAGATTTTGCCATTGCACTCCAGCCTGGGTGACAGAGTGATACTCCGTCTCAAAAAAAAAAAGACAGAAAGAAAGAAGAAAAAGAAAAAAAAAAGCTAGAGAACCAGAAAATATCCACTAAAAAGAAAAAAAGATGTTATTGAGTTCTACTTTGTGTTAAATATCTCTGTGTGCTGGCCATGGAGATTATCAAAACAATAAAATGTCAAGGTGCCCATGGTCCATGGGGATGGAAATATACAGAAATCATCACAACATGGTTTCAACTCCGCTCTGAGAGAGGATTGAGTGCCCTGGAGTGCTCAGGGTGGCAGTCAACCCAGGGCAGGTGAAGTGGTCAGGGAAGCTTCCCCGGGGAGCTGAATTGAGGATAAATTAAAGTTAGCCTGGCAAAGCGAGGTGGTCTGATCTGTGATTTCAGTTACGCTTTTATGACATGCACACCATTTAACGCTTGTGCGGGCAAGGCTGTTGACCTTTCTTTTTGTGATTTCTTCCAGAGCTTTTACGCTCGTAAAGCTCCCTTTCCGCAAGAGGTCTGATGATTCCATTTCGTCCTGTTTTCCACAGTTCAATTTATTTTTATATTTAACTCTTTAATCTACCTGGAAATTATTTTGATGATTGGCAGTGGGATGAGACCCTGGTGGAAGGATGAAGAGGCAGAAACAGGAGGAAATGTCTTCATTCTGCTGCCCTTCCTCCTGACTTGGTGGCTCTGGGGCTCCCACGGGTCACCTTCTCCTCTCCCTGTGGTCATTTCAGTGATGGATGAGTGGGATGGCGTGTGGCTGTGGCCCTGGGTGATTGGAGGTGATGGTCCAGTAGACCATGTTGGTCTGAATTAGGAGGGATGCAGAGCAGACTGCTGTGAGGACTTCCGGCGTGGGGACTGGACAGGACAGATGGAGGCATATGTCCCACCGCTCTCTGCCCCTCCCTGCTACCGAAGCACTCGTTCTCCATCCTTGCCCCCTTCCTCCCTCCCTATTGCTAATTTTAGTTCTCTGTTCATCTGTTTGTTTTGGGCTGTGTTCCCTGCTGGACTGTAAGCTCTTAGAGGGCACATGCCATGTCTGTTTTGCTCAGAACAACAGGCACTGGCCTCCTCTCAGTGCCTGGAGCAAGGACTGGCACAGACGAGGGGCCCAGTGAATGTTGGTTGGATGAACAAAGGGAAGAAATGGCCTCTTCATGCCAGCCCCACAGGGGTGTGGCATGTGGGAAGCTGGGAAGAGTGGTCATTCTGAGCTGTCTGCTCCAAGACCTGGAGACAGATTGCTGGATGGGGGACTGAGGATTCAGAACCCCCAGTATGGGTCGACCTCTCAAGGTCTGATCTTCGAGCTGAATTCCATCAGTAGCAGGGAGGCTGAGAGGCTGGGAGTCTCCCCTGCCCAGATGCCTTTTGTAGCTGAAGTCCCAGGGTAGAGGCGATGGGCTGGGCCCAGAGGAATAGGGCTGGGGAGACAGGGCTAGAGTCCTGGAGGCAGCTGCTTCTGATGAAGCTCAGTCTCAGGGGCTCAGAAACATTCATTACAGCCAGGAGGAGAAGTAATTAAGTCAGAGAGCAGCGGCGGGGAGGGAGGGAAGCCCCATTTTCTCAGGAGTCTCCAGGTGCAATTAATAAGGGCAAGGGAGGGGAGAGCTCTGCCCAGTCTGATGATATTGGTAATAGAGACATGGTTTCAGGGCCACGGTCACCATGTCTGTGCTGACCACCAGAGGAGGGGTGGACACAGGGGCCCGAGGAATGTGTTAGCATCTGGCTTCATGAGGCCAGGGCCAGACCGGCCTGAGCTGAGCCCTGGTGTTGCCGTTGACTTGCTGTAGGAACTTGGGCAGGTCGCATAATCTCTCTGAGCCTCAGTTTCCCTATGAGTAATGTGGAGCTAATAATGTGAACCTCATAGGATTGCTGTGGGATTAAATGTAAAATGCTTAGCAGTGTGCTTATCATGCAACAAAACTGGGATGATAGTTAGAGTTGGGATCCCAAAAATAGTTTGTGACAGCTGGTGTTGAGAATCCACGTGTCAGCAGGTATGTGGGCAGAGGGCAGGAACACGCAGGCTGCGCTGACGGTGGCTCCTGGTTTCTGAGTCCTGAGGCAGACAGCAGCCCTGGGAAGGGTATAATGAACCCCTGCTCTGTGTTTTTTTCCCCAATATCTGTGGTCCTTACATGACCTTGCAAGGCTATTATTGTTCTTTCCATTTACAGATGAGGAAACCAGGGCTTGGGAAGGCAAAGTGGCTTGCTGAAAATCAGTGGGCTGTAGAGCTGGAATTTCAGTTCAGGCTTGTCTGGTGCCACAATATTCAAACTCCTTTCCTTTAAGCTGCAAGGCTACAGAACCTTGGGGTGCACAGGAAGCCACATGACCCAGTCTTGGGGTGCACAGGAAGCCACATGACCCAGTCTTGGGGTGAACCATGGAGAGCAACAGGCATTGACCTCTCAGGCACACTCCATGCCATCTGTCTTGAACAGGCATATGGGCACGACGTGTTCAGGAAAGAAAGACCTAGACGCTCACCCTCTCTCTCTTTTCTTTTCTTTTTTTTTGAGACAGAGTTTTGCTCTTGTTGCCCAGGCTGGAGTGCAATGAATGGCATGATCTCGGCTCACTGCAACCCCCGCCTCCCGGGTTTAAGCAATTCTCCTGCCTCAGCCTCCCAGGTAGCTGGGATTACAGGCATGCACCACTACATCCGACTAATTTGGTATTTATAGTAGAGACGGGGTTTCACCATGTTGGTCAGGCTAGTAGTCTTAAAATCCTGACCTCAGGTGATCCGCCCACTTCAGCCTCCCAAAGTGCTGGGATTACAGGCGTGAGCCACCGCGCCTGGCCAACATTTTCATATATAGAATACCTCTACAGACTTTTCTTCCTGTGTATAGACATATATTTTACGAAATTGGAATTATTATATATAGGTATTTTTTTGTATTCTGCTTTCCCCCATAAAATCATATTTCATAAATATTTCCATGTCATTTAACATTTTTCCAAAACATGATTTTTAATGATTCCATTGGAATATTACACCTCATTTATACTATAATTTGTTCATGGAACAAATTTGGAAATTTGTGCTGTTTCCTATTTTGTGTGTGTGCTACTGTTCATCACATTGATGAATAGCCTTGTGCTATCTCTGGATATATCCATTGGTTACATTCACAAACATGGAAGCCTTGGATTGAAGGATAGGTACATTTACCCTAACCCAGCCTCCTGTGAGGCCTGTTACAGTCTCACCAGTGAGGGTGTTACTGTGTTGTGAGGGAACTTGCCATGGCCCAGGCAGCCTTGGACATTGTCATTTAAAAACATCTCTGTGGCTACACTTTGGGAGGCTGAGGCCGAGGATCTCTTGAGGACAAGAGTTCCAGACCAGCCTGGTCTATGAGTATAGTGAGACCCCGTATCTACAAAAATTAAAAAATAGCTGGGTGGGGTGGTATGCACCTGTAGTCCCAGCTACTCAGGAGGCTGAGGTGGGAGGATTGCTTGAGCCTAGGAAATTGAGGTTGCAATGAGCTATGATCACGCCACTGCACTTCAGCTTGGGTGACAGAGCAAGATCTTGTTTCATGTATTTATAAATAAAAAAATAAAAAATGAAAACAAGTGGGAGTCTCTGTCATTTTCTCATTACTTGTAGGTACTCTTCATGTATTCCAGATCTTAGTGCTTCTTTGGTTGTATACGTTGTGAATATGTTTTCTTAATTTTGAGAGTTGCCTTTTAATTTAGTTTTTTATTATACAGAGAACTATTACATTTTAATGTCGTCAAATTTATAAACCTTTCCTTTATATTTCTTTTGTTTGTATATTTAGAAGAGCCTTTCCTTTTTCATTATAAAAGTTATATAACAACTTTTCTACAACTTTAGAAGAGAAACAGACAAAGTCATGCCCAGTTCCACCATCTCATACAACCAGGCAGGATTTAATTAAGAGCAAAATCGAGATTTAATCAGCCGCTCAAGCCCTGGTGTAGATTTAGATGATCAATTTCAATAACCTCAGAGCTGACTGGTGCCTGACACCCAGATGCATTGGGCAGGGCATAGATGTGGCAGTGCAGAGGACTGCCTGGTATGGGCCTTCCAGGCTGCGTCCCTTTATTCGCCTGTAAAGGAGGAGGTGGGGCTAACACGCTGGTGTCTTAGGAGGCAAGTGCAGACTCTGGGTTCAGACAGACCCAGTTTCAAATCCCTACCCGGCCACTGGCCAGCTGCAAGCCCTAAGGTTTCCAGCCTCTCTAAGTAAGCGGTTTCCACCTCTGCGAAATGGGGGAAACAGTGCGTCCCTCACGGAATAGTTGGGAAAATGAAAGCAGATGGCAGTCATGCTTCTCAGGCAGGCCCGCGCCCCAGTTCAGTTAGATATTATTATAATTATTGGTTATTATGGGTGGTGTCGATGGTAGCTGTGTTTAGGAATTCCCGAGGAGCCTCCTGCTCCCACCTGCTGTGAATCCAGGTCAAGAGGTGGGGCCCTGGCTGTGTAGAGGGCCACAAGGAAAAGGAGGCCAGGACCGACAGGGCACCGGGTTCGGCCAGGCCGAGGCCACATCCCGGCCGCGCAGAGGGGAAAGGAGCAGGGCTGACCCGGAGGCTGCGAAGGCTCCCCGCATCCCCGGGGCTGGCGCCCCCCCTAACAGCGACCCCATCGCTTCTTGGATCCAAGGAGAGGGGCCGCCCCGCCGCCCCCTCGGTTTCTTATCAGCGATGGCCCGATAAACGCGGGCGATAAGGGCCTCCGGCGGCCGGGGCGTGCAAATGGGGCGGCGCGGCCGTGGTTCCGGCGGATCCGGGCGCGGTGTTTGCGGGAGATAAGCGCGCGACCGCTGCGCCCCGCTGGGTACACAGACGCCACTTAGCTGCGCAAACAGCAGCCGCTCGCCTCGGAACACTCAGCCCGGCCGGCACCGGACACGCGGCCCCTGCGCGCGCCTGGGGAGGACCCGGGGAGGCCGGTGGGGTGCGACAGCGACGTCATCAAGCAGACTCGCGCGGGGTCGGGGTCGGGGCATGGGACTGTGACAGCCCCGGATATGTCAAGGGCACGAGCCTACAGGAGAGTGGACGTGCACCGCGAGCCAATGTGCGCCTAAGACCCGGCCCCGGGGAGCGTTGGGTGTCTGAGCTTGTTGAATGAGGGCAGTGGGTGAGCTAGTGGTATCTGAGGGGCTATGCCTATGACACGTGTGCTTGGGGTCCTTGAGGGAGCCCCCAGGGCATGGTCCTCATCCCTGCAGTGCCCCCTGTAGCCAGGCTGCTGCCTAACAGTTCTCATTCTCCCCTTGGGAACAGGCACCCAGATCCCTGAGTTCCCAGAAGAGGCTCCAGCTTCCCGTTCTCAGCAGGACTGGGTCTTTGGGGCACTGAGCAGGCCCCAGAGCTGGGGCTCCATCAGGTAGGGCCCGCGGTAGGAGAGCCACTGGAGGGCCACCCAGCACCCCTTTACTGCTTCCCTTATCTCAGGGCATCAGCTCCACCCCCAAAACCCTCCTTGTCCCTGTCTCCTACTCCAGCTGCGTTTTTGTTGTTGTTGTTGTTGTTGTTTTTTGTTTGTTTGTTTTAAGACAGCATCTCGCTGTCACCCAGGCTGGAGTGCAATGGCGTGACCTTGGCCCACTGCAACCTCTGCCTCCTGGGTTCAAGCAATTCTCCTGCCTCAGCCACCCAAGTAGCTGGGATTACAAGCGTGCACCACCACACCCGGCTCATTTTTATATTTTTAGTAGAGACGGGGTTTCACCATGTTGGCCAGGCTGGTCTTGAACTCCCAATCTCAGGTGATTCGCCCACCTTGGCCTCCCAAAGTGTTGGGATTACAAGCATGAACCACCACGCCCGGCCTCCAGCTGCCTTTGGCACCCCAATTGGCTGCTGGAGGCTACAGACTTGGGGCCACCACTTTCCTCCTTCTCCTTAGAACACCCCTTACCAAAGGTCATCTGAAGAAGAAACCCTCTTATCCAGGACAAAATGAGCAGCTGTCCCCAGCCTGGAGCAGCCCGTTGAACACAGACTGAACACAGGCATCAGGCTCAGGCAGCCAGTTGAGCACAGAATCCAGCCTGACCCATCTTCAGGCACAAGTCTTGATGACATTTCATGAGCTTGAAAGATTTTGTCCAGTCCTGTTGGGTTCTGTCCAGTCACGACTGTTCCTTCCACGTGCCTTAACCTGCTTTCCCCCCAGCCCCTGCTAGTCCCCCTGCTTCTACCACAACCTTAGCTAAACCCTTCTCTGGCTTTTGCCTGACTCTGCCTGTAAGCAAGCCTACCAAGTACAAGTGTTCAGTTTGTGCACTGCACAAGAGCATCACATCTAGGGGCATGGTTCACACTGTAGTTAAGTGGCGTACATGAGTGTGTACTGTCCTTCCTCAATCAGTAGAGGAGACTCCTCTTACAAAAATGCACACAGGCATTCAGGGCCATGCATGAGGAAGCACACTCACTGACTCACACATATACAAGTGTTTTTGCCCCATCCTAGCCTCACTCCAGACTTCTGAGGTGGCTTCTCCTGCCGGCCTGACACTCTCAGAGATGGGATTCCCAATCCATCCACTCTGAAATGGGGGTGCTTACTAGCTGGTACTGACCTGTCATTCAGAGTTGGGGGGTGATGTGTATGGGTGAGAGTGTGGGTCTAATATGCAGGTAGGCAGGGCTCTGGAGAGCTCCCCTGGGCAGAGCTGCGCAGAGCTAAGAAGTTGTCCATGAAGAGGCAATTTGATCTAATTGCTAGGAGGATGCATATATTCTGGCTACTGATTTAAAATGTTTATGGAAAGTGATACATTGGACTATATTGATCATACCATTAAGAGAATGGAAAGGCACGCTACAGGATGGGAGAAGATATTTGTAAGGGACTTATTTCCAAAAAATAAATAGAATGTTTACAAATTAAAAAGAAAAGGTGGACAATTCAAAAGAAAAATGGGCAAAAGGCTTGGTCAGACAATTCACAACAGAGGATAACCAAATGGTTAATAAACATGAAAAGGGCCCAGCATGGTGGCTCATGCCTGTAATGCCAGCACTTTCGGAGGCCGAGGTGGGCGGATCACGAGGTCAGGAGTTCGAGACCAACCTGGCCAACATGGTGAAACCCCGTCTCTACTAAAAATACAAAAATTAGCTGGGCATGGTGGCGTGCACCTGTAATCCCAGCTACTTGGAAGGCTGAGGTAGGAGAATTGCTTGAACCTGGGAGGCAGAGGTTGCAGTGAGCTGAGATCACGCCATTACACTCCAGCCTGGGCGACAGAGTGAGACTGTCAAAAAAAAAACAAACAAACAAAACCATGAAAAGATGCTCTTTTAATCAATCATCAGGAAAATGCAAATTAAAGCCACAGTGAGATACCACCACCCATCCACCAGAATGACTAAAATGAAAAGACAAACATGATGCCAAGTATTGGTGAGGATATGGTATAACCAGGTCTCATACTGTGTTGATGGGAGTGTACATTGGTACAACCACTTCAGGAAATTGGCCATATCTGCTAAAGTGCAACACATACACACCCTATAACCCAGCAATTCAACTCCTAGGTGTATATACTCAACAGACGTGTGTATATATGTTCACCAAAAGACACTTCCAAGAATGTTCTGCTCGGCCAGGCATGGTCTCATGCTTGTAATCTCAGCACTTTTGGAGGCTGAGGCAGGAGGATTGCTTGAGGCAAGGAGTCTGAGACCAGCCTGGGCAACATAGCAATAGCAAGACCTTATCTGTACTAAAAAAAAAAAGAAAAAAAAAAGTTCTGCTGTCTCAGATGGGCAAGCTTAAAAAAGAAATGCTCGTAGCCACAGTAATCATAATAGTTCCAAACCTGAAACTATCCAAATGCCTGTAAATACTACAACAAATAAATAAATAATGATATGTTCACACCACAGAATATTACATAGAGATAAGAATGAACAAACTGTACACACAACAACACGGATGAATTTATTTCACAAACATAATATTGAGCAGAAGAAACTGAACCTAAAAGAATACTATGTGGCCAGGTGCGGTGGCTCACACCTGTAATCCCAGCACTTTGGGAGGCAGAGGAGGGTGGATCAAGAGGTCAGGAGTTCAAGAACAGCCTGGCCAACATGGTGAAACCCTGTTTCTATTAAAAATACAAAAATTAGCTGAGTGTGGTGGTGGGCACCTGTAATCCCAGCTACTCCGGAGGCTAAGGCAGAGAATTGCTTGAACGCAGGAGGCAGAGGTTGCAGTGAGCCGAGATTGCGCTACTACGCTCCAGCCTGGGTGACAGAGTGAGACCCTGTCTCAAAAAAAACAAAACAAAACAAAACAAAAAGTCCAGGCATGGTGGCTCACTCCTGTAATCCCAGCACTTTGGGAGGCCGAGGCGGGCGTATCACCTGAGGTCAGGAGTTTGAGACCAGCCTGGCCAACATGGTGAAACCCCATCTCTACTAAAAATACAAAAATTAGCCGGGCATGGTGGCGCATGCCTGTAATCCCAGCTACTCGGGAGGCAGAGGCAAGAGAATTGCTTAAACTCCGGAGGTGGAGATTGCAGTGAGCTGAGATTGTGCCATTGCACTCCAGCCTGGGCAACAGAGTGAGACTCTGTCTCAGAAAAAAAAAAAAAAAAAAAAAAAGGTGGAGGGGAAAGAAAGAAAAAAGAATACTATCTGATTCCACATAACTTATGTGTTAGAAATGAGGAAAAATGGTTATCCTCAGCAGGGAAGGGATAGAAAGGTAGGGGACACTGGGAGGACTTCCTAGGGGCTTGTAATGTTCTGTTTCTTAAGCTGGGTGCTGGTTGCATTGATGCGCTTTGTTTGTGAAAATCCATTGAGCTGAACATTTACAATCTGTGCACTTTAGGTGTGCTAGTCTTCAATAAAAAGTTGAAAATGTGTTTTGACATTTATGGAGCTAGCGTTTGGGTAAATTGAAGCTGTGTGTCACTGATTAAACTCTCTTGGCCCTGTTGTTCCCTCCCCTACTCTTCCCCCTCTTCTATTCCTGGGCCTCACCTAGCTACCCCCACACCCATTTCTCCCCCCACCGCTGGTCTGCTTCTGATTGCGCAGGATATGCAATTATATATATAAATTTTTTTTTCTGTTGTTTGAGACAGAGTCTTGCTGTCACCCAGGCTGGAGTGCAGCGGTGCCATCATAGCTCACCATAGCCTTCATCTCCCAGCATTAAGTGACCCTCCTGTCTCAGTCTCCTGAGTAGCTGGGACTACAGCTTTTTTTTTTTTCATCTTTATTAGAGAAGAGGTCTCACTATGTCATCCATAAGCATGTTTTTGTTAAAGAAGTCCTTTAAATTTTTTTCCCACAAAACTGCTGTATAGGCAGGTGCAGCCATTGTCTAGAAGCCCTGCCTTCCCTGATGTTTTATCGGTTTGAGATTAGGCTCAGCTGTGAGTGAAGAGAAATTTCAAAATAACAAGGACTTAAATCAGGGATTCTCAAATTTAAGTGTGCAGCAGAATCACTTGGAGGGCTTAATAAGACTCCAACTGCTGGGGCCCATGCCCAGGGCTTCTGACTCAGTAGGTTCGGGATGGGGCCTGAAAATGCGTGTTTCTAATTAGCCGCCAAGTGATGCTGCTGCTGCTGCTGCCAATCTGGAAATCACCCTTTGAGAACAACTGCTGGAAACACATCAAGTTTTTTTCCCTCGTGTAAAAAGCCTAGAGGCCTTTTGGTGGTTCAGAGATCCTTCCAGCTTTTCACTTTGGCTCCCTAAGGTGCGACACTCATCGCATGGCCCAAAATGACTGCTTCAGCTCCAGCCATTAGAGATTTATTCCAGCAGACAGGAAAGAGGAAGGGGCAGAAGAAAAACAGACCTTTATGGATAAGGGCACTTTACAGGGGGTGCCCACAGTTTAAGGGTTAGACCGACCAATGCCTTGGCCCTTCTGATGCAGAGTATGGAGGGCTATGCTGCTGGGAGCACAGGGAGGGGCCCCAACCCAGCCAAGGGGTGGGAGTGGGAGGTGACCTCTACAAATAGCAATTCCTGTCTACCTTTAGTGTTGGTGCAAAGATTACATTTTAAAAATGGATGTGACTGTGATTTACAAGTGGCAAGTCCTATAGAGAAGTTCCTTGCTTTTCTGTCTGAGGTACAGACCCAAACTGGGGTGGGGGTGTAATAGCCTGTTTTGGGAATTACACTGAGCCTTGCCTGCAGGAGATATGATCTGGGAGAGAGGCTGGCAAGGGGGGTCTTTAAATACTGATGGAAGCCATGAAAGATGCTTTTCCCCAGAAAGATACACTTTCTTTTCTTTTCTTAGAGAACAGAGTCTCGCTACATTGTCCAGACTGGTCTTTAACTCCTGGGCTCAAACGATCCTCCTGTCTTAGCCTCCCAAAGTGCTGGGGTTACAGGTGTGAGCTATCATACCCAGCCAAAATACAGTTCACTTCTCTCTCTTTTCCTTCCTTTCCTTTTCTTCCCTTCCCTTCCTTCCTTCCTTCCTTCCATCCTTCTTCCTTCCTTCCTTCTCTCTCTCTCTCTTTCTTTCTCTTTCTTTCCTTCTTTCCTTTCTTCTTTCTTTCTCTCTCTTTCTTTCCTTCTTTCCTTTCTTCTTTCTTTCAGGGTCTTGCTCTGTCACCCTTATGTCTGGTGGCATAATCATGGCTCACTGCAGCCTTGACCTCCTGGGCTCAAGTGATCCTCCCACCTCAGCCTCCCAAGTAGTGTAGATTACAGGTGCGTGCCACCATGCCTGGCTAATTTGTTTTTTTGTAGAAACGGGCCTCCCCCTGTTGCCCAGGCTGGTCTTGAACTCCTGGGCTCAAGCAATCCGCCTGCCTCAGCCTCCCAAGATGCTGGGATTACAGGTGTGAGCCACCGTGCCCGGCCAAGATTCACTTTGATACATGTTTTACTATGCAACCTCAAGGGGTTCACAGGCCCCTGAGGCTCACTGAGGAACCCCGTTTAAGAATCCTTGTTCTAGAGGAAATCTCCATCTCAGCAGTGGTTTTAGGAGCCCCAGGCTCTGGGACAGCAGTTTCAGGAGGTTTTCCTGAATGGCCCCAACTCCAAAGTGGGGACTCTAAGTGGGAAGACCCCTGTGGCAGTGGCATAGGTGGCTCTGAGATGGTGCTGCAGTTTCAAGGGACCCCAGAACTGGGCTGAGGACACAGAGTAGGGTGAAGGTAAGCAGGAGAAAGTGGACAGAGGGACAAAGGGGCATGGAGCAGGGAGAGTCGGGGGTGCACCTGCCAAGGAACTGCAGGTCAGCAGTGCCAGTGTTGGGCGGGCAGGTGCCGGAACACCTGCAGCGTGTTCCCAGCTGGGGCAGGACTCCTTGCATGAGTCCTGGTGCAAGGGGCGTCCAGGAGTGGCCCCTGGAACTCTAGTTTCCAGGTCACTGACTTGGGCCTTGTTCTCCCTGGGAGGTGGCGGAAAGGTGGGAGTGGGTCAATTCTTGTTTTCTTCTCTCTCTGCTGTCACCTTCCACCCTCCTCTCTGATAGATGGCACAGACTAAGTCGCAGCTAATGGCTTTCTGCAGAGCCCTTGGAACTAATGAAGCTGCTAACAAGTGCCTGGGTAAATGAATTGCCATCCCTGCCTCCCTCTCCCCCTCCCTCTCCCTGCCCCGCTGAAGGCCATGGGCTGCACAGCAGCTCAAGGCCACTGGAGACACAGAATGGGGGATGAAGGATGGGGCCTGTCACTCTAGGCCAGGAAGGCAGGGTGGGGGGACATGAGAGGGTGGAGGTAAACACTGGGGAGAAGCATATATGGAGAGGGAGTTGGTGAGAATTGTGGAGAAATGTGGGTAGAGGCCGGTGGCAGAGACATGAGCAAGAAGAAGGGATGTGTATCGGGTAGGGTGGGGTGAGGTGGAGTGATGGTCCCCTTCTGTGCCAGGCACTGGTGCACAAAGATCAGAAGCCCCTGCCTTGTCCTTGAGGAAACCACATTTTGGTAGGGGGTAGAGAAACATATAGAGATAGTCACTGGTTGGTTTTTGTTTTTGTTTTTATGTTTTTGGTTTGAGACAGAGTCTCGCTGTGTCACTGAGGCTGGAGTGCAGTGGCGTGATCTTGGCTCACTGCAAACTTGACCTCCCGGGTTCAAGTGATTCTCCTGCCTCAGCCTCCTGAGTAGCTGGGACTACAGGCATGCGCCACCACGCCCAGCTAATTTTTGTATTTTTAGTAGAGATGGGGTTTCACCATGTTGGCCAGGCTGGTCTTGAACTCCTGACCTCAGGTGATCCACCCGCCTCAGCCTCCCAAAGTGCTGGGATTACAGACGTGAGCCACCACACGTGGCTGGCATATATATATATGTGTGTGTGTGTATATATATGTATATGTATACATGTATATGTGTATATATGTATATGTATACATGAATATGTATATACGTATATGTATACATGTATGTGTATATACGTATATGTATACATGTATATGTGTATATACGTATATGTATACATGTATATGTGTATATACGTATATGTATACATGTATACATATGCGTATATATACGTACATGTATACATGTATACATATGTGTATATATACGCATATGTATATATGTATACATATACGTATATGTATATATGTATACATATACGTATATATACATATATGCATGCATGTATACATATGTATATATACATATATGTATACATATATACGTATACATGTATACACGTATATATGCATATTCATGTATACATGTACATACGCGTATACATGTATACGTATTATACATATACATGTATACGCTTATACACGTATACACGTGTATGTACACGTACGTAGACACGTGTATGTACACGTACGTAGACACGTGTATGTACACGTACGTAGACACGTGTATGTACACGTACGTAGACACGTGTATGTACACGTACGTAGACACGTGTATGTACACGTACGTAGACACGTGTATGTACACGTACGTAGACACGTGTATGTACACGTACGTAGACACGTGTATGTACACGTACGTAGACACGTGTATGTACACGTGTATATATGTGTGTATATATATATGTGTGTGTGTGTGTATATATATATATATATATATTTTTTTTTTTCAGGGTCTTACTCCTGTCACCCAGGCTGGAGTGCAGTGGTATGATCTCGGCTCACTGCAGCCTTGACTTTCTGGGCTCAGGTGATTGTCCCGCCTCAGCCTCCTAAGTAGCTGGGACAACAGGCACGTGCTACAATACTCAGCTATTTTATTTTATTTTATTTTTATTTTTAGTAGGACAAGATTTCGCTATGTTGCCCAGGCTGCTCTTGAACTCCTGGGCTCAAGCAATCCGCCCAACTTGGCCTCTCAAAGTGCTAGGATTACAGGTAAGAGCCACTGTGCTCAGCCTACCCACTGTTTAATTGCCAAAAGAAGCCTGTGACACGAGCTTTACTATTCTCTTTTTACAGTGAGGCTCAGAGAGGCCAAGCAAACTCTCTCAAAGTCACACAGCTAAGAAATGCGAGTGGGATTCAAACCCAGAACATCTGACTCCGGAATCCATACCCTTTCCACCACCCCTAGGTTTGTAAGTATGTGGAAAGGAAAGACATGTTCAGAAACCATTAAGAACAGATGGTTCTGGGTTGATCTGATTTTCCCCGTTGATGGAATTATTTGGTCGGGGATAGGAGTGCCGCAACTCCTCATGTCTGGACTTCAGCAAGGCACACAGCACAATCTCTCCTGACATCCTGCAGACATGGGGTGATGTGTGGGCGAAATGGCTCAACGGCTGGAAGAATTTCTAATTAAATGAGAGGCTGCTTCTAAAGGCAATCCATGACTGAAAGCGGGAGATGGCGGCTTTGCACCACAGGGCTCTGTCCTTTGTCCTACTCTGTTGAACTTTTTTTTCCCTATCCTCCCCCCCATATTTATTTCTAATTATCGAAATAATATATGTCTGCTGTAGAAAAATATAAACTATAGCTAAGCCAAAAGAAAGAAAAAGCATCCTAATCCTCACCAGCACCACTTGCTGAACAGCCTTTTTCAATTTGCTGTAACTCTGAACATTTTTAGAATACAATGTTAGGACCCGAATTCCCGCAACAAAAGATAACTCCACTGTTCACACTGAGGGCGCATCCTGCCAGTCTCTTTATTGCAAACAATAGCAAGAAAATGTAGCACGTTATGGGGTGCTTACATTGAGCTGGCAACAGTCCTGAGCTTCTGACAGCCATTATTTCATTCAATCCTCCTAACCCTTTACGGGCACTTTTATGACCTATTTTTCACAGATGACAAAACCAAAGCTCAGAGATGAAATGATTTGCTCACACCACAGAGACTGGGTGAACAATTGACACAGGGTTTGAAGCAGGTTTTGTCGGATTCTGGAGTGGGGCTTTGAGCAACCATGGGACACCTCCCTCCAAAGGTGCCTGCGTGTTCACCTAGAACCATCCCCCACTGCCTGCCCTTCCACCCCACCCTCTACTAGTAAAGGGGGCAGTTTGTGCAGGACGGTCTGAATCTGCCTGTTGCTTCTCTTCTGCTTGCACAGTAGCATCCGGGGACACAAATGTTATGTGCGGGAAATGCGCGAGGGAAGAAAAGACACACCCACGATACCTTTAAGGGTAAACAACCTTTATCCCATGTAAATGGCAATGTAGATATAATAAGCAAATGATATAATAATAAGCAGATTGATATAATAAGCAAATTGCAATGGGAAGGGGAGAAGGGAAAAGATATTCATACTCACCAGACTATGGAGGATTCACCACCAGACTGGGAAGCAACAGCCTGGGTCGGCTCCAGAGTCGGCCACTTGTCCGTGCACAGACAAGGAAGAGGTCTCATGAAGCTTTGGCACAATCTAGGACCCTAGCTCTTTTGTAACGAGTTGTTTGGCATGAGGTCCAGGCACGAAGGCCCTTCGTGACCAGGCTCAAGGAACACAAAAAGGTCAACTTGTTTTTGCGATTGTCTGTTGTTTTTCTTATATACTTATTTATTTATTTTTTGAGACGGAGTCGTGCTTTGTCACCCAGGCTGGAGTGCAGAGGCACGATCTTGGCTCACTGCAATCTCTGCCTTCCCGGTTCAAGTGATTCTCCTGCCTCAGCCTCCCAAACAGCTGGGATTACAGGTGGCCGCCACCATGCCTGGCTAATTTTTGTATTTTTAGTAGAGACGGGGTTTCACCAAGTTGGCCAGGCTGATCTCGAACTCCTGGACTTCAGGTGATCCACCCACCTTGGCCTCCCAAAGTGCTGGGATTACAGACGTGAGCAACCACGCCCAGCTTTGTTTTTCAGTAACGTATAGGAATAGATTGAAATAGAGATTTCTCCAAAACAGCGCTGGATGAATGCCTCAAGGGGCTCACACAGCCCCTTCTGGTACTTGGTGACCATTGTTTGTGTCCATGTTCAATTGAGTTCAGATTTAATATTTAACTTTTCCTCCACAACGACCTAGGATGTGATCCCACACCAGGCACAAACCCCAGAGACTCTCCTGATCTGTCAGTAGCCACCCATGGGTGCTTACAGTAGGAGGGTGGCTTGCCTAGGAAGCCAGGAATTTATCTTTAAGTGACAAACACTTTTTAAAAACTTACTTTCAGGTTCTGTTCTAAGCACTTTAGAAATAACTTTTTTTTTTTAAATGACTTTTTTGGCAGAGTGCTGTGGCCCACATCTGTAATCCAGCACTTTGGGAGGCTGAAGCAGGAGGATCACTTGAGGCCAGGAGTTTGAGACCAGCCTGGGCAACATAGTGAGATCGTGTCTCAACAAAAATAGGCTGGGTGCGGTGGCTCACGCCTGTAATCCCGGCACTTTGGGAGGCTGAGGCGGGCGGATCACGAGGTCAAGAGGTCAAGACCATCCTGGCCAACATGGTGAAACACCGTCTCTACTAAAAATACAAAAATTAGGTGGGCTTGGTGGCACGCCTGTAGTCCCAGCTACCTGGGAGGCTGAGGCAGGAGAATCGCTTGAACTCAGGAGGCGGAGGTTGCGGTGAACCGAGATCACGCCACTGCACCCCAGCCTAGCGACAGAGTGAGACTCTGTCTCAAAAAAACAAAACAAAACCAAAAATAAATACTAATACAAATTAGCCGGGTATAGTGGTGCATGCCTGTTTGCCTAGCAACTAGGAAGGCTGAGGTGGGAAGATCGTTTGAGCTCACGAGTTCAAGGTTACAGTGAGCTATGACTGTGCCACTGCATTCCAGCCTCGGTGATTGAGATCCTGTCTCAAAAAAAAAAATGTTTTTTAAAGTAACATAAAGTTGGCCGGGTGTGGCGGCTCACGCCTGTAATCCCAGTGCTTTGGGAGGCTGAGGCAGGCAGATCACCTGAGGTCAGGAGTTTGAGACCAGCCTGGCCCAACATGGTGAAATCCCATCTCTACTAAAAAAAATACAAAATTAGCCCGGCGTGGTGACACACAGCTGTAGTCCTAGCTATTCAGGAGGCTAAGACAGGAGATTACTTGAACCTGGGAGGTGGAGGTTGCAGCAGGCCAAGATCACGCCACTGCACTCCAGCCTGGGTGACAAAATGAGACTCCCTCTCTCAATAAATAAATAAATAAATAAATAAATAAATAAATAAAATAAAATAAAATAAATAAATAACTAAAGTAACATAAAATAAAATTGACCATTTTGTTGGTGTACAGCTTTATGAGCTTTAACACATGTATAGATTCCTAGACCCAATAATGGTGTCTGAACAATAAACATTCATACACAAAAAAGAGAATTTCAACCGAAACCTCATACCTTATACAAAAATTAGCTCAAAAGGGAAAGCAATGTAAAATAATAAAACTTTAGAGAAAAGTAGGGGAAAATCTTCATGACCTCAGTTTAGGCAAATAGTTCTTAGACTGGACACCCAAAAGAATGAGTCACAAAAGAGAACAATTGATAAATTGGACTTCATCATAAATAAAAACTTTTGTTCTATGAAAGACAGGGTTAAGAAAACGAAAAAACCAGCTACGGACTGAAAGAAAATAGTTGCAAATCACATATTCAGCAAAAGACTTGTATCCAGAATATATAAAGAACCCTTCAAACTCAACAATAAGAAAACCAACAACCCACTTAAAAAAAAAAAAACCACATGAACAGACACTGCACCAAGGAGGATATAAAGATGGCAGATAAGCACATGAATAGATGTTTGACATCATTAGACAACAGAAAGATGCAATTTTTTTTTTTTTTTTTGAGACAGAGCCTTGCTCTGTCACCCAGGCTGGAGTGTGGTGGCATGATCTTGGCTCACTGCAACCTACACCTCCCAGGTTCAAGTGATTCTCTTGCCTCAGCCTACTGAGTAGCTGGGATTACAGACTTGTGTCACCATGCCCGGCCAATTTTTATATTTTTAGTAGAGATGGGGTTTCACCATACTGGCCAGGCTGGTCTTGAACTCAGGATCTCACGTGATCTGCCCACCTTGGCCTCCCAAAGTGCTGGGATTACAGGTGTGAGCCACCACGCTTGGCCGGAAAATGCAAGTTAAAACCATGATGAGCTGCACTATCCACACATTAGAATGGGTAATATAAAAAATATTGACAATCCGAAGTGCCGAGAGGGTGCAGAGCAATTAGAACTCTTGTCCATTGATGGTGGGAATGCAAAATGGTACAGCCATCCTGGAAAACATTTTGCACTTTTTCTAAAATTAAGCACACAATTACATATGACCCAGAAAACTCTCTTCAGGGTATTTATCCTAGAGAGATGAATATGCCCACATGAATGTTTATAGCCGCTTTATTCATAGTTGATCCAAAATGGAAACAGCCCTAATGTCTTTCAATGGGTAACTGAGTAAACAAACCACATTAATATATTGGCATATTTACTATTCAGCAAGAAAAAGGAATGGACTATTGATACACAGAACAAATTGGAGTCATCTCAAGGGCATTAGGAGTGGACAAAGCCTGTCTCAATAAGTCACATACTGTATTATTCCAGTTGTGTGATATTCCCTAAAAGATAGAACTATAGTGATGGTAGTGGGTGCAAACATTAGGGCTGAGAGGCCTGACCACACAGGGATAGTACTAGGGGGTCCTTCGGAGTGATACAGTCCTTCTGTGTCCTGACTATGCTGGCGGTTCTAGGAGTCCTTTCTCCATTCAGTTGTCTTTGCACTTTGGTCAAAAATCAATTTGCCATATTTGCATGGGTCTATTTCTGTACTGTCTATTCTGTTCCATTGACCTAGCTATCTGTCATTTCACCTGTACTACACTCACTGTCTTTTTTTTTTTTTTAGACAGGGTCTCCTTCTGTCGTTTAGGCTGGAGTGCAATGGTGCAATCTCAGCTCACTGCAACCTCTGCCTCCTGGATTCAAGCAATTCCCATGCCTCAGCCTCTTGAGTAGCTGGGATTACAGGCATGTGCCACCACGCCCAGGAATTTTTGTATTTTTAGTAGAGATGGGGTTTTTTCATGTTGCCCAGGCTGATCTTGAACTCCTGGCCTCAAATGATCCTCCAGCCTCAGCCACTCAAAGTGCTGGGATTACAGGCATGAGCCACCTTCCCCAGCTTTTTTTTTTTTTTTTTTTTTTTTTAAGAGACAGGGTCTTGTTTTTTTATCCAGGCAGAGTACAGTGGTGTGATCATGGCTCACGGTAACCTCACACTCCTGGGTTTAAGCGATTCCCCCACTTCAGCCTCCCCAGTAGCTGAGACTACAGGCACCACCATGCCCAACAAATTAAAAAAACTTTTGGCTGGGCGTGGTGGCTCATGTCTGTATTCCCAGCACTTTGGGAGGCCGTGGCAGATGTATCATGAGGTCAGGAGTTCAAGACCATCCTGGACAATATGGTGAAATCCCATCTCTACTAAAAATACAAAAAATTAGCCGGGTGCGGTGGCGGGCACCTATAATCCCAGCTACTCGGGAGGCTGAGGCAGAGAATTGCTTGAACCCAGGAGGCAGAGGTTGCAGTGAGCTGAGATGGCGCCACTGCACTCCAGTCTGGGTGACAGAGCGAGACTCCATCTCAAAAAAAAAAAAGTTTTTTTTGTAGAGACAGGGTCTTACTATGTTGCCCAGGCTGGTCTTGAACTCCTGGCTTCAAGCAATACCTACCTCTTGACTTAGCCTCCCAAGGCATTGGAATTATAGGCGTGAGATACCCAGCCTGGCCTAAGAGTATTGTTTTTTAATTGTGAGTGGATTTTGAATTTTTGTCAAATGGTTTTTCTTTATCAATCAATATGAGCATTTGCTTTTTTTTTTTTTTTTTTTGAGACAGAGTCTTGCTCTATCACCCAGGCTGGAGTGCAGTAGTGAGATCTTGGCTTACTGCAACCTCTGCTCCTGGGTTCAAGCGATTCTTCTGCCTCAGCCTCTGGAGTAGCTGGGATTACAGGTGCCCGCCACCACGGCCCAGCTAATTTTTGTATTTTTAGTAGAGACAGGGTTTCACCATGTTGATTAGGCTGGTCTAGAACTCCTGACCTCAAGTGATCCACCCGCCTCGGCCTCCCAAAGTGCTGGGATTACAGGTGTGAGCCACTGCACCTGGCCAAGTGATTGATTTTTGAATATTGAACCAGCCTTGCATTGTCAGGATAAATCCCACCTGATTGTAACATATACATTTTTTTTTGTTATATATTCCTGAGTTCAGTTGTCTAATATTTTTTTCTTTTTGAGATGCAGTCACACCCTATCGCCCAGACTGGAGTGCAGTGGCACGATCTTGGCTCACTGCAGCCTCTGCCTCCCAGGTTCAAGGCATTTTCCTGTCTCAGCCACCTGAGTAGCTGGGACTACAGGCGCATGCCCCCATGCCTGGCTAATTTTTATATTTTTAGTAGAGACAGGGTTTCACCATATTGGTCAAGCTGATCTCAAACTCCTGACCTCAGGCGATCCACCCGCCTTGGCCTCCCAAAGTGCTGGGATTACAGGCTTGAGCCACTGAGCTCGGCTTATTTATTTATTTAGAGATGGAGTCACACTCTGCTGCCCAGGCTGGAGTGCAGTGGCACAATCTTGGCTCACTGCAACGTCTGCCTCCTGGGTTCAAGCAATTCTCCTGCCTCAGCCTCCCGAGTAGCTGGGACCACAGGTGCACACTACCACACCTGGCTAATTTTTGTATTTTTAGTAGAGACAGAGTTTCACCACATTGGCCAGGCTGCTCTCGAACTCCTGACCTCAAGTGATCCATCTGCCTCAGTCTCCCAAAATGCTGGGATTGTAGGCATGAGCCACCGCGCCTGGCCAGCTAATATTTTGTTGAAGATTTTTACATATATGTCCATGAGAGATATTGATCTGTAGTTTTTTTTTCTTACAATATCTTTGTTTCATTTTGGTCTCAGGGTAATGTTGCCCTCATAAAATGAACGAAGGAGTATTTTCTCTTGTTCTATTTTCTGGAAGAGATTGTGTAAAATCAGTGTTATTTCTTCTTTAGTTATCCCGCTCTACTGCACACTTCCTATGATTGTGTCCGTGTTCAGGGCCAGGTGGCAGGAGGACACAGAGAGAAGAAAGCTATAGGGGTTCTCCTTCTTGGGACTACAACTGTTTTTAAAAATAAACACACACACATACACGCCCAGGCTGGTGTCTTACTCCTGCCCGCAAGTGATCCACCTCGGCCTCCCATAGTGCTGGGATTACAGACATGATCCACAGCCCCTGGCCCACAACTCTTGATCGGAGAGGGAAAGATTTGGTTGTCTGTGGACCCTGCAGCCACTGATACTACTGTCACCACTGCTACTCCCATGGAATTGTCTCGGGGCTGGGGCACGGGAGAATGAAGAAGAGAAAAATGGAGTTCCTTTTCTCTCTCTCAGTGCTAGACCTTCCCTTTCCACTCCTCGAGGCAGAACGAGCATTTCTCCTGTTGATCCCTCTCGTAGCCCCAGTGCCCATTCTGGATTTGGCGCTGTCTTGTATCGAGGCTGGGGAATATCAGAGGAAAAATGAGAAACTCATTTCAGCTCAGTGGAACGTTGAATTCTGGCTTTCTTCCCCCGTTTCCCCGCTGTGTTTACTTTCACACTCTTCAGAGAGCTGCCCCGTGCGTGTCTGTCCATGTTTCACAGCAGCATTCAGCAGGAGAGACAGGGTGGAGGCTGCTTACTCCATCTCATCTGGAACCTAATAGCTTTTTAAACCATCACAACCATATGAAGTAGATGCTATTGTTATATACATGTGGCCGATGACAAAACTGAGGCCCTTAGAGGTTAAGTAATTTTCCTAAGATCACACAGCTAGTCAGTGGCCAACCCAGTCATCCTAGCCCCAGAGTTTGTGGTCTGAGCTGCAAGTTCCACAGCTTCAGAGGGAGTTGAATGTGACAGCTCTGTGGGGTGAGGTATGGGGCTCGCCTGCTGTGGACAGGCCCTGATATCTCACTCCCTCTAACCTGCACAGTGTGTGAAGGGAGAGTGCATAGTGTTTAGGGAATTGCTTTCTTCTTCTTCTTCTTTTTTTAGACAGAGTCTCACTCTGTCATCCAGGCTGGAGTGCAGTGGTGTGATCTCAGCTCATTGCAGCCTCCGCCTCCCAGGTTCTGGTGATTCTCCTGCCTCAGCCTCCCGAGTAGCTGGGATTATAGGCACGTGCCACCACGCCCAGCTAATTTTTGTATTTTTAGTAGAGACAGATTTTCACCATGTTGGCCAGGCTGGTCTCGAACTCCAGACCTCAGGTGATCCACCCACCTTGGCCTCCCAAAGTGCTAGGATTAGAGGTGTGAGCCACCGCGTCTGGCCTTTTGCTTTCTTCTTTGATGAAGATCTGGACTGTGGTGGGATAGGAATAGCCTTCTGTCTTCAAGACATATGCATGTATGTGCATGTGTGTGTATGTGTGTATACATGCTTATGTATGTGCCTGTGTGTAAACCATGCAGCCATGGACAGTGAGGATGTGGATCCATTCATTCAGCAAGTGTACTTGAGCCACCACCATGTATCACACATTATTCTAGTCACTGGGGATATATCAGTGAAGAAACAGACAAAAACCTCTGCTCTCATGGAGCCTCCATTCTAGTAGTCAGACAACAAGCATACAAATAAGTCAATTACATAGAATGCTAGAAAGTGCTAAGTGCTGGGGAATAAACAGGGCAGATAAGGAGGATTGGGAGTGTTGGGGTAAAGGGCAGGATATAGTTATTAACACGAAACGATGTCTGCCATGTACTCTTGAATGCACTGCCTAAACTGCGATTTCATATGACTTCCTTGTATTCCAGAGGAAACTCATTCAGGCAAGTTCAGCCCTTTATGAGGAATTCCCCTGTGGTCACATTCCAATTCCTGGACCTGCTGCCACCCTCAGAACTGCATGCTCCTTCTTCAGACTTTCTAAGAATGACTCAGGTCATTGGTGGAGTGAAGTCAAGATTTCCAACTCAGTCACCTGAAGAGATGGAGATACCATTCATGGAGCTGGAGGTCCCTGGAGATTTGGGAATTCAGATAACAAGCTAAGATAAGGGTGAGCTACTGACTTGACCTCTCTCTGTGTCAGTTTCATATTCTGTAAAACCAGGCTAATGATGGTACATTATGTGTTGTGAAGACTAAAATAATATGTGAGACGTACCTGGCATAGTACTTGGCACAGTGTAGGCACTTAAGAAAGATTGATTTATTATTTTTGCTATTTAGGCTACATTGACTTTAAGCTGACTGAGAGATATCCATGGGGATATGTCTAGAAACAGTGGACTATGTGGATAGGGAACTCGGCAGAGGAGCAAATTACAGGGATTTTGGGGGTGATTAAAATCTTGGGGGTAGATGACAACCCTACAGTGAAGAAGAAAAAAGAAAAGAGAGCCAAGCATCTCATCTTGGGGAGCACCAATGTAAATAGGCAGAAACAGGAAATGCCAGGAAAAAATCATTTTTTGTTTTGTACTTACAATGGCTAGAAAAAAATATAATTTTACTTGTTTCTCTCTCTTTTTTTTTTTTTTTTTTTTTTTTTTTTGTGAGATGGATTCTCACTCTGTTGCCCAGGCTGGAGTGTGGTGGCATGATCTCGGCTCACTGAAACCTCCGCCTCCCGGGTTCAAGGAATTTTCCTGTCTCAACCTTCCAAGTAGCTGGGATTACAGGCACACACCACCATGCCTGGCAACTTTGTATTTTGGGTACAGACGGGGTTTCACCATGTTGGCCAGGCTGGTCTCGAACTCCTGACCTCAAGTGATCCGCCTGCCTTGGCCTCCCAAAGTGCTGAGATTACAGGTGTGAGTCACCATGCCTGGCCAAATATATACAATTTTTTTTTTTTTTTGATACGGAGTCTCACTCCGTCGCCCAGGCTGGAGTGCAATGGCATGATCTCGGCTCACTGCAACCTCTGCTTCCTGGGTTCAAATGATTCTGCTGTCTCCGCCTCCTGAGTAGCTGGGATTATAGGCACCTGCCACCATGCTCAGCTAATTTTTGTATTTTTAGTAGAGATGGGGTTTCACCATGTTGGCCATGCTGGTCTTGAACTCCTGACCTCAAGTGATCCACCCTCCTCGGCTTCCCAAAGTGCTGGGATTACAGGTGTGAGCCACTATGCCTGGCCATATATACAATTTTTATTTGTCCATTATTCCAGAATAAACCTGGAAGAAAAAAAAAGAGAAAAGAAAAGGAAAGAAAAAAAAGACTAGTCTGGATGCTAAGGATGTTCATTGCTATTGGTTTCAACATTGTTTCTAGCCCTTTTCTGTAAACAGAGATTTCCAAATCAAAGTCAGGACTGACGGGTGTTTATTTAACCTCTTCTATATGACATCTGTGTCCTCTTTCTTCCACATTGTAAATTCTTGTTCTCAAGGACACAGGAGATGGTAGCATTAAAAATCCCATTTATTTTAGAATAGCATTTGTTTGATCTATATTACACAGACGTCTCAGAATAAATACGGACTGGCACCACCAGTTATTACGGAAAACAGTTGATTTTTTTTTTCTTTTGAGACGGACTTTCACTCTTGTTGCCCAGACTGGAGTGCAATGGCACAATCTCGGCCCACCGTAAACTCCGCCTCCCGGGTTCAAGCGATTCTCCTGCCTCAGCCTCCTGAGTAGCTGGGATTACAGCTAATTTTCAAGCGATTCTCCTGCCTCATCCTCTCAAGTAGCTGGGATTACAGGCATGCGCCACCATGCCTGGCTAATTTTGTATTTTTAGTAGAGACGGGGTTTCTCCATGTTGGTCAGGCTGGTCTCAAACTCCCGACCTCAGGTGATCCGCCTGCCTTGGCCTCCCAAAGTGCTGGGGTTACAGGCGTCAGCCACCGCATCCAGCCAGCATTAGTTCTACATAACTGAACTTAATGCTCATCACCAGGCCTTATGTCAATGTTTTTCTAGTCATTTTGGTTGTCTGAAGTTTATTCTCTAGTAGATTCCTCAGGAAAAGCTTATGGGCATAATATTCCCTGAGATCTTGCATGCTGATAATAGTTTGATTATGCATTTGAAGGACAGAATAGCTGGGAGGTAGAGGTGAGAGGATTGCTTTAGCCCAAGAAATTTAGACCAGCCTGGGCAACATATTGAGACTCTATTTCTACAAAAATAAAAGAATAAAACACTATTAAAATTAGCTAGATGTGGTGGTATGCACCTGTAGTCCCAGCTGCTCAGGAGGCTGATTGCACCATTGCACTCCAGCCCGGATGGCAGAGCAAGACCCTGTCCCCTCACACTGCCCCAAAAAAAAGAAAGAAAGAAAAATGATGGTAATATAACATAACTTTCTTTATAGAGACAGGGTCTCTCTCTGTCACCAGGCTGGAGTGCAGTGGCACGTTCACAGCTCACTGCAGCCTTGATCTCGGCTCAAGCAATCCTCCCACCACAGCCTTCTAAGTAGTGGGACTAAAAGTGCATGCCATCATATTCAGCTATTTTTTGTATTTTTTTCCTATTTTGACCATCCATATCAGAATTTTTTTTTTTGTATTTTTGGTAGAAATAGGGTCTCTTTATGTTGCCCAGTCTAGTCTCGAACTCCTGGGCTCAAGCGATCCACCCACCTCGGCTTCCCAAAGTGTTGGGGGATTACAGGCGTGAGCCACTGCACCTGGTCAGGGTTATTTTTCTCTTTTTCTTTCTTTTCTCTCTGTTCTCTCTTTTCTTTCTTTCTCTTTCTTTCTTTCTTTCTTTCTTTCTTTCTTTCTTTCTTTCTTTCTTTCTTTCTTTTCCTTCCTTCCTTCCTTCCTTCCCTTCCTTCTCTTCCTTCTTTCTTTCTTTTTTTTTTTTTTTGAGATGGAGTTTCACTCTGCTGCCCAGGCTGGAGTGCAATGGCATGATCTCAGCTCGCTGTAACCTCCGCCTCCTGGGTTCAAGTGATTCTCCTGTCTCAGCCTCCTGAGTAGCTGGGATTACAGGTGTGTGCTACCACGCCTGGATAATTTTTGTATTTTTAGTAGAGACGAGGTTTCACCATGTTGGCCAGAGTAGTCTAGAACTCCTGACTTCAAGTGATCCGCCTGCCTCAGCCTCCCAAAGTGCTGGGATTACAGGGATGAGCCACCGTGCCCAGCTCAGGGCTATTTTTCTCATAATAGTTTTGTATGGGATTTGAGCTTAATACTTTTACATTGCTAATTTTTATGTGAAACTAATTTTCCTGAATTTTCAGAAGGAGGCTTCACCAGAGAGTTTTTCTAACTTCACAAATCTCTTCCTTTTATTGTTTTCACGTAATGTGAAAATGACGGTGGCTTTGGTCTGAGCTTTTTCTGGCTCTGTTCCTCTCTCCCCTTTTTATCTGGATCTCTTTCTCCCCCTTTTCTTGTCTCTGTGCTGCTTAATTTTGATCCTGCTCTTAGTGGCTTATCTGTGGGTTCAGTACCATAAGGGAGCCCTGGCGGGTCAGTGCTGAGAGCTCAGGGGACAAGAACTTCTCCAGGCCCTTTAGACTTGAACGAGGGCATTGGTGCCCTTGCCCTCGCCTGCTACTGTGATGGCTGTTTCAGCAGCTGTGTGCCGCCCCCCAAAAAATGCCCATTGCACTTTCCAGGTAACACCTGTTGACTACATCTCAAGTCATACAAATCAGAGGCAAACTGAAGTGTTTATGCCCCTAAATTCATCAGTCATTGGTTAAACCCGCCCCTGGGGAATGGGGAAGCCCCAGGCACTTCCAACGTGATGCAGGCAAATTGGTCCCGGCAGTCTGAGGGCACCCCTGTGACTAAAAGATTCCTTCATTCACGTGGTCAAGAATGCTCATTTTTTGTACAGCATGGTGACTATAGTTAATAGTTAATAATACTGTACTATAGAGTGTAGATCTTAAGCATTCTCACATAAGAAAAAGTAACAATGTGAGGTGATGGATGTGTTAATTTGGTTGCAGTAATCATTTTACAATGTATACATATATCAAATCATCACATTGTACACTTTAAGTATATACAATTTTATTGGTTAATGATACCTCAATAAAGCTGGAAAATGGCTCATTTTTACATTTCCATTTGGCATTGCATTAAGGGTCATGGAAGGGGGGAAATAGAGGAGTGAGAGGGTACCCCCATTCCTTCTAATAGCACATTTTGAGAGTGGCACACATCACTCTTGCTCACATCCATTGGCCGGAACTTAGTCACAAGAAGTCACTTGGCTGCAAGGGAGACTGGGAAATGTAGTGATTAGCTGGGAAGCCATATACTCAGCTAAACTCTATTGTAAGAGAAGAAGGGGAAAATAGGTACTGGGGAACAATTTATGGTCTCTTTCCTAAGACTGATGGGAAAGAGTGAAAGGAAAAGATGCGTGAGGTAGGGTGACAGGCTCCCACTTCCAGGCAGGGGATTGAGGGAGGAGGAGGATGCATGCTGAGGTGAAGGCCACTTTCAATGTGGTAAGAGATAGCTGAGTTTGGAGGCAGAGAAGACAGAAATTGGGCTGGCATGAGGGTTGGGGAAAATGGAATAAAACAGGCCGGGCACGGTGGCTCACGCCTATAATCTCAGCACTTTGGGAGGCTGAGGTCAGGAGTTCAAGACCAGCCTGGCCAACATGGGGGAAACCCTGTCTCTACTAAAAATACAAAACTTAGCCGGGTGTGGTGGCGCACTCCTGTAATCCCAGCTACTCGGGAGGCTGAGGCACAAGAATCACTTGAACCCAGGAGGCGGAGGTTGCAGTGAGCTGAGATTGCGCCACTGCACTCCAGCTTGGGTGACAGAGCGAGACTCCATCTCAAAAAAAGTAAAAAGAAAAAGAAAATGGAGCAAAACAGAGCCAAGGGCCTTCTAGCTAGGCATGGCCACGTGACTAAGTTCTGGCCAATGGGACAGGAGCACAGGAAGCAATGCAGCTTCCTCATCATACTCTTTATTTCCAACTTTTAAATTGAGGGGTACATGTACAGGATGTGCAGGTTTGTTACATAGGTAAATATGTGCCATGGTGGTTTGCTGCACAAATCATCCCATCACCTAGGTATTAAGCCCAGCAGCCATTAGCTATTCTTCCTGATACTTTCCCTCCTCCCCGACTTTGCTTTTTTGGTTTGCTTGTTTGTTTTTTTTTTTGAGATGGGGTTTTGCTCTGTTGCCCAGGCTGGAGTGCAGTGGAGCAATCACAACTCACTGCAGCTCTGACTCCTCAGGCTCAAGCGATCCTCCCACCTCAGCCTCCCAAGTAGCTGTGACTACAGGCATGCACCACCATACCAGGCTAATTTATTTTTTATTGTTTGGGTAGAGACAGGATCCTGTTATGTTGCCCAGGCTGGTCTCAAATTCCTGGGCTCAAGTGTCCTCCTGCCTCAGCCTCCCAAAGTGCTGAGATTACAGGTGTGGGCCAGGAACCTGACCTCTACCATACCAAACTCTTAACTTCCTTGTTTCTCATCCCGGTGGCCTGGAATGTGAATGTGGGGTAATGAACACCGTTTTTTTTTTTTTTGCGACGGAGTCTTACTCTATCACCCAGGTTGGAGTGCAGTGGCATGATCTCAGCTCACTGCAATCCCCGCCTCCTGGGTTCAAGCAATTCTGCTGCCTCAGTCTCCTGAGTAGCTGGGATTACAGGCACCCGCCACCATGCCTGACTAATTTTTTTGTATTTTTGGTAGAGACGGGGTTTCACCATGTTGGCCAGGCTGGTCTCCAACTCCTGACCTCGGTGATCCACCACCTTGGCCTCCCAAAGTGCTGGGATTACAGGCGTGAGCCACTGCGTCTGGCCTAATGAATATTGTTTTTTTTTTTTTTTTTTTTTTTGAGACAAAGTCTCACTCTCGTCCCTCGGGCTGGAGTGCCTCAGTTCATTGCAACCTCCGCCTCCCAGTTCAAGTGATTCTCCTGCCTCGGCCCACCTGAGTAGCTGGGATTACAGGCACCTGCCACCATGCCTGGCTAATTTTTGCATTTTTAGTAGAGATGGGGTTTCACCATGTTGGCCAGGCTGGTCTAGAACTCCTGATCTCAGGTGACCCACCCGCCTTGGCCTCCCAAAGTGCTGGGATTACAGGTGTGAGCTACCGCGCCCGGCCAAACATTCTTAAACCATGTAGATGGGTGCATAACTTGGAGTAACAAGATAGATGGTGTTTGGGCTCCTTGTAGATCAGAGGCACCCTATCCCCTGGCTACCAGCTTGGTTTCTTATACAAGAGAGAAATAAACATCTATGATATTTAAGCTACCGCTATTTGGTATCTATTAAGGGGGGGTGCATGAATATCTTAGCTAATATGTTCACATGTTGACTGACTGATTCAATAACCTAGGAGCACACACATGCCAGTATCACATCAGATGCCAGGAGCCACAAAGACACAAGTCCATAAGGGCCTGGTGAATCAGGGAGCTGACTGTGTCTGACCTAGGTCAGAACTGTTTCTCCCTGAATCCATACCTCTTTCAGGACTTGAGTTTCTGCACCTGCAGCACAGGCCTCTTGAGACTGTTGGGCCCTTAAAAAAGTTTTGGATTCAAACAGGAGCATTCATGTGGAGGGGATGTGCGCAGAACTCACAGGGGCTGGCGCCCAGGGACCCTCACAGTATCTAATTTCAGGCTTCGCAACACACACCAGCATTTTATTTTTATTTTTATTTTTTTTCTTTTTTGAGACGTAGTCTCGCTCTGTCACCCAGGCTGGAGCGCTGTGGAGCGATCTTGGCTCATTACAATCTCCGCCTCCCAGGTTCAAGTGATTCTCCTGCCTCAGTCTCGCAAGTAGCTGGGATTATAGGCATGCATCACCATACCCAGCTAATTTTTGTATTTTTAGTACAGACAGGGTTTCGACATGGCCAGGCTGGTCTCAAACTCCTGGCTTCAGGTGATCCGCCCGCCTTGGTCTCCCAAAGTGTGGGGATTACAGGCATGAGCCACTGCACCCAGCCTATTTTTATTGGTTTTTAAAAATTCTTTGGTTGTTATTTAAGCCATTAAATAGAAATACCCTTTAAACATTCAAACTATATTGGAAATATATAAAGTACTAGAGAAGCCCTTGTTTTGATATAAACAGGTCTGAGTCATTGACCAGTGTTTTGAAAAAGTCAGCTTAAATGGGCAATCATAAAGACACATACAGGTCTTAGTCACTTTGTTTTGATTTCAAACACAAAATTCACATTGAGGCACGAATTTTTCTTTGGGTGTCTTGACTCAAATTACCCTTTGACTTTCTTGCATAAATCACACCCACAATCCTATAATTTGTCACCTGTTATTTCCAGTTTCTTTAAACTTAAAGACACTTGTGAAGCAATCTGATGTAGCACACTTCTAGATTTTTAGGATTTTCCCTTAATGGTTTATCTTTCACATCTAATTCAACATGTCAGCAAATCTCTTTGTGTATTACTTCCAAAGCATTTAACGTAGTTTGCAAGGAAACAATTCTTTATGCACTCATATTTCATCAGTTTATATAATATTTAATTCAATTATATGATTACAATGACAAATACACCTGGCATAAACAGGCTAGGGACACATCCAACCAAAAGGCAACTCAACCCAGAGGTAGCTGAATTCTTGCTTTTCTAGACCAGGGGTCAGCAAACTACGGCCCTGTGGGCCTGTTTTTGTACATTCTATGGGTTAAAATGCCTTTTAGGGGCCGGGTGTGGTGGCTCACACTCGTAATCCCAGCACTTTGGGAGGCCAAGGCAGGCGGATCACTTGAGGCTGGGAGTTCGAGACCAGCCTGGCCAACATGGTGAAACCCCATCTCTACTAAAAATACAAAAATTAGCCAGGCGTGGTGGCATGTGCCTGTAATTCCAGCTACTTGGGAGGTTGAGGCAGGAGAATCTCTTGAAGGAAGGCAGAGGTTGCAGTGAGCTGAGATCATGCTGCTGCACTCCAGCCTGGGTGACACAGTAAGACTCCGTCTCAAAAAAAAAAAAAATGCCTTTTAGGTCAGGCACAGTGACTCACACCTATAATCTCAGCATTTTGGGTGGCTGAGGCCGAAGGATCCCTTGAGCTCAATAATAATAAAAAGAATGGCTTTTAAAGTGGTTGAATCTGTAAACAGTTGAAATAAACTAAAAAAATTTTATGACATGAAAATTATATAAAATTCAAACTTTAATGTCTGTAAGTAAAGATTTACTGAAGCACTACCATGCCCATTCTTTTTTTTTTTTTTTTTTTTTTGGTGTATTCAGTGGCTGCTTTCAAGCTACGGTGGATGAACCTAACGGTGTCAACAGAAACTCTATGGACCACAAAGCCTAAAATATTTACTATCTGCTCCTTTACAGAGTTTGCCTACCTCTGTCCTAGAGCGAAGCCTGAGCCTTGGGCGCGCAGCACACCACAAGTATCTGTTACTGTGTTTTGCAGAAGCTTCAGGTAAGAGGGAGAGCTCCTAGGAGAGCTCCTACCATAAAAAGTGAAAATCCCTTACTTCTTGGCATCGCTGTTTCCTAAACCCACCCCCTGCTCTTCTCAAGGTAGCTTCATGGTTTGCTTCCTCACTTCCTTCCTGGGCTCAAGTGAGCGATCCTCCAACGTGGTCTCCCAGCGCACTGGGAAAGACATGAGCCACTACACCCGGCTCTGATTTTTCTCTATAGCACTTATCAGACATATTCCATGCTTATTTATTTATTTATGTATTTATTCATTTATTTGAGACAGATTCTCACTCTGTCACCAAGGCTGGAGTGCAGTGGCACCATCTCGGCTCACTGCAACCTCTGCCTCCTGGATTCAAGTGATTCTCATGCCATAGCCTCCTAAGTAGCTGGATTACAGGCGCCCGCCACTGCGCTTGGCTAATTTTTGTAGTTTTAGTAGAGACGGGGTTTCACCATGTTGACCAGGCTGGTCTTGAACTCCTGGCCTCAGATGATCCACCTGCCTTGGCCTCCCAAAGTGCTGGGATTACAGGCGTGAGCCACCGCACCCAGCCTCCATGCTTATTTATTTATTTTCTATTTCCTGTCACTAGAATGTGAGCTCTATAAGGGCAAGGATTTTGCCTGTTTGTTCACTACTCTATCCCAGTGCCTAGATCAGTGCCTGGCACACAGCAGGGACTTAAGTGCTTGTTGAATGAGGATTGAATTACTTTTTTTTTTTTTTTTTTTTGGAGACAGTTTCACTCTGTCGCTCAGGCTGGAGTACAGTGGCGCGATCTTGGCTCACTGCAACCTCTGCCTCCTGGATTCAAGCAATTTTCCTGCTTCAGCCTCCAGAGTAGCTGGGACTACAGGCATGCGCCACGACGCTTGGCTAATTTTTGTATTTGTAGTACAGATGGGGTTTCACCATGTTGGCCAGGCTGGTCTTGAACTCCTGACCTCGTGATCCACTCACCTTGGCCTCCCAAAGTGCTGGGATTACAGGCGTGAGCACCACGCCTGGCCTGAATTACACTTGCTGTATGACAACCTGCTATCTCTAGGACCCTGGGCATGAGGAAATGCCTGAGGGTGGAAAGCAGTGGAGCAGTGCCACACAGTGCATGGTGATCAAAGTGAGGCCTTGTGTGTGGGGAGTGGGTACAGGCAGGTGGGTGATGGGGTACAGAATTCTAAGCCTCTGGGGATGAATGGCAGAGGCCACACCATCTTGATGAGTGGCCCTTGAGCCCACTGGACAAGGAGAATTGTTGGCTGGGGTCCAGGTCCATGGTCTCCCTGACTTGGGGTGGCCTTGCCAGGTGCTCTCAGAATGGGGACCATTCTGATTCTGTCCCCTCCCCTTTGATTCTGTCCCCCACCCTTCAAGGACAAACCGGAGGCAGGTCCTGGTCTCACTTCTACAAAAACAATTGTTTCTGAAGTTTCCCCCCTCACACCCTAGACATGTCTCATGGCCACTGAGTCATGCAGCAATGATGGGTGTGGGTGTGTGGATCGGGGGGTGGCTGAGCCCATTGATCGAGGGCTGAGACATTTTCCCCGCTAATCAACAAGTTAATAAGCTCTTCGATGAGGAGGCGGTGATTAATGAACCAATCAGCTTGCCCTGTAATTGGGGAGTGAGATTGGAGGGTGGGGGTATGAGGGATAGAGAGGGTTTGCGGGGATGTGCGGCTGGCTCCTGGTCCACACTGAGACCACCTAGGGGCCCATTTACTTTGGCTATAAATGAGGAAGTGACTTCTTCAGAGGTTGTAGCCCGAATTCAGGCCACCCCATGCCCTCTAGCTTCTACAGTGTCTCTCCTCTCTTCCCATCTGTCCTTGGACTCCACATTCCCCAAGACATGACAGGGTTCCAGGGATGTCAGATTCCCCATGGCCATCTCACAGTTTCCTTCGTCTCTGTCCAGAATCGGTGCACTAGAAATCCCCTACCAGCACCATGGTTAGTGCCGCCGCAGGGTCAGAAGAGCAAATAGCCCCCTACTCTCTGGTATCCTTGCCCCCGTTAGCCTGCAGGGTCCTTCTCTAGGCCCTGATCCCTGGGATCACAGATGTCCTAACCAGCCCCCACTGCTCCCTCCATCCTAGGGTGAGCACCTGTCTTTTGTCTTTCCATGGAGGAATGGAATTATTTGATTTCTGCTGTCTCCCCTCCAAACAGGACAAAGGCTGTCTCTGTCTCTCTGTATCTGTTCTGGGAACCGCTCATACTGGGGCTCCCCTATGACATGGCCATATCTCTCCTTTGAGACTGGGGTTCTTGAAGGGCAGGGGTGTGTCTTGCCCCCTGGATGAGGGCTCCCTAAGAAGAATGATTTTTCTCCTCCCTCCAAGGGCAGGATCTATGTCCCCTTGTCCTGGTGTCCTCTTCCACCCCCATGCTCAGCAGGGCACCCTGGTGTTTCCTGGGATGTGGAGTCCCATGGGGCCTGACTGGCTGATAAGGAGCCATTTCCGGAGAATGCAGGTGATTGAACCCATAAAATGGTGACAGAGAGCCCTGAACTCCCCATCTCAGGAGAGCTCTAAAAATAGCGCCCACAGCCATCTGTCCTGGGGCTGGAGGGGCTGGCTCAGAACCAAGGGCCTGGACAAGTTGGCCCCATCAGTCCCTATGGGCCGATGGGACATCTGGAAGTACTGGAGGTCTGGCGAGGCCAGGGAGAGGAAGCTGGAAGGGCTTTATGGGGAGACCTTCCCACAGCCCTTTCTCCTCCTGGGCAGGTGGGTTTGAGGGGGTTGGCAGTCTGAAGGTCCTTCCCCTACTCCGCCTCTCAGAGTGGGTGTGGGCCCTAGACTTAGTCTTCGGGTCCCTGCTCCCAGGCCTGCCTCTGGCGCCCCAATGGCTACTCCAGGTGCTGAGCCTTTCTGCCCCTCACAATTGAGAGGTCCTCTTCCTGGGTTCTGCCTCACCCTGCTTTTCCTGTTTGAATTGTGGGTGAGCTTGGCTGCTCCATCACCTCCCAGGGCTTCAGTTTCCTCATCTGGAAAATGGAGATAAACTCAGCTCATCGTCTTGTGATGCCCGAAATTATGCACTACCTAGTGCATAGTAGGTGCTTAATAAACACGAGTCCTTTCCTTCAAAGGATCTGGGCTTAGAGCCCAGTGGAGACTGCCATGGGCTGGGGACAGTGGCATGTGCCTGGGAAGCCTTGGCATCACTCAGGCCCAGAAGACACCAGTGCTCTGAATGACACCTGCATAGGGGTGGAGACACTCTGCCTTGGGAGGGGGCTCTATACCACACATGGCTGGACTGGGGTCTGTGTGTGCCAGTCTGGATACACAGGTGGCCGACTCAGCTGCTTCTGGCGGGGAGATTGGTTTCTGCCTCCTCCTGCCTCTTTTCCAACTCTTTAATAGAGAGAGGACATAATGGAGTGTTCAGAGAGGCCTCTCCCCAAGACACCATAAACTGCAGGTCAGGAGCCAAGGTCAGGTGCTCCCACCCTGCCTCCAGGAGAAAGACTTTCCCCAAAAGGTCCTGTCATTCCTCAGCCCTTCTCCAAGGTATTACTGAACAGAGGCTGAAAAGGGTTGTCTTTTGGAAAGAGTGGTCACACATCCCACGGACTGGAGGGAATGTGTCCACCCTCCCACCCCCAACTCCCATCCACGGACAGGCTAGGGAAGACAGAATCTCAACCCTGGTCCTAGGGGCTGCCCCAGGAGTCTAGATCCAACCGCTTCACTTCCTCAGGAGGCTAGACCTGCCACTGGGGGGCTGTGGGGTGAACATGGGGTTCAGGCTGGGTACCCCATCCAGTGAGACCACGAATCTGAGCATGGCAACTGCCCCCTCAGCTCCTGCGAGGTGGAGACATCACGCACTGGCTGGGTATAAGCTCAGCGATCTGGCGAGGGTGGAAGGAGGGAGGAAGAAGGGCCCACCCCCTGCTGGCTCCCCCTCCCCCTGGGACTCCCCCTCCCTTTCCAGGCGGGGATATAAGCCCCACAAGGAAAGCGCTGAGCAGAGGAGGCCTCAGCTTGACCTGCGGCAGTGCAGCCCTTGGGACTTCCCTCGCCTTCCACCTCCTGCTCGTCTGCTTCACAAGCTATCGCTGTGAGTGGCTGGGGGCTCAAGCCTGGGGAAACCCAGGCTGTTTTGTGGGGAAACTGAGGCTGGGATGGTGGAAGCTGGGGGTGAGTGGTAGGAAACTGGATTGGAGGGGGCCATCGGAGGTGGGAAGGAGGCCAGCAGCGGGGGTGGGGGTGGGGAGGCAGGCAGGGCTTATGCTCCTCTGACATGAGGAAACTGAGTCAGGAGACGGTGCAGTGCCCAAGAACACACAGCAAGCCCGGTGGCTGAGCCTTGGTCCGGTACCAGCCCCAGGGAGAGCGTCGGAGCGCGGCCCCGACGGCAGCCGCAGCCTCCCGCCGTGTAGGGTCGAGGCTTGGAATGACCCACGTCCCAATGTCGCCTTCCCAGATGGTGTTCGTGCGCAGGCCGTGGCCCGCCTTGACCACAGTGCTTCTGGCCCTGCTCGTCTGCCTAGGGGCGCTGGTCGACGCCTACCCCATCAAACCCGAGGCTCCCCGCGAAGACGCCTCGCCGGAGGAGCTGAACCGCTACTACGCCTCCCTGCGCCACTACCTCAACCTGGTCACCCGGCAGCGGTGAGCGCAGGCGCGGAGCGGGACCCCTGGGGCTCTCACCCTGCGGCCCCGCTCCACCTGGGGGCGTGGCCAGATCTGACCACGCTCTTCCCTTCCCCGCCCCCAGGTATGGGAAAAGAGACGGCCCGGACACGCTTCTTTCCAAAACGTTCTTCCCCGACGGCGAGGACCGCCCCGTCAGGTCGCGGTAAAAGCGCCCGTTACCACACATCCTGCATCCGAGAGCGCGGCCTGGCCCTACCCTGGCAACATCACTTAACGACGTCTCCCAGGCTCGCCTCCCCAGATCCAATTCCTTCCCCTTCGCTTCCGCAGGTCGGAGGGCCCAGACCTGTGGTGAGGACCCCTGAGGCCTCCTGGGAGATCTGCCAACCACGCCCACGTCATTTGCATACGCACTCCCGACCCCAGAAACCCGGATTCTGCCTCCCGACGGCGGCGTCTGGGCAGGGTTCGGGTGCGGCCCTCCGCCCGCGTCTCGGTGCCCCCGCCCCCTGGGCTGGAGGGCTGTGTGTGGTCCTTCCCTGGTCCCAAAATAAAGAGCAAATTCCACAGAAACGGAATGTATGCCTTTGTATTTCCTTTCCTTTCTCCTTCGTGGAGGTGGCATCCCGTAGAAGTGGAGGGTGGAGGCGTGGGGGCCAGGGAAGAGAAAACCGACTTGGACAGAGGCGCCCCAGGACAAGGCTGGGGCGGGCTGCGGAGTTCCCTCTGCTCGGAGCCCAGGGAAGACTCGACCACCCAGCCTGGAGCTGGACAGCGCCCAGGCCAGGAACTGCTGTGGAAGGAACTCTGGTCGAGTGGGGGCAGGAGTGGATGGAACTCTGGAAGAAGGGGCGGGGAGCGGCGACAGGAGCCTGCTAGGCAGCCTAGGAGAGCAGATGGGGTCAGGGCTGTCCCTCCCCCACCCCGTGAAGCCGAAGACGGCTGGGGGACGAGTCGGGCACCAACACCCCGGGGCGTTTCCCCAGGAGCTGTAGTACTAGCGCCCAGGGCTGGAGTGGCTGGAGGTGAAGTGTAATCCAAAATGGGGCTGTGGAGGAAGAGCCGTGTGGGGGTGAGATGGCTGTACGTGTGCTGGCCGGAGAGGCAGGCCATTTCTACCGTCCCCCTTTCCCTGAGTAGAGGAGCAATGGGAGTGTGGAGGCTGCCCTATCCCTAAGAAACCTCCCTCCCCAATCTCGCTGAATTCACACGCAGTGGATAAGTCACGAACTGTTCTTTCTTAGTGACAAGGCCATAGGGACACCCTCCATGTACCCCCCTCCCCTGGACTAGCTACTGAAGCCTAAAGGCTCTGTGGATGTTTAAACTGGAATCCAACTCGAATCCCTCACCACTCTGTACCTATTCCAGAGCCTGCCTGCAGACTGATCTCCCCTGACATCCACCCTTCCCTGCCCCTTTCCTCCAAGAAGCTTGCCTTGATTGCCCAATTGCACTCTTCCTGCCCTCTCTAACTGCCCAGCTCTCAGGGCCTCTGCTCTGTTCACTGAGAGTTCTATGTCTCTGTGTCCTGTCTCCCTCCTGGGGCCTCAAGAAGGAAGGGCCTATGTCTCCTTCCTGGGACACAGCCTCCTGTATCTGTGGGCTCTCTTCTGGGACTCCAGTTCAGCAAGACCTGCCCAAATCTGAAGCAGGGCACTAGGAGATGAGGGGGGAAATCAGGTTGACTTCAAAACCTGTGACCCAGAGAGGGGAAAAACGACAGGAAGGCTGGGGGCATCCTTGCAGCGGATCAGGGGTTTTTTTGTTTTGTTTTTTGTTTTAGAGATGGAGTTTTTGCTTTTGTCGCCCAGGCTGGAGTGCAGTGGTGCGATCTTGACTCACTCCAACCTCCACCTCCTGGGTCCAAGTGATTCTCCTGCCTCAGCCTCCCGAGTAGCTGGGACTACAGGTTCTCACCACCACACCTAGCTAATTGTTGTATTTTTGGTAGAGACGGGGTTTCACCGTGTTGGCCAGGATGGTCTCAATCTCCTGACCTCGTGATCTGCCTGCTTCGGCCTCCCAAAGTGCTGGGATTACAGGCGTGAGCCACCGCGCCTGGGCTGGATCAGGGTTTTTAAGGAGTATTTGCAGTTCAATGGTTCTGGAAGGAGAGAAGACTCTAAAGCTGACTCTGCCATAGCTGCAGAGAAGTTCCCTGCTTGGACACAGGTCCCTTGGGGGCCACAGGGCTCTGACACCCACCCTCCCCTGTGCTGCCCTCCAGCCTCCCTGGAGGTAGAGCTGAAAGGATGAGGCAGAGGAGGCAGGTGGAGGTCACTGGCTATGTGGATTCTGATGCTCTGCGCCTTTGCCCAGGCCACTTTACCTCCTTGCAGAGCCCTTTCCCTCTCTTAAGCCTGGAAGATACTCTCAGGATAGTGGTCACCTCCTCCTGGAAGCCTTGCCTGATTTCTTGGGGATGGAGTTAGTTTCTTTGACTCCCTCTCCCCACTCATTATCTTAGACCCACTTTCCATCCTATTTTGCCTCCTGTCTTCTCTCCTGCAACAGGACAGGTGGGACGAGAGCACACAGTGGCTGCCCTGAGCTTTGGTTCATTGTGTGGGTGGGGAGTGGGAGGATGTGTCTGTGTGTTGGTGTCCATGATCCCCTGTCTATTGGTCTGCCTGGGAGAGCTATAGTCAGTTTAAGGCGGATGGAAGAGAGACCTGGTATGAGTTAGGCATGACCACAGACAATTTCTGCCCAGCTTGACATGTCTCATTGACCATCAGTGACATGGGTCCACCTCATGTTCATTTTGAGGAGTGTTGAGCAGTTTAGGGTAATAACATTATTAATAATTATTATTAGTATAATAATAATGACAATAGCAATAATTATTTTTTCCAAAAAGCACTTATTTATGTGCGAGACACTGAGCTGTTTGTTTTACATATATCATATTACTAGGATATTGATTTGGCTTAAAAAAAAAACAGGTGGAATTAACAGTGGCTTAAACAAGATGGAAATTTATTTCTCTTGCATGAAATGTGAGTGGCACGTGGGGAGTTGGCAGTTGTGCTCCATGAGGGCATCCAAGAGCCCAGGCTCCTCGTTTGTGGCTTCCCCATGCCCTCATCTATGTCATTTACAGGACTGAAGACAGCCCACCATGGCCTCATCTGTGTTCCGGCCAGTGGCAAGGGAGGGAAGGGGAAGGTAAGCACTCTGGTTACTATGTTGTATAATAAGTTACCCTAAAACTTGGCAGCTTCAAGCAACCATTGTACATCACTCAGGATTTTGTGGGTCAGGATCAGGAAGTGCTCCCCCTGGCAGTTCTTGCTTTGAGTCTCACATGCGGATACTATCAGAGGTTGGCAGGGTTGTGGTTAAGGATCCACTGGGCTGATGCCTGAGAAGGCTCATTCGCATGCTAGTGCTGGCTGTTGAGTTCAGCCGGGGCTGTTGACCATTGTACCTACATGTGGCCTCCCCAGTCTGATATTCTTGGGGTAGTTGGACTTAAATGGTAACTGGTCTCCTGCTTGGAGTATTTAAAGAGAATCAGATGAAGATGGCATTGCTGGTTAGTTTGCTAGGGCTGCCATAACAAAGAATCACAGACTGGGTGGTTTAAACAACAGTTCCTGTGGCTAGCAGTCTGAAATGAAGGAGTTGGCAGGTTGATTCCTTCTGATCTGTTCCAGGCCTCTCTCCTTGCCTTGAAGATGGGTGTCTGAGCTGTGCCTCTTCACATCATCTTCCCTCTTTGCATGGCTGTTTCTGTGTCTAAATTTCCCCTTTTCAAAGGCGAACAGTCCTATAGGATTAGGGGTTCACACACTGTAGTATGACCTCATCATTTTTTTTTTTTTTTTGAGATGGAGTCTCGCTCTGTCGCCCAGGCTGGAGTGCAGTGGCATGATCTAGGCTCACGACAACCTCCGCCTCGCGGGTTCAAGCGATTCTCCTGCCTCAGGCTCTGGAGTAGCTGAGACTACAGGCACGCGCCACCACACCCGGCTAATTTTTGTATTTTTAGTACAGATGGGGTTTCACTATGTTGGCCAGGGTGATCTCAAACTCCTGACCTTGTGATCCACCCGCCTTGGCCTCCCAAAGTGCTGGGATTTCAGGCGTGAGCCACCGCGCCTGGCAACCTCATTTTAACTAATTACATCTGCAAAGACCCCATTTCTAAATAAGGTCACACTCTGAAGTACTGGGAGTTAGGACTTATGAATTAGAACATATGAATTTCAGGGGGGGCACAATTTAACTCATGACAATCATTTTTGTGACCCAGCCTCAGGAGATAAGGCATCATATCCCATATTCTGTTGGTCAAAGCAGTCACAAGTGCATTCACATTCAAGAAGAGGGGACACAGACCCCACTGTAGAATTACACATGAGATAGGAGATTTTTTTTGTCATCTTTGAAAAATATAATCTGCCATAGGCAGGCACATCCATTCCTAAAAACGGAATGGCAAAAATCACTTTAACTCTCAGCCCATTGGCTAAAGCCTGGTCTCATGGCCCCACTTAGTTGCAAAGACAACCTATGAGATGTGTTTAGCTGAGTGGCTGTGTGCTCATCTTAAGCTCTTTGTTTTTAAAATTTTTTTAAATTTATAAATGGATTTTTTTTTTTTTTGAGACAGAGTTTTGCTCTTGTTGCCCAGGCTGGAGTGTAATGGCACAATCTCGGCTCACTGCAACCTCCCCCTCCTGGGTTCAAGTGATTCTCCTGCCTCAGCCTCCCGAGGAGGCTGGATTACAGGCGCACACCACCACGGCCCAGCTAATTTTGTATTTTTAGTAGAGACAGGATTTCACCGTGTTGGGCAGGCTGGTCTTGAACTCCTGACCTCAGGTGATCCACCCGCTTCGGCCTCCCAAAGTGCTGGAATTACAGGTGTGAGCCACCGCTCCCAGCCAGATTATCTTTTTATTATATAACAAACCTACATATGTACCATCTCAAAGTCTTTGATGATGAAAGGAGAATGTGGATATTTGGGCACCTAACGTTATCTGCTAGGAACGTGATGTCCTTTGAATATCATCTAGAAATCATCTGGGCCTATCTCTTCATTGAAGCAATGAGAATCCCAAGGCGGACAGGGAGAGAGGCTTGCAGGAGGCCATAGAGTGAGGGGCAGAGGTAAGATATCTCACCCTGAAGCAGTTCTGATTCTACTAAACGTGAAATCTAAACTCTCTGCCAGAAACTCAGGCTTTTCATAACACCCCTTCCTCCTTTGGTGGCATTTCCTGCAGTTTCTCAGTGTGCGCCCCTAAAGTGCTCAGTCCCACTGCCACAGAGCCCTGCTTCTGTGAAACAGCATTTCCCCTGCCCCCAGCCTTCAATGCCACTTCAGGCCTCATTTCCTCCAGGAATCTTCCTGCCCTGCCCTCTCTGTTTACCTCCCCAACACTGTTTTTTTTTTTTGACACGGAGTCTTGCTCTTGTCACCCAGGCTGGAGTGCAATGGTGCCATCTCGGCTCACTGCAACATCTGCCTCCCAGGTTCAAGCAATTCTCCTGCCTCAGTCTCCCAAGTAGCTGGGATTACAGGCACCTACCACCATGCCCGGCTAATTTTTTGTATTTTCAGTACAGATGGGGTTTCATCACGTTGGCCAGGCTGTTCTCAAACTGTATTATGTAGCTTGGTTTAGTTTCTATTTCAGCAAGAAAGAAGGCTTCCTCTTTGAGAAAAATTTGGAGCGGCAATGATAGGATTTGCTGTTGCAGACACTGGAGACAGGAAGGGAGAAATACTGAACTCTCCCCTGCGTGTCTTCAGGAGGCCCTGGAGGCAGATGGAGTTCCCAGGGCAGAGAGAAGTGGAGGCAGAGCCCAGGCTCCAAATTAGTGGAGTGAGCCCCCACTGGGTCCTGAGTTGGCTCAGAGTGGGTGAGACAAGGGGCCCAAGGTATGTGTGTACATGTCACAGCTATCCCCAGCCCAAGGGTTTCTCCAGGGCATAGGTCCTGGCATCTGGGGGCAGCTACCCCCCAATCTATCCCTTCCTCTGCTGCTGCCATTTAATTTTGGAATAAGACATTGGCCTAAGAGCTGGGCCAGGCTCTGGCCAGTGGCGGGTTGGGATTGGGGGGTCTGCAAACAGGGATGAAGCCAGGCTGGAACCACGTGGACCTGGGTTTAGTCTTGACCCTTCCTGACTCCCATGTAACCTTAGACAGCCTCAGCTACCTCACTGGGCCTTGGTTTTCTCATCTGATAAGGGTGAAGAGTAATTCCTGCCTCCCTCACAAAGTAGCAAAGAGGCATTTGTAAGATGATCTGTGAGTAAGGTTCTGAAGCGCAGGGCTAGGTGAGGGACGGCTGCCAGCTTGCTGCAGGACCACAGCCAGTTTCTTCCCCTTTCTGAACTTTCGTGTCCTCACTTTCAAAAAAAGCCATCCTGGCCAGGTGCAACGGCTCACAGCTATAATCCCAGCACTTTAGGAGGCTGAGGTGTGTAGATGCTTGAGCCCATCTCTCCAAGAAATAAAAAAAAAAAATAGCAGGCCATGGTGGCACACACTTTTGGTCCCAGCTCCTTGGGAAGCTGAGATGGCAGGATCCCTTGAGCCCATGAAACATCGCTGTAGTGAGCAATGATCATGCCACTGCACTCCAGCCTGGGTGACAGAGTGAGAGCCCGTCTAAAAAAAAAAAAAAAAAAAAAAAAAAGCAAGCCATTCCCCGGCTCCTCACGTAGCTTTGACCTCTTTGTAGAACCCTTGCTTCTTCATCACCTCCCGCTGCCCCCATGAGGCCCAGAACAGATGTGCAATGAATGACCACTCATTGGTTGATTAACTGAAGGCAGCAGGGATTGTGGTTAGACAGCCAGGATGCGGGGGTGGGGCGGGGGAGTGTGTGTGATGGAGGACTTGGTGCAGGCCAAGCTGCTGCCCTGGGGTCACGTATGTGGGGGCCCCCATTCCCTTTGCTCCTTTACCTGCCTTCATTCACTCTGTGACCTCAGGTGTTCCTGGGGTGTTCCTCTCCTAGTCTCATAGCACTTACTCCATCCCCATCACTGCCAGTGGCCATCCACCTTGTGCCAGAGGGCGTGGTGTTGGGCAGGGGAAGAGGTACCACTATCATCTTCATTTAGTGGGTCTGCAGGCCAGGAACTGGTGCTTTCTTTAAGCAGGGCTCTGTGGCAAGCACTGTGGGAATGTTACTGAAAACAGGTCCTGACCCAGACCCCAAAAGAGGGTTCTTGGGGCTCATGCAAGAAAGAATTCAGGGTGATTCCGCAGAGTAGAGTGAAAGTAAGTTTATTAGATAAGTAAGGAAACAAGGGCCAGGTGCGGTAGCTCATGCCTGTAATCTCAGCATTTTGGGAGGCCAAGGCAGGAGGATTGTTTGAGCTTGGGCAAAAAAGTGAGCCTCCATCGCTACAAAATCAATCAATAAATAAAAGCCTATGGCTACTCCATAGGCAGAGCAGCCCCCAGGGCTGCCGTTTGGCTATTTTTATGGTTATGTCTTGATCATATACTAATAAACAAGGGGTGGATTATTCATGAGTTTTCCAGAAAAGGGGTGGGGATTTCCCAGAACTGAGGGTTCCTCCTCCTTTTAGACCATGGAGGGTAACTTCCAGATGTTGCCATGGCATTTGTAAACTGTCTGATGCTGGTGGGAGCATCTCTTAGCATGCTAATGCATTATAATTAGTGTATAATGATCAGCGAGGCCAGGCACGGTGACTCATGCCTGTAATCCCAGCACTTTGGGAAGCCGATGGGGGCAGATCATTTGAGGTCAGGAGTTTGAGACCAGCCTTGCCAACATGGTGAAACCTCATCTCTGCTGAAAAAGAAAAAAAGAAAAATCAGTGAGGGCAATCAGCGGTCATGCTCATCACCCTCTTGGTTTTTGCGTGTTCTTACCAGCTTCTTTATCTCATTCTATCAGCAGGGTCTTGTGACCCGTATCTTGTGCCGGCCTCCTATCTTGTCCTGTGACTAAAAATGTCTAACCTCCTGGGAATGCAGCCCAGCAGGTTGCAGCCTCATTTTACCCAGCCCTTGTTCAAGATGGAGTCGCTGTGGTTCAAACGCCTCTGACAGGAACACATCAAGATGAGTGAGAACCATTGCTGTGTTCTAGACATAGTGATGTAGTTAGGCTTTGCATCCCCACCAAATCTCATCTTGAATTGTAATCCCCGTAGTCCTCATGCGAAGGGAGAGACCAGGTGGAGGTCATTGAATCATGGGGGCAGTTTTCCCCATGCTGTTCTCGTGATAGTGAGTGAGTCATCACGAGAGCTGATGATTTTATAAGTTGCTCTTCTCCCCTTTGATCAGCACTTCTCCTTCCTGCCGCCTTGTGAGAAAGGTGCCTTGTTTCCCCTACGCCTTCCACCATGATTTTAAGTTTCCTGAGGCCTCCCCAGCCATGCTGAACTGTGAGTCAATTAAACCTCTTTCCTTTATAAATGACCCAATTTCAGGTAGTTCTTTTTGTTTTTTGTGTGTTTTTTGAGATGGTGTCTCACTCTGTTACAGCCCAGGCTGGAGTGTAGCGGCACGATCTCGGTTCACTGCAACCTCTGCCTCCCTGGTTCAAGTGATTCTCCTGCCTCAGCCTCCCAAGTAGCTGGGATTACAGGCATGCGCTACCACGCCCGGCTAATTTTTGTATTTTTAGTAGTGATGGGGTTTCACCATGTTGGCCAGGCTGGTCTTGAACTCCTGACCTCAGGTGATCCGCCTGCCTCAGCCTCCCAAAGTGCTGGGATTACAGGCGTGAGCCACTGCGCCTGGCCTCGGGCAGTTCTTTTCAAAGCAGTATGAGAAGGAACTAATACACATGGCCATGCAGTGTAGAAAGCACATCTACTACCACTTCCTCCTGGATTGTCACCACATCCCTGAGAGGACCCAGAAGAGGAATCTGTTGTTTGCAAAGGAGAAAAATGAAAGCTACGGTTTGGTTGACATTTGTGGAGTGCCTGTTATTTCTTAGGCACTTAGGTTTACCTCTGCGACAGGATAGAACTGTAAGTGGCCCTGGCATCTGAGTCAATCCCTAGATCCATTGTCTGTTGGGTGGGGCTGGGTCCCCACATGAGTAGCAGCCAGAACAGGTCCCTCCAAGGCCATGGTCCTGTGGGAGCTCAGATCCTTTTAACTAGGGTTGGAGCCTGGCGCCCTCTGGCGGCGAGCTGCAACCTCTACCCGCCAAACCCAAGGCCAGGCTGAGACCAGCCACCAATTCACACCCTTGTTTTGCAAGTGGAAAACCTCAGTCCAGAGAAAGGCCCGGGCTTGCTGAGACAGAATGACTTTCGTATTTGCTTTGTGGAATGTAAGTTGTCTGGTGAAGCATTATTGCTCTTCTTGTTAACCAAAATCAAAATTGAGAGGGTCAAGGCAGAACACTGATGTTTGCTGAGCCTTCCTTTATTCTCCCTATCTTCAGATGGGTGTGATGAGCCTATTTTACTGAGAGGAAAAGTGAAGCTCAGAGAGGCTAAAGAAATTACTTTCCCAGGCTCACAGAGCCAGCCAATGCAGAGCCAGGATTTGGACCCAGGTCTGTCTGACTCTAAGCCCACCCTGCCAGATCCCTGGAGTTTCACCTCCAGTCCCCTCTTCCCCAACAGTCCCCCCCATCTCCCAACTTCTTGGTATACTGATCTGGGACAGCAGAACGTCAGCAGTCATAAGTCCTTAGCTCCGTACTTGGTGTCACCGTGTCATTCAGACACAGCCAGTTACCACTCCTTGGCCTAAGCAGGGGAGGGAGACTGGGGGTTGGGAAGAGACGCTGGGCAGGGGAGACTCAGGGGCTTCTGGTGGGGATGGATTAGTGGGGTTGAGAATCTAAGCCAGAATTCGGAACCTCGGTAGCTATGAGATCTTGAGCAAGCGTCTTTACCTCTGTGAGCCTCAGGTTTCTCAGCCAAAAAGTGGGAAATTATAACAATACTTTGACGGCCCCACTTAGGAAAAAAAACAGTCCAGGTTTGGAGTTAAATTTTGGGGTCTGACTGGCTGTGGGGTTTGGGGCCAGTGATTTGACATCTCTGAGCAGATTTCAGATCCTGAATCTGTAAAATGGGTTGTTGTGGGGATTTAGTGAGGTGACTGAGCTGGCAGCACTTTGGAAAATGTGAGGCTTTACAAATGAAGCTGGTTTTTAGCACTTCCCTGGAATGGGGGCTCTGAGATGGGGAGGGAAATGGATACTGGAAACCGGCACCCCCCTCAACATTTCCCCTGAACCCAGGCACATGAGTTCTCATTCTGCATCCTATGCACCCACCAAATGGGTTTCTCCAAGCCTGGCACCCCACTCCTTTCCACCTTGCCTGAGGACCTGAGGCCCCTTCCCTCTTCCCACCTTGTTCTAGTTGCAAGCTGCAGAGGATGGCCTGAGTTTCCATTCTTCAGCCTGGAGGCTCTGGCTGTAGCCTCAGTCTTCCAGCTGCAGCCTCAATCTTCTGCCCCAAGAGAATCCGTTGGATGATTTGGGTTGATCTTTGGGAGGCAGGAGAGCTAGTTCCAAGGCCTGTGACCAAAACCTTTCAGTCACTCTCGAGTCCCAGAACCCCATCTTTCTTGAACCAAGCCTGCTCTGGTGCCCAAAGGGAAGGGGTGTCAGTGATGGGGGCCCACAGGAGACTTTTACTGTGGTCCAGTTTTATCTGTTATGCTGCTGGTCTGGCACCCACAGAACTGCCCTGTCCCCCTCCCGTCTCTGGCCTCAGTACTGGCGTTGCCAGTATGAGGAGACAGTGAGAGGAGGGGTGAGGGCTTCGGAGTGAGAGAGGCTGACAGGAGGCGGGGACTCTGGGGGGCTGAGGACTATAAAGCGGCCCAGCCGAGGGCAGGGGCCCATCCGGCCTGAGGCAGGTGCTCGCTTGGTCTAGTGCCCATTTACTCTGGACTCCGGGTAAGTGGGCTCAGCCTGCCTGGGGCTCTGGGGGCCTCCCCCAGGCTGGGGCCTGGGATGGAGAGGAGGTGGTGCTTTGCAGGGCCAGGGGCCTTGGGAGGCCTAAGGTCCTGCTTGGGTCTTGCTTTCTGCATCTGGACAGACCTGTCACGCTAGAAGAGCCGTCTGCTGACTGCACGTGTGTGTGCACACTCGTGTGCATGGCTGTGAACTGGAATGTGTGACTGTGACCTTGTGAGTGACTGGGGTCCCTGTGTGAGTGCCTTTGCTGGTCTGTGCAGGACGACATGGACAGTAGCGTCTTCTCCAGGACCGATATCTGTGTCTCTATCGCAGGGTGGAGGGCCAGACCCACAAGGCCATGGATTTCTGTCCTTGGCTTCCCGAGTTCATTCTGTGTCCCCCACCCTGTGGGTGACCTGGCATGCCCTTATTCCCACTAGCTGCTGCCTCCTGGGAGCCATGAGGCCCTGGATGTCATGAGTCCCGTGTCTCCAGGACTCACATCCCCATTTTCTCTGCTATACTTTTCTAACTTGCGAGGCCCTGGCTTGCTGGGCTGCTCACAGGACAGGCTGTCCGTGCCTTCAGAGCAGTGTCTAGGAGGTGGAGTGGCCAGCTTGGAGTGGCCCTTTGCTCTGCCCCCTTGTCCCCAGGCTTGGAGAAATGGATGATGGGCTAAGGGGCTGGATAGTTGGGCCCTGCTTCCTGGGCACGGGAAAATCTGCAGCCCGGGCTCTCCACCTCCCCTCTGCTTGCTCCTCAGATGGCTGCCGCACGCCTCTGCCTCTCCCTGCTGCTCCTGTCCACCTGCGTGGCTCTGTTACTACAGCCACTGCTGGGTGCCCAGGGAGCCCCACTGGAGCCAGTGTACCCAGGGGACAATGCCACACCAGAGCAGATGGCCCAGTATGCAGCTGATCTCCGTAGATACATCAACATGCTGACCAGGCCTAGGTGTGTGCCACAGTTGGGGAGAGAGATCCCAGCCCCTGGGACCCTGGGCCCACTCCACATTCCTGGCCACACCCTATCCCCAGCCCCAGCCCCAGCCCCTTCCAGGCCTGCTCTTGGGAAAACAGGGCATCTGTGCTCAACAGGCCTAGACCAATGTGCCCTGGGCAAGATGGTGCCTACAGGCAGATATGAAACAGGTGGGCTGGCACCTGGGCACAGTGCTTGCCCCTGCTGCCTCTTCCCTCCCAGGTATGGGAAAAGACACAAAGAGGACACGCTGGCCTTCTCGGAGTGGGGGTCCCCGCATGCTGCTGTCCCCAGGTGAGTTTGACTCCCTGCCCTGTCTGTCCAGCTCCCTGGAGCTGAAATGGGGGTGGTGGGACTGAATCAGGGCTTGGAAAGGTGTAGTGGGGGGTGGAAGAGGGAGAACAGGAGCCCAGGGCCAGCCTGAGGCCTCCTGAGGGCACGAGGCCTACCCCCTACACTGCCATGTTCTGCCCTGTCCTCACAGGGAGCTCAGCCCGCTGGACTTATAATGCCACCTTCTGTCTCCTACGACTCCATGAGCAGCGCCAGCCCAGCTCTCCCCTCTGCACCCTTGGCTCTGGCCAAAGCTTGCTCCCTGCTCCCACACAGGCTCAATAAAGCAAGTCAAAGCCACAGCCTGTCCTGTGTCTCTGTGGACCCCTGGTGGGGGCAGCAGGAAGTGCCAAATGCATGGGAGAGAAAGGGGAGGGCAGGGCAGGGCAGAGGAAAAGGGGATCATCCAGAACGTTGGCGGGGGTCATCAGAGTCACTCAACTCATCCTCTCCCCTTCGCAGAGGGAAAAGTGGTGGCCAGAGGAAGGCAGGGACTCCTCTGAGCAGATGGTCCTTCAGCAAGTCTGTGAAGTGGCAGTCTTGAATCTTCCCAGTTCAGTACCCATAGACCTTCCCGACACAGCCTGATGACAACCCTTCCCCAAGTGCACCCCTCACCAGTGCCTTACTGCAGCCTAGGCAGCAGAAGCACCAAAATTTATACGAAAGCACCCTTGGCATGGGGGCAGGGGCACAGCCCAGCCTGGAAGAACGATTCTGGTGCTATGGCAGTCATGGCTGCATCCAGGGGCCTGAGCTGCCGTCCAGAAATTTGGAGAGAATGGGCTGCCCTGAGAGGTAGTGAAGTCCTGGGCACAGGAGGTATTCAAGCTGCTGTGGAAGGGGAGGAGGCTAGATTAGCTGAGAGTTCCAGCCACCATGAGTTGAATCTGTAGATTGTACACTCCAGCCCTGGGAGGACAAGGACCTGGATCCTGCCCCAGGGAGGACTTCCCAGATTCCCAGAGAACCCATCTTTTCCTGGCCCTTCTCAGGCACCCTGAATAGGTGGGGACAGTGCGCGTGTGCATGCGTGTGTACGCGCATGTGTAAAGGGGAGAAGTGAGGGAACTAGAATGTTTCTGGTTCCTAGAAAGGCTTCTCCTGCCTCCCCCACATGCTTGGTCTCAAGGGATGGGGTTATGGGTTTGGAGGATGAGGGGTCCACTTTCCTGGGCTCAGCACCTTGCACAGAAATGGAAATGACACACAATTGTGTTTCCCCTCAAGTCCTACTCCATCTGGTGTGTGCAAATGACCTGGAAGTAGAAACAGGTCCTAAAAGGCAAAGAGCTTCTAGAGGATGCAGCTGCTTGGCTCAGATTGATTTTTTGTTTGTTTTTGGAGACAGGATCTTGCTCTGTCACCCAGGCTGGAGTACAGTGGCATGATCACAGCTCACCATAGCTTTGACCTCCTGGGCTCAAGCGATCCTCCTGCCTCAGCCTCCCAAACAGCTGGAACTACAGGCACATGCCACCACACCCAGCAAATTTTTTTATTTTTTAGAGACAGGGTCTTGCTATGTTGCCCAGCATGGTCTTAAACTCCTGGGCTCCAGCGATCTGCTCACCTCGGCCTCCCAAAATGCTGGGATTACAGGTGTGAGCCACTGTGCCCAGCCTCAGGTTGATTCTTAAATCCAAAGATGTCTGGATAGAGAGATGGTTTCGCAAAAGAACGGTTTGAGTCTGGGAGAGGGAGCCTGAAGTCCCAGCATTTTCTCTGGCAGCTTAAGGGGATGCGCGGTGAATGGGGAGAGGAGTCTGGGCTGTTTGGTAGAAACTTGAGCCAGGTGGGAGTTGGGGTGTGTCTAGCTGAAGCCCCTTCTTTGAGGTTTCTTCTCTCACCTCTGCTCTCCCTCTGGGTTAGAGCCCCCCACACTGGTGCTGTCTGTGCAGGACTACAGGGGCAATAAGTGTCTTCTCCAGGACCCGTATCTGTGTCTCTACCACGGGGTGGAGGGCCAGACCCACAAGGCCATGTGTGGGTGGAGTGGGGGAAGGTGGATGGGTTGCCAGGGGAGGCAGGGGAGGACCCCCAACAGCTGAGGTCTTTTTCTCTCACAGCAGAAACTACAGGGTCCCACTTCCCGTTCCATGGACTGGTCCCTCCCTGCCCGCAGGCCCACAGAAGTCACTGAAGCAACAAAAATTTGTCTTTATTGTTTTCACTGAGGGGATGAGGAGGGGTCGAGGCCCCTCTCAATACAAAGGGGTTGGTGGGCAGAGAGGCGTCTGGAGGCCAAGGCCCAGCCTGGAGAAAGAAGCCCCCCCCACAGGGGTGCTGTGTCTCCCCGCATGCCCGCCCCCAGGAACTTCCTCTCGCTAGCACCCAAGCTGCCCCCAGCCCCGAGGCCCCTGGCTCGGTGCCCAGCATCCAGGCTGTCCTACCTGGGGCCCCGGGAGGAGGTCGGTGGTCGGGGTTCCGAGGTGTTCAGCCACTGGGGGTTCGTGGTGGTCCATGGTGGGGGTTTCGTGGCTTTTGATGGGGAGGTGTCCGTGGCGTTCGCAGTTTTCTTGTGGTTTTTAGATTTCTTCGGGCTGGGAACAAGTCTTTGCAGTCATGAGGCCGCTCCCCGAGCCCAGCTCAGGCCGCGATGTGCGTGGGGGTGCCTGGTGGCGTCCGTGTCCCCCCCCCGCGCCCCCCCCACCCCCCGCTTTCCTCCCTCCCTCCCTCCCTTCCTCACACCCTCCGCCGGCCCACCTGCTGTTGAAGAGCTTCCCCAAGTACTTCTTGATGGAGCCTAAGTTCAGCCAACTGGCGGCCCTGGGCTGCGGCACTTGCAGCTCCTCGCCGAGGGCGCCCTCGGGCTGCATCAGCAGCGACACGAGGCCCGCTATGGCCAGAGCGAATGCGCAGCGCAGAGCAGGCGTCTGGAGGGGGCGGGGCAGACAGAGCCGCGGGAGGTCACGTGATGCCGGGGCTGTGGTCAGCGCGGCACCCGGACCGGAGCTTGCAGGTGTTCCGCGCGGTGGGCAGGCTGGGGTGCAGGGGCGCTCAGACCGAGGGTCGTGTCTATTTCTGGGACACACACCAGAGCACGGACGCCTTAAGGGACATCCTGGTGCTCGGAGGAATGGTACACACCTGGACATGCCCGGTGATGCAGGCAGAGCATCGAGGCGCGGTGGCTCACGCCTGTAATCCCAGCACTTTGGGAAGCCGAGGCGGGCGGATAACCTGAGGTCAGGCGTTCAAGATCAGCCTGGCCAACATGGCGAAACCCCGTCTCTACTAAAAATACAAAAATTAGCCGGGCGTGGTGGTGGGCGCCTGTAATCCCAGCTACTCTGGGGGCTGAGGCAGGATAATTGCTGGAACCCGGGAGGTGGAGGTTTTAGTGAGCCGAGATTGCGCCACTGTACTCCACCCTGCCCAACAGAGCCAGACTTCGTCTCAAAAAAAGAAAAAAAAAAAAAAGAAAAAGAAAAAAAAAAAAAAAAAAACGAACGAGGAGACACACCCTAAGGTGGACGCATGAGGACGGCATAAAGCCATTGGTCAGCTCCCTAACCTCACTGCCCTCTCTCCCGCAAACTCCTTGCTTATCCCCCTCCTTTCTCCCTGCTGTTCCCGCAAAATGACGGTCACTCTGTTCTCTGCCTGGAAGACTCTTCCTCCAGACATCCTCATGGCCAGCTCTGTCTCCCCTTGTAAGCATTAGCTCAAAATCCACCTTTTAAATGGATCCTACCCTGACACCCCTATTTATAATTGCAACCTGGCCGGGCGCGGTGGCTCACGCCTGTAATCCCAGCACTTTGGGAGGCCGAGGTGGGAGGACTGCTTGAGCCCATGAGTTCAAGACTAGCTTGGGCAAAAGACAGAGAGCCCCGTCTCTACGATTTAAAAAAATAAATAAATAAAATAATATTGCAACCAAACCCCTCATCTTGCTCTTTTTCTTGCTCTATTTTTGCCCTATTTTTTCTTTTCTTTCTTTTTATTTTATTTTATTGTTTTAAGGCAAGGCCTTCTTTTGCCTTCCAGGCTGGAATGTAGTGTCGGGATCATAGCTCACTACAGCCTCAAACTCCTGGGCTCAGGCCATCCTTTTGCTTCAGCCTCCCAAGTAGCTAGGTCTACAGGTGCATACAATCATGCCCAACTAAATTTTAATTTTTTGTAGAGATGGAGTCTTGCTATGTAGCCCAGGCTGGTCTCAAACTCCTGGCCTCATGAGATCCTCCCGCCTCACCTCCCAAAGTTCTGAGATTACAGGTATGAGCCGCCACACCTGGCCTGCACTTTCTAACTTACTATATTCTATACTTATATTTGTTGTCTGAGTCCCTTCCCAGCGGCATATCCTCCCTCAATGTAAGCATCATTAATTACAGCTGGGCTCTTCGCCTATTTTGTCTATTGATGGATCACAAGCACCTAGAATGGTGCCTGGCACTTAGCAGATACTCAGTAATACATATTAAATGAATGACTAACAGTTACACACAGGAAAGCCAGCCTGAGGATTCACACACCCAATGCACAGAGAATTTTGTGCCTGCAACACACAATGATTCACAGACTATGATGCCCGTAAACATGATGCACACTCCCAGAGCTCCTAGGCCCCTCAACCCTCTTTTAACCAGGAACTCTCCTCATCCCCACCACCCCAAGCAGGAATAAGAAGCCCTAGTAGCTATCCTGGCCATCAGAATGGCAGACGAGGCTGCCCTGGCCTAACTCCTTCATGCCCTTAGTGGGCCTGAGGAGGGGCCCTTGGTGCCAGCCCCCATCCCCAAGCTCTTAGAGAATACAGCTGATGGGGGCCCAGACTTGGCCACCAGACATCACCATGGTGCTGGGCAGGTGCAGAGGAGCTCAGCAGAGTGTCTCTGGCCAGGACCTGAGGCCCTTTATATTCCTAAGCATCCCTGCCCCCTTTCCCTCTGAGGCTCCACTCCCAGCATAGCCTTCTTTTCCTCCCTGTGTCGTGACCTGAAAGTCCGGAACGGAGAGAAGGTGGGGGTGGAAGCACATGGGCTACCAGCTGTTCTGACCAGGTCACAGTCCCTGCCGGGGGCCCAGAAGTGTGGGTAGCAGAGGCAGGGAGGCGTGGGGTGTCGGGTAACTTTTTGCTCCAAGTACACAGATCCTAGGGAGAAACTGGCTCTGGGCTTGAGAGGGGGCTGTGCTTTTCCCAGGGGTTACTGTCAGGGTTTGGAAGGGGGTTATGCTGAGACCAGATGCCCCTCCCCATCTGGCTAGATCCAAGGTGCCTCTGCCTCCTTCTCCTGCAGGGTTACTTTGGGATCCCAGCACCCCTATTCCCTCCCCCTAGGCCCGCTGCCATGGGGAGGGGGTGGAGTTGCAGTTTCTGGTTTCAGGATTGCAGGCCCCGCTGCACAACCTGGAGATTTTCTCAGCCTGCCTGGCCATTTTGGAGCCCCTGAGGCATGACCTGCTGAGCCTTCTGGAGGGTGGTGGGTCTTGGCTGCTTGGATGATGGACTTAGGCCTTGGCTGCCTCAGGCCACAGAGCCTCAGCTGTGTGGCCTGTCAGGTCCCCTCTACCTCCTCAATATTGCTGCTTTTATGGGGCAAGGTTGTAAAATGTGCACCAATTCTTCATGCCCACACCAACCCCAGAAGGGGCACAGTAGGAAGAGCAGGGGCTTCTGGGTAGGAATCCTGACTTCACTCCCTCCTGGCTGTGTGACCTTGATTAGGGGACATTATCTCCCCTGAGCCTCCACATCCTCATCTGTGAAATGGAGCTGGTTAAATCCTGGCATAGGACTGTCGTGAAGATGGAGTTGGGTGATGTAACTCAGCCTCTGGGCAGCTCCTGGCACATGCTAGGTGATTAACAGGCGTGAGAGCCCCTCCACTCATAGAAGAACCCCCCCCAACCTTTTTTTTTTTGAGATGGAGTCTCACCCTATCGCTCATACTGGAGTGCAGTGGCATGATCTCGGCTCACTGCAGCCTCTGCCACCCAGGTTCAAGCGATTCTCCTGCCTCGGCCTCCTGAGTAGCTGGGATTACAAGTGCTTGCCACCGTGCCGTACTAATTTTTGTATTTTTAGTAGAGATGGGGTTTCACCATCTTGGCCAGGCTGGTCTTGAACTCCTGACCTCGTGATCCACCCACCTTGGCCTCCCAAAGTGCTGGGATTACAGGCGTGAGCCACCACACCCGGCCTTAAAAGAACCCCTTTCTCCCATCTCCACTTCTCCCGAAAGTGTCTCATCTTCTGGCCTCTTCTCCTTATTAAAACTTGCCCTCGGCCAGGCATGGTGGCTCATGCCTGTAATCCCAGCACTCTGGGAGGCTGAGGTGAGAGGATCACTTGAACCCAAGAGTTTGAGAGTAGACTGGGCAACATACTGAGACCTTGTCTCTACAAAAAAAATTTTAAAAGCCAGGTGTGGTGGCATGTGCCTGTGGTCCCAGGTACTGGGGAGGCTGAGGTGGGAGGATTGCATGAGCCTGGGAAATTGAGGCTGCAGTGAGCCAGGATCACACCACTGCACTCCAGCCTGGGTGACAGAGCAAGACCCTGTCTCAAAACAACAACAAACAAACATACAAACCAACCCTGCTCTCAGTGGGGGTGAGAAATTCAATGTCAATGTCAATATCACTGAAGTTTATGGGATGGCTCAGTAGCCAAGTGAGACCAGGACCGCATTTCTACGCAGCCAAGAATCTCTAGAAAAAGAAATGAAATTCCCATGATAAATTTCCATAGTACAGGTGGGAGGAGATATCTGGGGACCAGTGTACCCTAAATACCAGCAAACAGGCTATTCCTTATCCCCATTTGTCACAGCCCAGTGTTGAAGAGCTCAAGAGCTCAAACCATGTGTCCCTTTGCAGCCTTGGCTGCCCTTACAAACCCAGGCTTTTCTGCAGGCACTGAAGGCTCTCAGCCCCTTGCTCTTCCAGACTCTCTTACTCATTCCAGGAACTGTAGAAGGGTATGGGGAGGGAGGAAAGGGGGAAGAGAGGAAAGGAAGAAGCTCAGACGCTGCCTGCTGCTCTCTGAGGGCAGGAGGCGGTAGTGGTAGCCCTGCAATGGGCAGGATGAGGGAATGTGGCTTGAGGACACAACTCCGGGTGGGTCTCCCTGTCAACTGCCCCTTAAACTCTGACTGCGAGTTCCCACTTAAATGGAACTTCCAAATTCACTGTGGAGGACATGCCCAAATTCCCAGAGGGCAGCAGGCCAGGGGCTATGGCCTCCACTTCTCAGAGAAGAACACTGAGATGCAAAGAGAAGCTACGCAGATACCTGGTGCCACCACAGCTGGGGCTAAACCCGCCATTTTGACTCCAAGTCAGTGTGTGACCATTTGGATCGGCCTATTTCTGAGGCCGCTGAGATAAGCGCCGGGGGCTTCCTGTGATGCATGATGGTTCTCAAATATCATTCTCTGCTACCCACTGTGGAATAGACCCAATGATAGAGTGACCTTGAGTCTCCTGGCTGACTTGCCCCAGACTGACCATCCCACCCACTCCGGGACCACCGCTACTCCTTTCTGCTGGGTGTGGCCCAAAGCTGTCCTCCCACCGGCTCACTACTTCCTACCTGCCCTCAGTGCATCTGGGTGCTAGTGATGTCCTGAGAGAGGCCATCAGCTTGACTGCTGACAGTGGAGAGCAGCTGGCCTAGGAGAGGCCTGGCTGCCCTGTACAGCATCACTGCATTTTTTAAAAAAATGTCCCATCAAAGCCCTTTCCCCTTGGTGAGGGAGTCACATGGTGACCTGTGTTCTCCCTTCTAGACTGCATGCTTCCCAAGGGCAGCTGGGGTCTTGTTCAGCTCTGAACCTCCAGCATCTAGCACAGTGCCTGGCTTACTGTGGGCCTCCATGGATGCTTAGTGGGTGGGTGGAGGTGGGAGGGAGGCAGGAAGAAGGGAGGGAGGTAGAATGGGAGTGGAAGGGAGGGAGGGACTGATGGATCAATGGATGTGATGAACAAAGGGACAGCTAAAGGAGTGAACAAATGCATGGCCTGGCTCATGTCATGGGTCCTGGAACCCGCTGCTGCCTGTCCTCATGTCTTCATGTGCCTTGTTTCGCATGTGTGTGTGAAGAGGCAGAGGAAGGTAACTAGGGGACCCCCCTCTCATCTGTGGGCTCCTCCAGGACCGGACTTGTGTCTCCTCTTCTCTTGGATCTTCCTTGCTCCTCTGCTCCCCGAAACCTGAGGCTGGGCCACACCTGGTCTTCAACTGCCCCTCATTAATCCCGGGACTCTTCTCATATGGAACCGTGCTAGGGTAGCAAGGGCAGTGTGTTCTGGGCACAGGGTCCAGGGGAGAGGAAAAGGCAGCCTCTCCCAGCCTCCTCCTCCTCCCAGAAGCCTTCTTCCCCCGCGCCCCCAGCCCTCCTCCTCCCATAGCCCTCCTCCCCACCTCACTTGAGCAGGCCCCTCCTACCCTCCAAGCTGTAGTTCCAGCGCTCATGCCGGAACTGGAACTGGCACTCCAGGCCGAGGTGCATGGCGTCCCACAGGGTCTCAGCCAGGCTGGGCTCCCTCCCGCAGAGCTGCTTCTGCTGCCGGGACAACTTCAGCAGGTCACACTGCTTCAGGTGGGCCCTGCCCTGTGCTGGGGCCACCGCAGTGCCCAGTCCTGGGAAGGGCATCAGGACCTCCCACCTGGTCAGGCTGGAGACGGCGAGAGGACAGAGACGGGTGAGCCTTGGGGATGGTGGTGAGGGGCAGGTGAAGGGAAGGGAGCCTCCTTGGGTGCCCCCAGTGTGGGTGGAATATACATCATTTCAGGGCTCACCCCAAAAGAAGTAACCCCGTTCTGGGACATCCTGGGCTCCTAGCCAGGGTAAAAGAGCAAAGGTGGGCGAGGTGCGGTGGCTCACACCTGTAATCCCACCACTTTGGGAGGCCAAGGCAGGCGGATTGCTTGAGTCCAGGAGTTTGAGACCAGCCTAGATGACATAGCGAAACCCCATCTCTACTAAAAGTATGAAAATTAGCCAGGCATGGTGGCACAAGCCTGTAGTCCCAGCTACTTGGGAGGCTGAGGCAGGAGGATAGTTTGAGCTCAGGAGGTGGAGGCTGCAGTGAGAAGAGATCACGTCACTGAACTCCAACCTAAGCAACCGAGTGAGACCCTGTCTCAAAAAAGAAAAAGAAAAAAAAGAAAAAAAGAAAAGAAAAGCAAAAGTAGAACCAGGCAATGGCTCCTTTTTTGTTTGTTTGCTTGTTTATTTGTTTGTTTGTTTGAAACGTAGTCTTGCTCTGTCGCCAGGCTGCAACCTCCGCCTCCCGGGTTCAAGCGATTCTCCTCCCTCAGCCTCCCAAGTAGCTGGGACTACAGGCATGCACCACCACCACGCCTGGCTAATTTTTGTATTTTTAGTAGAGATGGGGTTTCACCATGTTGGCCAGGATGGTCTCAATCTCCTGACCTTGTGATCTGCCTGCCTTGGCCTCCCAAATTGCTGGGATTACAGGTGTGAGCTACCGCGCCCGGCTGCAGTAGCTCTTAAAGTGCCACATCCTGCTTAGATGTGGCACTTATCATGTTGCTCATGTGCCACTGGCCAGGGTAAGTCCTGTGGTCAAGCCAGGAGTAGTCAGAGAAGCCCACATTCCTCTGAGCCAAGGGACAGCTCTCCTGTTTGGAGCCACTTGCCTTAACCAGGGCTTCTGACTGGATGCCACATCCTCTCTGTATGCCCCAGAAGTTGGAAGCCTCACCAGAGGGTATGCGGCCTGGCCAGGCCCCAGGTGGCCTCAGAAATCACCCGTAGATTCCACACCCATCAGGTGCAGTCAAACCATCATGGAGCATATCTCTGAAACCTCTGAGCAGAGACAGATGCTATCGGGCTCCCCTTGGCCTAGCCTGACCCTGGGCTCCTCTCCCAGACAGGGTGAGGGCAGGGACCCGTTAATCATTAATCTGGGGCAAATGGGTAATTTTACAGTCCACCAGGTCTACACCCAAACCCCTCCCTGCAGCCTGGCAGGAAGCCCTCAGAGACTTTGCAGGTCCAGAGCAGAACTGGATGTCAACTCCAGCTGAGGAGGCCACGCCTTGACTGGCTTCCAGTGTGGAGGGCAGCTTGGGGGCTGCAGCTACCTTGCCCTCAAATGTCCTCCTCCTCACACCAAGGGCTGGTGTGAGTGGCGACTTCTGCTCACACGATTCCAGTGTTTCAGAAACTGGACCTCCCTGGTAGCAGCTGATTGACAGAGGAGAGAGCAAGCAGGGAGTGATGGAAATTTTGGCCAATGAAGCTGCATATCCTTCAAGACCTGCCTCATATGCCATTTTAAGAATAACGGCTATTATTATTGTATCATCATAGCTACATTATATGTCATATGATATGATATATAACACATTATTATTTTTACTACTTTTTTTTGAGACAGAGCCTCACTGTGTTGCCCAGGCTAGAGTGCAGTGGCATGATCTCTGCTCACTGTAACCTCCGCCTCTCAGGTTCAAGCAATTCTCCTGCCTCAGCCTCCTGAGTAGCTGGGACTACAGGCACGGGCCACCACGCCTGGCTAATATTTGTATTTTTAGTAGACACGGGGTTTCACCATGTTGGCCAGACTGGTCTCGAACTCCTGACCTCAAGTGTCCACCCACCTCAGCTTCCCAGAGTGTTGGGATTACAGGAGTGAGCCACCACGCCCAGCCCAAGCTGTGTTCTTGTCTGGGACTCCCCTATGGTATGGAGTGGAGGCTCTAAGTTGGTTTGCCTAACTAAAGGCGTCATCCTTGATTATGACCTCTGACATCTGGAGAGTGCCAGAATTCCCTAGGCTGCACTTGGGCCCAGGGAACCTCACCTCTACAAAAAAATATAAAAATTAGCTGGGCGTGGTGGCATGCACCTGTGATCTTCTTCCTTTGTGGTGCAAAATCTTATTTCTGCCTACTGGCCAATTGATCAGGAATATGCACCCTGGTGTTTCAATCTCCAAACAATAACATTTTGCCTAACAAACTATTCAGGTTCAGGTTCCTTTAGTAATGCCTGTTTCCTCTCCCCACCCCACACACCAAGCGGGCTGTACATTTCATTCCCGTTAGCAGGACTAAATATCTCTGCTACACTCGGCACCGGGATAGCCAGTTGGAGGACCCCTAATTTTCTGCCTCCTAATACTAACAATTGGCCCATGTGTACTCACCTTCATATCCTGCTTTATCTCCCAAAGGCTGAACTCCCTTGTTCAGGCAACCACCCAGAAACACATGAATACCGTCATTCTCCTCCGCCAAGGCCGGTATCAGCGCCTCAAGGAAAACAACTCTGAAGTCGAACGCCCACTGCTTCAAAACCCACACGCCGAGTACAGCACCCCTATTCGGAAGGAAGTAGCCAGACAATCAACAACACAACACCCCTCTTCCTTTTATATTAAAGTAAAAGGCAAGAATGTTAGCCAAACTGCACCATGTTACAAGTTCCTTGCTATTTTGCAGACCTTGGTCAAAGCGAAACATTTCACAGGGGTTCAGGCCATGAGAAACATCCTACCTAACCACCTGACCACAGGGCGGACAAAGGCCCAACGAAAGAAACATCCCTGGCCTGGTGCAATGGCTCACACCTGTAATCCCAGCATTGTGGGAAGCTGAGGCGGGCAGATCACTTGAGGTCAGGAGTTCGAGATCAGCAGCCTGGCTAACATGGTGAAAACCTGTCTCTACTGAAAACACAAAAATTAGCTGGGTATGGTGGTGCACACCTGTAATCCCAGCTACTCAGGAGGCTGAGGTAGGAGAATTGCTTGAACCCAGGAGGCAGAGGTTGCAGTGAGCCGAGATCACGCCACTGCACTCCAGCCTGGGCAAGAGAGTGAGACTCCATCTAAAAAAAAAAAAAAAAGAAAAAAGAAAAAGAAAACAAAAAAGAAAGAAAAGAAAAAGAAACATCCTTGTCATATCTTGCTGGACAAAGGTCCAAGGAACACCATGATGACATCCCGCTGGAACAAGGGCCAGAAGCACCTCATCATGGGAACATCTCATCAATATCCTGCCAGGCAGCAAGCCCTACTGCCCAGACCCCTCCCCACCATACCTATAAATTGCCCTAGCCTGTAAGCAGTGGTGGGCTCTGGCATGAGGCTGGTCTCCCACTTCTGTAGGGTTTATGCTGGACATAAAACCTGCATTTGCTGTTGAGCTGCCCTCTTTCTGTGTGTCTTTCTTTAACCCTTGCTTTTTCTTCAAAACCTAACAACAGTAACATGCAGTACAGGTTTATAGCCTAGGAGTCATAGGCCATACCATAGCCTAGGTGTGCTATAGGCTATACCACCTAGGTTTGTGTAAATATATGCTATGATGTTAGCACAATGGTGAAATCACTTAATGACACCTTTCTCAGACTCCTCACGTGACAAGCAATGCATGACTGTATATGAAAGCCTTAAATAGGGATTAACTTTCTAAATTAATCTCTAAAAGAAAACAGTCATTATTTACTACATATGAATTTTTTTTTTTTAAAAAAGGAGCAGAAGTGTTTCATTTCAGTGGGAACTTAATTTGGAGCTAGAGTGTTTTATTTAACTTTCACCACAAAGTTGCAAAGTGTTTTGTTTTGAAGTTTTTCCCTGTAAAATAAATATTTTAATTCAATTTAAATAAAACCCACCAAGGAAACCTTAAGCTTTAAGAAGTCTAGCTTCCTGTGAAATGTGAGAGGAAGTCAGCAATGATTTCAGAAAACTGATTATAACAATAGCTCCATCCCTAAATGAGGCGAACCTTGGAATCCCTTCCACTTTAAAGCCATCACTATGCACCCTATGCCTATGCTAGGCACTGGAAGAAGATGAAGCACCTTCTTGGAGTTTACATGCTGGTAATTATGCCAGACAGTAATAAAATAGGTAAGAATGGCTGTGGGGGAAGTCAGCTGGGTTCTAGTTACAGTCGCATTTCAGGAAATGATTTAACATGCTGACTCTAACAACCTAAGCCTCTTCTCTATGTGTGCACACGGGGTAGATCTCTGAAGGGTGACACTGTAACTTCTAGGGGAATGGCTGTGTTGAGTCAAGGCAGGATGACAGTTCAGCCTCCTCCCAGGCTAGTGCAAAGGGCTCTTCACTCGGATTAAAACCTTCTCTCCCAGACCGACTTGCCTACCCCCAACACCCCTCCTACAGAAAATCTGGAGTCCTCGCTCATTCCCTGGCAGCCCCTACCTAACAGGGTGGTGAATTAATTATCAAACATGCAACAAAAGATACCGAAAGTTTAGCGAAAATGGCAACATTTTGGAATAAATGATTGTAATGTGCGTCCTCCCTGCCACCCTAACTGGCACCCATTTTGCAGGTCAGTCGCTCTCCCTGGAAGGAAGAGTATTCTCGGATTTCACCTTGGAGGAGGAAGAGTTCAGGCTGCCAGAACTGGACTAGCACTTCTGAATATCCCGAGGCGAGGTCCTGTGACTTCCTTGGGAAGCTGTGCCGCGCCCCGACCCCACCCCACTTCACCCCAACAGGCCGCTGGAGTCCTGAGACCACCCAGGTCTGCGGCCCAAATCCTTCCTCACTAAGGGGAGGGGAGGGGTGTTCCAGCGGGGCGGGGCGGGAAGGGGACCTTGGGCGGGATTGTGACTTAAGATCGCCCTGGTGACATGGAGCAGATCTGGACCCCAACCTAATAAAGGTGGCGTAAATAAAGGTGTCATTAACGACGGGGCGGGGCGCGTGTTTGTCAGGGGCACGAGCGTCTGGAGGCTGCCAGAATGGCTCCCGCTCAGTGCACGGCGCCAGCGCATGTCATGTCCCAGCAGCGTCCCTGGGGCCCACGGCCCCTCCTCACGTGGCAACTATTGTGGCTACTAGTCCAGTAGGCTCAGCCTCTGGAGTGGATCAAAGACCCGCTCCAGCTGACCTCTAATCCCCTGCGGCCGACTGAGCCCTGGTCTTCCCGCTCCTCGCTCCTCCCATCTCCCGTGGGAATCTCCCCATGCGCTTACTCCCCCGGCAGACCCGAGGGGCTTTGATTACCTGGGGTCCTCTGCTACCTCGCAGATGTCAGCCCCGCCCCATTTGGTTCCATTCCTGGACACGGATTCAGCTGGAGAGCTGCTCCCGGGGCCAAAGCAGTTCTCTGCTGCACACCAGGATCTAAATGACAGGCTGATTCGACAAGAAAGGCTCCCAAAGGCGGTTCCAATGCTGGACTGGGATCAGAACCAGACCCTAGTTCAGCCTCCTCGCCTCAAAAGTAAGGTTCAAACTGCAGGTCTAGATCAGGCTGCAGATCATCAGGCAGATGAAATACTTGTTCCACCTCTAGACAGTAAGGATTCAAAAGCAACCAAGTTTATTGTTTCGCCCAAGAACAGGAAGAAAGATCTAGCTCAGCATCGGAAGCTTGCTAAGGCTGTTGGAACTCCACACCGATTTATATCAAAACCTTAGCAGAATGGGCCGGGCGCGGTGACTCACACCTGTAATCCCAGCACTTTGGGAGGCCGAGGTGGGCGGATCACAAGGTCAGGAGATCGAGACCATCCTGGCTAACACGGAGAAACCCCGTCTCCACTAAAAATACAAAAAATTAGCCGGGTGTGGTGGCGGGAGCATGTAGTCCCAGCTACTTGGGAGGCTGAGGCAGGAGAATGGCGTGAACCTGGGAAGCAGAGGTTGCAATGAACCGAGATCGCGCCACTGCACTCCAGCCTGGGCGACAGAGCGAGACTCTGTCTTAAAAAAAAAAAAAAAAAAAAAAAACCTCAGCAGAATGAATATCCAATTATGGATATACTGTATCCCGGCAGCCTGCCTCCAGAACTCTGGGTGAACTCAGATGAGCCTCCAGGACTGCCTGAGCAAGCTGGACTTTGTCAATTCCATCTAGAGCCCGAAACTCAAAATCCAGAGACCCTTGAAGACATCCAGTCCTCTTCGCTTCAGCAACAAGCCCCAGTGCAGCTTCCACAGCTCTCTGAGGAGGAACCTTCTCTAACCCATCAGGAGGCCCCAGCTCTGCCTTCACAGTCTCTTCAGGGGGTCTACTCTTCTTCAACAGAGCAGGAGGCCCCAGGACAGCAGCGACCTGCCTCTGAAGAGTTTGTAGCTCCGCCATTGATACACCACGAGGTAAATGTTCCATTGAAAAGTTGGAGTGAAGCTCAGCACTCATGCCCGCCCAATGTCACAGTCAAATCTGTGGATATGGAGCTTGCAGTAACTCTAGAGCCAGGTAAGGAACTTACGTCAAGCCAGGAACAGGCTGCAGCTCAGCCTCCAGGGCACCCCGAGGAGGTGGACTCTTCCTTAACCCAATTAGAGGCCCCAGCTCAGACACCAGAGTGCCCTGAGGAGACAAAACCTCCTGCAACCCAGCAAGAGACCCCAGCTGAGCCTCTAGGTTCTCCTGTGGAGGCTGAACCTTCCCCCAGTGAGCAGGAGCAGCCGGCTCAGCCTTCTGAGTTTCCTGGGGGGGTTGAACCTTCTCAGATCCAGCAGGAGGCCCCAGCTCAGACTCCAGAGTCCTCTATGGAGAGTCTAGCTCAAACTCTACTGAATCATGAGGTGACAGTTCAACCTCCAGGTGAGGATCAAGCTCATTATAACTTACCCAACATTAGAGTTAAACCTGCGGATGTGGAGGTTACCATAACTTCAGAGCCTACCAATGGGACAGAATCTTCCCAAGCCCAGCAGGAGGCCCCAGTTCAGCCTCCAGAGGAGGTGGAAACTTCTGTAACCCAACAGGAGGCTGCAACTGAGCCTCCAGGTCCTCCTATGGAGCTTGAACTTTCCCTCAGTGAGCAGCAGCAGCCAGCTCAGCCTTCTGAGTCTTCTGGAAAGGTTGAATCTTCTCCAGCCCAGCAGGAGACCCCAGCTCAGCCTCCAGAACATCATGAAGTCACAGTTTTACCTCCAGGTCACCATCAAGCTCAGCATTCAGATTTGCCCAATGTCACTGTTAGGCCTCCAGACATGCAGCTCACCATAGCAACAGAGCCTAGTGCAGAGGTGGGAACTTCTCCAGTCCACCAGGAGGCTACAGCTCAGCTCTCAGGGCCAATTAATGATGTAGAAATTTCTGCCACCCAGCATGGGGGCCCACCTCTGCCTCCAGAGTCATTGGAAGAGGCTGAGCCTTTAACAGTTCAACAGGAGACTTCAGTTCAATCTCCAGAACCTATTAATAATGAGAACCCCTCTCCAACCCAGCAGGAGGCTGCAGCTGAGCGTCCATAGACCCCTAAGGAGGTTGAGTCTTCTCTAATCCAGTAGGAGGCCCCAGCTCAGACTCCAGAGCTCCCTAATGAAGTTGTAGCTCAACCTCCAGAGCATCATGAGGTAACAGTTTCCCCTCTAAGTCATGATCAAGTTTAGCCTCCAACATTGCACAATGCCACTGTTAAACCTGTGGATCACGTGGTTACCATGACTCCAGATATCACTAATCAGGTTGAAATTTTAACCCAACAAGGGGCCCCAGCTCAGCCCTTAATGTCTCCTGAGCAGTTTCAACATTTGAAATACCAGCAAGAGATTATAATTCAGCAGCTAAATACCCCTGAAAATGATGAACTTACTCCAGTCCATCAAGAGCCCACAACTCAGTCTCCAACTCAGCTCTCCTCAGACTTTGAAAGTTCATTGAATGATGAGATGATATTTTCACTTCTAGATCTGTCTTCAGTATTCAGAAGTAATTCAACTTTGCCTAATACCACAGTTAAAAATGTGGATATGGAGCTTACCATACCTGCAGCGTCACTATGGAAGTTGAACCTTCTCCAGTCCAGCAGGACAACCCTTCTATTCCCACTGAGCAGGCTGACTTTTCTCTAGCCCAGCCTGATCTCCCTTCCCCACCTCTGCATTCTCCTGAAAAGGTTAAATCTCCAGTCCAGCAGGAGGCCACAGCTCAGACTTCAGATTCCCCTAAGGAGGTAGAACCTTTTCCAGTCCAGCAAGAGTTTCCAGCTGAGCCACCAGAGCCCCCTAAGGAGGTTGAACCATCTGCAACCCAGCAGGAAGCCTCAGGTCATCCTCCAAAGTCCACTGAAGAGGTCAGTCCTCCACTGCAGCAGGAGATACCAGCTCAGCCATCAGAGCCACCTGAGAAGGTCGAACCATCTCCAGTCCTATAGCAGGCCCCAACTCAGCTTTTAGAGCCCCTTAAAGAGGTAGAATCCTCTCCAGTCCAGCAGGCAGTCCCTGCTCAGTCTTCAGAACCCCCCTATGGTGATAGAACCCTCTCTGACCCAGCAGATGGCCCCATCTTTGCCTCCAGAGTTCCCTCAGGAGGTAGAACCATCTCTAACTCAGCAGGAGATTCCAGCTCAGATTCCAGAGCCCCCTATGGAGGCAGAACCTTCTCCAACCCAGCAAGAGGCCACAGTTCAGACTCCAGAGCCCCCTAAGGAGGTAGAACCTTCAAGCCAGCAGATGGTCCCATCTCAGCCTCCAGAGCCACCTAAGGAGGTTGCAGCTCAACCTCCAGCTCATTATGAGGTGACAGTTCCAACACAAGGTCAGGATCAAGCTCAGCATTCAATATTGCCCAGTATCACAGTTCAACCTTTGGACCTGGGACTTACCATCACTCCAGAATCCACTACGGAGGTTGAACTTTCTCCAGTCGTCCAGGAGACCCCAACTCAGCCTCCTAAGAAAGTTGTAGCACAACTTCCAGTATATCAAGAGGTAACAGTTCCAACACCAGGTCAGGATCAAGCTCAGCATCCAATGTCACCCAGCATTACAGTTCAACCTTTGGACTGGGACTTACCATCACTCCAGAACCCACTACGGAGGTTGGACATTCTATACCCCTGAAGAAGACTTTAGTTCCTCCAAAGCACCCTAAGGTGACACTTCCACATCCAGACCAGGTTCAGACCCAGCATTCAAACCTGACTCAAGTCACAGTTGAACCTCTGGACCTGGAGCTTACCATAACTACAGAACCTACTACAGAGGTTAAACTGTCTCCAACCACAGAGGAGACCTCAACTCAGCCTCCAGACCCAGGGCTTGCCATAACTCCAGAACCCACTACAGAGATTGGACATTCTACAGCCCTGGGGAAGACTACAGCTCCTCATCCAGATCAGCTTCAGACTCTGCATCGAAAACTGACTGAAGTCACAGGTCCACCTACTGAGCTAGAACCTACTCAGGATTCATTGGTGCAGTCTGAAAGTTACATCCAAGATAAGGCTTTAACTGCACCAGAGGAACAGAAGGCCTCCACAAGCACCAACATATGTGAGCTCTGTACCTGCGGAGATGAGATGTTGTCATGTATTGATCTCAACCCAGAGCAGAGGCTCCGCCAAGTGCCTGTGCCAGAGCCCAACACCCACAATGGCACCTTCACCATCTTGTAAGAATCACCTTTCCTCAATTGTCCTCTGTGTCCTGCCTGACATGGCAGCCTTTTCCTGGAGGCCTTCCTGGGCCACCTTTATCTCCCCAAGCCATAGGGACAACTGACTTTCTGCTTTCACCTTTGCTTGTCAACTCTTCCTTCTCCTCATTCTCTTTTACTGTTAGGCCCCTTCTCCACTCTTTTACTTGTGATTGCTCAGCAACATACATCTTAAATGTACAAATTATTGAGTGAAAGAAGTGATACAGAAAATAATATGTATAACACGATTTCATTTATATAATGTTATATAATGTTCAAGGTGGCAAAACTAAACTATATTGTTTATGACTGACATATAATAGGTAAAACTACATTTTATTTTATTTATTTTTGAGAAAGGGTCTGCGGTGGTGCAAACATGGCTCACTGCAGCCTGGACCTCCCATGCTCAAGCAATCCTCCCATCTCAGCCTCTCCAGTAGCTGGGACTACAGGTGCATACCAACATGCCCAGCTAATTTTTAAATTTTTTCTAGAGACAAGGTCCTGCTGTATTGCTCAGACTGGTCTTGAACTCCTGGGCTCAAGCAATCCTCCTGCCTTGGCCTCCCAAAGTGCTGTGATTACAAGTGTGAGCCACCGTGCCCAGCCGGAACTATTTATTTATCTTATTTTTTTATTTATTTTTATTTATTTATTTTGAGACAGAGTCTCACTCTGTCACCCAGGCTGGAGTGCGATGGTGCTATCTTAGCTCACTGCAACCTCTGTCTCCAAGGTTTAACCGATTCTCCTGCCTCAGCCTCCTCTGAGTAGCTGGGATTACAGGCACACGCCACTACCACCTGGGTAATTTTTGTATTTTTAGTAGAGACAGGTTTTCGCCATGTTGGCCAGGCTGGCCTCAAACTCCTGACCTCAGGTGATCCACCCGCCCCGGCCTCCCAAAGTGCTGGGATTACAGGCGTGAGCCACCGTGCCCGGCCAGAGCTACATTTTAAAAGCAAGAATATTATTACAAAAGTCAGGATAGTGGTTACCTATAACGGTTAGAGAGAGGGATATGATTGGAAAGGGGCACACTGGGGGCTTCTGGGATCATTAATTTATTTCCTTGTTGCTGAAATGAAGACAACCCTCACGGAGTTGTCATCACCCTGGAGAGGAAGGAGACAGCCAAAAGAGAGAAGTATTGTCTTGTAGACTTATTAGATTCACATAGTATATCGTCCTTCTCCAGCATGTAAGGCGTTGTCTAAATAGGTCCAGTTAAAGCACTACAGGGTAGCCATTTTTAAAAAAAATTGTTGGCCACATTTTTAAGTTCACAGGGGAGGGGGAATGTCTCACACTCCAGCCCTCCTGAGCCTAGGCCTTCTGTGAGATGTGTCACCCTTTCTTGGACACCATATTGAAATGAGAAAAGTTCCTTTGGGCCCCTCGCAGGGCGTGGGACAGGGAGAGTGACTTGGTTCTTCAGTGCCCTGCTGCTCAAACCTTGAGGGGAGCATACAGACAGGCAGGCTTTGGGGCTCCAACCCCATGGCAGTGTCTAGGGGTGAATGCTTACAGCTCCTGAAGCCCCAGTGGGCATGTGTTACCGTGTGCTCTTTTAGTTTTGCCGTCTATAGGCGGCTTATGTTAACTAGCTCAACTAGACCCTCTACCTTGTCGCCAGGACAGAGGGCTGTCTGTATCCCAGGTTCTTGCCTTGGTGTACCAGAAGAATTGGATCACACCTGGGCTTGGAGAATGAGTGCAAGATTTTATTGAGTGAAGGTAGCTCTCAGCAGATGGGGAAAGCCAGAAGGGGGTGGAGTGGGAAGGTTTTCCCCTGGAGCCGGGCTGCTGAGCAGCCCAGGCTGTCCTCCCACTGCCTCAGCCAAACTCTGCCTCGTTCTGCTGTTCTGCCGGTTGGTGGCCTGCCTGGCGTGCTCCCCTCCACGCCCTCTTGATGTCCAGCTGCTTGTGTCTTCTTCTGCCGATCTGCTCCTGTCCATGTCCTTGTATGTGTGCCTGCAAGTGTCTCAGGGTTTTTATAGGCACAGGATGGGGGCGTGGCAGGCCAGGGGAGGTCTTGGGAAATGCAACATTTGGGCAGGAAAACAAAAATGCCTGTCCTCACTTAGGTCCGTGGGCACAGGCCTGGGGGTAGAGCCCTAGCCAGGGACTACACACCCCCACCCAGCACTCTCCTTCCCCCCTTCCGTGTCATTTAAAGGGACCACATCCTTCTGTATCATTTCCCACCTCTGAACAGGTATATCTAACTGTTGTTAGAATACGGACAATGACTGGTCTTTTGCAGGAACATGGATGGAGCTGGAGGCCATTATCCTCAGCAGAAAACCACATACAGCATGTTCTCACGTAAGTGGGAGCTAAATGATGAGAACTAATGATCACAAAGAAGGGAATAACAGACACTGGGGCCTACCTAAGGATGGAGGGTGGGAGGAGAGAGAGGAGCAGAAAAAACTACTGGGTACTAGGCTTAGTACCTGGGTGACGAAATAATCTGTACAACAAACCCCTGTGACACAAGTGTACCTATATAACAAATGTGCACATGTATCCCCTAAGTTTTAAAAAAGTGCACATGTATCCCCTAAGTTAAAAAAAAAAAAAAAAAGCCAGGCGCAGTGGCTCATGCCTGTAATCCCAGCACTTTGGGAGGCCGAGGCGGGTGGATCATGAGGTCGGGAGATCGAGACCATCCTGACTAACATGGTGAAACTCCATCTCTACTAAAAAAATACAAAAAAAATTTGCCGGGTGTGGTGGCGGGCGCCTGTAATCCCAGCTACTTGGGAGGCTGAGGCAGGAGAATGGTGTGAACCCGGGAGGTGGAGCTTGCAATGAGCCGAGATTGTGCCACTGCACTCCAGCCTGGACAACAGAGCGAGACTCCGTCTCAAAAAAAAAAAAAAAAAAAGTTAAATGTGCACATGTATACCCTAAGTTTAAAAAAAAAAAAAGGAAAAAACATCTGGAAAAAAAGAAAAATGATAAATTAGAAAAAAAAGAAGACAATGCTCCTAGCATCCCCATCATTCAGGAATTTCCAAGGGTTTTAGGAGCTTTGTGTTAGGAACTGGGGGCAGAGACCAATATATATTTATATTTCTTTTTATGTTACACTACCCCAGATAGGAAAACAGAAATTACTCTAGATATTTCAAACAAATAGGGGTTGTATATAGGCAATTAGTGCTTATCACTGGAGGGGCTAGAGATGGTGAAGGTTGGGGGGAGGGGGTTGCACCACTGGCTTTCAGGCTACTTTACCACAGCTGATTTCCAGAGGATGGAAGAAGTCAGAAAACTTGGGAAACCGCTGCTGAGGTCCTTGCAGCCCCACAGTCCCCAGGCTGGTGACTGGTGGGGGAGTATGGAGTCCAGCTGATCACCAGAGGCCTGCACGCCTGCTGCTACGGGGGAAGAAAGGATGACTTCTACCTCCTTTCCACATTCCAAATTCCATGTGACTACATTTTATTGGCAGCACCCTGCTGGCAAGCGAGCCTTGATGTGTGCTTCCTGGGCTCCGGCACCTGCACAGAAAGGGCTGAAATTGGTAGGTGTTTGGGTGTCCGAGGGTTTGCAAAAGAAGAAGGCATGGAGTCTATGGTGGAGTCACATGGTGGAGATCTAGCTAAGTCAGAGGCCTGGAGAGGTGTCATTCTAGCTGGGCGGCAGGTGACACACAATCATCCCGAGTTGATTGGAAAAACACCTGGGATTGACCCGGAGTTTGTTCTGGAATGTTTTCACTGGAATGAAAGCTGAGCGGTCCGCAGGCCATATAGTATTGGAGAAAACATAGCCCTCATTCAAAAAGGCTGCCAGAGAAAAGGTGTCCACAAGGAAATTCAGGGGTTTTGTTTGTTTGTTTTGGGATTTTTTCTGGAGACAGTCTCACTCTGTCACCCAGGCTGGAGTGCAGTAGTGTGATCTCAACCTCCACCTTCCAGGTTCAAGTGATTCTCCTGCCGTAGCCTCCCAAGTAGCTTGGATTACAGGCACCCACCACCACACCCAGCTGATTTTTATTTTTATTTTTTGTAGAAACAAGATTTCACCATGTTGGCCAGGCTGGTCTTGAACTCCTGACCTCAAGTGATCCTCCTGCCTTGGCCTCCCAAAGTGCTGGGATTACAGGTGTGAGCCACCACGCCCAGCCAGGAAATTCAGTTTCTGAAAATACACCTGTGGATCTCTAGCCTTGAACATCCTTGTGTGCTGCTTTAAATGGCTGATCCTCAATGCCTCCCTTCCAACTCACACACGCTCGCTCCCCTACATCAATCTCCCAGAAAAAGGAACCTATTTTATTCTTTTCTTTTCTTTTTTTTTTTTTTTTTTTTTTTTAGAGACAGGCCTCACCTTGTTGCCCAGGCTGGTTTTGAACTCCTGGCCTCAAGTGATCCTCCGGCCTTGGCCTCCCAAGTTACTGAGTTCACAGGCGCGAGCCACCACGACCAGTGAAGCCTATATTAAGCCCTTTTATGCTCACTCTGCGATACTGCAGAGAGGGCAGGGAGGAAGCAGAGGTGCCCTGGCATCTTCAGCTGGCGGTGAGCAGGGCGCTGAGGGTGGGAGAGGCCGGGCGCCTGGGGATGGGAGGCAGGACCGCACCTTCACAGGGATGCTGCCACCCTACCCCGGAGGTCAGGGCCTCTCGCCCAGCTCTGGCTCTGAGGTCCTGGAGGGAGGGAGATGCTGTTGCGACTCAGAAGATCAGGGGAGGGCCACCCCCATTCGAGAAAAGTGAAAATCCTGAGCCTGAAGCAGAAGTGGAGACGGTTGGAGCGGAGGCTTCAGAGGGTGGCGTTGGGAAGAGGGTCTGGCGCCGCCGTGTGGACTGTTCGGGCTCACGGGGCTGAAGGCTCCGAAGACCGAGACCTGTGAACCGTGGGGAGGCTCCATGCGGATGGGGGCCACAGCCCCCGCCGGAGCCCCCACACTAGCCCTGGACTTCTCCACCGGCTTACGACATGATAGCTCAATAAGCTCCTTATTTAACGCACTGTTGTATCAGGTCCCTGTCGCAGCCACTGGCCCTATAGCCTAATAAAGGAGCGGGTGCACGCATTGGATTGGTGAGCTACCGCCACAGCAACAAGTCCTAATCAACCATCCCAAACGGTGGCTGGAACAAGGTTCTCGCAGGCCTGTGCTTGGGCTTGAACGCTGGGCCGGCCGCTGCGCTCTGTGGCTCCCTGCAGACCTGCGGATCGGCCAGGGGGCTCCGATCCTTTTGGGCCGTGGCTGAAGAAGCAGCGGCTGCACCAGAGAAGTCCTTCTGGGTGAAGGTGGAAGCGCACAGGGACCGCGGAACCGCCCAAGGCGTCTTCCGGCGTAGGCTCAGAACTGGCAGGCTTTCGTTTCTGCTTCATTCCATGGCCAGAGCAAGCCACGTGGGCAAGCCCGAAACCAGGGGGCGGGAAAGTACCCTCCACCCACAAGGAAACCATGGCAAGCGGTGGTTGCAGGTAGGGCTGAGGAATTGGGGCCGATAGTTCTATCTATCCCGGTGAGTGAGGAGACCTGCTTTGGGGGTTGCACAGTCTGGGTCTGCCCTTGCAGTGGTATCTGTCTCTGTGAAGACTCCACCACGGGTCGCCATCAGGTCAGAGACCCTGACAAGGTAAGAATTTGCATTTTCCTCTGCACACAACCCTGTTCCCTTCCCCTCCGCATGCCTAACACAACACTCCCTTCCCCCCCATGCCTAACAGAGAGAAAGGAGAGAGACAGTTCTTGAGCCCGGTTCTTCCTGCTTGAGCTTGGTGTGTCAACCAAAAGAGTCAAACTCTGTAAAATATTTGAAGGGATTTATTTTGAGCCTACTATGCATGACCAATGGCCCATGACAGCCTTCAGCAGATCCTGAGAACATGTGCCCAAGGTGATCAGGCCACAACTTGGTTTTATGTGTTTCAGGGAGACATCGGACATCAATAATATATGCGACATGTACAGTGGTTTGATCTGGAAAGGCTGGACAACTGGAATGGGGTTGGGGAAGTGGACGACTTCCAGGTTATAAGTAGATCGAAAGATTTTCTGATTGGCAATTGGTGGAAAGAGTTAAATTACTGTCTAAAGACTTAAAATCAACAGAAAGGAATGTTTGGGTTAAGATAAGAGATTGTGGAGACCAAGGTTTTATCACGCAGGTGAAGCCTCCAGGTGGCAGGCTTCAGAGAGAATAGACTGTAAATGTTTCCTTTCAGACTTAAAGAGTCTGTTCTATCAGTAAGTCCAAAAGGAGGGATCGTATAATTAGGCATGACTGGGCTCCCCTTCCCATCATGGCCTGAACTAGTTTTCAGGTTAACTTTGGAATGCCCTTTGCTGAGTGGAGAGGAGGAGTCCATTCAGATGGTTGGGTGAGCTTAGAATTTTATGTTTGGGTTTCAGTTGGCATCCAGTATCCCTTCCCCCAAGTTTGGGGCCCCTCCCAAAGGAGATAGGCCTGGGTCTCTCCTCACATCCTTGGGGGTCTCAGAACTGCAGACTCAAACCTTTTGCCTCAAGGAATCCCTTTGATGATTTGCATAAACCCTTGGGAGGCTGCAGGGGGGCTGCTCTGGAGCTGAGACACAGCGAGTCAATCTCCCTCCATCCCCCTTTTGTCTTGTTCTCACCCTGAGGCTGCAGGCCTCAAGTTTTTTGGCTGGATTCTTCCCAAAGCAGGTTGGGGGTGCAGGTACTGTAATCACCTGATGGGTTCTTCCTGCCTACTGCACAGACAAAACCAATCCACTGAGACCATGGCATTGCAGTAAAGAAAGAGTAATTGACACAAGGCCGGGCACACAGGAAATAGTTATTACTCAAATCGGTCTCCCCCAAAACTTGAAGATTAGTTTTTCAAAGATAGTTTGGTGGGCAGGGTCTAGGGTAGGGTAGAGGTGCTGCTGATTGGTTGGGCATGCAGATATAGGGGTATGGAAAATGGTCCTTGAATGCTGAGTCTGCTTCTGGTTGGCAGCCACAGGACTGGTTGAGTCACGAGTCTCGATGGAGCCAGAAATGCATAAAGAAACATCTTTCCTTATGCAGATGTTGATCAGCTGTGCTTACACATTCCTTTGTAAGGACAGGACAGTCTCCCCTAAGTTAGGGGACAAAAGTGACTCCTACTGATGGCATTAGCTCTGCCCCTACTCTCAGATGCAATGCCAGGGACTGTGAGGACTAGAGACCCTGGAGCTGCTGGCTGGGTGTGGTCGGGGGCCAGTTATCAGCCTCTCTGAACTCCATGTCCTTAGTACTAAACAGAAGCCCCTTTTGCAGGGTGGGCACTGGGAAGCACTGTTGGGGCCATCCTTTGTTGGTGGCCTCTTCTCTTCCATCTCCTCTGGGTTTTCACGGCTTTTTCAGGAGCAGGCCTTGCCACCCTGAGTGCCCTCCATGACCACAGCTACCTTCTGAGGAAAGAGGCCTCGGGGGTCCTCTCTGCATGTAGTTGCCGGGCAGGCCTCGCCTGGCTGTATATGGGAATCACCTGGGGAACGTTACAAACCACTATTGTGTTGCCCTGCCTCCCAGAGATTCTGCACCTTGTATTAACTGAGCACCTAGAGCCAGGTGTGGTGATGCACACCTGTAGTCCCAGCTACTCAGGAAGCTGAGGTGGGAGGATTCCCTGAGACCAGGAGTTCAAGATTAAGCCTGGGGAAACTACTGAGACCCCCATCTCAAAATTAATTAATTAAAAAATACTGAGCACCTACTCAATGGCCAGCACTGAACTAGGTGCTGGAGTTACAGTGATCACTAAGATATAATTGTTGTCCTCGAAGAACTTCAGTCAGGTGGGAATAGATATTTATTGAATGGAATAATATTTCAAGAAATATCTACCAAGAGGCCACTTCTTGGAAATCCCTGTTGGAAAGATTTTTATCTTTTTTATGAGCAGAGTGCAAAGTTGTCTCTTTAGATGGATGAATTTTGAAGGGAAGTTAGTAATCTAGTTCCTATCCCCCAACCTCCCATTTTACAGACGCAAAAACCAAGGCCAAACAGCTGAGTTTTCTGCCCTGGAGGAGGAAAGTGGTCTCTGAAAGCCAGAAGACTCTCACATTACATAATTCCTGCCAGCTGCTGTCAAGAGCTGCTAAGCTGTCCTCAAGTCCTGTGTCTGATGTCAAGCTAATAACAGATTTAGGGTGCATTAGTAAAGGTATCTTAATCAAGTCTAGATGCCTTCGAGATTAGACTCAGCCATGATGAGCAGCTAAGGATTAGCAAGAAAGATTACAAATTGTTTCCAGGAATTTATTTCTTTCAACACTGATTATATGTATAGTCTTAAGTCAAATTAAAATGTTGTTTATGTTCAGCTGTTTTTGTGAGTTATCACAGTTTTGTCAATTGAAAAATAATTGATGGAAAACTAAGTCAATCTCTTTACTAAGCTTTTTACTAAGCTTACCCGCTAAGCGTGGCTTCCACCACTCGCTTTCTGTGTGATCCTGGGCAAGTCATTGAACTCTTCTGACCTTCAGCTGCTTCATCTATAAAATGAAGGTAATGATAGTACCTGCAAAGCGAGGTGCAGCATCTGCAGTGGAGCCTGAGGCCAACTGCCTGGGGTCAAGCCCCAGCTCTACACTGACCCATGTGATGCCTTTGGACAAATTACTTGACCTCTTTGCTTGTTTCTTTATCTGAGGTCTGCTGCCAAGAACCTGCAGATTCCCAGTCTGCCTTGGGTGATGGCGGGTGCTCCTACAGTCTGTACTGGTGAGGGTGGGGACAGCCCCCCACATGGCTCTGGCCTGGAAAAAGGCCATTTTTGGGGAGGGGTGGATGGCAGCTTCTCCCCTTCCCAGGGCTCCACATCTCCCCATACCAGTACCTCAGGGAAGCGAGCTGGAAGTAGAGGTGTCAGAGGGCTTGAAGCCCCTATGGGGTGGCAGGGAATGGGCAGGAGGTTCCCCGCTCTGTCCTCAGGCACCTCAGAGAGGAGAGGTGCACAGGGTGAGCCCAGGGTAGGTGAACCCCAATGAGGAGGGCAACGAGAAGATCCCTGTGGGGCGTGGGGGAGGCTGGACCTGGGCAGTTGGTGCCAAGCAGGGCTGGGGACAGAGTCGCTGGGTGGTCAAGGCAGGGGAGGGGCAGAGAATAGCTCTGGGATGGACTGTCCTGCATTCCTAGGAAGGGATATGGCCAGGGCACGGCCTGGGTGCCCAGGGCTCCCCCATCATGGCTCACAGCGCATTTTTATCAGGCCACGCAGTGGTCGCAGAGCCTGCGAGGTGGATATTATCCTGCCCGTTTAACAGCAGGGAAAGCCCAGGACAAATGGCTTGCCTGAGGCCACCCAGTGTTCTCCACAGCCCTGGCCCCCTCTTCTGTCTGGGCTCCAATCTACTCTGTAAGCACTGCGTTGGTCCAGGACAAGCGGGGAGGGAAGCAGCATAGGATGTGTGCATACATGAGTGTATGTGTGAGTATGTGTATGTGAGAGTGTGTCTATGAGTGTGTGTATGAGGGTGTGTGTATGAGTGTCTGTGTTTGAGTGTATGTGTATGTGTGTGTCCAAGAGTGTGTATCCAAGAGTGTCTGTGAGTGTATGTGTATGTGTATGTCAGTGTATGCATGTATGTATGTGTGTACATATAAGTGTGTATGTATCTGTGTGTGAGTGTGTGTACTCAAATGGGTAAATGTGTGTATGAGTGTTATATATGTGTGTATTTGAGTGTGTGTGTCTGAGTGTGTCTGTGTGTATGTGAGTGTGTAGGTGTATGTGTGTGTTTATGTGTGTATGTGAGTGTATATGTATGTGTGTCTGAGTGTGTGTGTAGTGTATGTATATGTGAGTGTGTGAGTGTGTGTATGTGTGTATTTGAGTGCCTGTGTCTGTGCGTGTATGTGAGTGTGTGTAGGGATATGTGTGTGTGTATATGTGAGTGTGTGAGAGTGGTGTATGTGTATGAGTGTGTCTGAGTGTGTGTGTGTAGGGTGAGTGTGTATATGTGAGTGTGTGTGTGTCTGTATATGTGAGTGTGTGCACGCATGCATGGTGTATGTATATGTACAGCTCTCCTCCAGGTCACTAGTTCAAGCGGGGACACTCCTCTGATCTGTCTCCAAAGAGCAACTCAAGTGCCTCATGCGGTCCCCAGGGCATCTAACTGCGTCTACTTTCTGCTTTGATCCCCTCTTCAACTCCTACTGTTCAGAAGCTTCCTGCACTCCCTCACCCACTCCCTCATCAATCTCTGCCCTGTCCAGGGTCTACAGGGACACTTCAAATTATGGTTGGCTTGTAGGGGGGCTCCAGCAATAGACACTGGGTCATTGGGGTGGTTAGCAGGACTCCCCCCACTCCCAGGGTTTGCACTGACTTTTAAAAATTATTATTATTACTACTATTACTATTATGAGAGATTGGGGTATCACTATGTTGCCCAGGCTGGTCTTGAACTCCTGAGCTTAAGGGGTCCTCCTGCCTCAGCCTCCTGAGTAGCTGGGACTACAGGCATGCACCCCACACCCCGATGCACCGACTTTTGCAAGCTCTTCCCCACTTTGGCGATGGGCCACCTGTTACTGGCCCCTCACGTGATGCCCATATCAAAGCCCTTGGCACTTCAGTGGAGGTGCTGGAGGGAGAGGAGGAAAAGAGAAGTGGGTGGCACAGATGGATGTGGGCAAGGTGCCAGTAAAGAGTGTGTGGGCAGCGAGAAGAGGACATGCTATCTGTAACAGATACCTGGGGCTCCAGAAGCCCTGGGGTGGATCCTGCCTTCCGCAGGAGAACCTGAAGTCAGCCAGGACACAGCAGACAGCCAGAGATAAGGACTAACCACCCACGGCCCGCTGGCACCTAGCTAGAACCTGCCTAGACCTACTCCCAGAAGGGAACTGCGTTTATAGAACACCTTCTGTGTGCCTGGCACATGGCAGCCACTCTACCTCTGTCCTCTCCCAAAGTTGTTATCCCTATTGTACAGATGAGGAAATTGAGGCTTGGCAAGGTTATTTAACTGGCCTAAGACACACACATGAAGTGGCTGAGCCAGGATTTCAACACAAAATTGTCTGGTTCCAGAACTTCCCACCCCAATAGGGAGGTGGGCAGACTAAAATCAGGAGGCAAGGGAAAGTGCAATTGTTGGGCCAGGTGGAGGAACAGATGCTGCTTACAAGAGAGGTTTTGGGGCTCTGCCCTCTAGAAAGGCAATCTGACATGAACGCAGGCCAGGCTGGTGGTAATGGTAGTGGTAGTGGCGGAGGAGGCTTCAATTTCTGTCTTGAGGTTGTGGGATGAGCAAGAGGCCAGGAAACTTGGTCCTTCACGGAGGCCTTGGTTTAGTCCTGGTGGGAAGGCAAAGCTGTCTGGATCCATTCCTGTCTGGATGCCCTGTTGAGGCGGGGACTAGGGAGGACGGCATAGCTTTTCCTTTAGAACAGTGGTTTCCAAAGTGGGTGTGCACCTAGGGGTGTGCAAGATGATCCTTTTGGGTATGGGAAGACAAAATTGGAATTTCTATTTATAGTTAAAAAATTAATCCTGGCCTGGTGCAGTGACTCACACCTGTAATCTCAGCACGTTAGGAGGCTGAGGCAAGTGGATCACTTGAGCCCAGGAGTTTAAGGCCAGCCTGGGCAACATGGCAAGACTCTATCTCTACAAAAAATTAAAAAAAAAATTCTCCAGGTGTGGTGGCATGCAGCTGTGGTCCCAGCTACTCTGGAGGCTGAGGCAGGAGGATGGCTTGAGCCTGGGAGGTCCAGCCTGCAGTGAGCTATGATCATGCTACTGCATTCCAGCCTGGGCAACAGAGTAAGACCCTGTCTCAAAATATGTTTATTTATTTATAAATAAAATGAAAATAAAAATTCATCCCTATGTGTGTGATTTCTAATATGCATACTAATTAGTTGAATAACACAAATATAGTTTATAGGCAAATATTTATATAATTTTATATAGTCCATTGAAGGCTCTAATTTTTTTTTTTTTAAATACGGAGTCTCACTCTGTCGCCCAGGCTGGAGTGCAGTGGCGCAATCATGGCTCACTGCAACCTCTGCCTCCCGGCTTCAAGCGATTCTCCTGCCTCAGCCTCCCAAGTAGCTGGGATTACAGGCGCCCGGAACCACTCCCAGCTAATTTTTGTATTTTTAGTAGAGACAGGGTTTCATCATATTGGCCAGGCTGGTCTTGAACTCCCGACCTCACATGATCTGCCCACCTCGGCCTTCCAAAGTGTTGGGATTACAGGTGTGAGCCATGGCACCTCGCCCAAGTTTTTTTTTTTTTTTTTTTTTTTTTTTTTAAGTATAGTCCATAAATAAGGTTTCCAGAACTAGGCACTGGCCAGTCGCAGGTGTGGAGGCGAAGCACCTCAGAGGCTGGGTGTAGATAAACTGGGAATAGCTGTTGGTGGCCCCTGCTGGTCATTATAGGAAGTGCACCATCACTCAGTGCAAAGCCTTACCTGCTGGAAATTTGTAACACTTTTGAGTTTTATTTTTCTCTGTGCCTTGACTCCCAAAACTCTGGGCTGAACACCACCATAGGAATACCTTGATTTTGGGGGAAGGAGATATACTACCTGCACCTTTATGACCTCTGAGGCTGAGGCAGGGAGGAAGGCAGAGCTAATTACAAACCTCAGAGAAGGAGGACTCATTCCCCTCTTGAGGTAGGGGGCAGCCCTTAACTACTAGGGGATGCATTGCCGACCTTCAAACCTGCTTCCCTTCCCAGCTACTCCATTGCCAACCATTAGCAGCTCTATTCCTTTGGGGAACAGCTTAGGACACACTGCACCTTTATTATGGCATTCAGCTGTGCTACCAAGAAGCGCTTTTTGTATCTATGTAACACACTCCTTTCCGACTTCAACCCCAGACTGTGAACTCTAGGAGGTTAGGGCCCTTATCTCAGTATCACAGTAAGTGGTACCTTGCCTGGCACAGAAGAGGAGCATCCTATTCTGCATCAATAAATGTTTCTTCTCATTCTGTAACTGCACAAGGCTGTTGTGAGAATGAAACAATTTGTCAATTGTAAGGTCCTGAACAGATGTGAGAGGCTGGCATTCTGCAAGGCCTTTATTAGAGAGATACTTGTTGACCGACGAATGCAGTGGGGCAGCCGCTAAGAATAATGAGTTGGGCTCCACCTCCCCAGGTGGGCCAGAATCTGAGATCCCAGACTGTCCTGAGGATCCTAAATGGAATGGAAGATTTGATGTGGGTCGCTATGGAGGTAATAATTGCTTGATTAAGAAGTAATTAATATCTTGTAGAGATTCAAGATCCTTCCTCTTCCAAAATACAAATAGCTGAGTGATTTCCAGCCCAGAGGTGGACAGGTGACAGTGGAGGGTAGCCTTTATAATGGAAAGGGGAACTCTTCCTGAATTCAATTATAAGGATTTTCTAGGCCGGGTGCAGTGGCTCATGCCTGCAATCCCAGCACTTTGGGAGGCTGAGGTGGGCAGATCACCTGAGGTCAGGAGTTCGAGACCAGCCTGACCAACATGGAGAAACCCTGTCTCTACTAAAAATACAAAATTAGCCAGGCATGGTGGCGCATACCTGTAATCCCAGCTACTCGGGAAGCTGAGGCAGGAGAATTGCTTGAACCCGGGAGGCAGAGGTTGCGACGAGCCGAGATCATGCCATTGCACCCCAGCCTGGGCAACAAGAGCGAAACTCCGTCTCAAAAAATAAAAATAAAAAAGAAGAAGAAGAAGAAGGATTTTCTAGCTTGCAGATAGAGGAAAGAGCTGCAAGCAATGCGCTCCAAGAACCCTCTTTGTTTAGAGACCAAAGCCTGCAATTCCTGTCAAAGCTATCTGGGTTCGATGGCTTTCTTCTCTCAGTAAAAGCCTGGGTCACCTAAACAATGTGGTTTTCAGCAGTTCGGCCGCCTCTGTGGCTTTTTCCTATATCCAAACTTATACCCTTGGAACTCAGGGGAGAGCTGAGTCTTGGAACCCAGGGACCAGTCCCCTGCTTTCGGGATAGATTCCCATTTCTGAGATTTCCAAGCAAGTTTCCAGAATGTAATCCATTTCTTTTCTTTTTGTTTCTTTTGAGACAGGGTCTCACTCTGTTGCCCAGGCTGGAGTGCGGTGTTGCAATCTCGGCTCACTGCAGCCTCAGCTTCCCAAGTAGCTGGGACTACAGGCGCGCGCTACCACGCCCAGCTAATTTTGTTTATTTTATTTTTTGTAGCGATGGGGTTTCACTATGTTGCTTGGGCTAGTCTCGAACTCCTAGGCTCAACCGATGCTCCCGCCTCCGACTCCCAAAGTGTTGGGATTATGGGAGTGAGCCACCGCGCCCGGCCAAAGATGCAGTCCATTTATGATCTTAGGAATCCAGTTAGCAAGGAAAAGGGATGACTCTCACATTTTGTTCAGGGCAACTGGACGGGGTGGCTGAACGCCGAGGTCGGAGAAGTAGCGTAGCTGGCCCCAAATGCTAGTCGCACTGCACAGAGCCTCCCGTATTTGGAGGCCCAGCATCTTTTACTAGCAGATGTGGGGTGGAGCCGGAGGCTGGGCGAAGGCGGGCCAGTGGGTTTAACCCTTTATTTACTTTTTGGGCTGGGACTCTGAGGAAGGCTAGCCAGTTACTTCTTTATTCCATAGGCAGGAAAATGGACCAGGCCTCCCTCACCTAGACCTAAAAGAGGCTCTCGAATCCTTTCAGGAAGACATTTCCTCTTTTTTGCAAAATTTCTGGAAAGTCTGGAATCCGGATATCCACCCTCTGAGTCCTTAAAAAGCTGCCCCTGATCCCGAGGCCTTCTGGGGCTGGTATCCTGCTTCCTGGGAGTCTCTCTGAAGTCCTCCTATTCTTTTTCTCAATATGGAAGCAGGATAACGAGGAAAAGTGAGGCACGCCTGGAACTAGAACGCCGGTCTAAGCCAAGATGGGTGGGCGGAGTAATCAAGCCGGTCTCATTAGGCACTTTTACCATCGCCCCTTTAAGGGATCCTTGGGAGCCGAGGGGCACCAGCGGGTACTGGTACCAGTCCTGCCTCCCTAACCCTTCCCAGTGGGACTCCAGCAGGGCGTCGTGGTCTGTGCGGTGTCTCCCAAACCACTACCTGGCTGCCCCCGTACCAGCTGCTGGGAAAGACTACTTCCTCCGAGTTGTGCCGGCCTCCGCGTTCTCCTCACCTCCCCTCTCCTCCGGACCTCCGCCCCCTCGCGGAGAGGCCTTGCCGCTTTAAGAGCCGGGCTAGCGATTGACAAGCAATAAACGCTGAGCGCCCGGCTGCGCTGGAGCCGCCCGGAGCTAGGGGCTTCCCGGGGCGCAGGTAGGCGTCCCCCGGCCCCCGGGCCAGCTCCTATCCCAAGACCTCCGCCTTCTTTTCGTCCTGACACGGCACTTAGGACCCTATTCACTGGGTTTAAACTCCACAGGCCCCTTTCACCCAGGCCCGTTCCCTCCCTGTCCACCCGCCCCCGCCCCTGGGCCCTCTTTCTGGGGTGCTGGTTGGGAGAACCAAGCCCCGCTGCCCATTGACACTGGTCCCCGCCCCTGCGGTAGGGGCTCCAAAGTGGCTTCAGGCACCAAGGTGGTGAGCTGTGAGGGGCCCCGGTATCTGCGCGGCCTCCCCGGGGGCTGTGCGGGTTGGGGGTACTTAGAAGCCCGGCATTACGTAAGAACCGTGCTGTTAGCGCTTCCGGGGGTTGGGGAGCGAGACAGAGGTTGCGCTGGGTCCCGGTGGCCCCCTGGTCCCCCTAGGCAGCTAACACCACAATCTTCCCTGGGAGGGGGTCCGCAGAAGGGCGCGCGCTGCTTCTCCCGCTTCCCAAGCTGTAGCGGGGCGGGTCGGGAGCCAGGGTTAGGGTCTGGAGACTTGGGAGGGGACCGGTGCCAGAAGCGAAGAGCTAGGGTTAGAAAGTTAGGTCAATTAAGGGGGGGGCGGTGCGGATAAAGACGGGGTGGGGGTTGGCCGGGGCAGTCATTTAGTGACCTCATCCCTGGTCTCCGGCGGGCGCGCACGTAGAGAGCCTTCTTTGATGGCTCACAACACGCCCCCCTCCCCCAGGTCCTAGCGCCCAGGGTGTTAGGGCTGGGTCCGTTGGGGCAGGGGTGATCTGATGGTCCAAGCATGCACGTCCGCCTGGCCTTTCGACCCCATCCTCTGGCCCTCAGTTCTGTCCAGACCTCCCCGCGACCTCTCGCTCTCCAAAGCGCCTTTGTCAGACCTTTCTTCTCCGCACCTCTTTGTATGTGTATGGATGGAGGGATGGGTGGGAGGTTGGAAGAAACCTCTCCCTTTCACTGCTGGTCCGCTCGCCTGCGGACACTATGGGTGATGTGGATATCTCGGAGGCAGAGCTGAGAGGGCATCTGGGCCCAGGCTTTTGGAAGCCGAGGTGCAGGTTCCCAGATGTCTGGGTGCAGGACCTTGGCACGGAGCCAGGCTAGCTTGCCTGGCACTGCCGTTCTCCTGTGGACACAGCCAGGCCCCGCCCTCTCAGAGGCTTGGACGGGCGTGGGGGAGCAAAGCCAGCCGATGCTCTGGGAACCGATTCCCCGGGAGAAAACCCAGGCAGGCTGGGCAAGACTTCCGAGCGCAGGGATTTCATACAGGATCCTCCCTGCCTTTTCCCGCCCTCCACGCTCTAGGGAAGGAGGACTTCTGGAGTCCCTTCTCTGACCCTGTGAGGGAGAGCAGCGCCAGCCAGGAGAAGGCTCCAGGTCATCAAGGCCTGGGAGGGGGAGGGAAGGGATCCCTCCTCCCTGCTCTCTAGGAGTAGAGATTGGCACCAGGGGCACGGGCCAGCACAGTGGATCCTGGGCATTTCTTCCAGCCTGGGTGTAGCCTGAATAGGGGTGCCCTTCCTCTCCCTGAAAGCACCTTTATTCCATGTCCTCAGCGGCAGAGCTGGGAGGAAAGGGAACCATCCCCCTCACTTTTGTAATTTCTGTCACCTGAGCTCAGGTGACCAGCTCAGGCCTGAGAAGGGAATGGGAGCAGAGAGGGTTTTATTGAAATCAGGTACTAGTCCTCTGGGAAGAATCCTCTTTTGGGGGGAGGTGGAGTTGCCGTGGTTCCCCCACCCCCAGGACTCAGCAGGCATTCAGTCCTAAAGTGGGCACTGCCAGATGCTTCCCCCCACTCCCCACCCCTGCTGTGAGCCACTGCCTCCTGTTGTCATGGCAACTGGGAATTAGGGTTTTATCCAGCAGCACATGCCCAGGAAGGCAAAGGGAAGAAGGGTGGGGGGTAACCCCCTGCCCTCTCCTGGGAGAACGAGGGAGCCACTCCTAGCCTGGGGAGGCCCTGGAATGGAAACTGGGGCTGTAGACTCCATGCTTGGTTCTGCCCAGAGCACTTGGTCTCCTTGTGCCAGCTCTGAGCTAAGAAAGGGAGAGAGGAGAGAGAGCCAGCCAGAGGGGCCGTGGAGAGGTAGATATCACTCTGTCAGCCCCCCAGATAAATGTGGAACATCGGCGCTTTGGTAGGCCTAGGTTCCAGAAGCAAATAAAATCAATGTGGTTCTGACTCTCAGGGAACCTGCAGTCTAGGAGTACTCATGTTTTCTACTTTGGCTCAAATTCTGGACTCTTTTATTATTTTTTAAATGACTTTTTTTTTTTAAGACAGGTTCTTGCTCTGTTGCCCAGGCTGGAGTGCAGTGGCGCAATCATGGCTTACCGTAGCCTCGACCTCCTGGGCTCAAGAGATCCCCCTGCCTCAGCCCCACAAGTAGCTGGGATCATAGGCATGCACCACCACACCTGGATAATTTTTAATTTTTTTGTAGAGATGGGGGTCTCGCCATGTTGCCCAGGTGGGTCTCAAACTCCTGGGCTCAGGTGATTCTCCTGCCTCAGCCTCCTAAAGTGCTGGGATTATAGGCGTGAGCCACCTTGCTCAGCCAAATTATAGTCTTACCCTCTAAAAATTCTACTTGTTTCCTCTTCAAAAAACAAACAAACAAAAAATACAACAGGAAGAAACACTTTATTTATATACTTATTTTTGAGTCATAAAACCTGGATTTTCATTTTAGCTCTCCTTATTAGCTTTGTGAACTTGGGCAAATCAGTTAACCTCCCTTATCCTCCCTGGTCTCCTCCTCCTCAGAGAAATAGGCGAGTAATACCTGCTCTTCCTGCTTCCCAGGACCGTTGGAATCATTGTTGTTCTCCAACCCCCACTTTCTGGGCAGCACCTTCTCCCCTACCTTTCTGGCTCGTCCTGAAGGGGAGGCTCTTCCTATTCCCTTCCCCATTGCTTTGCCCTTGTATCTGCTCATCCTCCTCTCTCCCCTCTCCAGGAGAGACGTTTCAGAGCCCTTGCCTCCTTCACCATGCCGGTTGCCGCCACCAACTCTGAAACTGGTAAGAAGGGGGTGAGGATGTTAGCTTATTTCAGTGGTTCAGAGGGTGCCAGGCGAGGACTTAGGGGTGGGCACTTGCACAGCTCCAGATAAGAACCAACTGGCTCCACTGCTGTCCACCCTACCACTCAGCCATTCCTTCTGGCAGCTGCTGTGGCCATCTCCTCTGTGTGGGTTCCTGTGCTGGAACGGAGAAGAGAAAGAATAAGACCCATACCTGCTCCAGTGTAGGGCTGGAGCACAACTCACCTCCGTGGAGGGCAGGGGATGCATGCTCCAGAGGTGACCCGTACTATTGCTGGAGGGCAGTGGCATAGGACCAGGCCTTCAGGAGGTGGCCCCGGAGCTGGGCCTTGGAGAATGGCTTGGGGGTGGAGGGATTACAGCAGCACAGCCTGGGGCTGAGAAGTCCATAATCGCTGCCCACTAGGCCAGCATGTGCCAGAGGTGGACAGGGGGTACTGGGGACCAGGAAGCTGTGAGTGAAGGAACAAGAATACCAGGTTAGGATACCTGGACGTGGCTCTGTAGGAGGCATTAGGACAAGGGAGTGGGCCACTCAGACAAACTAGCAAAGCCTCAGTGGCAAACTGCTTAACCTCTTGGAGCTCGCATTTCTTCTTCTGTAAAGAGGCTGCTGTGAGACGCAAAGGCTGTAATGGGAGAGCACATTACTTTTAGGAATAGTCATAATTATTATGCTGCTGTTGCTGCCGCTGCCACCAAGTTGTTGTTGTTGTTTTTGAGACAAGTTCTGGCTCTTTAGCCTAGGCTGGAGTGCAGTGGCGCAAGCTTGGCTCACTGCAACCTCTGCCTACCAGCCTCAAGTCATTCTCCCACCTCAGCCTCCCAAGTAGCTGGGACTACAGGTGTGCACCACCATGCCCAGCTAATTTTTGTATTTTTCGTAAAGACAAAAATGTTGCCCATGCTGGTCTCAAACTCCTGAGCTCAAGTACTCCACCCGCCTCGACCTCCCAAACTACTGGGATTACAGGTGTGAACCACTGTGCCTGGCCTGAGTTGTTATTTTGGCATTAACCCTGTGTCCTTGAAACAGTCACCTCCTTTTGAAGACCTGAGATTTCCCTAAGATGAGATGATGGGACAAGATCAGTGTTCTTAACTTTTTTCTTTTTCTTTTTTTTTTTTTTTGAGATGGAGTCTCCCTCTGTTGCCCAGGCTGGAGGGCAGTGGTGGGATCTCGGCTCACTGCAACCTTCACCTCCCAGGTTCAAGTGATTCTCCTGCCTCAGCCTCCCAAGTAGCTGGGATTACAGGCACCTGCTATCATGCCCAGCTAATTTTTGTATTTTTGTAGAGACTGGGTTTCACCATGTTGGCCAGGCTGTCCTGACCTCAGGTGATCCACCTGCCTTGGCCTCCCAAAGTGCTGGGATTACAGGCATGAGCCACCACACCTGGCCTGTTCTTAATTTTATTGGTCCTGAGTCACTTAGAATCTGGTGACAGCAGTGAGCCCTCATCGTAGACATATACATCCATGCACAAAAGGTATATTCTACTCTAGGGGATCATGGATTCCCGTAGTGCACGCAGGACCCCAGAAGGTTAAGTTCCCTGTGCTAGAGGCCCTCTGAGGCCCGGGCAGCTGGGAACTGCTATGGTTCTGCTCTGAGTTGTCTGAACTTCCCCCTGCCTGGATGCCTCCCTCCCATGCAGCTCCTTCCCTTGCTCTAGGCCCCACTACTGCCTCTGCCAGAGGTTCCAGGGCTGCCACTTTGGGTAGAATGATTCCTCTGTGCCTCCTCTCCGAGAAAGTGAAGGGAGTGAGCCAGGGCCTAAACTGTGGTACACTTGTCCAGGAAAGGCCTCTTCTCCTTGCAGTGGAGGGATGGCACCAATGTCCCCAGCTTCTGCAGCATCAGAGGGCTCAGTCCCCCATCTCCTGTCCAGCCTGCTGGGCTCCCTGGGGTCTCCCTGCCTCTTTCAGCCTGCCTAGGCCCCACTGTAAGCTGCTTAGGCATTAATTAAACCCACCCCTGAGCCTGTGCTTAATGGCCTCTCCAGCCGGGACTGCCCAGTAAACCCACCAATAGTGCCTGACTGGGGCGTAGGAGGAGGAGCAAGCCCAGCAATTTGGCTTCGTTGTTGCAGACCACTTGATGGGGGCGTGGTGGGGGAGGATGGGGGACAGGGAGTGGAGCCTTGGGGTGTGGCGGTGGGTTCTGCTTCCTCAAAGGACTCCTGGGGCTCCTGCTCCCCTTCATGTTGTTCGAGGGGCTGCTCCTGGCTTCTCATATTCAAAGGAAGAAGTACAAAGTGTTTTTCTTCCTTCAGGCAGCCTCTGTCCTATCCTGAGCTACATTAGCTCCCAGCTTCAAAAATCTAATGGTGGATTCTGCCCCTTATTATCTGGTGGTCATTATACTTCCCACAGGATAGAGAGACAGCTGTGTCCCTGCCTCTGAGTTCAGGCTCCCCTTCCCTCCTCCTCCCCTGGGAGATCCCTGCCTTGGACTCTGCAAAGGGCAAAGCTAATAAGATCCTTTTTCCGCCCTTCCCCATGGGTCAGTATGGTTGAAGGGAGGGAAAGGGTATGGGTGTATTCCTCTTGCAGGGAGACCCCATATCTACTTTGGGTAGAGTCAGGGGCCCTTTTCCTGAGACTTGGGAGATAAATGGACAGTGGCACTGGGCTGAGAACTTAGAGATCCTGAACCTGGCATCTCCTGACCTGCAGCCTTGCTCCCTCTTCCCCTGTCACCAGATTCCCTCCCTTTTTTGGATCAAGGCTGGGATATGTGGCTGCTTTCAGGTGGAGCTGTCCCTTTAAATCTCTCCTCCATCCCTGGGTTACTGTCCTGGTGTGTAATTCTACTGTCATGGCAACCAGGGGTGCAATGCGACCTGGTGCCACTCCTCAGGGAATGTCTGAGTGGAGGCTGCAGTACCCTGATGGTGGCCTCTTGGGCACAAGATCTCAGAGGAATGGGGTCACCGGAGCGGAGCTGAGTCCTTCCCTTCTGCCCACACTTTTCCCTGTGTGCAAATGTGCCCTCATTTTTCCTTTCTGGGGAACTGAGTTCCAAGATGCCTGACTTGCTTCCTGGGCATCATCCCCTTCATTAAGAGGAAGAACTCATGGGAGATGGGGGAGGGGAAGAAGCTGCTGTGAGGCGAGGGGTAAGCAGGGCTGGGGCACCATCCCTACCCACAGCGATGCCACCTCCCCCACGTACCCTGCCTCCCAGTGGCTGACCAAGGGTGGGTAGGGGGAGGCGTCTGAGGCTTGAGGTATTTGCCCCATGCCCAAGTGAGGCTGCCTCCCGGTGGAGGGCTGAGTCGTTCTTGGGGACTTCCTTAGACTGAGGGACTATTGTAAAGGAAACAGGGCCTGGAGAGGGGACTGAGAGCAGAGGTCAGAGGGCATAGGGAGGAGGTGGCATGGGGTGTATTAGAGGAGGGGCTTCTAGAAAAGAGGGTACAGGGACAAGATGGGCCAAGACTTTTCTCCCTCGGGTCTCCTGAAGCTGGCTGTGAGGGGAGGGTCTCGGAGTACCGCGCCAGTCTTGAAGGGGCAGCATGCCTACCCCCTCCTCAAAACTTCCTGTTAGCCGCCTCCTCCCCATCCCCACCGACACTGACATGCTGGGGATCGGGCAATCTGTGGGACTAGGGCTCCCTCCCACCACTCTTCTCCCACCCGGGTTACCGCCTGCTCTGCACCGCGCAGCGCCAGTCAGGGCTTTAGCCAATCAGCAAGGCGGTCACGGCGGCTGAGCCTTCCCATTGGCTGGTTCCTCAGAGGGCGCTCCTCGACTCCCGCCTTCCCCAGCCCGGCCAGGCTTTGGCTGGGGAGGCGGTAGACGGCGGCGTGTAGGACGCTCCGGGAGTCCCCGGGTCTGGGGGCCGCCATGGCAGGCAGCCCAGGCAGCGGGGTCTCCTTGGAGGGTATATCCCTGGAGTCTTCTGAGGAAGCGGAGCTCCAGAGGGAAGGTAGGGAAGGGCGGGCCAGATGGGGGCGGGGCAGCTGGCCCCTTAGCCTACCTTCCTCCAGCAGAGTCGGGGCATCTGGGGAGGGTGGCCTGGGAGAGGTCATCTGAGGGCACCTTCAGGAGAGCTGTCCTGGGCAGAGGGCACCAACTCCCTTGGCTCAGTCCTCCCCTAGATAACGGAGGGAATCTGGCATACCCTGGCAGGAAGGGAAGGGTCCCTGCCCTGGCCTCTTTCAGAGCCCACTGAGGGCCTCGCAGGTCTCTGACCAATGCCAAGCCCCGGCCTGGGCAAGAGGGGTCTGAAGGGCAAGCTTGCACTTTTTTTTCTGGAGAAGGCAGGGAGCAGGAGGAGGAAGGAGATGGGAGTCCAGGAGTCCCTGAACCATCTCTGCCAGCTCCAGTTCCAGTGCCCCCTCCTCCCCACTCCTGTTCCTTCCTGGAGGAGGGGGGCACTGACAAGAGCATTGAGAGGCGCCAGGGGTGCATCCTCCGCCGTCCTCCGTGGCTTGGGTACTGTTATGCAGATGTAGGCATGGGCGGCATGGTGGCAGAGTAATGATACCCTTCGCCCATCTCTGCCCCCAGCTGGGCACATTCTGCTTCTCGCTTCCTTTCCCCGGAACTTGCCACAGCCTGGAACTCCCACCTCTGTCAGTGAGTGAAGGCAGCCCTCACCTCAGGTCTCGGGGGCATTGTTGCGGCCCAGCTGCAGGTGTTATCGTGTCCTCCATTATGTCCCATTTCGGGCTGAGAGTTTGCTTATCCCTGTGATGACTTGGTGTGACCTCAGCCTTTGGGTCACACCAAGGCCTCCAGTGCCTGTTTCCCTAGCTCCTGCCAGCGTTCCAGGCCTCAGCTTTGACTTCCTATCATCCATGTTAATTTCTCAGTGATTATAGATCATTGTCACTCAGAGCTGAAGGCCTGTAAACATCATCTAGCCCAATCCATCCATTTTACAGGCAGGAAAGACTGAGGCCAGTGAGGGACAGTGACTTGTACAATGTCACACTGAATTAGTGGTGCTTAGACTGGAGGCTGCAGGCCCTGGCTCCTGTGTGGCTGCCTGCTTGACTCTGGGCCTGTACTCACGGACTTGCTCCGAGTACTGTCTGTCTCATCCTTGAGCCTGCCAGGTACAGGTGGCTGAGCCCTGGGCTTCAGCCCATCTAGAGGTTGAGTGAGGAGCTTGTGGTTTTCTTTTCTTTTTCTTTTTTTTTTTTTTGAGACGGAGTCTTGCTCTGTCGCCCAGGATGGAGGGCAATGGCAGGATCTCAGCTTACTGCAACCTCCGCCTCCTGGGTTCAAGCGATTTTCCTGCCTCAGCCTCCCGAGTAGCTGGGATTACAGGCGCCTGCCACTACGCCCAGCTAATTTTTTGTATTTTTAGTAGAGACAGGGTTTCCCTGTGTTGGCCAGGCTGGTCTTGAACTCTTGACCTCAGGCAATCCACCCGCTTCGGCCTCCCAAAGTGCTGGGATTACAGGCGTGAGCCACCGCGCCCGGCCAGAGACAGTCTTGCTCTGCCACCCAGGCTGGAGTGCAGTGGCGTGATCTCAGCTCACTGCAATCTCTGCCTCACAGGTTCAAGCAGTTCTCCTGCCTCAGCCTCCTGAGTAGCTAGAATTACAGACCTACACCACTATGCCTGGCTAATTTTGGTATTTTTAGTAGAGATGGGGTTTTGCCTTGTTGCCCAGGCTGGTCTTGAACTCCTGGCCTCAAGTGATCCACCCAACAGCTTGTGGTTTTCTGGTGCAGGGCAGGATCTGCAACCTGACACCTGCTTCCCTTTCTCCCTTCTCTCCACCTCAGAGTCTCTTCCAGCTGCCTGGAGCCTCCCACCTGCTCAGGCTGGCATTACCTAGGGTGGAGAGAACAGGCCAAGGAAATTGTCCCCTTCCTCCAGGATCCCTGTCCCAGGCATTCAAGGGCCTGGGGTGCCTGTGCTGGGCAGGGAGGGGAATGTTGCCGGGGAGGGGCTGCCTTCTGTGGGACATGGGGGTGGGGAAGTGGCAAGTATTGTGGTGTGTTTTGGTCTTCTGTACCCAGCTGGTACCTGTGTATCTCACTGCCCGTACCTTCCCCCAGCCATGCAGCAAGTCCTGGACAACTTGGGATCCCTCCCCAGTGCCACGGGGGCTGCAGAGCTGGACCTGATCTTCCTTCGAGGCATTATGGAAAGTCCCATAGTAAGATCCCTGGCCAAGGTACAGTGCTCCAGGGAGGTGGGCACAAGGGCACTGTGCTTGGGGAGGCACAGTAGGGGATGGGGTATTAGCTACAGAGGGCTTTGGGAATGGGACATGTGGCACAAGAGGCCCCCCTGAAGGGGATTGTAGAAGAAAATCATGCCCAGGTGATGACCTGAGTGGCTGCAGGTAGAGGGGGCTGCCCCCACACCTGTCTGGTGAGTGCGTGGGTGGATGTTTGTTGACTGCCAGCTTGTGGAGTGTGTGATTGGTGCGGGCTAGCATGCACATGTTGGAGAATCTCTAGAATTCATCTTGCCTGTCCTTCTGCCTTTGGGCGTTTTGTGTGTATGTCTTTCTAAGGTCACCTGCCATGTATCAGGTTGGGGAGAGATTGACTAAAAGAGAAAATTATAGGACAATTTGGTAATGACAGTGATAGAGGTGGATACACTATGCATTTTGGGAGCATAAAGGACAGGTGTCTAACCCAGCCTGGGGTGGGTGAGGAGGGCTTCCTGGAGGAAGGACCACTTGAGCTGAGTGGAAGAATGAGGAAGAGGGGGAGGGCATTCTGGGCCACAGAAGAGCTTGAGCAGAAGCACAGAGGTAAGAAAGAGTCAGGAGTGTGCAGGGGATTGGAAGGGCTGGTGTGAGGCTGAGCCTCAAGTGTAAGACAATGCGAGCTGTGCAAAGGTTGGCAGGTCTGGAGGGCACTGGGGGCTGTATGTGGGTGCTTGGGCATCCTTCTGTGAGTATCAGGGAGGCTTTATGGTTTTTTTTGTTTTGTTTTGTTTTGAGAAGGAGTTTTGCTCTTGTTGCCCAGGCTGGAGTGCAATGGCGTGATCTTGGCTCACTGCAACCTCCACCTCCTGAGTTCAAGTGATTCTTCTGCCTCAGTCTCCCGAGTAGCTGGGATTACAGGCATGTGCCACCACGCCCAGCTAATTTTGTAGTTTTAGTAGAGATGGGGTTTCTCCATGTTGGTCAGGCTGGTCTCCAATTCCTGACCTCAGGTGATCTGCCTGCCTCAGCCTTCCAAAGTGCTGGGATTACAGGCATGAGCCACTGTGCCTGGCAGGCTTTACATTATTTAAGCAGGGATATGATGGCCAAATGTGGGTGTTTTGGCAGCCATGTGGAGGACTGTTGGGGGGTTATATCTGAAGTTGGAGAGGCCAGTTAGTGGCTCTTCAGTGGATTGAGTATAAGATGCTGAGAGCCTGAAATGGAGCTGTGGTCCCAGACCTTAGGGTAAACTGGTGGAACTTGGTGTTTGGCAGTAAGGGCTAGGGTACAGTAAGGCACCTGGGATCCTGCCCCAGGGAGTGTGGAAGGATGCCCCCTCTCCTGAGGGGGGGAGGTGGGGATGGTGCCCATGGCTGCGTTGGAGGCAAGGCTGGGAGCTGTGGGAAATCAGACCTAATTGCTCAGATTTCTTGGTGAAGGTGGAGCAGTCCTCTCCTGGGAATTAGGGATCAGAGATGGAGCAGGAAGATTCAGAAGGGAAGGTTTGACTGGTCACTGAAAGGGAGAAGGAATTAAATGGATGGGGACCTCGACTGTCCATGTCAGGTGCCCGATTTCCCAGGGTGGGGGTGACTCCATCCAGAGAGGAAGAGAAAGGAGCGGGGGCTTTGGTCCAGGGCACGTGCTGGCCTGGGGCTGTGGAAGTCGGATGCAGGGAATTGTGAAGGGAGCTGGTGAGAGAGGCTCAGAGAAAAGAGGCCCAGGCTGGAAAGAGGCAGAACAGGGAGAAAATGGAGGTGAAGGCTCGGTGGCTCTCTGAGGTCACAGAGTATTTGAGGGGTGATGGTAGGGATATAGATGGAAGAGAAAAAGACCAAGGTCAGAGGAAGGGAGGTAGGAGGTGAAAGTTTTCCAAGGAGGACAGTTCTAGGGATGCCATGATAATGTAGGGTGGGGCTGCAGTGGACAGGTAGGTCATCAGTGTTGAAGACACCCAGAAATGGAAGGCTCAGGAGTGGGATGGGCTTGTCCACACACCTATTGGCATGTAGGGCTATGGCAGGCGTCAGGGTGGGGAGAAGACTGAGGCAGTCCCCAGGGTTTTCAGTGCATGGTGGTGGAGGTGACCAGGAAGTCGGCAATGACAGCAAGGGTAGGGAGAAAGAAGGTATAGCCAGGTGGTGGGTTTTCTGTAGAGCGGGGACTCTGTCACAGGCTGGCTATGGCTGGCCCTGGCATGGGATGTGGAGGACCACGTCCCACTGGAGTGGGGATTGCTGCTGCAGGGGACACCATGTCCTTGGATTGTAGCCTATTCACATTATCTGTGGAATGGTTGAAGACTTGGGAAGATTGTTAACAGCGAAAGATGAAAAGTTGCAGAGGTTTAATAGTGGGAAGTTCTGGGGAAGAGAAAACTGAGCAGATTGGAGGAGATTGGAGAAAGGCAGGGTGCTTTTCATTCAGCAATCGAAGATCCTACTCATTTACTAAAGATAAAGACAAGAAGCTGGGAGTAGGGGCATGCACCTGTAGTCCCAGCTACTCTGGAGGCTGAGGTGAGAGCATTGCTTGAGGCCAAGAAGCTCAAGTGCAGTTCATGTAACATAGTGAGAGCTCGTCTTCAATAAATAAGTAAATAAATAATAACAATTATACACATTTCAAACATAGAGACTTCCATGAAGGCAGGAATGTTTGTCTTTTTGATTCACTGCAGTATCCCCAGAGCCTACAAAATGCCTGACACATAGTAGGTGCTCACTGAATATTTGTTGAATGAATAAATACAAAAGAGCATAAAAAAATAACAAACTCCTGAGTACCCATCTCCAAAATGTTAATAATGTTTGTTTTGACTCTTGCCATTTCTTCTTAAGAAATAAAAAGTATGAGGCACACGGCACGGTGTGGCTTACAGCTTTAGTCCCAGCACTTTGGGAGACCAAGGTGGGTGGATCATTTGAGCTCAGGATTTCAAGACCAGCCTGATCAACATGGTGAAATCCTGTCTCTATAAAAAAATAGAATTAGCTAAGCATGGTGGCATTCACCTGTAGTCCCAACTACTCAAGAGGCTGAGGCAGGAGAGTTGCTTGAGCTGGGTAGGTCGAGGCTACAATGAGCCATGATCATGCCACTACAGTCCAGCCTGGGTGACCGAGTGAGACACTGTCTCAAAAAAAAAAATAAATAAATAAATAAAAAGTTTGGCACAGTTAATGCCTCTCCCCTTCCTCATTTTCACTGCATTCCCTTCCCACAGGTAACCACTGCCTAGAGATTGATGTCATTTCATTGAATGTTGGCTTATCTTGCCTACATATGTGTTTAGCTGTAAACAATATACCTTTGTGGGATTTTTTTTTAGACAGGGTCTTATTCCATCTCCCAGGTTGGAGTACAGTGGAACAATTATAGCTCACTGCAGCCTGGAACTCCTGGGCTCAAATGATCCTCCTGCCCTCCTGCCTTAGCCTCCTGAGTAACTGGGGCTACAAATATGTACCACCATGCCTGGCTAATCTTTAAATTTTTTTGTAGAGGCAGGGTCTTGCTACATTGTCCAGGCTAGTCTCAAACTCCTGGCCTCAAGTAATCCTCTCAGCCTCCCAAAGCACTGGGATTATAGGCATGAGCCACCATGACTGGCTCTACCTTTGTTATGTGTGCTTTTTTTTTTTTTTTTTTTTTCCTCTGGAGTCTCACTCTGTTGCCCAGGCTAGAGTGCAGTGGCGCAATCTCGGCTCACTGCAACCTCCACCTCCCAAGTTGAAGCGATTCTTCTGCCTCAGCCTCCCGAGTAGCTGGGACTACAGGCATGCACCACCATGCCCGGCTAATTTTTGTGTGTGTGTGTGTGTGTATATATATATATATATATATATATATTTTGAGATGGAATCTCACTCTGTCACTGGGCTGGAGTGCAGTGGCACAATCTCAGCTCACTGCAACCTCCGCCTCCTGGGTTCAAGCGATTCTCCTGCCTTAGCCTCCCAAGTAGCTAGGACTACAGGCATGCGCTACCATGCCCAGCTAATTTTTGTATTTTTAGTAGAGATGGGGTTTCACCATGTTGGCCAGGATGGTCTCGATCTCTTGACCTCGCAATCCGCCTGCCTTGGCCTCCCAAAGTGATGGGATTATAGGTGTGAGCCACCGCACCTGGCCATTTTTGTATTTTTTTTTTTTTTTTTAGTAGAGACAGGGTTTCACCATATTGGCCAGGCTGGTCTCGAACTCCTGACCTCATGATTCGCCTGCCTCAGCCTCCCAAAGTGCTGGGATTACAGGCGTGAGCCACCATGCCTGGCCATTACGTGTGCTTTTAAATTTTATATAAATGAAATGATAGTGTAAGGTGCTTCTGTTTTTGAGATTTCTATTTCATACAAGTAGTACAGCTATCGACCTAAGTATAGATATAGATAGAGATAGGGAGATTCATTTGAACTGCGGTGTGGTGTTCTGATACAGCAGTCCCCAACCTTTTTGGCACCAGGGACCAGTTTTGTGGAAGACAATTTTTCCACGGATCAGGGTGAGGGGGGTGGTTTTGGTATGCAACTGTTCCACTCAGATCATCAGGCATTTGTTAGACTTCTCATAAGGAGCACACAACCTAGATCCCTGGCACGTGCAGTTCACGGTAGGGTTGGTGCCCCTGTGAGAATCTAATGCCACCACTGATCTGACAGGAGGTGGAGCTCAGGCAGTAATGCTTGCTCACCTCCTGCTGTTCACCTACTTCCTAACAGGCCACGGATCAGTACTGGTCCATGGCTTGGGGGTTGGGGACCCCTGTTCTAATATATGAATAGAGCTGTTTGTTTATTGGTTCCCTTCCTGAGAGATGTGTATGTCACTGCTGATTTTGCTGTCTTAAAAACAGTGCTGCAGTGAACATCCTCATATCCATCTGCTTCTGCATGCATATGAGGGTTTCTCTAGAATGGACACTTGGCAATGAAATTGATGAATATGTGCAGTTTTGAACCTCAACATCTGTAACTTTCCAAAATTGATTTCAGAGTTGGGTTTATGAGCCCACATCACCTCTGGGTACTTTAGCTATTGTCTCCACAGTGAGACAGTGAGACTCTGCTTTGTGATGGCAGAGTCTCAGAATGAGACAGCCCTCTTGCCAATACCCTTCAAAGCAGGGTCCCCCTTGATAGCATTCCTCTCTGGTCCAGTCCACTCGACAGTCCACTCGACAGCTCTCTAATGATGGGTTTGCTGGCTGGCTGGCTATGTCATTCACTCATTTGTCCATCCATCCATCCATCCATCCATCCATCCATCCATCCATCCATCCATCCATCAAATACCTATTTTGCACTCGCCACATACCAGGCACAGTGCTGGGGTTATGGCAGTGAACTGCCAGATAGTTTGTTTTCCTGATGAAGCCCAAGTCTGTCTTCCTTTCACTGGACACCACAATGCCCCAGTCCTGGGACCTCACAGTAAAGCCTAATTGAAAATGAACCAATGTGCTGTGTCACATTGTAAGTAAACTCCCTTCTCTGGAAACGTTTTTGGCGAGAAGCTGGTCAGGATTTTTTCCAAGAAATTCCTGGTATGGTTCCGGATTTGTAGAGCACAATAGAAGAGAGTATGGACGTTTCTTCCCCTCTGAGACCCCCAGTATGAGGCTAATGGGCTAAGGCAATCCAGTAACTTCTTTCTCCCTGTGGTTGTGAAACAAACAGGAAGTGAATCTCCATAAAGGAGCCTACCTGAGCCCACTGGAAAAAAAAAAGCCATTCATTTCTTCTGTCCTTGTATGGGTGAGCCTTTGCAATGTAAATTTGCCACTCCTCTCATCAAAGACAGTGTCTCTCAGAGCTCCCTGCATTGGACAATGGGACCTACTTCCTCCTTCTCACCAATTTTAATCATTATGTGTACACAGACAAATTTCTAACCTAATAGACAAAGCACTGTGATCAAAGATCCAGCTGCAAAAACTTCGTGAAGTGGCCCAGAAACCCACAGGAATGAAATCAGATTGGAGCCACATGTGGTAGCTGTTGGCCTCCCTCCCTTACGCTGTGGAGCTGGGCTTGACTCTGTCTGGGGATGTGGCAGACAGTGTAGGAGGGGCCAGGCTGGGTAGATCTGGGACCAGGGAGGGACAGGGCCTGAGGATACAAACCCAGAGGGTTAAAGGCCCTAAGGGAAGTCAAGTCTGGCAGAGAGATCAGAAGTCCAGGCGGTTGGCTGCACACAGCAAGTGGCGGCCCTGGCAGGTGGCTGGCATCTGGGACGGCTGACATGGATCCAGTAGCAGGTGTTCCAGCTACAGACAAGGCCAAGGTGAGGAATCCAAGGCAGGGGACATTCAGAAATTCAGAAAAATTGTTACTAATGGGGACAGCTGAGAGGCATGTGAAGGCTGTTGTGAACTAATTCACATGAGATGAAGAAGAAAGAACACAGGGCTTGGAGTCAGAAGATTCCACTGACCAGCTTTGTGAGTTTGGTATATCTGTCAACCTCTCTGAACTTCAGTTATTTCTTATGGAGGAATTTTTAAAAAATTAATATTTCTTTATGTATTTATTTTAAAAGAAAGGTGAGGTCTCACCGTGTTGCCCAGGCTGGTCTTGAACTCCTGAGCTCAAGTGATCCTCCCACCTTGGCTTCCTAAAGTGCTAGGATTACAGGTGTGAGCCACCATGCCCAGCCCAGTTATTTCTTTTGAGAAGTGGGGAGAATGATACCTATCCCTCAGAGTCGTGGTGGGGCTAGGTGGAGGTTATGGAAGTGTAAGTTTTTTTTTTTTTTGAGACGGAGTCTTGCTTTGTTGCCCAGGCTGGAGTGTAATGGTGCAATCTCGGCTCACTGCAACCTCTGCCTCCCAGGTTCAAGCGATTCTCCTGCCTCAGCCTCCCGAGTAGCTGGGATTACAGGCCCACCATCCCCGGCTAATTTGTGTATTTTTAGTAGAGATGGGGTTTCACCATGTTGGCCAGGCTGGCCTTGAACTCCTGACCTCAGGTGATCCACCCACCTCGGCCTCCTCCCAAAGTGCAGGAATTACAGGCATGAGCCACCCCGGCCAGAAGTGATTTTTGAATCAGGAAGAGTTGTTATAATCTTAGCTTCAGACTAGAGTTCACAGGGAGGCCTCTTGTTCTGTGGGGAGGCTAGGGTGGAAGACCTGGGAAAGCAAGACAGGGCCCTAGAAGAATAAAGGTCTAGGGAGGTCACTAAGATAGGGGCTCTGACAAGGGGACATGACAAGCAGAGGGTGTAGTGGTGAGGCCAGTGTATCAGTTCACTTTTGCTGTGTAACAAACCATCGTGCTGTGTCGTGGCTTAAAACAACTGTGATTTAATTCCCCTGATTTTGTGGGTTGGTTGGGTGGTTCTTCTGGCCTGGGCTTGCTTAGCTGGGGCTGGGTGGTCCGGGATGGCCTCACTCACATGTCTGGTGTCTTAGCTGGGAAAACTGCAATGTCTGGGATGGCCAGACCCCTTTCCATGTGGTCTCTCATCCTCTAGGAGGGTCTCTCATCCTCAGCCACCTTCACATGGTAGTCTCACAAGCAAGGAAGGACAAGCCTCCAGTCACAAGCACTTTCTAAGCCTCTGCTCACATTTGATAATGGCCCATTGGCTAAAGCAAGTCACATCTGTCAAACCCAGATTAAAGAGTTCCTTTACTTTCTGACACACTACTCTCTGGGACATCTTTTAATTTAACTATTTAATTATGAACCAGGGCTTCAAATAGGAATTCCCTGTCTTTTGCCATGATCGGGGGGTTGGAGTGGAGGGCAGAGGGAAAACTTTTCAGTGAAATGACTGTGTAGTGTTTGCATTTGCAGCCTGCTACAGCTCTGGATTGGGAGCAAACAGAACAGAGTGCAGGCTGGTGCCACTATAAACTAGCTGTGTCTCCCACTTAAGCTTCTGGTCTACCATGAGCTTGAGCCCCTGCTTTGCTGAGGATAATTTTCAGAGCAGAATGAAATGAATGGCTACCACAGAAATTCAAATCACTCTTCTAGTTCTGGGCCATGTGTCACTTAACATGAAAAAGAAGAATAAGTCTTAGCAAAATAATAGTGAGTAAAAAAGCAGTAAGGGAAATAATTGTTCACTTAATGTTAAGTGAAAAAAAATCAGACCCCAGGGATGGATAAAATCATGATTCCCCCCTTTTTTTATGTCATAGAAAATACGGCCGGGTGCGGTGGCTCACGCCTGTAATCCCAGCACTTTGGGAGGCCGAGGTGGGTGGATCACCAGTTCAGGAGATCGAGACCATCCTGGCTAACATGGTGAAACCCCGTCTCTACTAAAATTACAAAAAATTAGCCAGGCGTGGTGGTGCATGCCTGTAGTCCCAGCTACTCGGGAGGCTGAGGCAGGAGAATGGTGTGAACCCGGGAGACGGAGGTTGCAGTGAGCCGAGATTGCGCCACTGCACTCCAGCCTGGGCAACAGAGTGAGACTCTGTCTCAAAAAAAAAAAAACAAAAAAAAAAACGCATTTGGACAGACACAATTCCCTTTTTATTAACTATATTCATTTCAGAATTTCAGAAGTATGTAGAATACATACAGACACATTACAACTCTTTAACTGGGAAGCCAGGGAATGACAAACACACTAAATCAAGATGGTGCTTTCAGCTGGGCATGGTGGCTCATGCCTGTAATCCCAGCACTTTGGGAGGCTGAGCCGGGCGGATCACCTGAGGTCTGGAGTTCAAGGCCAGCCTCACCAACATGGAGAAACCCCGTCTCTACTAAAAATACAAAATTAGCCGGGTGTGTTGGTGCATGCTGTAATCCCAGCTACTCGAGAGGCTAAGGCAGGAGAATCACTTGAACCCGGGAGGTGTAGGTTGCAGTGAGCCGAGATTGTGCCATTGCACTCCAGGCTGGGCGATAGAGCGAGACTCTGTCTCAAAAAAAAAAAAAAAAAAAAGATGGTGATTTCTGCAAGTGGGAAGGGTGAGTGGGGCATGTGGTTAGATGTAGGATATTGACAAGAGCTTTGTTTTTTAGTTTGGGTGGTGGGTTCTCTTAGATCCTTGTTATATCATTTAAAAAATCTAATTTAGGCCAGGTGTGGTGGCTCACGCCTGTAATTCCAGCACTTTGGGAGGCCGAGGCAGGCAGATCACCTGAGCTCAGGAGTTTGTGACTAGCCTGGGCAACATGGTGAAACCTCATCTCAACTGAAATATAAAAAATTAGCCAGGGGTGGTGGCGCGTGCCTGTAGTCCCAGCTGTTCGGGAGGTTGAAGCACAAGAATTTTTGAGCCCAGGAAGTGGAGGTTGCAGTGAGCCAAGATTGTGCCACTGCACTCCAATTTGGACTACAGAGTGAGACTCCGTCTAAAAAAAAAAAAAATTATTTGTTCAGCCTACTGAATTGTTGGTTTTGTATTTGAATGATTAAATGTTTAAAGTTTCCTCTGGGCTATGAGGTTGAGCTTGGAGAGCTGTGCTTTCATATCTGTGGGTATAAAACGTCCAGGGGTGGCCACAGGAGGAGGAATGGATTAGCCCATGGTGGGAATGTCATTAAGTCAAAGATAGGAGGTAAGCAGCTTAGGAGGCACCCTGGCTTCCCCCTTGATCACACACGTCTCCTCGGAAAACTTGTCCTCCATCCGTGGACCAGATAGTGCTAAAGTCAAAATGAGTGACTTCTCTAATGCTCACATCAGGACACCTGTGCCAGAGCTGGCTCCTGTTAACCCAAAAGAGCCATGCAAGGGTTGCCATGGTGAGATTGTTGCTGCCTGAGTGCCATTGTTTATTCTTGACACTCAGTTATTTGGGCTTTGATTCCAACATTGTCCTAGGCACAGGGTAACAGAGCCAGAGCTGGGACGCCTCCCTCACTCTGGGGCTCCATAGGCTGGGCCAAGCTAAATGACTGAAAGTCACATAGGGGTCTGTGGAAGACCAGCCCTCTGGGGCTTGTTCCTTTCCCCAAATGCTACTCCTCTGCCCCATCAGTTGTCTGTTTCCCCAGTAGGTTGTGGATGTCAGTCTAAAATGCTGCCCACCCGGCAGAGGATGGTATGGGAGGCTGTGGGGCCATGTGGGGTGCTGTTCCCTGGCCTGTTTGGGAAAAGAGAAGGCAGAAAGCATCTAACCTTTATTGAGCACCTGCTGTCTGCCAGGCACTATGTCCATCTCACCAAATCCTCACAGCAGTCTTATGAAGTATTACTCAAATCTCACCATCTCATGGCTAAACAAATTTTCTATTATGAAAAAATTTAAGAATATATCCTGAACCTCCATCACCTAGCACCCCACTTCAACATTCAACAAGTCATGCATAATCTTGTTTCATCCACACCTTTACCAGCTTCCCTCTCTCCTCCATTGTTTTGGAGTACATCTCAGCCATAATAGATTGTATCTGCAAGTGTTTCATTGTGTATATAAACTCCTGGGCTCAACTGAAAAGGATTCTTTAAAGCTACACTACTATTGTCACACCTAAAAAAAAAATCAAACAATAGTTTTCTTTTGAATTTTTTTAATTAAAAAAATTTTAAAAAATAGAGATGGGGTCTTGCTGTCTTGAACTCCTGGGCTCAAGTGATCCTCCTGCCTTGGCCTCCCAAAGTGCTGGGATTACAGGTGTGAGCCATTGTGCCCTGCCATGAATTTTTAATAAATGGTATTGGAACATCTGGATAGTCATTTTGAAAGATATCAAAGTGTATTTATTCCTCACATCATATATCAGAATAAACTCCAAGCGGATCAGAGATCTCTATGTGAAAATATAAATCATACACGTCCTAGAAGAAAACAAGGCTCTGTATATGGGAAAAGCCCTCCCTTAAAAAAAAAACAAAAAAACAAAAAACTATGCCTCAAAATTCAGATGCATGAAAGATTATTAAATTCACCCACATTAAAAAATTTGTTTTTTGAGCCAGGGTCTTGCTCTGTCACTCAGGCTGGAGTGCAGTAGTGCAAACAGTGCTCACTGCAGCCTCAATCTCCTGGGTTCAAGTGATCCTTCCACCTCAGCCTCCCAAGTAAGAGTAGCAGGGACATCAGGTGCATGCCACCATGCATTAAAATGAGGATTAAAAATGCTCAGGTGAATTTTTAAAATATTTTGTAGCAACAGGGGCTTCCCATCTTACCCAGGCTGGTCTTGAGCTCCTGGGCTCAAGCAGTCCTTCCTCCTTGACCTCCCAAAGTGTTGGGATTGCAGGTGTGAACCACTGCACCTGACCTAAATTTTTTTTTTTTTTTTGCATGCAAAAACACCACAAGCAGAGTCAAAAGACAAGTGACAAACTGGGGGAAATCATTTACAAGAAATATCACAAAGGGCTAATTTTCCCAATAGAGAGAAAACATTTTTTAAAATAGGGAAAAGAATAAAAACCAAGACCTGACAGAAAAATTGGGAAAGACATGAGTAGACAGTTCACAGAAAAAGATATACAGATGGTCCTTAATCATATGGAGAGATGTTTGACTTTACTCATAATAAGCAAAATGCAAAGTAAGCCCCAATGAGAGATCATTTCTCCTCCATGTGATTGGCAGACATGCAAATGTTTGATCAACACTCTGGTGGTGAGCTTCAAGAAAATCCCTCATACAGTGCTAGCAGGAGAGCAAACTGGCCAAAGTCCCATGGAGGGGAATTTGTCAATATCTAAGAAAATTACGTATGTATTTGCTGCTTGACCCAGCAAGACTTCTAGGAATTTACATGGAAGATCTTCTCCACAGATATAGAATACTATGCCGGAGTCATTTACTGCAACATTATTTGCAATAGCAAAGTATTAGAAACAACCTAAATACCCATGGAGACTGGTTGAATAAATTACAGGAATCCAGTCATGCAATGGAGTCAAATGCAGTAATTAAAATAATAAGATGGGCATGGTGGTTCATGCCTGTAATCCCAACCTGGGAGGCAGAGGTTGCAGTGAGCTGAGATCGCGCCACTGCACTCCATCCTGGGTGACAGAGCAAGACTCTGTCTCAAACAAACTAACAATAATAATTAATAAAGGAAGATCTCCATGCAGTTTCATGGAGTGATTTCTATGACATATTTTTAAATAAAAAGCCAGAAAACCAAACCAGTTAAATAAAAGCCCTAGGGTATCAAAGGGTATATACAGTGTTCTGTGTTTTATGTAAGAAAGGGCAATATATTTATTTAATTTTTTTTTTTGGAAACAGAGTCTTGCTCTGTTGCCCAGGCTGGAGGGCAGTGGCGCGATCTCAGCTCCTTGCAACCTCTGCCTCCCGGGTCCAAGTGATTCTCATGACTCAGCCTCCTGAGTAGCTGGGATTACAGGCATGTGCCACATGCCCGGCTAATTTTGTATTTTTGGTAGAGATGGTGTTTCACCATGTTGGTCAGGCTCGTCTCAAACTCCTGACCTCAGGTGATCCTCCTGCCTTGGCTTCCCAAAGTGCGGGATTACAGGCATGAGCCACTGCGCCTGGCCTTTAGTGGTGATTTCTGAGATTTTGATGCACCCATCACCCAAGCAGTATACACTGTACCCAGTGTGTAGTCTTTTATCCCTTACGCCCCTACTACCCTTCCCGGCTGATTTTTACTAATAGATTTGTGATAGGTAGTAGCAGTTGTATAGCAATTTTGAAACTGCTTTGAATATTGAAGGACAGAACAAATAAGTAAATATACTGATGTTATTGGGAAATAAGTTCTCACTGAAGGAGAAGGGAGACACAAATATGGAATGGGGGAAGATGAGAAAAATCCTTTAATTTTATTTGGAGCCATTAGTATCTACTAATGACTGCCAAAGAAATGATGCCCAGAAACAATGGGTATTGAGTGTCCACATCTTGGTTTCTAAATACTATCTCCTGCTAAAAGGAATCAGGGTTCCTTGGAGAAATTGCTGATTCCAGACCTGGGGTAGGGAATGCATCAGATGAGCCTGTGCCAGAAGGGAAGAAGATGCTCAAGGACTGATGGGAACATGTCAACAGGACAGAGGTGTGAATGGGGCTCCCACTGGACAAATTTGGGATAAACTGGGTCAACGAAGATAGTGATCGTAATGGATTAGAACACATGGAATAAAAAAAATTCATAGTGATATCATGAGAGAGAGAAGGAGAGAAAGAGGAGTAAGGTGGTAGGGAGAAAAGAAGAGCTCATTCTTTTTTTTTTTTTTTTTTGAGCTGGAGTTTTGCTCTTGTTGCCCAGGCTGGAGTGCAATGGCATGATCTCGGCTCATTGCAACCTCCACCTCCCAGGTTCAAGCGGTTCTCCTGCCTCAGCCTCCTGAGTAGCTGGGATTACAGGCGCCCACCACTATGCTAGGCTAATTTTTTATATCTGTAGTAGAAACGGGGTTTCACCATGTTGGCCAGGCTGTTTTGCAAACTCCTGACCTCAGGTAATCCACCTGCCTTGGCCTCCCAAAGTGCAGGGATTACAGGCGTGAGCCACTGTGCCTGGCTGAAAAGCTCATTCTTATAGCAGAATGCCAATAATGTAGAAGGAATGATGGGAATTAGGTAATCACTATTTTGCAACCTCCAGTATAATAACTCATTTAGGCAAGGGTCATAAATTGACACTAAATCCATTGGTGAAGGATTTTGGGGGAACAGAATAGTCACATAGTCTCAAAGTATGGGAAAGACACAAAGACACAAGATCACCTACGTAGAACTCTTGTCAAAAGGATTAACGTAAGTCTAATCATGAGGAAACAATCAACTAAATCTAGTGGTAGAGCATCCTAAAAACTACTGGCCTGGAGTCTAAAAATGTCTAGGCTGGGTGCAGTGGCTCATGCCTGTAATCTCAGGCTTTGGGAGCCTGAAGCAGGAGGATCACTTGAAGCCAAGAGTTTGAGACTAGCCTAGGCAACGTAGTGAGACCCTGTCCCTACAAAACAAAAACAGAAACAAAAAAAACAAAACAACAAATGTTCTGAAAGTCTAAAAGTTATTGGGATCTGTTCTAGATTAGAGGAGAATAAAAAGATATGTCAACCAACTACAACATATGATCATCAATTAGATCCTGAATCAGAAAAAATAAAATTATAAAGGATACTTTTGGGACAAGAGTGAACATTTGAATGTGGACTGTCTTACATAATGTATTAATGAATCGATGTTAAATTTCTTGCAGGTGATAATGGTATTGTGGTTTATGCAGCAGAATGTCTTTGTTCCTATGAAATACATGCTGAAATACTTTGGGGTAAAGTGGCTTGTGTTGTCTGCAATGATCTTTCAAAGATTCAGAGGGGAAAAATGGTCTTCATATATATTATTGAAATGGAATTCTTTTCTTCCTGACCCATCTAACCTAACACTCCCCACTGGGCTGGTCACTGGCGAAGGATTCCTTTTCTGTTTTCAGCGCTCCTTGGTATGGAGCCCGGAGCCAGCAGAGCAACAAATAGGTGCAGGGCCTGCTCCTGGCACCGTGTTCTGATTTCCTGTCCCCTCATTCGCTGGGAACACTGAGTTGAGGGCCTGGAGACGCAAGTTCAAGTCCCATTGACCCTGGGAAAGTTATTCTACCTCCCTAATTTCCTCATCCTGGGCTTCAGGGTCTTCAAGGCCCCACCCAACCATGATGTCTGGTGGAAGAAGCCATCTTTGAACGCCAATGCATATAGGGTCCTGGGAGCTGGGGACAATTTGGTAACTTCTAATGACCCTCTGTGGCAAGGGGATGGAAAGGAAGGTTTGTCCTTTGGTTTCTTCCTTCCCTAAACTAGGTCCTAGTAATTTTGGGGAAGAAAGGAGACAGCAAGGAATGCATGTGCACGTGTGGGTATGATTGTCAGTGAGTGAGGAGCTGAAGCTGGGGGCTGGGGGGTGGGATGGGGAAAATGCCTGGGGGCTGAGGGAGGACCCTGCTTGGTGTCCCAGGGCTCCTGGGGAAGCTCCTAGCCCCACCTGTTCTGCTTCCACCCCCAGGCCCATGAGAGGCTGGAGGAGACGAAGCTGGAGGCCGTGAGAGACAACAACCTGGAGCTGGTGCAGGAGATCCTGCGGGACCTGGCGCAGCTGGCTGAGCAGAGCAGCACAGCCGCCGAGCTGGCCCACATCCTCCAGGAGCCCCACTTCCAGGTTCCTGGCTGCTAGGGCTGGGGTGAGGGAGCAGGAGGTGGGTGGACTGGGGCATGCTGCTGTTGGATGGGCCAGCAGGAAGTTGGATCTGGGATGGGAAGAGACCCGGGACACTGCCCCATTGTCCCTTCTCTTCCCACCACCCCCCAGTCCCTCCTGGAGACGCACGACTCTGTGGCCTCAAAGACCTATGAGACACCACCCCCCAGCCCTGGCCTGGACCCTACATTCAGCAACCAGCCTGTACCTCCCGATGCTGTGCGCATGGTGGGCATCCGCAAGACAGCCGGAGAACATCTGGTGAGGACTGGGCAGGGCCAGAGGTGGTGCTGGTGAGGGTGGGGGGATTGAGAATAACCAATGAACGGACAAAAAAGGCCAAGTGTGGTCTGAAGATGAAGATGGGGCCAGCTTTGTGCAGGGAAGGATTGATGCAGCAAAGGGTCGGGGGAAGACCCAGGAGACCATAGACACTGCACACACACCTGTGTCCGCACCTCTCCAGTCTGCCCACCTCTCCCCTCATTAGTACCTGCTGTAAGTGAAGAATTTAGGCAGAAGGATGGAGGAGGACTTTGTGAGGGTGGGGGTGGGTGGGTAGGGACAGGAATGGAGGAGCTATTAGGAGACTATTTGAAGATTCTGACTTGGAGCAATTGGGGCCTCATCTTACACTCCCTCTGACCTCCAGGGTGTAACGTTCCGCGTGGAGGGCGGCGAGCTGGTGATCGCGCGCATTCTGCATGGGGGCATGGTGGCTCAACAAGGCCTGCTGCATGTGGGTGACATCATCAAGGAGGTGAACGGGCAGCCAGTGGGCAGTGACCCCCGCGCACTGCAGGAGCTCCTGCGCAATGCCAGTGGCAGTGTCATCCTCAAGATCCTGCCCAGCTACCAGGAGCCCCATCTGCCCCGCCAGGTGGGCCCCTCACCCAGCACAAGGCCCAAGGGATGGCTGAGCCTCCTGGCTGTCAAGGTTGCAGGTCTCACGGAGGCCCTCCTCTCCTACTGGTTTCCTCCAGGGAAGATGGGGGTGGGACCTGCAGCCCAGGGGCAGCTGACCGCAGCCGCCGACAGGCCTCTGCCGCTGCTGCACCTGCACATGCTCCCACATTGGCTGGTATTATGCACGCAGCCACAGCCTGGGGTACAAGTGTATGAGAGAGCGCCTGCATTATGGTCAGCGTTCTTCACGTTTGTGCGCGTGCGCAGGGTGGGGTTGTCATATGTCCTGGATAGCTGTCTCCTGGTTGGTCAATTCTGGGGGTGTGGCTGCTCTGTCTCCCTATCCTATTGGGTCTCTCGCCCTCCACCAGAGCCCTTCTCCAAGGGGAGAGGGTGAGTGGAGGGAGGGATCCAGGATTAGGTGCCAGGGTCCTGTGCCCTACTTGGTGGTCCCGCATCCTTGGTCCTGAGATCTGAATCCTGTAGTACTAGATGCAAAGGGAGGTTGGCACCAGGGAGGAGCATGGGCAGGCCTGGAGGCATCACTCCTGCAGGGGGACAGTTCCATTGCCCCTTAGTCTCTGTGAAAAGAGGGGGCATGGGGTAGACCTCCACCTGCAGCCTTCTGCTGACCCTTCCCCCGACCCTTTGCTGATTCCTGGGCCCAGGTATTTGTGAAATGTCACTTTGACTATGACCCGGCCCGAGACAGCCTCATCCCCTGCAAGGAAGCAGGCCTGCGCTTCAACGCCGGGGACTTGCTCCAGATCGTAAACCAGGATGATGCCAACTGGTGGCAGGTGAGCTGCGGGCACCCCCGCATCTCTCCAGGTATGGTGCATGGGAGGGCGAGGGCACAGGGAGGGGTCCTCTTGCTCAGGCAGATCTTGGTCTCATGTCCGTTTTAGGCATGCCATGTCGAAGGGGGCAGTGCTGGGCTCATTCCCAGCCAGCTGCTGGAGGAGAAGCGGAAAGCATTTGTCAAGAGGGACCTGGAGCTGACACCAAACTCAGGTAGGAGGTCCCCCCTACCCCACACCTCCAATCTGGGATCCAACAGGGCCCTGTCTGCCTCACTCACCCATCTCCCTATGGCCAGGGACCCTATGCGGCAGCCTTTCAGGAAAGAAAAAGAAGCGAATGATGTATTTGACCACCAAGAATGCAGGTGGGTATCAGAGCGCCCCCTCCCTTACCCTCCTCTAACATGGCATGCCTTTCCCTGTCCCCACCCATCACCTGTGACGACGTGTGCCTGGCTCAGATGCTGCCAGCCGTGTCCCTAGGCCCTGCCCGACTCCCCCCTGCTCCCCTGTTCCAAGCCCTCTTGCCCTCAGCCTCCCTGAGAGCTCCGCCCCTCCCTCACCGTGCAGCCTGGTGAGCAGCGCCATCTCCCTGTGTCCAGAGTTTGACCGTCATGAGCTGCTCATTTATGAGGAGGTGGCCCGCATGCCCCCGTTCCGCCGGAAAACCCTGGTACTGATTGGGGCTCAGGGCGTGGGACGGCGCAGCCTGAAGAACAAGCTCATCATGTGGGATCCAGATCGCTATGGCACCACGGTGCCCTGTGAGTGGGAGCTGGGCCCTGCTGAGTTGGGGACAAGGAGCAGGGCTCCCCTGGGGCCAGGGCTGGGCCCACCGAATGGGCATCTTCATGGGCACCAGGCCAGGTGGTACCTTTGGGTACACGGGTTGGGGTGCACGCCCTCTGTGGGTGGTTAGGGGAACTTCAGGCTCAGGAAGGGTGAGGGAGGTGTCCAGCCAACAGGTGGCCTAGCGGGCTGGGCTGGCGTCCACTTTCCTTCTCTTGTTTCACTTGCTAAAAGCCATGAAGAAAGTGAGTGCCCAGCTGTGCACCCGGGTGAAACAGGCTACGAGCTGCATGTGTGTAGCCTTGTGGAAGACAGGGCTTCTTAGTGGCAGAAACAGCGGGGGTGGTGGAAGCTCCTGGCTGCCAGAGGCAGGACTAAGAGCACTGCCCTGGTCTGCTTGGCTCTTGCTGTGTGGCTTTGGGCTGTACATTGCCCTTTCTGGACCTCAGCCTCTCTTCTGTGGGCTCTGGGCTGGACCATGATTACCAGCTCATGTCTCTGTGTGTGCCAATGGGGAGAGTGGGGGGCAGGTGTGTGCAAAGGCAGCAGTGCTGGCAAGATGGGGAGCAGACTGCACCTCCAAGGCTGGGAAACGGGGGCCTGGGTAGGGGTGCATATATGTGTCTGAGGCACTGTAACCTGCCCCTGCCCATTTGGTCCAACCTACCCCCATCCCCCTAGACACCTCCCGGCGGCCGAAAGACTCAGAGCGGGAAGGTCAGGGTTACAGCTTTGTGTCCCGTGGGGAGATGGAGGCTGACGTCCGTGCTGGGCGCTACCTGGAGCATGGCGAATACGAGGGCAACCTGTATGGCACACGTATTGACTCCATCCGGGGCGTGGTCGCTGCTGGGAAGGTGTGCGTGCTGGATGTCAACCCCCAGGTACCGCCACTCTGCTCCTTCCCAGCCTGCCCAATGTCCTCTCTGCTGCCTCATTGCTCCCCCATATAGTTCCAGACACCTGTCACCTGAACACGCCCATGTACCCCCTTTGCCCTCAACTACTGCTAGAAACCCAGCCCACCTGGAACCTTTCTCAGCCTTCCAGAGTCCCCACTCCTCCTCTAGTCTCCTCCAGTCACCCCAGCCACCTGCCAGCTGTTTGTCATTTGTCCCAGGACTCATGTCCCAGACCCCCGGGCACCCTTTTCTCATCCACTCCCAAGTGCTCACCCCAACCCCAGTTACCCTCACAGCCTTTCTCTGGTTCCTAGGACAGACATGGGGATATACTCCCTACCTTGCCTTCTCCTTCTGCAGGCGGTGAAGGTGCTACGAACGGCCGAGTTTGTCCCTTACGTGGTGTTCATCGAGGCCCCAGACTTCGAGACCCTGCGGGCCATGAACAGGGCTGCGCTGGAGAGTGGAATATCCACCAAGCAGCTCACGGTGAGGGCTCTGAGGTGTGGGGGAGGGGTCTGATAGCTGCCTAGGGTGGTGGGGGACAGGCCTGAGCTGACAGAGAGAAGGAGGTGGTGTTGGGGAGGGACAGGGGCCTGCTCCAGTTATCAGTGAGGCAGGACGTGGTCCCCCCTGCATAGATGTGGAAGGGGAGGTCTGAGAGAGGAAGTCCAAAGTCTCAGAGTGAGCCAGGCACACACCTAGCCTGGGATACATGTGCTTCTGACTCAAGGCCCCCGGCTCAGCCCACTCTGCAGAGACAGAGTGCTGGCCAGAGAGAGTTCCCGAGGGCAACTGGGAGAGGTGGGCTGGAGGTGGGCCAGGTGAGCTTGGGTTGCTTACAGCTGGGGGAAAGCTGAAGGGTAGGAGAAAGCCAGAGGCGGGAAGGCTGGCTGGAGGGCTGAGTCAGCGTCAGGGAGCAGGCAGCGCCTGGAGGAGAGGCTTCAAGGCCTCATTGCAGAACTCCAGCCCCATCCTCCTTCCTATGTCTTGCTGCGCCTTCCCAGGAGGTGGAGGGTTTGCGGCGCTCTGAGCGCAGGGGTCCCTCTGCTGGCCATGCCTGGTGCTGCAGCATTCCGGCCCCAGGTCAGAGCGTGCCTGGGGCCCAGGAGAGGCTGTCTAGGCTGGCACCCTTCTGCCAATGACCCCCTTAAGGAGCTCTGGACCTTTGCCTGATCCCCATTCTGGGCACCTCCTCCTTGGCAACAGGTGTGGCCAACTGGAGCTGTTGGGATGCAGCTAGCTTCAGCTTATTTAAGTCAGTTGTCAAGTACCCTTCCTCACCCCTGCCCATCCAGCTTCCACTGGGTCGAGGGTGGGGTTGCCCTGGGTACTTGTGGATTGCCCTGGTACCAGCCTGTCTAGCTGCATAGGTAAGGCAGCCTAGTCAGACTTGAGGGAGCACTGGCTTGAGAGTCAGGCAGACCCTGTTTAGCCACTGACTGGCTATGTGACCTTTTTATACCTTCATTTTCTCTGCTATAAATGGGAAAGAATTAATCCTATCTTGCAGAGCTGTAGTGAAGATTATGTGGCATGCAAAGCATTTAGGGGTGTGATTGGCAGTTATTAAAGCTTATTTCCTCCCTTTCACTCACCATCTGTGGTTGATGGTGAGCCACTTTGAGGCACGCAGAGAGGGGCCCCTGCCTCCCTAGCCAGGGAGTCCACACCAGGGTTGGGCTTTGGGGAGGGGGAGTGGGGGCAGCTGTAGCTCCTTCTGACAGTGGGGGTGAGTTGTGGGCACTGACTGTAGGGAGGTCCCCTTGTGCCTGGGCAGGAGGCGGACCTGAGACGGACAGTGGAGGAGAGCAGCCGCATCCAGCGGGGCTACGGGCACTACTTTGACCTCTGCCTGGTCAATAGCAACCTGGAGAGGACCTTCCGCGAGCTCCAGACAGCCATGGAGAAGCTACGGACAGAGCCCCAGTGGGTGCCTGTCAGCTGGGTGTACTGAGCCTGTTCACCTGGTCTTTGGCTCACTCTGTGTTGAAACCCAGAACCTGAATCCATCCCCCTCCTGACCTGTGACCCCCTGCCACAATCCTTAGCCCCCATATCTGGCTGTCCTTGGGTAACAGCTCCCAGCAGGCCCTAAGTCTGGCTTCAGCACAGAGGCGTGCACTGCCAGGGAGGTGGGCATTCATGGGGTACCTTGTGCCCAGGTGCTGCCCACTCCTGATGCCCATTGGTCACCAGATATCTCTGAGGGCCAAGCTATGCCCAGGAATGTGTCAGAGTCACCTCCATAATGGTCAGTACAGAGAAGAGAAAAGCTGCTTTGGGACCACATGGTCAGTAGGCACACTGCCCCCTGCCACCCCTCCCCAGTCACCAGTTCTCCTCTGGACTGGCCACACCCACCCCATTCCTGGACTCCTCCCACCTCTCACCCCTGTGTCGGAGGAACAGGCCTTGGGCTGTTTCCGTGTGACCAGGGGAATGTGTGGCCCGCTGGCAGCCAGGCAGGCCCGGGTGGTGGTGCCAGCCTGGTGCCATCTTGAAGGCTGGAGGAGTCAGAGTGAGAGCTAGTGGCCACAGCTGCAGAGCACTGCAGCTCCCAGCTCCTTTGGAAAGGGACAGGGTCGCAGGGCAGATGCTGCTCGGTCCTTCCCTCATCCACAGCTTCTCACTGCCGAAGTTTCTCCAGATTTCTCCAATGTGTCCTGACAGGTCAGCCCTGCTCCCCACAGGGCCAGGCTGGCAGGGGCCAGTGGGCTCAGCCCAGGTAGGGGCAGGATGGAGGGCTGAGCCCTGTGACAACCTGCTGTTACCAACTGAAGAGCCCCAAGCTCTCCATGGCCCACAGCAGGCACAGGTCTGAGCTCTATGTCCTTGACCTTGGTCCATTTGGTTTTCTGTCTAGCCAGGTCCAGGTAGCCCACTTGCATCAGGGCTGCTGGGTTGGAGGGGCTAAGGAGGAGTGCAGAGGGGACCTTGGGAGCCTGGGCTTGAAGGACAGTTGCCCTCCAGGAGGTTCCTCACACACAACTCCAGAGGCGCCATTTACACTGTAGTCTGTACAACCTGTGGTTCCACGTGCATGTTCGGCACCTGTCTGTGCCTCTGGCACCAGGTTGTGTGTATGTGTGTGCGTGTGCACGTGCGTGTGTGTGTGTGTGTGTCAGGTTTAATTTGGGGAGGAAGCAAAGGGTTTTGTTTTGGAGGTCACTCTTTGGGGCCCCTTTCTGGGGGTTCCCCATCAGCCCTCATTTCTTATAATACCCTGATCCCAGACTCCAAAGCCCTGGTCCTTTCCTGATGTCTCCTCCCTTGTCTTATTGTCCCCCTACCCTAAATGCCCCCCTGCCATAACTTGGGGAGGGCAGTTTTGTAAAATAGGAGACTCCCTTTAAGAAAGAATGCTGTCCTAGATGTACTTGGGCATCTCATCCTTCATTATTCTCTGCATTCCTTCCGGGGGGAGCCTGTCCTCAGAGGGGACAACCTGTGACACCCTGAGTCCAAACCCTTGTGCCTCCCAGTTCTTCCAAGTGTCTAACTAGTCTTCGCTGCAGCGTCAGCCAAAGCTGGCCCCTGAACCACTGTGTGCCCATTTCCTAGGGAAGGGGAAGGAGAATAAACAGAATATTTATTACAAATGTTAGAATATATTTCTTATACTAGGAATCTCATTTGCATTTGCATAGACTATACACATGGGGTGGAAAGGCCAGGCCTGCCCCCATCTCGTTGGTGTGGCTCTGCGTATACTACACACTCATTCTCCTGCTCCTCTTTTCCCTTAGTCAGTGTCCTTTCATCCTGATTCAGCTCTGCCTTGCATCACCCTCAGCCTAAGGGAGTGGGAAGGAAATGGGGTGTTTTCTTGCTGACCTGAGGCTATAGGGTCACTTGCCATTTCCTACCTTCTCTGGGGGATTTGAGGGTAGAGGCAGGGGAAGATCTGTTGTTGCAGCTGCTTCTGCCCCCTTGATCCAAATGACCATCATCTCTGATGGAGATGGGTTGGGTACCTGGCCTTCATGGCACCTTCACTGCTAGGGATGCTCAAGGGGCAGGCCTGGGGCCCTTCCCTCCTGTCTCTTCTCGGTCTTTCCTCTCTGAGCAGCCTCCTACCTCCCCTGCCTGAGCCCTCACTCCACAGCCCTCCCAGGTACCTAGCAGAGGCTGTCAGTCCTTGGCTCACCTGGAACAGGGCTGGGGCTGGGTTGGAACAGGTGTGTGCCCCCACCACAGCTCTATGACTCTGTTCTCCCTCCCTGCCATTGTGGACTCTTGTATTTGAGGGACCTCAAGAGAGTGAGGACCCTACCATCCACTGTCCATATTCAGTCCCAGCCCCAGTGCGCTTCCTCTGTTCCCTCCCTCAGCCATCCAATTCTTGAGTTTTCTCACTGATTGGTTTTCTTTCTTTTTCCTTGGATTAAATGTGAAAGCAAAGGCTTCTGGCTCTGCTTTTCTTTGGTTGGGGTTGGATGGATGGCTTTGGGAGAGAGTGAGAGCTGGGGAGCACAGCACAGATGACTACTAGAATGGAAGTCAGAGCAACATGTCTTGTTTTCTGCGATGTCTTCCTTTCCTCTGTCTTGCCCCTGCACACTCCCCCATCCCCAGAAGATGCTCCTTCTAAGTGCTTGTACCCAAGGACATGAACAGACATTTCTCAAAAGAAGACATACAAGTGACAATGTATGAAAAAGTGCTTTACGTCACTAATCATCAGAGAAATGCAAACCAAAACTACCATGAGTTACCATCTCACACCAGTCAGAATGGCTATTAAAAGGTCAAAAAATAAGAGATGCTGGTGAAGTTGCAGACAAGAGGGAGTGCTTATACACTATTGGTGGGAACGTACATTAGTTCAGCCCCCGTGGAAAGCTGTTTGGGGAGTTCTCATAGAACTACCATTCATTCCAGCAATCCCATCACTGGGCATCTACCCAAAGGAGAAGAAATCGTTCCACCAAAAAGATACCTGCACTTGTGTGACTGTCACTATGGGACTGAATGAAGGAGGATGTACGCCACTTGTGACAGTTACTACAGGACCGAACAAAAGAGGACAAATGCAGAAATGAAAACAAGACAAAAGAATCTGCTTTAAAGAAGGGGTCCTTGCTTTTGCTTCTAGTGAGCAAGGGCCCTGAGCTTCCACAGCCCTCCATATTTATTGGGTAGAAAGAGCAGGGAGGAGCAGGTAACCTTTGGTCAGCTGCTTGATTTATCACAGGTTCACATAATTGCTGACAGGCTTCATGTGTGCCTGTAGATAATCACAAACACTGCGCCTGAGGTGTGACTGCCCTCAGCATTCCTTCTGGGTGGCAGACGCAGTTTGTCAGTTTGCCAGCATTCTGCATTATGAGAACAGTTTGCTCATACAGCCTCCAGTGGTATACTGAGTTGATCATGACCCTCATTCTTTCGGCCTCCAACATCTCCCCCTTTTTGTTTTTACATTAATTGAACAAAATCTGTCCTCATGTTATGGGGGTTGATGTCAGTGTGACTCTGGTCAGTCCTCACTCTGTCTTTGCACTCAGATTCAACTGGCTCATGGCTCATACCAGGGGAACCAGGCCCATGGTTGGGATCCATGGGTCCCTCCAGTCTCCTGTTCCATGGTTGCACACACCTTGAGGGCACCCACATGGTTTGTCCATCTCCTATAAAAACATAAGCATACCCTCGTCCCCACGTTAGTAAATCTATAGGCAGTGGGAAACATATTCTGAGGTTCCTTAATGCTTTTCCTACAAAATGCTGACATGACGTAGGACTGCTGAGCATGCCTTGGGGTAAAACTTTCCATTGATAATGAGAAACAGGCTTTCTCCAATCAACAGAAGGCACAGAAAACAAATCGAGGCTTATCCTTCTCGTGTAAAGGTATAGTAAAAAAAAAAAATCTCCAAGATCCATTACTGCCAGAGGCCAGTCTCTTGCTCCCGTATCCATAAGCCCACAAAACTTTTAATTTGCACTGCACAAGTGGGTCTACTAGATGCTATTGGTTGTGATAGATAAATGTCCCTCCGAGTTGTACTTCCAAATCCTTGATTCCCTTGTTTCTTCTTTCGTGGAGAAGGGTGTAATTTGCAGGAGATAAGCAACAGTTGAGCAATATATTCTCCCAGTTCAAAACCCAAAGATCTTGTAACATTACCACTACTTGAATTTCTCCTTCATAATCCAAATTAACAACTCCTGGGACTACAGTAATGCCCTGTAAGTTAAGACAGCTTTTGCCTAAAATTAATCCCATGTATCCTGTTGGCAAAGGTCCACAAATCCCAGTGGGAATCTTCGTGGATTTGTCTCCTCCAACTAAAGTAACACATTCTTTGACTGGGAGACCCAATCCTGTGCTTCCAGGTGTTCCTGGGGAGAGGGAATCAATGTGCCTCCGGAAACCCACCCTTGAAACGGAGTTGTGGGCTGGACTGGGGATGCCCTCATTGTTTGAGGTGCCCACATCCAGGCCCCCTTCTCATTTCCCCACAGGGGGGTGCTGTTTTGATGAAATTTTGAATGGCATTGATTAGCCCAATCATTTCCTTTATTGCAAAGGAGGGCAAAGTCCTGGTGTTTTTTTCTATTGTGCGGGAGGGAACTGTATTATAAGATCCCTTCTTTCCAGAGATCTGACGGCATTCTTTTTTGAAATGTCCAATTTTTCCACAATTATAACACTTTCCCACTTTAGGGTTTGACCCTTGGCTCCTTTTAGGTTTATCAACTACTAAACTAGCCATTGCTTGAGCCAACATTGTAGAGCGATGAAGCTCAATTCCCACATCTTGACAAGCTCTGAGAAAATTTCCTAAGCTTCTTGTACATCTCACAGGTGCCAGTGCATGCTTACAATCCACGTTTGCATTCTCAAAGCCAAAGTTAAAGTTAGTATTTCTGCAGCCACAAAAGAAGACGGTACAGGCCAATCTTCACCCTCCCTCTCCTATTCACCGCCCTTGATAGGTGCTGTGGGTGGGGCAAAAAATTCTTTCAAATTTTGAAATAATGACAAAAGGACAGTACAGACCAAACCCCAAACAGAAAAAACAGAAAGAATGGACAAATTCTGCCCCATGTTACCCTGATTCAGAAACTTCCCGCTCCCAGTACCTCTTTAGGGACCTGACCTTATATCCCAGTACTTTTTTAGGGCACTGACCTTATATCCACTGCCAGCAGACTCGTTCTGGGGTTTCTCGTTCGTCTGGCCAGTTTCACTTTCTCTGCTCCAGCGGACCCTCCTCGTTCGTGTCCCTGTCTGTCCCTGTCTGTCTCTGCTAGTCTCTACGAGTCCCTGCAAGTCCCTGCTTGTCTCTATCTGTCCCTGTCTGTCCCTATCCCTGTTCATCCCTGTTTGGGCACCACTTGTGACAGTTACTATGGGACTGAACAAAAGAGGATGAACGCAGAAATGAAAACTTAAGACAAAAGAATCTGTTTTAAAGAAGGGGTTGGGGGCTTCTTGCTTCTAGTGAGCAAGGGCCCTAAGCTTCCACAGCCCTCCATATTTATTGGGTAGAAAGAGTAGGGAAGAGCAGGTAACCATTGGTCAGCTGCTTGATTTATCACAGGTTCACATAATTGCTAACAGGCTTCAGGTGTGCCTGTAGATAATCACAAACACTGCGCCTGGGGCGTGACTGCCCTCAGCATTCCTTCTGGGTGGCAGACGCAGTTTGTCAGTTTGCCAACATTCTGCATTATGAGAACAGTTTGCTGTTTGCTCATATAGCCTCCAGTGGTATACTGGGTTGATCACGACCCTCATTCTTTTGGCCTCCAACACACTTGTATGCTTATCGTAGCACTATTCACCATAGCAAAGACATGGAATCAACTTAGGTGTCCATCAGTGGTGGGTTGGATAAAGAAAATATGGTACATATACACCATGGGATATAATGCAGCCATAAAAATAGTGAAATTGCTCCTGTACTCCCAGCACTTTGGGAGGCAAAGGCGGGTGGATCACCTGAGGTCAGGAGTTGGAGACCAGGCTGGCCAACATAGTGAAACCCTGTGTCTAGCAAAAATACAAAAATTAGCCAGGCATGGTGGTGCGTGCCTGTAGTCCCAGCTACTCAGGAGGCTGAGGCAGGAGAATTGCTTGTATTGCAACCTGGGAGGCAGAGGTTACAGTGAGCCAAGATCACGCCACTGCACTCCAGCCTGGGCGACAGAGTGAGACTCTGTCTCAAAAAAACAAAACAAAAAAAAAAAACATGTCCTTTGCAGTAACATGAATACAGCTGGAGGCCATTATCTTAAGCAAATTAACATAGAAACAGAAAATTGAATACCATATGTACTCACTTATAAGCGGGAGCCAAACATTGGGTACACATGGACATAAAGATGGCAACAATAGACACTGAGGATGATAAGAGGAGGGAGGGAGGGAAGGAAGGAGGGAGATAAGGGTTGAAAAATGACATATTGGCCGGGCACAGTGGCTCATGCCTATAATCCCAGCACTTTGTGAGGCCGAGGCGGGCAGATCACCTGAGGTCAGGAGTTCAAGACCAGCCTGGCCAACATGGTGAAACCCCGTCTCTACTAAAAATACAAAAATTAGCCAGGTGTGGTGGCATGCACCTGTAATCCCAGCTACTTGGGAGGCTGAGGCAGGACAATCACTTGAACCCGGGAGGTGGAGATTGCAGTGAGCCAAGATCGTGCCATTACACTCCAGCCTGGGGGACAGAGCAAGACTCCATCTCAAAAGAAAAGAAAAGAAAAGATAAACTACATATTGATGACATATTGGGTTCTCTGTACACTATTTGGGTGACAGGTTCAATAGAAACCCAAACCTCAGCATCACACAATATGCCTATGTAACAAACCTGCATGTGTACCCCCTAAAAATCTAAAATTAAAAAAAAAATGCCTGCACCCAGGTGTCTGCGAGCATTCATGGGGCTCGAGGACTCAGACATGCTGTGGCTAATTCACTCAGCTCCACCTGGAACTTGTGTGGCCCCCAACAGGTCCCTCTACCTCTCTGGGCTTCAGATTTATCTTCTGTAAAAGTGTCATGGACCCTCCCAGTGGTAACACTAGGATTGCTTCCAGGTACTCAGAAACAGGGGCCATAGGTGACATCAAAAGAGCACCCAAGGGCGATGTTTGGCAAATCCTTCAGGGTTAAGGGATCAGCTTTCTTCCTAAATGAGTTATTCAGCGGAGCTGCGTGCCACTCCTTCGGGATCACTGAGGATTCTCAGGAGCTTTGGCGGTTCCCTTCTCCCTGCAATGGCCAGATGAGCAACCACCCTTATTTTGATTTCCCCAAAGCATCCATGGGGGTTCATATCACCTCATAGTTCTGATGGGAATTTGGCATTGATTATTAAACACCTCTATTCCAAAGAGCCTCTGACCATTCCTAGCACAAAGAATGTCTTTCTGGTCAACTTCTCTTTTGGTCCCTTGCCTCCACCATGTTGCTGGGTCCTCTCTGTCCTCTCTTTTTTTCCTCTCATTTCTGGACAACTTTCTTCCCATTTCCTGGGGCATTCCTGGAAACTCAGTATTTCTCTACTAAGCAACTCTGCACTTGTATTTCTGTCCCAATCCAGTGGTTCTCAATTCTGGCTGCCCGTTAGGATCACCTGGGGGGTTAAAAAAACAATTGCCTAGGCCCTTCTCCAGATCAATTAGATCAGAAGGTCAGGAGGGGCCAACCCTTGTAACAACCACCACATCTCAGCAACTTAATAACTTTGTTACTCATTTCTTGTTCACATGACATCTCATGTATGTTGAGTGGTGCTACTAGCATTGATTCAGGGATCTAGCCTCTTTCCATCTTACGACTTCATCTTCTTTTTTTTTTTTTTTTTTTTTGAGATGGAGTCTCGCTCTGTTGCCCAGGCTGGAGTGCAGTGGCACAATCTTAGCTCACTGCAACCTCCACCTGCCGGGTTCAAGCAATTCTGCTGCCTCAGCCTCCCTAGTAGCTGGGACTATAGGCGTGCACCACCATGCCTGACTAATTTTTTGTATTTTTAGTAGAGATGGGGTTTCACTATGCCGGCCAGGCTGGTCTCAAACTCCTGACCTCGTGATCTGCCCGCCTCAGCCTCCCAAAGTACTCAAAGTGCTGAGATTGCAAGCGTGAGCCACCGTGCCCAGCCAACACTTTATCTTTAATGAGTGGACTCCATAGGTGTCATTGAAGAGGAAGATAGTTGTTTTTTTTTTTTTTTTTTGAGATAGAGTCTTTGCTCTGTCACCCAGGCTGGAGTGCAGTGGTGCAATCATGGCTCACTGCAGCCTCAACCTCCCTGGCTCAAGCAAACCTCCTGGCTCAGCCACTTGAGTAGTTGGGACTACAGGTACATGCCACCGTGCCTGGCTAATTTTTTTATTTTTTGCAGAGATGGGGTCTTCTTTGCTTCCCAGGCTAGTTTCAAACTCCTGAGCTCAAACAGTTCTCCCGCCTTGGCCTCCCAAAGCTCTGGGATTACAGGCATCAGCCATCATGCCTGGCCCATGGTTTCTTTTAATCTGGTCTTAAGGTCTCTCTTGACAGTGGCCATAAGCTGAGACAGCAATTTTCTTTCTTTATCTTTTTTTTTTTTTTTTTTGAGACTGGGTCTTGCTCTGTCACCCAGGCTAGAGTGCAGTGGCGCGATCTCGACTCACTGCAGCCTCCACCTCTTGGGTTCAAGTGATTCTCCTGCCTCAGCCTCCTGAGTAGCTGGGATTACAGGCATGTACCACCATGCCCGGCTAATTTTATATTTTTAGTGGAGACAGGGTTTCACCATATTGGCCAGGCTAGTCTCAAACCCCTGGCCTCAAGTGATCCACTGGACTCAGCCTCCCAAAGTGCTGGCATTACAAGTGTGAGCTACTGCGCCCGGTCTGACATAGCAATTTTCTAGGAGAGCCCCAATCAGGGGAAAGTTAAGTTACAGTGTGTAGGTCAGGTGAGACACGATGAGAGAGTGAAACCCAAATGCATGAAACAGAAGAAATTTATTACTTACAGGTCCCAGAGACATTAGGGGCGTCTACTGGTTGCCAATGGGAAGTCTGGAGGTGGCAAGGAGCTCAACCAGTGAGTGAGAGCAGGAGAGAGATGGTGACAGACCTTGGGCCAAAGCCTTTATTGGAGTCCAGGGGTTTACCCAAGCAAGTTTCCCGTAGAGAGTTCTAATTGACGGGTTTAGAGCAAGCAGGCATGAGTTCCATGGAGTCATGCTGTGACTGCGAGGTAGTCACTGTGGCATATTTGCACAGTCCCTGTGTAAGAGGGTCAGTAGGGCAAGTCAGGTAGGTCGCATCTAGCTGTCTCATAGAGAGGTGGTCACCAGGAAGTGGTTGTATGAAGCAGGAACTGGGATCGACCATATTGAGGAACTGCGAGAGGGCAGAGAACTGGAAACTGTGGCTGGAAGGGTGACTAAGCCCTGCTTCTGATATGAGAAAGTCCAGCTTATATGTAAAATGGATGCCAAGGCAAAATAAAATTATAAGAATTCACTACATCAAAAGAGGGCTTTCACCAAAACCTGATCATGCTGGCACCCTGATCTTGGACCTCTAGCCTATAGAACTGTGAGAAATCGATTTCTGTTGTTGAGAAGCCACCAACACTATGGCACTTTGTTATAGCAGCCCAAATTAAGATAAAGACCTAAATAAATAGAGTTATTCATGGGTTGGAATCAATGTTGTTCAGAGGTCAGTTCTCCCCAAACTGATCTATGTAATCAATGTAATCCCAATCAAAATCCTAGCAAGTTTTTTTGGTATAAATTGATAAGCTGATGCTAAAATCCACACGGAAATACTAGAAATCTAAAAGAGCAAAAACAACTTTGATAAAGAACAAAGTTGGAGGATTTATACTACTTGATTTTGAGACATATTATAAAGCTACAGCAATCAAGACAGTGTGGTATTGGCATAAAGATAGATAAATAGGTCAATAGAACAGAAAAGGCCAGAAACAGACTCACACAAATATGTTTAACTGATTTCAAAGTAGTGCAATGTCAATTCAGTAGAGGAAGGACAAGGTAGACTTTTCAACAAATGGTGCTGGAATAGTTGGATATATCCATACCCAAAAAAAGGAAGAAGATGAAGGAAGAAAGGAGGAGGAGGAGAGAAGAAGAAGGAGAAGGAGAAGAAGAAGAAGAAGAAGAAGAAGAAGAAGAAGAAGAAGAAGAAGAAGAAGAAGAAGAAGAAGTTGTTTTACTCACACGTATATGAAAATTAACTCAAGTTCATTCATAAGTCTAAATGTAAAGCCTAAAACTACAACACTTATAGGAGAAAACATAGGAGAAAATCCTTGTGACCCTGGATTAGGCAAAGATTTTTTAAATACAACATCAAAAAGCATGATCCATAAAAGAAAAAATTGACACACTGAACTTCATCAAAATGTCAAACTTCTGCTCTGTGAAAGACTTCTTTTTTTCCCTTTTTCAGTGCAGCAAGCTAAGAAGACCTTTTTAAGAGAATGAAAAGACAAGTCACGCATTGGGAGAAGATAACTGTAAATCACATATTTGATGAAGGATTTATTTCTAGAATATATGAAGAGCTCTCTAAACTCAATAAAAATAGATGAAATATTTGAACAGAAATTTCACCAAAGAAGATAAATGGATGGCAAATTAGCACACAAAAAGATGCTCAAAGTCATTAGTTATCAGGGAGGTATAAATTAAAGCTACAATCTTGGTGCAGTTTATACATTTATTAGAATGGTTAAAATGAAAAAGGCTGATAGTAGTGAGTGTCAGTGGAGGAACTGGAATTCTACATGGCTGGTGGGAATGCAAAATGTTATGACCACTTTGGAAAACATGAGCATATACCTACCATATGGCCCAGATGTTCCACTCCAAGGTATTTACCCAAGAGAAGTGATAGCATGCAAAGACTTGTACATAAATCTTCATAGCAGCTCAATTTGTAATAGCCCCAGACTGGAAAGAACCCAAATACCCATCGACTGGTGAATGAGGATGGGAGTGAGGCAGGATTACAAAGGGGCAGAAGAAAACTTTTGGGGGTAATGGATATATTCATTATCTTGATTGTGGTGACTGTTTCACAGGTATATACATAATACAAAACTTATCCAATAGTATACTCTAAACACGTGCAATTTATTGAATGCGAACTATACTTTTTTTTTTTTTTTTTGAGACAGAGTTTTACTCTTGTTGCCCAGGCTGGAGTGCAATGGTGCGAGCTTGGCTCACTGCAACATCCACCTCCCGGTTTCAAGCAATTCTCCTGCCTCAGCCTCCTGAGTAGCTGGGATTACAGGTATGAGCCACCACGCCCGGCTAATTTTGTATTTTTAGTGGAGACGGGGTTTCACCATATTGGCCAGGCTGGTCTCGAACTCCTGACCTCAGGTGATCTGCCAGCCTCGGCCTCCCAAAGTGCTGGGATTACAGGCGTGACCCAATGTGCCCGTCCCCAGTTATACCTTAATAAAGCTGTTAAAAATAGTAATTAACAATGATGTCCAGTTTGTTGGAAAAAAAAAAAAAGAGAGGGAAAGGACAGAATTAAAAACTGGAAGAAAATGGTCTGCAAGATAGGAGCAAGTGATGGGAGTTAAAGGGTTTGGGGATCCTATATTATTCAAGGAAAAATTAAGGATTGTGAGGATATTAACTGTAGTCTTTGTTGAAAACCTATGTATAATACAAAGTTCAAGATTCAAAATAGAGGATATAACCTCCATACTGTAGAAGGAAAAAGAATGGCATAAGAAAACAAAAATAGAACTTAGTCAATCCAAAAAAAGGCAAGAAAGACAGTAAGGAAAGGGCCACTGGTTTTGTCTCTTCTGTCCCAGCCCATGTGTGATTGCAGATGGGTAGATCTGCTGCTTTGCATCAGACTCAGGGCCTTGGCACTCACATCCAGCCCCATGGTGCCGTCCCAGCTGTCAGACCCAGGTGCTTGCTTGCCACACCTTGAAGTGATACTGGCGGGGAGCTCTTCCCTGCTCCTGGGAAGACTCCCCCAAAGCACATCACAGCCCCTTGCATGTCTTAGGCGCTTTCCACCTTCTCTGTGTCTGTTTTCTTTCCCCCTATATGCCCCTCCCTTACCCACTTCCTGGATGAATTTACAAATTTCTCCTTAATAGACCTCAATGGATTAGAATCATAATCTCCAATTCTTTGTCAAGAGTAAGGTGGGGAAGAGAGGCCTTAAATAATCCATTTTGGTGTTAAAATGTTTCTTTTTGGCTGCCCGCGTGGTGGCTCACACCTGTAATCCCAGCACTCTGGGAGACCGTAGGGGGTGGATCACCTGACGTCAAGAGTTTGAGACCAGCCTGGTCAACATGGTGAAACCTCGTCTCTACTAAAAATATAAAAATTAGCCAGGTGTGGTGGTGCACACCTGTAGTTCCAGCTACTTAGGAGGCAGGAGAATCGCTTGAACCTGGGAGGTGGAGGTTGCAGTGAGCAAGATTGTGCCATTGTACCCCAGCCTGGGCGACAGAGCAAAAACTCCATCTCAAAAAAAAAAAAAAAAGTTTCTTTTAAAGAAATAGCTGGACTGGTAAGTGACAGTTTGTTATTTTTGTTATATTTACTGTCCTAATTTGGCAAAACTAAATGTTTGCAATTCTTTGATGTTCCTCCAATTTTTTCTGAAGTTTTACCTCCCAGCAAAAGTCCCTCATTCTCAGGATAGGTGAGCAGTGACTTGTTGCTTCTTTTTGTTTAAGGGGATTGAATAAAATCTCACGTAAATACCAAAGACTGCAGATCTGAGTATTCAAGTACAAACATCAAACCAAGGTGTATCAAAATGGGGGATTGCAAAGTGTCAACTGGTAAGGGAGTGGTCTTTCTCCCCTACCTGTCAGGAGGGAGCTGGGCCCTCTTGGTGGTACTGTGGGAATAAGAGAGTGTCTCTGAGTAATATTTATGTGTCTCATAAATCCACTGAAACTTGGAATTCCATGGATGCCAATCCTAGGTTGCCTGGGAGAGAGCTCTGCCTCTCAGAATATGTCAATTTATTCAGCCCAGTCTGCAAATGGGTGAGGGATGGGAGTGGGATGGCCAAGCTGACCACCTCCTGGTTCCCAGGAAGCCCCGGCTCCAGTAGGTGAGGAGAGATTCAGAGGACAGGAGGGTTCTTTCCTTCCAGGGAAACCCCAGCCAAGGGATTTTTCAGGGGGGAAGCCTGCTTTTGATGCACTTCTAGGGTGCATTCTGACAGTGTGTGTGCCCAGGTCCCAGCAGAAGATTTGGGACCATGTGAAACTTGCTGCTCCCTATGTCCCAAACACCTTGGCACACACAGTGCCTGGAGCCTGGGTGCAGCACACAGAGTTCGGGCCTGGGAGCTCACTGTCCACCCAGAGAAGGTACTTGGTGCAACCCCAACCCAGAGGCCTCGGGCACAGGCTGGCACCTTCTGGTGAGCTGCTCTAGCTTCATCAGACCAGTTCCACCTCCACCCAGTCCCCCAGGCCCTCGAGGTTCTGATCACAGGGCCATTATTGAACTGTTTCTCCTGCCTTTCCAGCAGGGACAGGTGCAGAGGACTTCAAGAAACACTGATTGCAAGGGTCTGGTGGGGGTGAAATTGGTGCTGCCACTCCAGAAAGCTGTTTAGCAAGAGGCATCAGTAACTTCAAAAATGTTCACTCCCTATGACCTGGCACTTCCATGCACGCAAATCCTTCTTTAAGAAATCTCCCGGCCAGGTGCAGTGGCTCATGCCTGTAATCCCAGCACTTTGGGAGGCTGAGGCAGGCGGATCACTTGAGGTCAGGAGTTCAAGACCTGGCCAACATGGTGAAATCCCGTCTCTACTAAAAATTCGAAAATTAGCGGAGCGTGGCGGCAGATGCCTGCAGTCCCAGCTACTTGGGAGGTTGAGGCAGGAGAATGGCTTGAGTCAGGGAGGTGGAGGTTGCAGTGAGCTGAGATTGCATCACTCAACTCCAACCTGGGCGACAGAGCAAGACTCTGTCTCCAAGAAAAAAAAAAAAGAAAAAGGAAAAGAAATCTCCCAATGCAGATAAACCCCCAGGCAAATTTCACCCACACTTATCTACAATAGCAAAAATGGAAGCAAATTAAATATCGAGTGATAGACTATTGGTTAAATAAATTGAGACACACTGATAGGATGGAATATGCAGCTGATGAACATTTTATTTATAAAAAGGTCTGTAAAACACAGAGAAGTGCTGGAATAAAGTGATGGAACGATAAGGTGGAAAAGGCAGGATACAAAGTTGTATATACAAGATAATTGCTCTGTAAAAAGAACACCGGCAAATTATGTGAAGAAGAAAAGAGTGGAAGGAAGTACAACAAAACGAAATAATGATAGTCTCTGGTGAGACTATGGGTGACATTTTTTTCTTCCTTTTCTTTTTCTCCTCCATCTTTCCAAGTTTTGCATACTGAACAACTCTTAATTTCACTTTTTAAAGGAAATAGGGCCAGACACAGTGGCTCATGCCTGTAATCCCGGCAATTTGGGAGACTGAAGCAGGAGGCTCATTTGAGGTCAGGAGTTCAAGACCAGCCTGGCCAACATGGTGAAACCCCATCTCTACTAAAAGTACAAAAATTAGCCAGGTGTGGTGGTGCGTGCCTGTAATCCCAGCTACTCGGGAGGCTGAGGCAGAAGAATCACTTGAACCCAGGAGGCGGAGTTTGCAGATCGTGCCACTGCACTCCAGCCTGGGCAGCAGCACGAGATTCTGTCTTAAAAAACAATAATAATGGAAAAAGAAAAAAAATAGTAGTTGTGCTACTTTACCCCCACCCCCGACCCCTTCTCCAGGGGGCTGGACTCGGAGTCACCTTCAGGTATCCGCCCTGTTCCTACTCTCCTCTGTGTTAGACACCTACGTGCACTCTGGTTTTCTACTTTTCTCTCTAGCCACCAGAACCCATAGGCAAGTAACCCTTTCCAGACAAGGAAGGAGCCAAGGTTTTCTTCATCATTTTTCCAAAGGCAAGAAGGCATGGCCAGGGAGGGCAAATGGAAAGGCAACCACTCTCTGCCGGTCCTGGGCTTATCCCTGCAATGTGCACCTGACCTGACCAAGGCCTGGACTTAGGCAGGCCTCAGGGGAGTCCCCAGCTGGATCTTGGTGTCGCAGACAGAGCAGATCTTATTGGGGCAGGTGGGAGACGTCACAGCCCAAATGCAGACTCTAAGCTGGAGGGGTCTGAGCGTTCATCAGGCCCACTGGCCCTCAAACTCAAGTGCGACAGTCACTGGGCATTGTTAGAAATTCAGAGTCCTGCACCAAGCCCCAGAGATGGTTTTGGTGGGTCTTGGTGGGGCCCAGGAATCACGTTTTTCACAGGCTTCCTGAAGGGCTGGGATGCAGGTGGTTCAAAGAGAAGCCAGAATCCCAGTCTCACCCCAGCATGCTCCTCTTCATCACCAGCTGATGCAGGAGACCGTGGGACTAAGTCTGAGGACGCCAGGGAGGGAAGACAAGGTGGGGTCTGGAGTGGGAGGAAGGCAGGGTCCGACACTGGGCATGAGGCCCAGGAGTTCCTGGCAGATTGAAACTCAGACCAGATCCACTGAGCCTTGTCTGGCCCTGCTGAGGGTCAGCAGCCTGGTACTCTGCCCAGGGATGTGAACCTATCAGGGATGTCCCAGTCTCCAGCCGGAAGAGCAAGGCCACCGCTCTGGGCTCCAGGGCTGACAAACGCTTCTAGGTCAGGCTGGAACATGCAAGAGGAGAGCCTGGGGAGGGTGGGGAGAGCCCTGGAGTCCGGGCAGCTGGACTCTGAGGCTGAGGTGGAAAGCTTTCGGGAATCGGTGCTGATCCAGCCAGCCATACTGCTTCACTGCTGGCCTGGCCAGGAGGGCCTCCTGCCCTACGCTGAGACAAACTTCGAGAAGCCCAGCTCCTCCTCAGATGTGTGGAGGGGAGGCATCGAGATCACGTCCCCCTCAGGGGCCTGGGAAGGGGCTTCCTTTTCCTCCGCAGTCTGTAAAGACAACAGTGGGGTTTGGAGAGCAGAACCCAGATGAAGGGGTGGGAGGTGTGAGGGGTGGTCCCCAGGTAGCTGCTGCGTCCACCCAGCCTTTTCCACAAGTTCCAGCCCTCCGTCCATCTGCAGAGGCACAGGACCTAACAACTCCCCAGAACTCCCAGGCTTTGATTCATGGCCTCTCATGACCCCAATCCATCCCTCCCCCGGGGTGCCCTCAAGGCCCCAGGCTGGGTTCTGGCGCAGTTGTGGCCTTGAGGGCAGTGCAGCCCACAGCACTGTCAGCTGTGACTCCCAACAAGCTATTCAGGAATTTTCTGGACCGGAAAAAAAGAGGATGTGAGGTCAAAAGCTCTGGCTTCCCAGGTGAAATGGGCTAGGCCTATGGCTGTGAATGGGGAAGGTGGGTAGATGCGGGGGTGTGGGGTTTGGGGAGCAGATGCTGAGGAAAAGGCCTCCTTCCACTTCCTCTAATTGTCAGAGTGGAGGCAGGCAAGGTGGCTCCTCAGCCCCTCCCTTCCCAGGGCCCTTCTGTCCATACTTGGCTTAGATACTGGATCTCTGTGTAGAGGCTGGGAGAGGGCTCGGGGATGGTGAGAGACCCCATGGGCCCTGCAAGGTTGATCACAGCGTCCTCTGGGTCCCGGCCATTCCCCAGTGGCTGTAACAGAGACTTGGTCAGAACAGCCTGTTCTTGGCAGCAGGGATGGTCTGCTAGCCCAGCCAAGCCCAAGCAAGATGAGGGAAACGTGGGAGGGGTGGGCAAGGCAGGGAGGTGCCGGGAGGGGAGAATACTAAGCTCCTGGATGCCTCTGCCACTTCCTTCCTTCCTGTCTTGTCCAAGGAAGGACAAGCTGTCTCACCTCTCTGAAGCTCAGTTTCCTCAGCTGTAAAACTAGGTAAGAATTTGTCCTTTGGGATTATAATATTCATAATAGCATCCTACCACTCAACCAATGAGAAATTCTGGAATGACTTATTTGTTTTCATTATTTTCTATCCTTTAAAGCAGAAAGATCATGCAGGCTGCAGGTTCTTTGTAACAGGCCAAGAGACAGCAAAGTTGGACACGCCAAAGATTCGTCGAATAACAAGGGACACATGAAACATTCTTGAGATGATGGGTCTGAGCAATCCATTATCCATCAGATGAGGAGACCACGGCCCAGGGAAGACAGCAGGTAGTCCAGGGTCAGTGGGGAAGCCCATATTCTGACCCGGGCCTGGCTGCTCCCATGGGTCCTCAGATCAGGAACGCCAGGCCCGTCCATCTCAGGCCTTGCCCTAGCAGGTGGGCGGAGCAGAGGCTGGAGCCGGCCAAGCTCCCCAGCCAAGACTCCCAAGGCCACAGGCTGCCCTGGGGTTTCCTGGACAGTGAATCCCATGGCCAAATGGGCACTGATGCCAGAGAAAGAAGCTCCCATTTTCTGGGCATGTATAGGGTATATCATCTCACTCTTTCCTATTTACAACTATGTGAGCTATGGCAACAGGGGCTCAGAGAGGTGATGCAACCTGCTTGACATCACACAGCTGGCACATGGCTGAGCTGGGACTCATACTGGAGACTGTCTGACTGCAGACCCAAGCTCTTTCCCTATACCCTGCTGCCATCCGGGCAGGGTGTGTGACACATTCCTCTTGGGCTCGGTGTCCATGGTCTACTAACCGGGGCCCAGCTTCTCTCAATACCTAGCTGCTGTGGATGGGGGCAGAGGCAGATGTTTGAGCCAAATCTTGTTAGAAATGCTAAGATGAAGCCTGGGTGTGGTGGCTCTTGCCTGTAATCCCAACACTTTGGGAGGCTGAGGCTAGAGGACCACTTGAGCCCAGCAATTTGAGACCAACCTGGGCAACATAGTGAGACCCCATTTCTCTAAAACCTTAAATTAAAAAGATAAAATATATACCAAAGAAAAGAAACACAGGGATGACATCTTCAGCCTTCTGGGGACAAGGTAGGAATTAGAGCAGAATTCCTTGGGGGAAGTGTGGGTGGTGGATGAGGGCACTGGGAGGGGTAAGGCAATTCCCAAATGCTGCCACTTAGGGCCCTTGTCCCTCCTAGCCCTGCCCATGGTGAGGACAGAGGGGGCCTTGGTGCAGGGCAGACCTGGGGCTACACCAGAGGACTCCTGACATCAGACCCATGAGTCCATATTTACAGCTTTGCAATCTGGTTTTAACCCAGCCACTGCTGACCCTGGACCACCAGCAGCTGCAGAAGTGTCACCTGTTCCAGGGTGACTGAGTTTGAGGAAAGAGCCTCGCAGTGCAGAGGCCAAACGGCACACCTAGGCAGCAGCCAGGCCCACTATCGCAAGTCTGGTGTGATTTGCAACCTCTCCCCTGCCCCTCTGCCTCCACTGTGGACGATCGGCCCTGTTCCAGCAAGCATGGAGGCATTTTCTGGGTTGCTAAATATGCAAGATATATATCAGAGCTCTGCTTCTAGGTACTAGTAATAAACCTAATAAAGAAAGAGGGAAGTCTTGGGAAGCCAGGGCTGAGTTCTGATCGGAGCTTAGCAGGCTATTCATTTCCAGGAGTGAGGGTCTGCAGCTGTCCCAGGGTCTTTCTCCTGAGTCTGGGGGAGGAGTCTTGGGCTGCGAACTTGGCTCCATTCCTCAAACCCCTTGTACTTCAGTGCAGCGGGGTGGAGGACGCAGAGGGCTCTGCAGCCAGCCCCATAGACCTGTCAGCCTCCCCAGTTCTGCCTCTTTCAGGCTGGGTCACTGGGCAATTTCCCTTTTCTCTCTGAGCCTGTATTTCTTCATCTGCAAAATGAAGGGGATACTAAACTCTACCTCGTATGGGAATGATGAGGATTCGTTGGCATATATAAAGCCCCTGACACGTAGTAGGTGTTCAATAAAAGATGAGGCAGACGAATGGATGGATGGCAGTCCTTCTAGCAAGATCTCTTAGGGAAAGAAAATGCTGGTCTGACCCCTAAGACTTCCCTCAGGGTTTTCACACCCCTGTGAGGCCTCTCAAAGTATAAGTAATGCATCCCCCTCCCTCTTTGACCCGAATGTGGACAAAGAAAGCCCCAAACCCCTTCAATTCCATCTCCAGACTCTGCTAAATCCTATGGAGAAGCCACAAGGGAAATAATCAAGAAAAAGCAGAAGCACCCACCTGATCGTGTTTACAGGGTTCTTGCCTCTGACCCTCTTGGGAGGCCCTGTTCCATCTTTCCCTCAACAAGGGGCCGCCCCCTAGAGCCCCTCTGCCTGCTGGCCCTGTGCCCCTTCCTGTCCCCTCCCTCTTCAGCAGAGCCAGGGTCAGGAGCCTCAGGCAGGAAAAAGCCCAAAGCAGCCCTTCTCAGGGTTGCCAGAAGGCAGTAGCATGGGAGCTGTGGCTGGTTCCGGCGCTCTCAGCCTCCTTGGACCCCAGCCCCTCTTCTGGAGCTAGGTGGGGTGAGACCCAGGCCCTAGCCCGCAGAGCCAGGAGGCCGGGCTTGGAGGTGGCCAGTGGCACCCACCGTCCATCCATCCGTGTGTCTCCATGACTTTTCCCTTACTCTCCTCTGCTACCTTTGGCCCTGTTGAGCTTCCTGAGACAACAACAGCTGCTTCCTAAGCCACAGCCCAAAGTCCCATTTCCACCCCAGACCCTCCTTGGGGTGACCAGGCCTGAGTCTTTTGTCCTCACTGGCGCCAGGAAAGAAGGCAATGGTAGCTCCGCTTTCCTGCCCTTGTGTTTAAAGGAATGGAGTGGAGGCATCTCAGTAAACAGCAGAGGGAGGAGGGGCCAGGAGGGGCTTCTGTTGCCTGAAGTGCGATGCTGCAGCCCCCTCCGTTGGAGTGCTGGCCTCGGAGGGCACAGTCTCTTCTTGCAGCAGTAGCCTTGGGGCAGGTTCCCAGCTCCAGACAATGGGCACAGGGACCCTTATTCTCTTGCCCCTGGTCCCCAGAGCACCACCCTCAGCCTGGGTCCCAGAGCAGCCACACCACCTTGGTCTCAGAGCCAAGGCAGGCTCAGAGAAAACATCAGGGAGTTCTGGAAAGAGAAGAGCAGGAGTCAAGAAATCTGGGTCCTGTTCTCTGTTTGGGCCACCACCTGCTGTGTGACCATGGGCAAGACCTTTACCCTCTCTGGGCCTCAGTCTCATCTTTTGTAAAAGCACACTAGAGTTTGTAGCACTGCCAGAGTCCCTGGACCCCACCCCTGGAGGGTTCAGCTGGGTCTGGGGCCCTGGAGAGTGCATCTCTAACAGCTCCCTGACCCCTGGGCGTTCTGAAAGGCGATTTGCTTCAAACTGAGAGAAAAGTCAGGCTAGAGATCTCAAAGGCTTCATCTGGATCCAGCTCTGATGTTCTGTGATTCTAAAAGGGGGGATGGAAAGAAGGCGCCTGGAGAAGATGCTCACATGGCTCCTGGAGCCCACCCTGCCTGGCACCTGGCGGGAAATCAGGTTCCCACCTGTGAGTCCCCCATGGGCACTGTGTCCGGCTCACACCCTGAAGGGCTGATCTTGGGGCTCACACACATTCCTCCAAGGTGGGGAGCAAGCGCTGCCTCTAGGTCAGGCAAGGAGGACCAGGTAGGAAGTCACAGAGGCAAAGCCCAGGAATCTTGACTTCCAGCCCCAAGGGGATCTGAGCTTGGGCTTCCATATGCCTCTGTCCTTACCAAGCGTGAGAGGCAGAACTTCTCGTTCCTCTGTGTCTCCGTGGCCTGTTGAGCTGAAAGAGATGTAGAAGGAGGAGCCCCTTGAAGCCAGGAGTAGCCGGGAGTGGCCTGTAGCTGCTCCCAGAAAGGTGGACTGGCCCCCTTGCACACGGGAGCAGGGGCTTCCCAGAGGGAGGAGGCAGCCAGATGGGCAGAGGAGCCCCTTCCAGCTTAGCCCCTTGGGAATGACCCAGTCTTCTGAGATCAGTGCATGGAGATTATCTCATGAGGGTCAGAAACTGGCTGGGAAAATAAATCTGTGTGCTAAGGTCACTGCTACTTAAGCCTTAGTGTGCACATAGGACCCCCTGGATGTTTTTGTACAGTGCAGAGTCTAATTCAGTAGGCTGGGGTGAGGGTCTGAGGGTCTGCATTTCTAACAGGCTACCAAGGGTTGCCACCGCTGCTAGCTGGCAATCAAAGTTTGAGATGCAAGGTGCTAAGTGGCTCTGAGGTTGTGACCAGGAATGCTCCCACCCTGGCTTCTTCAGAGGGGACCTGGACAAAGCCCACATTTCCTCCTAGGAGCCACACATGGAAGGGACAGAAAGCAGGCCCAGGATTCCCCTGTGGCCGCCTCCATGGGTATGACATTGTGATTATCTTCCCGGCTCCACCACTTCTTAGCTATGCAAACAAAGGGCAAGCTGCTTAACCACTCTGTGCCTCAGTTTCTCCCCCTGGAAAATGGGTGTACTCCACAGTGTGGAGATTAAAGGGGATAAGCAAGATAAGCTGGGGATAGTGGCTGGCACATGGTAGCTCTTATTACTGAGATTTTGGTTAATCCTTTTAGTCTTTGCCATCCAGCACGGGAGCCGGGAGCTGCACATGGCCATCAGGCACTGAAATGTGACTACTTCATGTTAGACTGGGTTTTGATGGCTCAGTATGAAAAACATGGAAGTAGAATATGTATCATTGATATTTTCATATTGATTCCATATCAAAATGATAATGTTTGGGATATATTGGGTTAAATAAAGTACATTATTAAAATTAACTTCACTAGATTGGGCGTAGTGGCTCATGCCTGTAGTCCTAGTTACTCGGGAGGCTGAGGCAGGAGGATCGCTTGAGCCATGGAGTTCAAGGCTGCAGTGAGCCATGATCACACCACTGCACTCCAGCCTGGGCAACAGAGTTAGACCCTATGTCTAAAAAATAAGTAATTAAAATAAAATAAAATACACTTAAGTGCACTCATTTCTTTTTACTTTTTTTCATGTGGCTATTCAAAAGTTTTAAATTACATTTGTGGCTTGTATTCTATTTCTGTTTGATGTATATCTGTGATTTGAGGTAAATGAGGCTTAGGGCAGTTAGGTGACTTGCCTGACGTCACACAGCTAAAAAGTGGCAGAGCTGGGATTTGAGCCCCAGCCTATGGAAGGGGCTGAGCAGCTCTAGAGACCCAGTGGCAGGAGTGGGGTTACAATGTCTGTCCTGCTCAAATTCAAGTGCTTGGTCCTGCACTGCCCCTGGCAGTTGGTTCCCACACAAGGAGCTGGCAATGAATTCCCTGGGATCAATAGGTAGAGAAGTGCTTGATCAGTTTAGACAGGCAGGAAGAAGCTGAGAACCCTTCATTCTCCCATTTCCCCTTGTGAATTACTTTCCTAATGTTGACTACCTCGTGGCTCCTTCAGAAGGGAGGCCACAGCTCCTGATGCTCATATCTCAGACAGACACGCTGAGACCCACAGGGTCTTTCCAGGGCTGGATGGGGAGCTGCAGGTCTCAGTGAGGTCCCTGGCCCAGTGAGCCTCCCGCCTTCCTGCCGCCCACCTTTGCTCACCTTCCTTTCTCCACAGGAGCAGGTGGCTGCAGAAGGCGATCAGGCCTGCGGCTGACAGAAGGCTCAGCAGCACCAGGACTGGGGCCAGTATGCGGACCATCGGGATGGACACCCTGGAGACGAGACGCAAGGAGCCTAGTGGCTGTTACCAGATAAGCCAGAGTCTATGTCCTTTGGGGGTCCCAGGCACAGGCTGAGAAAGCCAATCCCTAGTGTGGAATCCAATTCAATGCAGCAGAGACTTGTGGGGGGTGGTGGTGCGGGGGGGTGGTATTTAGTGCTACTGGCTCTTGACAAACATTATGTAATTAGCGCAGACCCCGGAGCCAGGCTGTCTAGGTTCAAACTCTAGCTCCACCACCTTTCTATACCTTGGATAAGTGACTAAACCTCCCAGGGTGTCAATTTCCTCCTCTGTAAAATGGCTGTGGTGAGGATCAAATGGGTGAGGATGTGTAAAGCGCATAGTTCAGTGCCACACACATGCCAGGCACCACGTCAATGTTAGCTGTTAAATTCCACAACCCCTGTATAACTAGGTAGGAGTGGATCAATTTCACACTGGAGAAACTGACACCTGAAGCAATGAGCGACTCGTTAGGTCATGCAGTGGTGTGTGGGGAAGTTCCCGGTGGCCTGTATCTGGGCTGGTGTCACTGGCATGTGGGGCATCCTGGCATTCTTACTGTGAGTCAAGCCATGTCCTTTCTCTCTCCCAAGGAGATCAGAGGGCACTAGGGACCACGATGTCCCATCAGCCCTGTCAGGTGTGGAACGGATCCCCGCCCCCATTGCCAACCCAGGATTCACTTTCAGCAGGGCCTGAACCTGCCAGCAGCTGCCTGGATGTCGGTAGCCAAGTGCATTTACAACCCCCAAGAACCAATCCTTCAGGCTGGGACTCCAGTTGTAAGGCAAAAAATTGTTTTCTTTTGGACTCTGAGTTTTCATGTTTGGCACAGGGCTTAGTGCAAAGTATACAGGCAAAAGCCCCAGAACTGGGGTGGCCGTCCCTGAGGCTGGGGCAGGGAGAGAGGTCAGGACTGGGATCCTGGTGGACCCTTCACACTGGACAGGCAGCAGAGCTGCTGGCTCCTATAGTACAAGCTGTCCACTGCTCAAGGGCCCCTGTGAGGGACTCTCTGTGCTGCAGGCTGTGGCCATGACAAGAGGATGCGTCCGCTTAGAGGAAAGAGTGTTGAGTTCCTATTTTCTCAAAGGCACCTTATGGTTTAGTGATGGCTTGAAAGGGGATGTTGGTCACCTGGGGCTCACCTGGGCTTAGAGCTGCCACTGCTGAGAGCTGGACTGGTGTCCTCTGCTGAGGTGGAGTCCAGCTGCATGGGGGGGCGGGAGCTCCCTGCAGGAGGAGAGGTCGCTGGGTGAGGAGAGGTTCCTGTGTACTGAGAAGTCCTTTCGTGCCCGTACTGGGAAGTCCCTGGCAATGGAGGGGCCTCAGCCCCTGTCTTCCCCTGCTTGGCTGTGGTGGCTGCCGGGTAGAGCCCAGGAGAAGCTACAAGTCCAAAAGCAATGCCTCAGCATCCTTCCTGACCCTTGCATCCCAGCATCCCTGACTTCTGACCCTGGACCCCTGAACCCTAGCCTCCCTGGGACCCGTTTCTCGGAACATCCCCAGCTAAAGGATACCCCAGTAAGCAAACAGATCTAGATGAAGCCACTTTGAGGAAGGAGACCGTAGATCAGGCACACCCCACAGCTGTGCATGATGTTCAGTCTCTTTCTGTGCCCACAGCTTGTTGCCTCTGTGAGGAGGTATAAGCACTCCCCTTCCCCGCTTCCATGACCCTTTCCAGTGACCATTCAGTGGACACCTTCCTGCCCTCCCCCTACAGTCCCAGTCAATTGTCACCTCCTTCCTCACCAGAAGGGCAGGTCCTCCCCTCACCACCATGTGCCCCCTCCCCAACCACCCGTGCCTCAGTAAGGCCTTGACTTCCTTCTGCAGCCATGAGACCAGGAAGGGCAGGGTGGCAGGATGAGTCCAGAGGTCAGGGCCCAAGGCCTGGCCTTTCTGGCTTGCCCCCGAGACTCTGGATGGCGCAGACAGAATATGAGCTTTGGGGTCAGGCTGTGACCACTTCTGGGATCTGGCACTTCTTGTGTGACCCTGAGCAAGTGACCTAACCCTGCTGAGCCTCCACTTCCACAGCTGGACAACCCAGCTCCCAGGCTTGTGGGGACACCTAGGTGGCCATAAACTATTGTGTCTGGTACCAGGCAGGCACTCACTGGCTGCTTCTGTAAGAAGGGTGGCAAGGGAAGGGGCGGAATTGCCATTCACTCACTCAATCCTGGGGGCTGGGTTTGCTGAGCTTTTGCCTTGGGCTGCAGGCGTGTTGTAGCCAGAGGCTGGAAGGTGGGAGAAGGGGAGGGAGGACAGCAGGGTCCTAGAGGAAAGGGAAAGGCTGCTCTCAGGGGTGGCACCGCTCTGAACCCCTTTTCCTTCCTTGGGAGCAGCTGGCAGTTTTCCTACCCCCCACCTCAGCACAGAGCACTGCCATCTTTCGCCTCGGCCAACCAGGAGCCACGTGGCGGGTTCCAGCAGATCCCTGGTCTTCTACTCCTGCAGCCCCCTGGCCTCGCGCCTAGCTCAGAGCCTCAAACCCACCTGCCTCTCAGCCTGCTTCTTCCCTGCCACCCTTCACACTACTCCAGTTTTGTCTCAAAAGTCTGTGTTGGATCCCATCCCTCTCTGCCTTAGAACAGTCACTGGCTCTCCATTGCCTAAAAGCCAAAGTTCAAACTTTTTAGTATGCCTTTCGAGGCCTCTTAAACTCAGGCTTCAGGCCGGGTGTGGTGGCTCACACTTGTAATCTCAGCATTTTGGGAGGCCAAGGCTGGTGGATCACGTGAGGTCAGGAGTTCGAGACCAGCCTGGCCAACACGGTGAAACCCCCTCTCTACTAAAAATACAAAATTAGCTGGGTATGGTGGAGCATGCCTGTAATCCCAGCTACTTGGGAGGCTGAGGCAGGAGAATTGCTTGAACCCGGGAGGGAGAGGTTGCGGTGATTGCAGTGAGCCAAGATTGCGCCACTGCACTCCAGCCTGGGCAACAACAGCAAAACTTCGTCTCTAAAAAAAAAAAAAAGCAAAGAACAAAACTCAGGCTTTGAGGCTTTGAACCACCTTGTCAGCTTCGCCTCTTTCTCTGTTCGGTGCTCCAGCCATAGAGTCATCCTCTATTCCCGACTAAACCAGCCTCCTGCCCACCTCCGTGCCTTGGACATGCTGTTCCTCTGTGTGCGATGCCTTTCCTTTCCATCTCTGCCTAAAGCACTTCTTTCTGTCCTTCAGCACAAGCTCAAGGTCAACTCCTCTGTAATGTCTTCCCTGGAAGCAGCGAATCTCTTTTTCCTCTGTGCACTCACAGTCCCCTGTGCGTGCCTCCAGTGGCGCTAATGCTCACTTACACTGCAATTTCTTGTGTACTGGGTCTCCCTGCTAGGCTGAGACTCCTTAAAGGCAAGATGCCTATCCTCTTGGGAGGCCAAGGCAGGCAGCTCACAAGGTCAGGAGATCGAGACCATCCTGGCTAACACGTGAAACCCTGTCTCTACTAAAAATACAAAAAATTAGCCGAGATCGCGCCACTGCACTCCAGCCTGGGCGACAGAGCGAGACTCCGTCTCAAAAAAAAAAAAAAAAAAAAAAAAAATTCCTGTCCTCTGTGCCCAGCACAGTGGGCAGAAGCCTGATGCAACCAACTCCCCAGGAGCTACTCCGGTCCCCACTTCCCCAAGTCCATCTGTCACTTCCCCAGTCCTTGCTGACTGTGTGCCATCCTGGACTCTCCCTCTTTCTCCACCACTTTCTCTTCTACAGATTGAGTATCCCCTATCCAAAAATGCTTGGGAACAGAAGTGTTTCAGATTTCAGAATATTTGCATTATATCTGCCGATTCAGCATCCCTAATCCAGGAATCTGAAATCCAAAATGCCCCAGTGAGCATTTCCTTTGTGTGTGTGATGCTGGCACACAAAAAGTTTCGGACTTTGGAGTATTTTGCATTTTTGGATTAGGGATACTCAATCTGTAACACTAGGTCAGTTTATTCTTGGATTTTTCTAAGTAGATGATCAAATCTTTTGCAAATACAGAGTATTTATCTTTTCCTTTCCAACATTTATACTTCTTCTTCTTTTTTTTTTTTTTTTTTTTTTTGAGACTGAGTCTGGCTCTGTTGACCAGGCTGGAGTGCAGTGGCACGATCTTGGCTCACTGCAACCTCCGCCTCCCGGGTTGAAGCAATTCTCTGCCTCAGCCTCCTGAGTAGCTGGGATTACAGGCACCTGCCACTATGCCCGGCTAATTTTTATATTTTTAGTAGAGACGGGGTTTCACCATTTTGGCCAGGCTGGTCTTGAACTCCTGACCTCGTGATCCACCCGCCTTGACCTCCCAAAGTGCTGGGATTACAGGCGTGAGCCACCATGCCGGGACTTATACTTCTTAATCTTGCATATTTCATTGCCTAGGGCCTTCAGGCAAAGATGAATAAAAGAAAATGATAGTAGGCTGGCTGGGCACAGTGGCTTCTGCCAGTAATCTCAGCACTTTGAGAGGCTGAGGCAGGCAGATGGCTTGAGTCCAGAAGTTTGAGACCAGACAGGCCAATATGGCGAAACCACATCTTAAAAAAAAAACAAAAAACCAAAATGTAGCCAGGCATAGTGACTTGTGCCTGTGGTCCCAGCTACTCTGGAGGCTGAGGTAGGAGGATTACTTGAGCCTGGGAGGCAGAGGTTGTAATGAGCCAAGATTGTGTCACTGCACTCCCGTCTGGATGACAGAGTGAGACCCCATCTCAGAAAAATGAATGAATGAATGAATGAATGAATGAATAAAAATAAATAAATAAAAAGAAAAGAAATGATAGTGGCTACATTTGTCTTTTTCTGACTTTCTTAGAAATTCTTCTCATGGTTCACCATACTCAATGGTGTGCTGGAGATGGCTCGCACTGACTCACAAGAGCTCACTGTTAACTTTTCAGGAGTTGGTGAGATCGTGTTAAACTGTCGATGGCTGGAAATTGGCCATGGGAATTGGACCACAGAAATGGACACCACAGAAATTGGAAAACACCACAAAATGACAGCATCCCCAGCCTGTTAAACATTTACCAGCACATCACTGTCGTCAGTCTTCTTCATTTTCAACATCCCAACTGCCATCAGAGAGAGGCCAATAGAGTCCGATATAGGACGATAATATAGCAATACACATGTCATACACAAATAAAGAATTACAAATGAGGGTAAACCTAAAACACAAGCGAACTTGATCATAACTGGTAGAAATGACATGTGAACACTGATAAGAATTGGAAGAGATAAGAGAATCTTGTAAATAATGAAGAACAGATTCAATGTGGTTCGATGCTGCTGCTATTTGGCAAGTTTAACTTTATTTCCTCAAATTAAAGATCCATGGATAAAGGAATAAAAAAAAAATAGGGGCTATGGTGGTAGGGATGGGCCTGGGATTGGGATAGGTCCCAGCTATGGGGCTAGGAGAGGAATAAAGCAGACATCAAAGCTGGAAACGACTTGTGTTTGAATCCCAGTTCCATCACTTCCTGCTGTGAGATCTTGGGCAAATCACTTAGTCTCTTGGAGCCTCAGTCCCTCATCCGTGAAATGGGGATACAAAGATGTACCTCGCCCACACTGGCCAGCAGACCAAGGCTCCCACTCCCCTGGGCCCTCTCTGGCTTCTTTCTCCTTAGCTCAGCAGGTCCACTTGGGGTTCTGGGCTCCCAGAGAGGTGCTTTATCCCCTACCCAGGCCCCATAGCTCCAGCCCCGGCCCCCTAGTGTCCCTGCATTTAACGATCCCTCCTTCAGGCATCCTACCCAGAGGCTGGTTCCCAGGCACTCTAGCACCTGTGGCTGGACTTCAATATCTGGGGAGGTGGAGGCCAGGAGGGGAGAGTTGAGGGCACAAGCAGGGCGAGGCCAGCATGTCCAGGGTGATGCTGTGGGCTGGGTCTGGAATGCAGCAATGGTTGGCCCAGCCTCGGGAGGCCTCAGGAATATCTCTGACACCAGGCGAGGAGTCTTCTTTATCCCCTGATATGTCTATCTTGTACCCAGCCTATGGAAATCTCCCTCCAGCACACCTGGGCAGAAAGGAAAGGCGCCGAGCCCAGCCCTGGACAGATCTGGGTCCGGTCCTGCTCTGACATCTACTACTGGTGTGACCTCGGGCAGCAAGAGTGAGACAATGGCCAAGACTCAGGCGGCTCCTTCTGTGCCCCAAGCCTTGCTCGGTGCTTGACCTGCATGATCTCCCTGAGGACTCAGTGCCCATAATGTTGGTACCAGGATTATGCCCCACCACCCCTCCCTCTTCCCTCTGCAGCTCCTGTCCCCAGCCTGGGGAAGGAGAGATATCTGTTACCTGGAAAGACGAACAGAGAGATCAGTAAAGACTCATCGGGGCCCCGTTTTTCGACCCCACACCAGTACTCCCCAGCGTCTTGCAGGGTGAGGTTCCACAGGGTCACAATGAGCGAGAGCTCCTGGCGGCTGTCACGGATGGACACCCTGCCCTTCATTGTCTCCTGGCCTTCTTCTTCTGCATAGATGGTGCCAGAGCAGCGAGAGAAGAGGATCCCACCCTTCCTGCACCAGTACTTCCGGTGGTCCCTCAGCTCTTCCCTGTAGGTGCACTGCAGGGACACAGTGTCCCCTTCGAACCCGCTGATTTCCTCTGGGCCCTCCAGGGCTTCATAACCTAAAATCAGAGCAGGAGTGGAGGTTGGAAAAACCAGGCTCCATGTACCAAGGTCAAGGCCAGAGCTTCCATTTTAGGAGGAAGAAGGAAGGCTTTTCTCAGTCATCCCTTCTGGGGACAGCCTTGGAAGAGCCATTACTAACCTCCCACGCTGGGGGAACTTGGGGCAGGGCTGTTGCTGTTTCCCTAACCCTGGCCCATTGAGGAATTGGGGTGCAGGGGTGGCGTTCTAGATTCAGATAGAATCTGACAGCCAGATAGCCAGCAGGGTTTCTGAGTGTTTTGTTTTGTTTTGTTTGTTTGTTTGTTTGTTTTTGAGATGGAGTCTCACTTTGCCGCCCAGGCTGGAGTGCAGTGGCCCGATGTCTGCTCACTGAAACTTCTGCCTCCCGGGTTCAGGTGATTCTCCTGCCTCAGCCTCCTGAGTACCTGGGACTACAGCCACGTGCTGCCATGCCCGGCTAATTTTTTGTATTTTTAGTAGAGACGGGGTTTCACCGTGTTAGCCAGGATGGTCTTGATCTCCTGACCTTGTGATCCGTCCGCCTCAGCCTCCCAAAGAGCTTGGATTACAGGCGTGAGCCACCGTGCCTGGTTTTGTTTTGTTTTTAGACAGGATCTCACTCTGTTGCCCAGGCTGGAGGGCAATGGTGCTCATGGCTCACTGTAGCCTTGACCTCTGGGGCTCAAGCGATCCTCCCACCTTAGCCTCCCACTAGCTAGGACTACAAGTGTGCACCACCATGCCTGGCTAATTTTGTTTGTTTGTTTGTTTGTTTGTTTGTAGAGATGGGGTCTCACTATTGCCAACTGAACAACTGACATCAGTTGTAGGATTTATCCTGATTTTAAGTGTTAGAAGGTAAAGAAAAAGAAAGCAAAAGAATTGATGAAACGTGATAATTCTTCATCTTTCAGGGTTGTGGGGAGAGGCATAGCCGAAATTCAACAAATATTTGCTGAGTTTAACAGGGCAACCAGATGGGGTGTCTTGTCCGCCTCCAGGCTTGGCACAGGGTAGAAAAATTAAGATTAGAGAGGCAAAGCAACTCTCACAGCCACATTGCCATGAGGGGAAACCCACAGGTCTGGAGAAAACCTGGCTCTAGGTTCCAGAAACAGCAAGTGCGGCCCCGGCGCCACCCCCACCTCCCCCCACCCCCAGCCCGCCCCGCTCCCCTAGGGCTGAGGAGGCTGAGGATAGGTGGGGTGGGGCTATCAGTCAGTCAAGAGGTCCTTTCCCTGCAGACCACAAGGGTGAGCCCCACATCCCTCCCGAGACCCTCTCCCCATCTCACCTGGGAGCAGCAGGCAACCCCATAGCAGGACCAGAAGCCGCATTCTGGGCGCTGGACACCGTGGGAGCAGACGCTGGGAACTGTGAGCTCCTCTTCAGTCACACGGGTCTTTAACTTTCTCTAGTCGCGTGAAACCAGGCCAAGGAAGCGAGGGGAGGGGCGTGTGGGTCATCCCTCCGCAGGCCCAGCCGGGGAGGCGCCTCTGCCTTCCCTTTTCTGAGCGCCCACGCGTGCCTACCCCAGGGCTCACCTTCCAGGACTGAAAACCCACACCAGAGTTTCTCCTAAACTCGTGCCCCTTCAAGGGGGCCTTAACCTGTGGTCCGTGCGCCCTAAGGGGTCTGTAAGTCGAATTCGCATGGGAAAAAGTTACATATTGACTTTCATCAACTTCTAATATTTAGCTTTTCCTCTTATTCAGAGTGTACTGTTAGCAGTACCTGCAACTTTGTTACCAATTACAATCACAGACACTGGCACATCAAGTTGTGGATATCTCGAAACGTCGTGTATACCCCTCACTGCTTGGAAAACAATGAGTTCCTAGACCTGCCCCTAGAGCTGGTTATTTACAATAATGAAACGGCTATTATTATATTACACATTTATAAAGAGTTTTAAGAATCATCTCACCAGTATTAGTTTTCTTTCCAGCATATATATTTTATTTATATATTTACCCGCCATTATACTGAGAGAGGGGTCCATAAACTTCACCAGACTGCCATGTGGTCAGTGGGACAGAAAGAAGCTTGCCCCTGGGGCAAGGCCCCTGGCCCCTCCTCCGCCCTTGCCTTTTGGAGGACGCAGTACTGCCCTTGGCCACGGGGCGGCGGTGCAGACGGGGCTGAGCAAAGCTGTAGGGCTGAGCTGGACCGGATTCCCTGGTGCCTTGGGCCTACAGCGCTGCAAGATAGGTCTCCTCCACGCCTGCGGAGTTGTTTTGGCATTTGAAAAAGTGAATTGGTGGTTTCTCCATCGCAGACTTGAATCCTCCTTGAAAGGACCAAAACAAACATGTACACTACTGGGAGCTCTGACACACTGGCTTCAAAAATGACTTTTTTTTTGGTTTGGTTGCAAAGTTCATACAGGTTGTAAGCAAAATTTTACACAATACAGAACGTAAAAAGGAAAGAAAGAAAAAAGGGAGTGCTTCTTGTAATTCCCCTTCTGCTTTAGAAAAGCACCATTAATATTTTGGCATATATCCTTCCAAATGTTCAGTTGGAATTTTACTGACTTGTCAGGTTAATATCTGAAGCATTAACTCAGTGGTTCTGGGAGGGAAGATTGTGTGTGTGTGAGTCTAGTAACGTGGGGAGAAGTGTTTTAATTTCACAATGACTGCGAAGCACTGCTGCCATTTAGTGGGCAGGGCCAGCTGTTCACGGTGGGGAAAACTGTTACCATGATCTCAGCCCCTGACTCTCTTTTACATGTACAGACTACAAAAGGTGATCTGTTTTTGCAGTTTTAAAAAAACACAGATTAAAAAATATTTATGGCCCAGCATGGTGGCTCACGCCTGTCATCCCAGCACTTTGGGAGGCTGAGGCGGGTGGATCACCTGAAGTCGGGAGTTTGAGACCAGCCTGACCAACATGGAGAAACCCAGTCTCTACTAAAAATATAAAATTAGCCAGGCATGGTGGTGTATGCCTGTAATCCCAGCTACTCAGGGAGGCTGAGGCAGGAGAATCGCTTGAACCCAGAAGGTGGAGGTTGTGGTGAGCTGAGATCACACCATTGCACTCCAGCCTAGGCAACAAGAGTGAAATTCTATCTAAAAAAAGAAAAAAAAGTATTTGTTTATTTACTTATTTTTGAGACAGGTCTCACTCTTGTTGCCCAAACTGGAGTGCAGTGGCGCCATCACAGCTCACTGCAGCCTCAAACTCCCAGGCTGAAGTGATCCTCCCACCTCAGCCTCCCAAGTAGCTGGCACTACAGGCGTGCACCACTGTTGCCTGGCTAATTTTTTATTTTTAGTAGAGACAGGGTCTTGTTATGTTGTCAGGCTTTTCTCAAACTCCTGGCTTCATGCGATCCTCCCACGTCGGCCTCCCAAAGTGCTGGGATTACAGGCACGAGCCACCATGCCCGGCCTTAAAGTAATACTTATTCTAGCATTTGATAGCATATCTTTGCTCTTCTATTTATTTATTTTTGTCCTTACACAGAATAATTTCTGATCCTCTACATTTCTTAAATTCAGACTTATTTATTATATGCAAGGACGAGCATCTGACACTTCATTATGCTTTCTAGTGTCATGGGACCTGAGCACTGACAGATTGAAATATGTGTTATTTGGTTATAAATTGCTTTCCTTTTATTTTTTCTCCCTAGTATAGCTCAGGCACTATAGTGTGATTTTAAAGAAGTAAGTGCTTGTGAAGGCATATTATTTATGATTGTCATTTTAGGAGAGTAAGCGAGGTGTTATTAAATGTTTATTTATATAAAGAGCATGTTGAGTGGATCCCTACCCTCTTCCTGCATATTTGAAGGTCCTTCCCCTCCATTTCCCAGCCCCACACCTAGCCCAGGAGGCTGGCTCAAGAACTCCATTAGAAACAGATTCACCAGACTGGGAAGTGGAGCAAGGGCTGGGGAGAAGGGTGAAAGTGAGGTGCTGGCATGAGCCTCGCACCTAGTTCCACCTTAGGCCACACTCTGGGGTAGATGGGGCCAACAGACAGACCTCCGTGGTGGGCTGGGGATCTGAGAAGAGAGGATATTTTTGTCCTGCTTCCCACCAGAAGCATGGGGAGGTGCCCCACCATCACTGCACCTGGGAGAGGCAATGAGGCACAAGGGCTCCTGGACAGGTCACTGGGCTCGTGACAGCCTCATCACATCCTCAGGAAGGCCTCTGTGTGCCCAAGAGGTACAGTGGCAGGGATGAGGGGACTGAGCTGCTTGGTCTTCGATGGCCACCCTGGTCCAATTCCTCTCGGTTTGGACTTGGACTAAATCACTTCAGCTGCTCCAAGAGGGTCACTTGCTCCTCTTAGATCAAGGTTTCCCCAACCTCAGTACTGTTGACATTTTAAGTTAGATAATTCTTTGTTGTGGGAGACTGTCCTGTGAATTATAGGATGTTTAGCAGCATCTCCAGCTGTACCCCCTAGATGCCAGTAGTCCCTTCCCAGTTGTGATAATCAAAAATGTCTCCAGGCTGGGTGAGGTGGCTCATGCTTATAATCCCAGCACTTTGGGAGGCCAAGGTGAGTGGATCACTTGAGCCCAGGAGTTTGAGACCAGCCTGGGCAACATGACAAAACCCCGTCTCTGCAAAAAATACAGAAAATTAGCCAAGCATGGCAGTGTGCACCTGTGGTCCCAGCTACACACAGGCTGAGGTGACAGAATCACCTGAGCATGGGAGGTCGAGGCTGTAGTGAGTCGAGATCCCATCACTGCACGCCAGCCTGGGTGATGGGAGTGAGACCTTGTCTCAAAAAAAAAAAAAAAAAAAAAAAGGCCGGGCGCAGTGGCTCACGCCTGTAATCCCAGCACTTTGGGAGGCCGGGGTGGGCGGATCACAAGGTCAGGAGATCGAGACCATCCTGGCTAACACGGTGAAACCCCGTCTCTAAAAAAATAAAATACAAAAAAATTAGCTGGGCATGGTGGCGGGCACCTGTAGTCCCAGCTACTCGGGAGGCTGAGGCAGGAGAATGGCGTGAACCCGGGAGGTGGAGCTTGCAGTCAGCTGAGATCACGCCACTGCACTCCAGCCTGGGTGACAGAGCAAGACTCTGTCTCAAAAAAAAAAAAAAAAAAAAAGCCTCCAGGCATTGTCAAACATCCCACTGAGAGGCAAAAATACCCTGGGTTGAGAACTGCTGTCTTAGATGATGAATAACTGTGGAACAAATAAGTGCACTTTTGTGTAAGTTATGTTTATTGTTTATGTAGGTCAGGGTGTTCCATCTTTTGGCTTCCCTGGGCCAAGAAGAAGAATTGTCTTGGACCACACATAAAATACAGTAACACCAGTGATAGCTGATGAGTTAAAAAAATAATCTCATAATGTTTTAAGAAAGCTTACGAGTTTGTTTGGGGCTTCATTTAAAGCCATCCTGGCTGCATGCAGCCCGTGGGCCGCGGGTGGATAAGCTTGATGCAGGCATAGTAACACGGTTTTGGAAACAGGACAGTGGGCAGAACCTAATGCTGAACCCCAGAATCAGGTAAAACTGCGTCCTTCTTTCCTCAGTGGAGCTGGGCCATCCTCGTAATACTCAGGGTGAGGTGTGGTGTATCAGTTTAGAACACACACTTTTTGCAGGTGGGCCAGCTCACCAGAGAAAAGGAAGAAGAGAGCCGGGTTACACACGCCTTGTTCCTCCTTCAACATTCATCAATCAAATCAGCAGAGGCATGGAGAAAGGCGTGGAGAGGTGTAGAGAGAGGCGTGGAGAGGCGTGGAGAGAGGCGTGGAGAGGCGTGGAGAGAGGCGTGGAGAGGCGTGGAGAGAGGCGTGGAGAGGCGTGGAGAGAGGCGTGGAGAGGCGTGGAGAGAGGCGTGGAGAGAGGCGTGGAGAGGCGTGGAGAGAGGCGTGGAGAGGCGTGGAGAGAGGCGGGGAGAGGCGTGGAGAGAGGCGTGGAGAGGCGTGGAGAGAGGCGTGGAGAGGCGTGGAGAGGCGTGGAGAGAGGCGTGGAGAGGCGTGGAGAGAGGCGTGGAGAGGCGTGGAGAGAGGCGTGGAGAGGCGTGGAGAGAGGGGTGGAGAGGCGTAGAGAGAGGCGTGGAGAGGCGTGGAGAGAGGCGGGGAGAGGCGTGGAGAGGCGTGGAGAGGCGTGGAGAGAGGCGTGGAGAGGCGTGGAGAGGCGTAGAGAGAGGCGTGGAGAGGCGTGGAGAGAGGCGTGGAGAGGCGTGGAGAGAGGCGTGGAGAGGCATGGAGAGGCGTAGAGAGAGGTGTGGAGAGGCGTAGAGAGAGGCGTGGAGAGAGACTAAGAGTTTTGTGCCAGTGGGGTTCTCTGCTCATGGAAGGAAACATCAGGAGTGGGGAAGACGTGTCCCCGGCAAAGACAAATGAGCCACAAGACAGGAAGATTTGGATTCCTGAGCTACCACTTGGAAGACAGCTGCCCTGGACAGCCACCAAGCGTGCGGCGGACTTGGAATGAGCAAGAGATAGACTTTTCTGTGTTTAGCCACGGAGATCTTGCAGTTTGCTAGTTGCTGTAGCACAGTGTAGACCACCACCATGCTTTTTGTTTTCCGTCATACATTCATCCTCTAGTCTCCTCGCAGCTTCCCTACCCTAGCTGGTTGCAAACTCGATTTTTCAACTTTCTCCATCAAACAAATCTGAAAACTCCCTTTCAATTTTTTTTTTTTTTTTTTTTTTTTTTTGAGACAGCAGGCGCGATCTCGGCTCACTGCAACCTCCACCTCCTGGGTCCAAGCGATTCTCGTGCCTCAGCCTCCTGAGTAGCTGGAATTACAGGCACGTGCCACCATGCCCAGCTCATTTTCTGGTATTTTTAGTAGAGACAGGGTTTCACCATGTTGGCCAAGCTGGTCTCAAACTCCTGACCTCAAATGATCTGCCTGCTTCGGTCTCCCAAAGTGCTGGGATTACAGGTGTGAGCCACCGCACCCGGCCCCTTTCAAATTTTTTATGTTAACCAATTACTTCGGGGAATGACAGGGAAAATGATGGAGGAGGGCAGTAATGGGAGACTGGTAATGCCTCAGGAGCTCAATCAGTAAATGCCCACGTTTACTGATAGGTAAATTTCAAATCTTCTCAGAAACTTTGAAGGCTAACTGCAATGTGTTATCTTGGACTGGATCCCAGAACAGAGAAAGGATATTAGTGGAAAAACTAGTGAAAGATTAATAAAGTCTGGAATTTCCTTAATAATAACATTCCAATGTTCATGTCTTAGTTTTGACAAATGTATCATGATTATGTAAGATGCTAACATTAGAGAAAACAGGGGAAAGGGTGTTCAGGAACTCTCTGTACTATCTTTGCAACTTTTCTGTAAATCTAAAATTATTCCAAAATATAAAGTTTATTAAGAAAAAAGAAAGTATACTGGGGAGGCTGAGGTGGGAGGATCACTTGAGCCTGAGGGGTCGAGGCTGCAGTCAGCCGTGAGCATGTCACTGCACTCCAGCCTGGGTGACAGAGCGAGACTGTCTTAAAAAAAAAAAAAAAGCAGTGAAAAGCTAAAAAGAGCATGGGGGTTCCCAGGCATAAGTCTGCATGCAAGTAGACAGGAAGCCAGAAAGATAAGCTCAGTGTATGTGCTTGTTTTCCCTGTGGGCATTTACTGATTCCAAAGCAGCAGCGAAGAGGATGAACTAGGAGTCTAGGGCCCTCTGGGGGCAGGGAATGGAATCTGGCATATTTTTGGTCACATTAGGCTGGGACCCCAAAAGGCTGTACAAACCAGGCCACCATGGACTTCCACCCAGCTTTCTGTCATTTAGGTGTCCCAGGAAACTTCAAGCTTTGAACTTGAATTAAAAGTGGCTCTTGTCTGGCAGCACCTTCCCCATCCCTACCCTCGGGTACCTTAAAGATATTAGTGAAAAATCCTTTCTGGAGGAAAATAGCATCAGCCTAAGCTGATCATTTTTACAAGTAGTTTTTTCAAATACCATCTAATATATAATCAAAGATAACCAAATCTATGAGAAGACTCAATAAGCAAGAATATGCAGAAACAACAAAACAGACCCGTGGGGACTCCATATACTGTAAATAGCAGGATCAGCCTTAACACAACTATTCTTACTGTGCTCAAGGAGGTAAAAGTCAAGCTTGACATTTTTGGCAGGGAACTGGAAAGAACAAAAAGTGACAGCAGATTTGAAAAAAGCACAACATAAGAATTCTAGGACTGGCTGGGAATGGTGGCGCATGCCTGTAGTCCCAGCAACTTGGGAGGCTGAGGCTGGAGGATCGCTTGAACCCGGGAGGCGGAGGTTGTAATGAGCTGAGATCGTGCCATTGCATTCCAGCCTGGGTGACAGAGCAATACTCTGTCTCAAAAAAATAAAACAAAAATAAAAATAAGAGAAATAGGTAACAAAAGCCACAAACAATAGGAAAAGTTATCAGAAATCTCAAAAAACAAAACAAAACAAAAAAACCCCAAAACCCCAGTACAGTAATTTCCCTTCTCATTGAGAAGTAAATGGAGCTGAGCCTGCCCTTTCTCCACCCGCTTCTGACTTGCCCTCTTGCTGCATGCCTGGGCACTAGCCCATTGCTCCTCTTGGAATTATTTCTGGTTCCCTATGGTGTCTGGGCTGAATGCCAAATGCAATGACAATGCACACCTGTAGCCTGAAGCAGATTCTCTCTGTCACCTCTTCAAGGATCGTTGGCATTCTCTTTTTTTCCAGAGCATGCTTGGTAAAGTCTCTTCTCCCTGTCCAGATGGACCCAAAGTCATTCATTCCTCTGGCATTGAGCTCATCTTCCTGTTCCCTGTGCAGCTGCTCTAAACGAGCACCTTGACCGAGCCCTGGCTGGGTGAGGCGACTCCTGCCCTGAGCTTCCGGCCATCTGGGCCAACTCCGCCCTGGCTGCACCTGCCCTGTCCTATGATGCAGCCTCTCCCAGCACTCCTGCTCCAAGCTCTCATCCACCTAAACATCTCTCTCTGCTTCTCTTTTCTTCCATTCTGCTTGCCCAAATATCCTCTGGACTAAAGGACATGTACATATAATATTTTAACAAATATTACCAGATCGTGTCCCAGAAAGTTTGCACCAAATAATATTCCTTCCAAATGTGTAAATGTGTCTTTTCCCCACATCCTTGATAGCACTGGATGTCAACAGACTTAAACATTTTTGTCTTAACAAGGGACATTGCCTCCTATTTTGGCTAAGAATTCTTCGATTATGAGTGAGGTTGTGCATCTTTTGGATTTTTTTTCCTTTTTTTTTTTTTTTAAACAGGAGATCTAGCATCAGTTTTCTGTGTTTATTGGCTATGTATTTTTTGTATTAGACTATTTTCTTTGACCGTTTAAAATTTTTTCATCTTTTCTCATTTATGTAAACTCTTTTAAATTGAGGAATTTAACTTTATCATATTGCATATGATATCATATGTTGCAAATAATATTTTTACCTATAAAAATGTTTACCCTTTTTTAAATCACACATATCCACCTTTTCCTTTATAGATTTGGATTTGGAATTTACTTAGAAATGTTTCCCTCACTGCAGCCGGGCGCGGTGGCTCATGCTTGTAATCCCAGCACTTTGGGAGGCCAAAGCGGGCGGATCACGAGGTCAAGAGATCGAGACCATCCTGGCTAACACGGTGAAATCCCGTCTCTACTAAAAATACAAAAAATTAGCCTGGCGTGGTGGCAGGCACCTGTAGTCCCAGCTACTCGGGAGGCTGAGGCAGGAGAATGGCGTGAACCCGGGAGGCGGAGCTTGCAGTGAGCCGAGATCGCACCACTGCACTCCAGCCTGGGTGACAGAGCGAGACTCCGTCTCAAACAACAACAACAACAACAACAACAACAACAACAACATTAGCTGGGTGTGGTGGCGGGTGCCTGTAATCCTAGCTACTCAGGAGGCTGAGGCAGGAGAATCACTTGAACCCGGGAGGCGGAGCTTGCAGTGAGACGAGATCTCGCCACTGCACTCCCGCCTGGCCGCAGAGCAAGACCCCGTCTCAAAACAAAAGCGAAAGAAAGCTGTATCCCTACCTCACTTCTCACATCAAAATATTTTCTCAGTAAATTTATTTTTATAATCTTGCAGAGGAGGGCAGGTGATCTGCCCGCCTCCACCTACCGAAGTGCTGGGATTACAGGCATGAACCACTGCGCCCAGCCTTTTTTCCTCTCTCTTTTTTTTTCCCATAAAGAGTAGCTATTGTAATTGTCGCCATACCTTATTTTATTTTGAGACAGGGTCTTGCTCTGATGCCCGAGCTGGAGTGCAGTGGCATGATCACGGCTCACTGCAACCTCTATCTGCTGAGCTCAAGCAATCCTCCCACCTCAGCCTCCTGAGTAGCTGGGTCTACTTGCACATGCATCAATTTTTTTTAATTTTTTTATTTTTAGTAGAGACAGGTCTTGCTATGTTGCCCAAGCTGGTCTTGAATTCCTGGGCTCAAGAGATCCTCCCGCCTCAGCCTCCCAAACTGCTGCGATTACAGGTGTGAGCCACTGCACCTGGCCTGTCCCCACATTAAAAAAAAAAAAAAATTCCTCTCCTTCCACTTAAATGTCACCTTTCTCAAATATTAAAAGACAGTATACATGAGGACTATTTCTGTTCTTTCAATTCTGTTCTATTTGTCTAGCTGTTGATTGCCTCTTTAGTACTAAACTTTATTAATTCATTTTTTTTGAGACAGGGTCTTGCTGTGTCACCCAGACTTGAGTGCAGTGGTGTGGTCATGGCTCACTGCAGCCTCGAACTCCTGGGTTCAGGCAATTCTGCTTCAGCCTCCTGAGCATCTGGGACTACAGGTGAGCACCACTACACCCAGATAATTTTTGCATTTTTTGTAGAGATGGGGTTTTGCCATGTTGCCCAGGCTGTTCTTGAACTCCTGGGCTCAAGTGATCTACCTGCTTCGGCCTCCCAGAGTCCTGGGACTATAGCCTCAGTACTAAACTTTAAAAATTGTTTTCATATTTTTAAATCCCACCTCCCTTGGTCCCATAACTCTTTTTTTCCCAGAACTTTCCTATTATTCACCAATGTTTATTTTTCCTGATGAATTGTGGTAGCATTTAATAAATTCTCTGTGAAAAATACTTCTTATATTTTAATTGGAATTGCATTGGGTATAAAGATTATTTCAGAATGAATTAATATAATTGCACTATTGAACTGTTCTTTCCCTAGCCATTTGAGGTACATTTTATCTTTTATGTCCTTCACTAGAATTTTAAAGTTTTTTTCTCCCAAATATCAATAGGTCTTTCATTTTTCCTATTAAGTTTATAAATTGGTATTTAATCTTTCTTGATATCTTAGTTTGGATTTTTTCTTTCATTATACTTAATAATTATTTTTGTCCACAGGAAAGTCATAATGTTTTTTTTGTTTGTTTGTTTGTTTTTAAGACAGAGTCTCGCTCTGTCACCAGGCTGGAGTGCAGTGGTGCGATCTCGGCTCACTGCAACCTCTGACTCCCTGGTTCAAGCTATTCTCCTGCCTCAGCCTCCTGAGTAGCTGGGATTACAGGCACGTGCCACCAAGCCCAGCTAATTTTTGTATTTTTAGTAGAGACGGAGTTTCACTATGTTGGCCAGGATGGTCTCGATCTCCTGACCTTGTGATCTGCCCGCCTCGGCCTCCCAAAGTGCTGGGATTACAGGCGTGAGCCACCGTGCCTGGCCGGAAAGTCATAAATTTTTAATATCAATTGTATACTCTGCCATCTTAAATTTTTTCATCATTTCTTTCTTGTAATTTGTTTCTTTTTATTGGTGAGTAAATATGCCATTGTATGGATATACCACAAGTGAATGAATATTTATCCATTCACTTCTTGATGGACACTTGAATGGGATTAATGCCCTTATAAGAGAACTTGAAGGGAGCACCCTAGTCCCTTTGGCCCCTACTGCCACATGAGGACACAGCGTTCATCCCTTTATGCCCGTCTTTCTTTCTTTCTTTTTTTTTTTTTGAGATGGAGTCTCGCTCTGTCGCCCAGGCTGGAGTGCAGTGGCGCGATCTCAGCTCACTGCAAGCTCTGCCTTCCGGGTTCACGCCATTCTCCTGCCTCAGCCTCCCAAGTAGCTGGGACTACAGGTGCCTGCCACCACGCCTGGCTATTTTTTTGTATTTTTAGTAGAGACGGGGTTTTGCCATGCTGGCCAGGATGGTCTTGATCTCTTGACCTTGTGATCCACCTGCCTCAGCCTCCCAAGGTGCTGGGATTACAGGCGTGAGCCACCGCGCCTGGCCTATGCCTGTCTTTCTCTTCCACCATGTGAGGATACCTATCCAGTGCCATCAGTGAGGAACAGGCCCTCACCAGACACTGAACCAGCTGGCCCCTTGATCTTGGACTTTCCGGCCTCTAGAACTGTAAGCAATAAATTACTATTACTTCTTATAAATTACTGTGGTATTTTGTTATAGCAGCAGGAACTGACTATGACAGGTTTTAATTTGCATTTCCCTGATGACAAATGATGTTGGATGAGTGCTTTCTCATATGCTTATTGGTTATTTGTATATCTTCTTTTGTGAAGTGCATGTTCATATCTTTTGCCTGTTTTTTGATTGGGTGGTTTGTCTTTTTATTGAGTTACAGGAGTTCTTTATTCTGAATACAATCTCTTTGTCAGATATATTTCTTCCTAGTCTCCCAGTCTGTGGCTTGCCTCTTTTCTTTTCCTTTCCTTTTCTTTCTTTTTTCTTTTCTTTTCTTTTTTTTTTTTTGAGACAGGGTCTTACTCTGTCACCCAGCCTGGAGTGCAGTGTCACAATCATGGCTCACTGTAACCTCTGCTTCCCAGGCTCAAGTGATCCTCCTGCCTCAGTCTCCTGAGCAGCTGGGACTACTGGCACAAGCCAACATGCCTGGCTAGTTTTTGTAATTTTAGTAGATACCGACTGGGTTTTGCCGTGTTGCCCAGGCTGGTCTCGAACTCCTGGGCTCAAGCCATTCACCCGCCTTGAACTCTTAAAGTGCTTGAAGGGATTACAGGTGTGGGCCACTGCACCTGGTCCCTGGTCCTATTTTCTTAATAGTGTTTTGTTTTGTTTTGTTTTGTTTTGTTTTGTTTTGTTTTGTTTTGAGACGGAGCCTCACCCTGTGGCCCAGGCTGGAGTGCAGTGGCGCGATCTCCACTCCCTGCAACCTCCGCCACCACACCCGGCTAATTTTTGGTATTTTTAGTAGAGACGGGGTTTAACCATGTTAGCCAGAATGGTCTCCATCTCCTGACCTCGTGATCTGCCCGCCTTGACCTCCCAAAGTGCTAGGATTACAGACGTGAGCCACTGCGCCCGGTCTTTTTTTTTTTTTTTTTTGAGATGGAGTCTCACTCTGTCACCCAGGCTGGAGTGCAGTGGCCTGATCTTGGCTCACTGCAACCTCTGCCTCCCGGGTTCAAGCAATTCTCCTGCCTCAGCCTCCTGAGTAGCTGGAACGGACACAGGTGTGTGCCACCATGCCTGGCTAATTTTTTGTATTTTTAGTAGAGATGGGGTTTCACTGTGTTAGCCAGGATGGTCTCAATATCCTGACCTCAGATGATCCACCCACCTTGGCTTCCCAAAGTGCTGGGATTACAGGCATGAGCCACTGCACCTGGCCAATAGTGTTTTTTGATGAGCAGGAGTTTTAAATTTTGATGAGGTCCATTTATCAATTGTTTTCAGGGTCCATGCTTTTTTTAAAAATTTTTTCTTTTTTTAGAAACGGTGTCTCTTTGTCACCCAAGCTGAAGCGCAGTGGACTGATCATAGTTCACTGCAGCCTTGAACTCTTGGGCTCAAGCAATTTGCCTGCCTCAGCCTCCTGAGTATGTGGGATACAGGCTCATGCCACCATGCCTGGCTTTTTTGTATCCTTTCTAGGAAATCTTTGCATACCCCAAGATTTAAAAGATACCCTCCTGTTTTATTCTAGTAGCTTTATCGATTTGCTTTATGTTTAGGCCAATGATCTCTCTTAAATTGCGTTTTGAATATGGTGTGAGGTAGGGATTGGGTCCCTTCAGGCACATAAATATCTACTTGTTCCAACACCACTTCCTGGTGTTCTTGTCCAAAATCATTTGACCCATATCAGATGGATCAGATGGTTCTCATTATTTTTCCAACAGTAAACATTGCAGCTAAGAATGTGTCTCATGCAGTCTCTCTCCACTCAAAAAGTGTGGTCTGCAGACCAGTGGCGTCACATCACCTGGGAGCTTGTCAGAAATTCAGAATCTGGCACCACTCCAGCATTACACAACCCCCTAGTGAGTCTCAGGCACGTTACATTTTGAGGAGCAATAGTGTAGATATTTCTTGAGGAATGAGGATAATTTTTGAGGAATGAGGGGAAACATCATCATGACATTTGCTGCCTCTCACAGCCTCCCCATGCACTACAGCCTGTGGGGCCTGCCAACCCATTTTCCCTGGTTACTGTGCAGGGCTAGATTTACTTCCAGACTTAACCTCTGGGTCCACCTCTCCTGACATGTGCTGTGCCGTTCTTTGCTGCTGGGATTGAGGGAAGGGGGCCCACTCACTCACCCACTCCTCACCTTTTAATACCCACAACCACCTGCTCACTCACCCAGCAGTTCCTATGCTCTCCCCTATACACATTCTTTCACCAGGAACCTCAGTTTCCTCAATTGCAGAACCAAAATAAGAATGGTCTTGATATCAGGAACTACTGTGAAGGGAAGTGATCTGAGGAGTACCTGGGCATGGAGACAGCACAATATAAGTCAGTTATCGTCATGGCCATTTCAGAGCTCTTTTTCCAGTAAAGCCCCTGGATGCTGCTCGCCTCTGCTATGTAGCCTCACTCCCCTGCAGCCGGGCAGAATGGAGTCCCCCTCCTCTCCAGCCTGACTTCTCCTCCCCTGCTCCGCGTCCCCAGGGCAGCGTGCACCGATAAATCTTTCCCAGCGCGTTGCATTGTTACAGCGAGTTGCCCTCGCATCCGACCGGCCCCCCGCCCCACCTCTGGAGATCTTCAAACCCAGGATCTGTGCCTTGGTCGTCTTTGAAGCCCCGGCCCCTGGCACAGCGCCTGGCACCTGGAGGGCGCTCAATAAATGTTTGCAAAATCGAATTCTCTGTTGAGCAGGTGTCCACCCCTCCACTCGCGGAGGGTGGGTTGCGCGGGCGGAAGGGAAGTCTGGCTGTGTGCCAGGGTGCGGGGGGACACAGGCAGGGGACTCAGGGAGCGGGAGAGCGGGAGCGGGTACGACGCCGGCTAGCGGAGCCCGGCCCGGAGGGTGCGGCGGTGCCAGACGCGGAGGGCGGCCTCCGCTCCTCCCCCGCCTCCTCCCCGCGCCGCGCCTCCTCCCCGCGCCGCGCCTCCTCAGGCTCCGCCACCCCCGCCCGGCGCGGCAGCCGCAGGGAGGGGTCCGGGAAGGCGGAGCCAGCGGCGGCCCAGGCTCTGGGCACTCGCGCGGCTCCCGTTCGCGGAGCACACATCCCGGCGCGACGAGGTAGGAGGCCGCGAGGGGAACGGACGAGGGAGCTGGGCGCCGCGGCGGGAGGGGCGGGAGGCCGGGCCGAGACCCTCCTCCCGTGCTCCCGGACAGCCTCGCGGCCCACCGAGCCCACCGCGGGAGTCTCAACCCCGCCCCTCGGCCCCCGCCTCCCTCTTCCCGCGCCCGCCCCGCCGCGCGCCCCCCGCTCCCTGCTGCTCCGCGTCCTCCGGGACCGCCCTCCGAGGTCCCCCGGGGTCGCTGCTCCTGCGCCCAGTGCGCTCCTTGTTCTCCCACAGGTTCCTTCGGAGAGCGAGCGGGAGTCGGTGCTCGGCCTCCTGCGGGGAGCAGCCCGAGGGTGAGTCCGGCGTGGCGTGGCGGGGCGGGGCGGGGCGGAGGCTGGAGGGCCCGGGGCCGCTCTTACGCCTCTTAGTGGCACCGGGGCTCGGCGCTGCGGGCTGGCTCCATGTTTGCGGAATGAATCAGTCATGACTCTCCTTCTCCTCTTCCTAAGGAGGACTTTTTGAGGTCCACGTGCTGCAGAGCACCTTTGGAGGGCCTCATGAGATAGGGGTCCCCCCTCCTGCATAGTGGAAGCCCGACTCCCATTTCCCCCCCTCCTCTCTGCACTCCAGTCTGGAGGCTCCCTTTGGGTTGGGTCTTGGGGGGTCGGGGACAGGGGGCTTGTAGGCCCAGCCAGGTAGTTGTGGAAGGTGTGTCCCAGCAGGAGACTTGAGCCAGGGCTCTTAGAAGGTTGCAGTGGAGGGGGCGCGCTGCGGAGGACAGCTGACACTGTCAGGCAGGGTCACTTGGCACCTCCAAGGCCAGCCTGGAAGAGCCTGCTTGAATATGGATTTTGACCCACAGCTTACTGAAAGCTTCCACGCCGCTGTTTCTTCATCAATAAAATGGGAACATTCGCAGTCATTTCTCAGGACTTTGTGCAGACAAAAAGTTTATCATAGAAATCACCCCACACAATGCTTGGCACATCGAGGACACTCAGCACATCTTAGCTTTATTTCCTTCCTCTCTGAAAAAAGTAAGCAGAGTTATTTGTTCCCATCCTCTCTGTCCACAGCCTGGTCTCAGAGAACACAGTAGATGTGTAGTCAGTTTGTTCAATAAATATGCTTGATGGAGCTTCAATACCCACCTCCACCCCCTTCTCCCAGAATCTGCAGGGAGAGGTCGGGAGGTGACAACGCCAGCATGCCAGTGCTATCGGAGGACTCTGGTAAGTACCTCCCCCCGGCTGGACCTGCCACAGTCCTGAAGACAAGAGCCTGCCTGGCAGCCTCCAGGCCCTGGCAGTGAGAGCCTGGGGAGAGAATGTCCTCACGGCAGGACTGAAGTGCTGTTTGAGGCCCCACTCGGGCTCCTCGGGGGCAGGGAGCACCCACTGCGTTTGCTATCCTTTGTTTTTCTCACCTCTCCCCAGGTTTGCATGAAACCCTGGCCCTGCTGACCTCCCAGCTCAGACCTGACTCCAACCACAAGGAGGAGATGGGCTTCCTGAGGGATGTTTTCAGTGAAAAAAGCCTCAGTTACTTAATGAAGGTGAAGTCCCACGTCATCCTGCGTGGAAGGGTGTCTAGAGGTCTTTCTAGCTGTCTGTGGCCGTCTGAGGTCATCCTAGTCATCTCCCTGCCCCAGGAAGGCCTTCACTTGCCCACTACACAGGACTTTCTCTTATGGTGCCCTGTCAGTGGCCCAGTCTGCTGCCCCAAATGTCCCCACAGCCGTGGGTGGGATGTGTGGTGTCCAGGGTGCATCTGAAATACTCTGTCTTTGCAGATTCATGAGAAGCTTCGCTATTATGAAAGGCAAAGTCCAACCCCAGTTCTGCACAGCGCTGTGGCCCTCGCTGAGGACGTAAGCCCCAGGTTTCTCCTTACAGTGTCTGCCCCACTCCCCACCCTGTAGGGCTCCTTCATCTTGCCTCGCTTGCTTAGTGTGGGGACACCGGGAATCAGGAGCCCAAAGGTGAAGAGGTGTTTTCTTCCCTTGTCCTCCTCCTTCTCTTCCTCTCTCTGGGTTCCCCGAAAGGTAGGGAGGAACCCGTGAGCCTTGGACTGGGCTGGGAGACACTGTGACATGGAGCTGCCCACTTACTGTGTGTTCTTTAGCAAGTCTGCTTCCTCTGCTGTAAATGAGAGCATTGGATTGGCTCAGCAGTTCCCAAACTGCCCTGAGGACTGGTGATTTGAATAGGTCAATAAGACATTATGTCTGTGCTTTCCTGAAGTCAAGGGACCTACAGTGTGTCCCCGCATACTGGCTCAGGCTTCTCATTTTTTAAAGGAACGCTTCTTAATTTCTTGTGGACCTAGTCGTCTATGTTGCGTGGTTGGGGAAAACCCATTCTGGTTGATTACTAAGATCAGTTCCTGAATAAACTCACCTAACCCCAGGAGATGGCCTGGGGAGGGATGAGTGCAGCTTGTGGGTGCAGAGCCCTGGGCCCTTCTCCACTGTGGAATGTGATTAGGGGCACATTAGATTGCCTGGCTCCCAGGCTCAGCGCTGCCTGTCCCACCAGCTCTGTGATGTTAAGTAGGCCACTCAACCTCTCTGAGCTCCCATTTCCTCATTCATAAAATAGCATCTGAGAGCCAGATAAGCCCAGGTTCAAATCCTAGCTGTGCTGTATATGAGCTCTGTGACTTCGGGCAAAATGTTTAATCTCTTTGAGTCTCAGGATTCTCATCTGTAAAATGGCAAAGTAACAAGACCCTCTGCATCAAGTTGGTTGCGAGGGTTCAGTGAGAAGATCCACATAAAGCAGAAAGCACGTAGGGCTTAAAACGGTGGCTCCTTGGAGGATGGCCCCATAGAGCTGCTCCTGACCCCTGGTGTGATGTTCCCAGGATCATCGTCGTCGGGTGGTTGAGGGTCTGGTGTGCCCCTGGGGGCTGCAGCTGGGTGGGCCCTTCCAAAGAGGAAGGACCCAGCAGATATGGGGCAGGGGCACCTCTAGCCATCAGTGGCGCCTGTCTCATTCTCTGCAGGTGATGGAGGAGTTGCAGGCCGCCTCCGTGCACAGTGATGAGAGGGAGCTGCTCCAGCTGCTGTCCACCCCGCACCTGAGGGTAGTCACACAGAGCCCCTGCCCAGCCATGCCTCTGGGTCTCCTGGGATGGGGGCGGAGGGAGCTCTCCTAATGAGGCTGAGGAGTGGAGACTGAGGGAGCGATCCTCAGCACTAGTGTCTGGGCAGTTGTCTCTCTGGCATGGCGTCTGCCACCCTCCATACCACCGGCCAGCTGCGGCCTGCTGACCCTGTGAGCGGCGGGCCAGCCTTCCTTTTCTCTGGCTTTCCCGGCAGGCTGTGCTCATGGTACATGACACGGTTGCCCAGAAGAATTTTGACCCCGTTCTCCCGCCTCTGCCTGACAATATCGATGAGGATTTTGATGAGGAATCGGTGAAGATCGTCCGCTTGGTGAAGAACAAGGAACCCCTGGTAGGTGCTGCTGCCTGCCCCTCTCTAACCCACTCTTCCCCTGCCTCTCACCCCCACCCAGAACACTGGACAAGATCCTCCCCGAAGTCTTCAGAGTGAGTGACGGCAGCTTTGCCTGCGCTGCTGCTCATCCCTGTGGTGCCTCTGTGTGCAGGGCACCCCTTTCTCTAGGTGGATACAGCCCCTCTCAACTGTGGCCAACACCCTTTGTGTAGTTAATAACCTGCACAATTGTACAGGGTGACCCTGATCATGCTTTAAGCCAGAAATGGACAAACTACAGCCCAAGGGCCAAAACCAGCCCACAGCTTATTTTTTAAAATAAAGCTTTTTTGGAGCACAACCAGGCCCATTCACTTACAGATTGGCTGTGGCTGCCTTTATAGTGCGATGGCAGAGTTGAGTCGTTGTGACAGAGACTGTGTGGCTGGCCTCAAATATTTACATGTGGCCCCTTATAGAAAACGTGTGACAATGCCTGCTCTGAATGTTGAGGAAGCACAGGGCATTCCTCTCCCCAGCAGACAGACTGCTATCACTTTGGTCCTGGTTCAGCATTGATTTACCGAGCAAAGGGACAGCGTTGTTTATGAGATGCTCAGAAGTGGTGGAAGCCCAGAGAATTGAGATTGGCTCCAGAGGATCCCACAGCTGGCATTCTCTATTTCCAACTTTCCCCAAATGACCTCCGACGAGCCTCTTCTGCAAACAGACGAGGATCTCTCCTCTGCCTCTGTTTCCTCACTTGTAAAATGGAGTGGCCATCCATTGATTTAGCAAACACATTGTGAGCCCTCCTATCCAGGCTCTGTATTGGGTGCTGGCGGTTCAGAGCTGAATAAATGATGGATAGCGATGCTGGAAAGTTCTCAGTTCTGGGGGGCTAGAAGTCCTGAGGTTCTTAGCTGATGGCCTCTCTTTCTAGCAATAATTATCTTACGTACTTCAAATAGATGGCACAGATGATGTTAACAATAAGTGTGCAAATGTGTTTGCAGTTACAGCCACTAATAAGTGGTTAACATATGTTGAGTGCTTACTGTGTACTAAGTGCCTTGAGTGGAATCCTTGCAACAACACTGTGAGTTAAATGCTGTCCCACATCTCACAGGAAACAGGCTTGGAGAGGATAAGAGATTTCCTTGTTAAGTCCACATGCTTTTTGTAAACGGCAGAACTGTGTTCACACCCAAGGCTGTCCAGCCCTAGAGCTTAGCTCTTAAGCTTTCTGCCGTCCTGCTGCAGTCCGGCCTGTGTGGTGCAGGAAATCGAGGGCTCGTTAGTGCCTTTCTCATCCTAAGTGTCATCTCTGCTGTGCTTCATGGGCCAAGTCCTGGTCCCGAAGCCCTGGCTGGGGTGCATAATTGGTTTCCCTCAGCAGCAGCAGAAGGCCCGGTAACCCTGTGATTGGGTAGAGGCAGGGTGAGAATTAGCTGGCACGTGTCATCCTCATTATTAAATGTCTTTGCAAGTGGTAGGAACTGTGATATGAGAGAGATGTGATGGAGAACTTACTGGATTTGGCATCACAAAAAGCTTTCCCCTTTACCAGCTGGGTGACCTTGAGGATATTTAACTTCTCTGAGCCCCAGTCCCTCATCTAAAATGTTGCAGCATTATTGTGCCTTGTAAACTGTACAGTGCAGGGCTATATTAATGGGGGATGTTGGTTTTGTTTTGTCTTCAGCATTGGGAAGGTCCCCACTGATCTCTCTGGACTGTCAGAGGGAGGGACTGGGGAGGCTGTGTTGGGTCCAGAGAGTAGGGGTCTGAGGTTTGGAGCTGCTGCTTAAGAACCTGTCTCTTCTGTCTCGGGTTCAGGGTGCCACCATCCGGCGGGACGAGCACTCAGGGGCTGTTGTGGTGGCCAGGATCATGCGAGGAGGCGCAGCAGACAGGAGCGGTGAGTGGCGGCAGTGCAAAGCTGGCCCAGCCCCGATCATGGCCATTGTTCCAGAGCCCTCCACCTTTGCTAATAGGTCCCCTTACCTCCCTCCTATCAGGTCACCTGTTTGGGATTTGCTTTGCTTTCTGGGGTTGTGGCTGGAATTCTCATCTCCTTCCCAAGTCAGTAGAAATTTTAATAGAAAATATAGGCCAGCTGGGCATGGTGGTGCACACCTGTAATCCCAGCACTTTAAGAGGCCGAGGCAGGCGGATCACTTGAAGCCAGGAGTTCCAGACCAGCCTAGCCAACATGGCGAAACCCCATTTCTACTAAACACACAAACCTGGGAGGCGGAGGTTGCAGTGAGCCAAGATCATGCTGCTGCACTCCAGTCTGGGCAACAGAGTGAGACTCTGTCTCAAAAAAAAAAAAAAAAGAAAAAAAAAAAAAAGCCAGGCACAGTGGCTCACGCCTGTAATCCCAGCATTTTGGGAGGCCGAGGTGGGCGGATCACCTGAGGTCGGGAGTTCGAGACCAGCCTGACCCACACAGAGAAACCCCATCTCTACTAAAAATACAAAATTAGCCAGGCTTGGTGGCACATGCCTATAATCACAGCTACTTGGGAAGGCTGAGGCAAGAGAATCGCTTGAATCTGGGAGGTGGAGGTTGCAGTGAGCCGAGATCGCGCCATTGCGCTCCCGCCTGGGCAACAAGAGTGAAATTCCGTCTCAAAAAAAAGAAAAAAAGAAAAAGAAAATATAGGCCATGCACGGGTGGCCCACACCTGTAGTCCTAGCTGTTCGGGAGGCCCAGGCAGGAAGATTGTTTGAGCCCAGGAGTTTGAGGTTGCAGTGAGCCGTGATTACACCACTACACTCTAGAGTGGGCGACGCAGTGAGACCGTCTCAAAAAAAAAAGAAAAAAAAAAAAAATATATATATATATAAATAGTCATGGAGTACTTTGGGGTGATTGAGAAAAAGCTCATGCGTTGGTTTAGTCCAAGGACTGTGACAGTTAAGAATATAGCATGGGCTTGCGGGATTACTAACTGTGGGACAGGGTTGACACCCTTCCCCACCATCCCAGGTCTTGTCAAGCTACTATTACAAAGAGAGTGTTTGTGCCCCAGATTCGTTTGGGTAGAAAGGTTGAGAATCACCGGTGTGTGGAAGAGCTACTAAGCTGGGAGACAAACCTCCTGGTATAGGGCGATGTTACCCCCAAAGTCTGGGGGGTCATCGTTGCAGAGAATCCTAGACCAGCACTTTGCAAACATTAACGAGTCCACGAATTCCCTGAGCATCTTGTTAAAATGCAGACTGATTCAGCAGGTCTGAGCTAGGCCGAAGATTCTGCACTTTTAACCTGCCTCCAGGTGATGCTGATGCAGCCGGGCCAGTGCCCACTTTGAGTAGCATATAGGGCCCTAATATGCAGAGACATTAGTCATTCAGGCAGAGGCTCATAGTGTGTTTACACTCTTAATGATGTCTTCATTGGTGCCTTTGTCTTTCCTTGTTAAGACTTAAGAATGCCATTCTAAGAGTTAATGATAATTTTAAAGAAGCAGAGATTATAGCAAAAAGAACACAGGCTTTCTACATCATAATAACTGTGTTTGAATACTGGCTTCATTATTTCTCAGCAATGTGGCCTTAGGCAAGCTGCTTAATCTTCCTGGGTCTCAGGTGCCAACTTGTAAATTGGAGATTTTACTGGGTGATTTGAGCCCTGCATGCCGAGTGAGGTGCCCAGCACTTAGCAGGGCTTAGTTCGCCCCAGTCCCACCCATCAACTTTAAACCTCGAGTTGGCCCTGCAGTGGGCTTCTCAGGCCGGCCCCTGTGGTGCTTGGAGCTCTGAGCGAGGGGTGCTCAGGTCCTCCTCCTGTGCTGATGGTCAGTCCCTGTGTCTCCTAGGCCTGGTCCACGTTGGAGATGAGCTCCGAGAAGTGAACGGGATCGCAGTCCTGCACAAGCGGCCCGACGAGATCAGCCAGATTCTGGTCCGTGCTACAAGCCTGCTAGGGATGTGCTGGGTCTTCAGACACCCAGAGCAAGGCACTTCCTGGAGCCAGGACAGATTCTGGCTTAGCCTTGCTGTTGTCCTGAGGAGGTGGCAGGCAAAGTGGCCTTATGGTGTGCCCCTAACAGTGTGCCCGGGGTATGGGGTGGCAGCAGGAGGAGGGGAACTTCCCTTCCATCTGCCTCTCTTAGACCTTCTCCTCAGCACAGCCTTCCTTCCTTCCCCTGGTTCCCTTTCACAAGGCCCCTCCTGGGTCCTGGGTCCTGGGTGTGAATCCTGGCTCTGCCTCCTTCCAGCTGTGCAACCTTGGACAAGCCATCAGATCATCTGAGTTTCCATTTCCTTTCCTTTAACGTTGGGATAGAGTTTCTTTCTCAACCAATGTGTGGTTATCATTGGCATGCTAACATCTGGAAAAGGGTAAAGCCCTTCAGAAGTGTAAGGGGATTTTAAGGTATAAAATGCTTGGCTGAAAACCTCCATGGTCCATTCTGGGGAGTTGAAGTCAAAACTGAAATTGTGAAAAGCCCCAATCATAGCTTGGTCCCCTTTATCCTCAGGATTCCTCCCCTGACCTGACACTCTGCTAACTTCTGATGGTTTTGGGGGCAGAAACAGGATGAGATCTGAAAAGAGGAGGCCCACTGTTTAAAGCCCTCTCTGGGCTGGGCTCAGTAGTTCACACCTGTAATCCCAGCACTTTGGAAGGCCGAGGCAGGTGGGTCACCTGAGGTCAGGTCGAGACCAGCCTGGGCAACATGGTGAAACCCCGTCTCTACTAAAAATACAAAAAATTAGCTGAGTGTGGTTGTGGGCCCCTGTAATCCCAGCTGCTTGGGAGGCTGAGGCAGGAGAATTGCTTGAACCCAGGAGGTGGAGGTTGCAGGGAGTCGAGATCGTGCCACTGCACTCCAGCCTGGGCAATGAGAGCAAAACTCCATCTCAAAAAACAAAAAAACAACAACAAAATAAAGCCCTCTCTGTAGAGGATGCGGATTGCAGGCAGGCCCTTCAGTCCTTTTGCCCAAGCTTGCTTTTTTGTGGCTTTGGGTGCCAACCTTCTTGTGCTCCAGAGCAAGGGTCTGGGCTTTCTGGGTAGTGGAGAGGCCAGGAGGTGATCTTTTGGGCCCTGCTGTCCTGGTCCGACTGCATTCTTCCTTTGTTGGGCCCCTGGCATTGGGCTACAGGGTCTCTGTAGATGAGGGTGAAGGGAGCTCCTAGAAAGCTGGGCATGGCCTGAGACTGGGGAGATGGAAGCAAAGAGGGAAGTATTAATCAGAGACCAGCCCCAAATCAGGCAGGAAAGAGGCAAAGGAAACCGAAATGGGTTGTTCAGATGACCCAGGAGAAAAGCAAGGAAGGGAGCCCTCTGGGGCCGTAGCGGTCAGGAGGGATGGAGAATTGGAATTCAACACGTAGTGTCCTTGGGTTCTCATGGAAAGTCTTCCGTCCCTTTGACTTTTGAAAATACAGTTACCAACCCGCCACTGCTAAATTTGAACTGGCTTAAAAATAATAAAAATACTAAAAAATACAAAAATGTACAGTTACTTGGTTACTGAGTTTTGTTTTAGTTCATTCAACCAGGGCACCATCCTAGAAGAGTGGGCCTCAGGGGAGGCTGCAAGTCTGACTTTCTGAACATCAGTTTTTAGGCCTGAGAAGTAGGAGTTGAACTCTTGGAGGGTTAGACCTGGTAGGCGAGAAGCTTCTGTTCTCTTTCGTTTCAGGCCCAGTCCCAGGGATCCATCACCCTAAAAATCATCCCAGCCACCCAGGAGGAAGATCGCTTAAAGGAGAGCAAGGTATGGGGAGGTGGGTCCGCGGTGCCCTCTCTCAGCTTGAGAGATGCAGCTCGCTGGCTGGGGGCTGGATCCAGTCCAGTCTCTTGTAACAGTCATTTGCGAACAGATCATAGATCTGATCCTAGTAATCTGTGCCCAGTGGAGGACTTTAATTCCGTCACAAAGTGATGCATTTGTTTGTATCCTGCCTCTTTCTAAACAGGATTTGACGTGGCTTACTAATAAAAGACAAGGTTATTTTAATTGAAATAGAAACTCAGGGCCATGAAGAGGAGGAGAAGGTACCAAGTGTGCTGAATTCTGAACCAATTAAGCAACTGCCATTTGTTTAATTGTTGCTGAGCCTGCCTTATTTGGTCACCTACTCTGTGCCAGGCACTCTGCCAGATGCTGGAGACAGGGACTCTTGGTAGCTGCAAGGCTTCCTGGTGCAGAAGGGCAGCAAGTCTTTCATTGCTATGTGATAAGTGCTTTGCCAAGATTCTGTACAAAGAGTTACAGTCACCCTAGAGGGTGTCACAGAATGGGGGTGTTGGAACTGAGGCCTGAAGAAGGTAAAGACGAGTAGGACCTTGGTGGGGTCTGCCCATACAGAGGCTCCCTGGCACTCTGGAGAGGAGCACGTTAAGGGCTATGTGGTGGGGCTTTGAGGGGAGGATGGTGGTGGGTTTTGCTGGGGAGGTGGGTTAAGCCTATGTTCTGAATGGCCTCGAATGCCTTGTTAAGGGTTTTGGCATAATCCTTGCTTAGTGTGGGGCCTCTTAGAAGCTGACCCTGAGACAAGGATTGAATGCAAATGGTTTATTTGGGAAGTGGCCCCAGGAAATACCAGTACAGGACTGGGAAAGGGAAGACAGCCAATCTGACTAAGGGTGTGTTATCAAGCAGGTTACCACTATGGGCAGCTGGAGCTTAGTCCTGCTGGGAACTTGGGGAACTACTTCTTCCCCTGTAGAACACACGCCTCCATCATCCCACCCAGGGGCCCTGGGAGCTGGGCGATCTATATACCAACTCCTGCCAGGCTGCACCCGGGGGATTAATTCCTAGCAACTTCTGCCTGCTGGACTAGAGATGAGTAGGTTCCAGTGGCCAGAGAAAGTAAGTCCTTAGGCAAAGAGATGCAGGTGCTGGCAGCTGGAAGTCAGCCCAGGCTGCACTGAATGGTCCAGCCCTGGGGCATATGGGAGGGCATCCCACAGCCCAAGAGATAATCCCATAGGTTCTAATAAGCTCTTTTTTTTTTTTTTTTAGGATGGGAGTGGTGCAGTTATATTTGTGTTTTAGAAAGCTCCGTGAGGCAGCCACGGGGAGGAGGGTGGAGTGGGTAGAGGTTGGAGGCAGGGAGGCCTGGTAGAAGGCTCTTGTAAAAGCCCAGGTGAGACGTTAAGACCTGAACTGTGAGATGGTGGTTGATGAGATAGAGAGGAGGGCATCACTTTGATTTCATAGTAGAGTTTCCTGGCAGCCAAGGCAAAAAGGAGAGCATAATGAATTACATACTGTTGAGCAGAGAATGGAAGGAAGCATGCCAGTTTTTCAAGACATTCCCATACCTGCCTCTCAGTACTTAATGCATGAAAGAAGAAACATTACAGCATCTAGCACAGAGGAGATGTCAGTCGATACTTTGAAGAATGTGGATTTGTAATGGACTACGTCTTCAATGACAGTTTTTTACAGCAAGTGAAGAAATAATCTTTATATAGCTGTTTCTTATTTGTGCTCTTTGGTTAAATCCCAGGGCATAATATTTCCTCTTACCTGGTGGAAAGTGATTCTTCCTAGGACAAGCGAATGTGGTCCGCACATGCAACTTTGAGGGTTCTGACTTGAGGAAACCTCTTTGAGGAAGAGAACTTGGTTTTCCTAAAGGACAAAATGAGTAGCCTGTCCCCCAGCCTGTCCTTCTTGAATATTTCTTCTTGATCCAGATGCTTGATTTGGGCTGGCCACTTAAGATTACATTCTTCTGAGTGCTTAGGACCCTGGTAACATCTGTGGCTGGTTAAGGGCATCTGTCCCCACAACATATGCCAGAAAGTTCTTACTGTTGTCCAGTGGAATCTTTTCTGGTTGGCATACAAAGGAATAGAGTTTGTATCTGTCTGAGGAAGACCCCTGATTGCTTTTTTTTTCCTGTTTGCCACTGAAGTGATTGGGCCCTAATGGTCTGAAAATAGAAATAAATAAAGTTAATCCATGCCACTAAATTATCGAAGAGAACAAGGAAGTGTGAAAAATGCTGTGTCCTCACACCATCTTCTCCAGAGAGGGTGACTCTAGAGCAGAGGGGGGAATTAGGGCTTGGCCGAGTCTATGGCAGACGAGGCAGGATTGAGCCGTAAGAGCTGTGGGTGTCAATTACCCACTGAAAAGTGATGGTGAGGAGTCAGTAACAGTAGTTTTGTTGATATTTGTGTTCTTACCCAAACATCTAGATTACTTATATAACAGATGGCTGCTGCCTTCCGTCAGCGCAGTTGGCGTATCAAAAATAACACTTGAGTTAGAAATTGTGCTTGCCTTTACTTTTTGTTCCCAGGATTAGTTGTTGCTGTGTGTATGCTAAGAGGCTGTTATGAGGACAGCTGGTCAAGTAAATAAGGAAATATTTAGGTAGGAAAGAGACATTCAGTCATGGGGCTTATTAATTTTCTGATTCTTGATGGACTTCCTGACTATAGTATCCCAAATGGTTGAAGAACAGTTAAGAACATACGTGCAGTGTATTTCCAAGTAGCTTTCTATTTGAAAGGCCACTTGGTCCTCCTAAGTGTGGATGGTCGTTGTCATGTGGCCTTTGATGTGACAATGACCTGTCTGTGCTCACTTGGGGAAGGGCCGCCTCACCAGAGCCCTCCTTGTGCAGGTGTTCATGCGCGCCCTCTTCCACTACAACCCTCGGGAGGACCGGGCCATCCCTTGCCAGGAGGCGGGCCTGCCCTTCCAGCGCAGGCAGGTCCTGGAGGTGGTGAGCCAGGACGACCCCACGTGGTGGCAGGCCAAGCGAGTCGGGGACACCAACCTTCGAGCCGGCCTCATCCCCTCCAAGGGGTTCCAGGAGAGGTGGGTCTGGGGTATGTTGTGAAGGGCTGGTTCCAGAGTGGCAGAGGCACAGGTACATGGCAGACCCCCAAGTCTCTGCCCTCACAGCCAGAGGGGCCTGCTGAGCATTGTTCCCCCAAGGTAAGTACCAGTTGCACTTGTGTTTGGTCTTTTCCCATAACTAGTGATGATGGTTATTTGAGATTTAAAGGAATCTATGGAAATTTATGTTATTAAGTTAATGTGTGTGTGTGTGTGTGTGTGTGTGTGTGTGTGTATTTTTTTTTTTTTTGAGACAGAGTCTCCCTCTGTCACCCAGGCTGGAGTGCAGTGGCGAATCTTAGCTCACTGCAACCTCCACCTCCCGGGTTCAAGCAATTCTCCCGCCTCAGCCTCCTGAGTAGCTGAGATTACAGGCGTGCACCACCATGCCTGGCTAATTTTTGTATTTTTAGTAGAGACAGGGTTTGGCCAGGCTGGTCTCAAACTCCTGGCCTCAAGTGATCCACCTGCCTTGACCTCCCAAAGTGCTAGGATTACAGGCATGAGCCACTGGATCCAGCCTAAGTTAATGTATATTTTATAATGCATGCTCAGAGAATGCTGATAAACAAAATATAAAAATACAGAAGAGAGGCTGGGCATGGTGATGACTCACGCCTGTAATCCCAGCACTTTGGGAAGCCGAGGCAGAAGGTTCCCTTGGGCCCAGGAGTTCAAGACCAGCCTAGGCAACATAGTAAGACCTTGTCTCTACAAAAAATAAAAAATTAGCTGGGCATGGTTGCACACACCTGTAGTCCCAGCTACTCGGGAGGCTGGGGTGGGAGGATCAGTTGAGCCCAAAAAGGTCAAGGCTTCAGTGAGCTGTTATCACACCACTGCACTCCAGCCTGAGTAAGAGTGAGACCCTGACTCAAAAAACAAAACAAAACAAAACAAAAAAACAGAAAAAAACTGAAGAGGAGGACTATGAAAGGAAATTCCCCACGTCTCACCCTTATCTAAACTGCATAGTTTGTTTCCTTACTGTGCTTTTTATGTGAGTGTTGCATACAGAATTTGGGGTCTTGCTTTTTTTTTTTTTAAACATTTTTGGCGTGAGTATTTTCCATATTATAGCATCGTTTTTGTAGTGTGATTTTAGTGGCTGTATACTAACTCATCAGGAGCTGTGCCATTCATTCCTAGGCGGCAGGTATTTAGGATGAATTGAGCTGGCCTTGTGCTGGCATCTTGCGGGCTGCTGTGAATCCAGGGTTTCTGCCCTGGAGGAGCTTATAGTTCAGTGGAAAAGCCAGACGCTCTTCAAACACACAGTTTATATAAACGTGATGGGTGCAAGGGAGGAGGACATGGTGCTGTGTGAGTTCATATTAGGAGGCTGCGCCCTCATCCAGGAATGCAGGGAAGGCTTCTCAGAGGAACTAGCTAAGTGATTTCACTGCTTTCCTGTGGCTGCACTTCGATTAGGTTGTTCCCAATTCTTCACTTTTATAAGGCTGCAGTACTTACTTACTTTGCACATAGACTGTTCCTCATGTTTCAAATTATTTCTTTAGACTTCCAGGAAGGTCAGTCTTGGGTCAGAGGGTGGCAGTTGTGACTTCCACTGTGGGTTGTAGCCCTCACATCTTTTGGTGTGTGGACTGTGGTAAGGACAGGACCTTGGGGTTCACCCATTTCAGTGGCCCTCAAGGTGTGGCCCCCTGGCTGGGGGCTTCAGCGTCACCTGGGGACTTGTTAGAAATGCAGATCCATGGGTCCTGCCCAGAAACTCACATTCTAACAAATGTTCCAGGCGATTCTGAGATGCCGAAGTCTGAGAACGAAGCTCTGTCTCCTCGGGAACCCCAGACCCATCTCCATTTTAGGGTTCACAGGTCTTGGCAACATCTTACCAGAGGATGTGGGGGACAGCTCTTCAGCTGCATTTTTTTTTTTTTTTTGAGACATGGTTTCACTCTTGCCCAGGCTGGAGTGTAGTGGTGCTATCTCAGCTCACTGCAACCTCCACCTCCCGGGTTCAAGTGATTCTCCTGGATTCTCCTGCCTCAGCCTCCCGAGTAGCTGGGATTACAGACGTGCACCACCATGCCCAGCTACTTTTTGTATTTTTTAGTAGAGACGGGGTTTCACCGTGTTGGCCAGGCTGGTCTCGAACTCCTGACCTCAAGTGATCCTCCCGCCTCGGCCTCCTAAAGTACTGGGATTACAGGTGTGAGCCACCACGCCCGGCCCTTCAGCTGCATTTAAATGTGGAAATCTAGTGACCTCTGAGAGCCCCACCTCTCCACTCATGGCCACATTGGACAGTCTGCCCGGGCTGAGCCTTCCGCTGAGGGGAGGGTGTTAAATTAGGGTCACTTCTGTCCTCGGCCTCTCCTGGGAGTCATTCTGCTATTTCTCAGCTCCCTCAGAGATGGGGAGGCTGGGGAGTAGAGAAGGGGCTGCCTCTCCTTAGAAATTGGCCATAGGAGAGTAATGACCAGCTGAGGATTGTACACCGGGCTGGATCCTGTGTGGCCATCTTGAGCTGGATGAGCTATTTCTGGAGCAAGAGACTCAGTTTCTTCCTCCTGGTGAGCCAGTGAGCCCTGTGAAAGTGTTCCCTTCGTTGGAACTTAGTGCTAAGCAGGAGGCCCTCAGAGTGTCCAGTGTGTGCCCACCTGTGGGATCCAGGCCTTGGCTTCCCAAGTTTTCCAGAAGGTTCCTTTCAAGTGGTTATCTGGCCCAGCTCACGGGCCCGCCCATCCCCTTGTGTCCCTGCAGACGACTAAGCTACCGGAGAGCCGCGGGCACCCTGCCGAGCCCCCAGAGCCTCAGGAAGCCCCCCTGTGAGTAGATTGTCAGGGATGGCACTCCAGGGAGGGCCCGGGGTTAGGGCGAGGGAGGATTCAGGCTGGGAAGAAGTAGGCAGTGGGCTGGAGGGGGCATCAGGGGTCTTGTCTGAGCTCATGGACTCCAGAGGAAGGAGGGGGTGGGAAGTAGGAGGTGGGGGGCAGCTAGTCCCTGGAGAGGAGCTTGTATATTTGGAGTCCATAGATGATGCTGGGGGGTATGTTAACAGCTTTCCCAAAATGTGCAGATGTGTGTGTGTTCACACGCGTGTGCATGTGCGTGTGAGGATCCACAGCTTTCGTTAGATTCCCAAGGGCTCTCTGACCTTGAAAATGGAAGAAGCACTGGCGTTGGAAGGGAATGGAGAAGGCCATGTGTGACCTGGTGCCTCTGGTAGGGCTGCCAGATTGCCAGACTGGGCAAATACAAATAAAGGATGCCCAGTTGAAGCTTGAATTTCAGATAGATGACAGATTGGTTTCTAGTATAAGTATGTTTTTATGTAGTTTTTATTATAGTATAAGTATGTCCTGTGCAATATTTGAGGCATACTTATACTAAGAAGTTACTTGTTGTTTATTTGAAATTCAAGTTTAAGTGGGTGTCCTGCATTTTATCTGGCAACTCTACACCGTGTAGCACTTTACACTTTAGAAAACATGTCCACCTACTTCTTGGAACCCTGTGAAGTCGGTAGAGTCAGCTATCTTTTCTAAGCTGGGAATATGTAGGGTCACAAGGTTAAGTGAGCAGAGTTGGGGTCACATTTTCTGAAGGCCTGTGATCAGAGCCCCAGGGTAGGGCCCCGTGCAGAGAGGAAGCTTTTCCAGAGCATGGTCTCTCTGGTACTAGAGGGCAGACTTGTAACCGAGTGAGCGGCCTGAGCAGGTGCCAGGTGACCAGAACACAGATGGCCTGCAGCTCTGCTCCACCCCGCTCCATCCTCAGGCATCTGCGTTTTCCAGGGCCAGACTCCAACCCCAGAAAAGAGAGAGTGGGTCCTATTCCCACCGCAGGATCCTAGAGTAAGCTGCTCCCTGGGCCCCTGACAATGGCCACTTTTCCAGACTTGCTGTCAGGTTAGAAGGGCAGTGGCCTTGAGGCTGCTGTGCCACTGATGAGCTGGCTTTCTCTGGTGCTAATGAGACACATACAAGAAGACTAATTAGAGCAGGTCTTGGGGTTTAATAACGTACCACAGCTCAGATCACAGGTTCGTTGGAGGAAAGGGAAAGAGGCCAGATGGCGGGCTCCTCAGGCACTCGGGCCGTGGCTGCCCTCAGCCGCAGGGTCCCCGCTTCCCTCCACTAATGCTGTTCCATCTGTCTTTTGTGCAAACCGCAGATGATCAGCCTTGTGACAAAGGTAGGCCCAGTATCTATCCGCTGTCCACAGGCGTGGCCCCTTTTCCGTGGAACGTCTGGGGCCTGAGGGGCTCGTGTTCTTTCCCTATCTGGGCAGCTGTGCCCCTCCCACTGTCTGCGCACCTCTTCCTGCTCTGCCAGCTGGACTGGGCTGTTCCTTGAGGCAGGCAAAGCTGGTGGGGACAGGGTTCAAGGCCTTAGGGGCACCTCCCTGCCCTCCTGACACGTGCGGCCCAGCCTTTCCAGGACTCGGCTACGCTGTGATGGGGCTGGATAGGAGACAAGGGGTGGGAGGGCAGGGCAGGCTGGAGTGAATCCCTCCCTATTCACACTGCTCACACTCAGGGACTGGGGAGGCCTGCTGGCCTAGAATCCCCCTCAGGGCCTGGAAAGGCTGTTAGGGGCCTAAGCATGGAGAACTGAGCAAAACAGAGGACCTTGCTTTCTTGGGGTGTCCAGGACATGGGATTTCCCCTGAGCTCCCCACGAGACACCATCCCAGGGGGCTCTTCCTGCCTGGCCATCCAGGGGCTGGGTGCCCTGGGCCGGATGTGTCTGGTGGGACTCACTGGCTTCCCTCCCTCTGTTTGCTTCCCAGAGACCTGTGACTGTGAGGGCTACCTCAAAGGGCACTATGTGGGTAAGTAGCTCCCCCTGACACCCACATGCACGACCTGCCCCACCCAAGGCCCCAGAGTTAGGGAGAGGTCAAAGCAGGGTGATCTGAGCCCCAGGAGTCCTTCTGGAGCAGTGGAGCCTATGGGACCCCCATCTCTCCTCAGTTCTCTCAACCCAAGCAGGAGCTGAGCCTGCCCAGGCATTGGGCCCCCACCCAGCTTTTACCCAGCTGTGGGGCACACTGCCCTGGCGGGAAAGGCACACACACCCCTACATTAATACCAATTCTATTATCACCATCATTGCAATTGGAGTTTATTCAATATTAACACCACTACCACGCAGTGAGGGGTGTTTGCGGCTCTCCAGAGCCCCTTTTCACTTGTTTTGGTCAGTTTTTTCAAAGGTCTTAGAGATAGGCAAAAAGTTTTTTTTGTTTTTTGGTTATTTTTTAGAGACAGGGTTTTGCCCTGTCTCTCACGCTGGAGTGCAGTAGTGTGTGACATTGCAGCTTGCAGCAGCCTCAATGTCCTAGGCTCAAACAATCCTCCCACCTCAGCCTCCTGAGTAGCTGGGACTGCAGGCATCTGACACCATGCCCAGCTGATTAAAAAAATTTTTTTTGTAGAGATGGGGTCTCGCTATGTTGCCCAGCTGGTTTCAAGCTCCTGGCTTCAAGCAATCCTCCTTTCTAAAAAGTTTTTAAACTTTTTTTAAACTTATTTTTTGAGATATGGTCTTGCTCTGTTACCCACACTGGAGTGCAGTGGTGTGATCACAAATCGCTGCAGCCTCAGCCTCCCAGGCTCAAGCGATTCTTCCCTCTCAGCCTCCCTAGTAGCTGGGACTACAGGTGCATGCCACTATACCTGGCTAATTTTTGTATTTTTTGTAGAGACAGGGTTTCACCATGTTGCCCAGCTGGTCTTGAACTCCTGAGATCAAGTGATCTGCCTGCCTTGGCCTACCAAAGTGCTGGGATACAGGCATGAGCCACTGCACCCAGCCCCTTAACTTTTGTCCTGAAGTAATTTCAAACTTACTGAAAAGGTGTAAGAATTATACAAAGAACTCTCATATACTCCACACCCAGATTCACCAGTTGCTCCTTTGCCATGTTTGCTCAATTTCCTTTCCCACATCTCTGAATTTTTTTTTCCTGAGTCATATGAGACTTAGTTGTAGACATCGTGTCCCTTTAACCCTAAATCTCTCAGCATGTATTTCCTAAGGCCAAGGACTTTCTCAGGGCAGTGATCAAATTCTGAGAATTTAAAATGTATCCAAATCTGTTATATGCTGTTATTTAAATGTTAACAATTGTCCCCATCATGTCCTTTATGACATTTTCCCTTGGTCCAGGATCTAATCTAGGACCACACATAGTAGTTGTAGATTCATATCTTCATTTCACAGGTAAGGAAATTGAGGCTCAGAGAGATGAAGGGACTTGTCCAAGGTCAGTCACATGCCAAGTAAAACAGTGACCTTAAGCCCTAGTTTGTGAATGCAGGGGTCACCCTTTCATCTTATTATTGTATTTCCTGAACAACCTCTTCCAGTAGCAGGAGGAGGTTGGGAGAAGTCAGTGGGACTCAGTCCCATCTCCAGGTCTGGCCAGGTGGGAAAAGTCTCTACTGGGAGATCCTGGGACAACTGGGACAAATGCCATGGTGTCCCTCTGCCCCTCCTCCCAAGCTGGTCTTCGGAGGAGCTTCCGGCTGGGCTGTAGGGAGAGACTGGGTGGCTCGCAGGAAGGAAAGATGTCCTCCGGAGCTGAGTCTCCGGAGCTGCTGACTTACGAAGAGGTGGCCAGGTACCAACACCAGCCCGGAGAGCGGCCCCGCCTGGTGGTTCTGATCGGTAGGTGCCATCCTGGGTTTCCAGGAAGTGATCTGGTTTCCTCCCTGGAGCAGGTGGGGAGGGAGCTCAGCAGGGACCCTGGTCAGCCTTCTTCTTGTTTCCCAGGGTCTCTGGGAGCCCGACTGCACGAGCTGAAGCAAAAGGTGGTGGCTGAGAACCCACAGCACTTTGGCGTCGCTGTTCCACGTAAGAGGGCCCATGTGGGAGTGTGTGTTTGTCTGCACACACACAAATATTCCATGGAGACTTAACTCCCCAGATCCATCCAAATCCTTACTTTGGGTTTAAAGGATCACCAGGCACTGCCTGCTATTGGCAAATTGTGGGACAAAGGCATGATGGGAAGAAATCCACTCCCAGTGGTCCTCTGAGACCCTCTGAGGCAGAAGTTGGAGGACCACTTGCTTGGTTCCTGCCTGGGGTGGGAGATGAGTCCAGAGCACATTGTAGGCAAAGTGGCAGCCTCAACCTGACACCACGGGGCCCCCACAGTAGGGGGCATTCCTCCTCATCACAGTGAATTTTGACTCCTGTGGCCGCTGCCCTCTGCTTGGATGAGAGGGCAGGTCAGAGAAGCCACAGAGCCCTGTGAGTGGTATTTCTCGGCACTCCCTTATAGCCAGATTCCAGTTTGTCAGGGTAGCTGGGTACATTCCTGGGTGATGCCTCCCCTGCCAATTCCTGGGGCTTACTGCTGCCAGGGGCACCCTGGGATGTCAAGCTCCAGTGGGCAGAGGATCCTGGTTCTGAATGTGATAAGGAGGATGAGGAGGAGGAGAATGAAGGTGCCAGGTAATGCACCAAGAGCTTTTATGTGTAGTGCCCTGCGTCAGCCCTCCCAGTACCCCTGAGAAGAGAGATTGTTATCATCTTGTGTGGCAGAGGAAGACAGTGAGGGTCAGAGAGGTTAAGTAACTTGTCCAATGTCACACAGTTGGTAAGTGGTGGAGCCAGGATTCATACCCAGGCAGCCTGCCCCAGTCATGTTCTTAACGAGGATGCACAATGGCCTCTCACCTGCCGCCTCCCACTTCGTGCCCTTGGCTGCCCCTTTTCTTTCTGGGACTCACTCTCAGTCCCCCTGGCCTCAGAGGGATGCAGTGTGAATGCCTGGTGGCTACTGAGAGGGGTGCTGTGGGGGCCCTAATGGGGCCTCCTCAGAGTGTTCTGGGGCAGAGCAACCATGAAGCCTTGCTTTGATCACACCGCTCTCCCTGGGCCCCTGGGCCCAGCGTCTAGTCTGTGGGTTGTCAGAGCTGTCTTCCACAGCCCAATCTGAAGTGGCAGGGATGTGGGGGAGGTGGTGGCCCTGGGGAGGCCATCCTGGCAGCACACCTGTGATGGACCTGGAGGGCTTCAGGGAGCCACGGCCTTCCAAGTTTCAGGTGGACTGAAACAGGACATGCAGAGGTTGCTCACACACTGATCGTTCAGAACCCCTTGGATCCACCCCCTGGAGAAGAGGTACCTGGATGGTCAGGCCCACCTGCTTCTAGGCACTCCACAGATAGGAGACTTTCCTCCTTTGTTTTAGAAACTGGGGGAGTCAGGGAAGCCTTCCCAGAGGCAGTGACTTTTATGCTGGGTTCTGAAGAGTAAATAGGAGTTTTCCAGGCAGAAGAGAAAGGAATAGTTCTCTTTACAGAGGAAACAACATGTGCAAAGGGACGGAGCAGTGTTGGGGACCGGGGAGATTAGTGTGGATGGTGTGCTGGAAAATGGAGCTGAGAGGTTGGGCAGATCACGCAGGTCTCAGATACTCAGCTAGGGTGTTTAGAATGTAACCCATAGATAAATACAAGTTTTTAAGCAGGGGGATGACATGGTTGGAAAAGTGACCCTAGCACCTCTACCGGAGGTTGGACTAAGATGCCACAGAAAGAACACAGGGCATACCCTGGGTGGTTCCCATGGGCCAGAAGACACAGTGCCTCAAGATCCCATTTTATCTTTTGGAAAATACTGTGTGTGTGGCTTTGTGTGTGCCCTTGTTCTGCAGAAGACCTGATTTTCCTCAGAAGTGTGCATCCCAATTCTGTTATGGAAATCAATGAGAAAACACCATGTGTTTCAACATTTTTGTTTGAGAGCCAGCCTTGCTGAAACACATCCGATCTATATAGGGACGGTCTGTCTTCCTGTCTCCTTTTTCTGGAGATGAGAACTAATTGACTAAAGAATTAAAAGCATACATCAGGGTCAAGTGTATGTGTGGCTCCTTTGCTCTCAAAAAATAAAAAACAATGAAGAATTAAAAGTTAGGACTAGGGGTCCCTTAAGTGATTCTTTAAAAGCCACAGCATATGCTGGGCGCGGTGGCTCATGTCTGTAATCCCAGCACTTTGGGAGGCTGAGGCGGGTGGATCACCTGAGGTCGGGAGTTCGAGACCAGCCTGACCAACATGGAGAAACCCCATCTCTACTAAAAATACAAAATTAGCCGGGTGTGGTGGTACATGCCTGTAATTCCAGCTACTCGGGAGGCTGAGGCAGGAGAATCGCTTGAACCGAGAAGGCAGAGGTTGCAGTGAGCCGAAATCATGCCATTGCGCTGTAGCCTGGGGAACGAGCAAAACTCCGTCTCAAAACAAAAAACAAAACAAAACAAACAAAAAAAAAACACAGCATCAGGGAGTCAGTTAGCAGAGTGGTTAAGGGTATAAGCTGGGCATTTGGCAGAGAGACCGATTCTGGCTGTGCTCTCTACTGGTTGTGGGTCACTGTGCACAGTGCTGAACCTCTCCGTGCCTCAGTTTTCTCAGCTGCAAAAGGAAAAGCCTCCTTTTGCCTACATCAAAGAGTTGTTGTGTGAATCAGTGATACGCCTGCCTGGAAAGGCACAGTGCCTGATACAGGGACATGCAATGAGGTGGAAGTGCCTGGTTTAGACACAGCAGCAGTGAACTCCCAAATGAGTGCCTAAGCCTGCTGCTGTCCCTGCGTGCTGTGATGTGACATCTCTTTGCCCAGCTTTCCTTCTTTCTTTAAAAGATACCACCAGGCCCCGAAAGAGCCATGAGAAGGAAGGAGTGGAATATCACTTTGTGTCTAAGCAAGCATTTGAGGCCGACTTACATCACAACAAGTACGTTGCTTGATGGGCCAGTTGGCCCTCCAGGCAGTTGTGTGTTTTTGTATCTGTATTCCACTAGAGCTCCTGGGAGGACTCCCGGAAAGGATGGGGGAAGCGGGAGAGAAGTCATGTTGGGAGGTCCC